>NC_000008.11:55927265-56552265 GCF_000001405.40 Homo sapiens
TCTGGCAACCACTGATCTTTTTAGTGTCTCCATAGTTTTACCTTTTCCAGAGTGTCATACGGTTGGAATCACACAGTATGTAGCCTTTTCAGATTGGCTTCTTTCACTTAGTAATATGCATTTAAGGTTCCTCTATGTCCTTTCATGGTTGATAGCTTATTTCTTTTAAGCACTGAATAGTGTTCTGTTGTCTGGATATAAAATGGATAAATATTTTATTTATCCATTCACCTAATGAAGGTCATCTCAGTAGCTTCCAAGTTTTGTCAATTAGGAATAAAGCTGCTGGCCAGGTGCGGTGGTTCACGTCTGTAATCCCAGCACTTTGGGAGGCAGAGGCAGGCGGATCACTTGCAGTCAGGAGTTCGAGACCAGCCTGGCCAACATGGTGAAACCCTGTCTCTATTAAAAATACAAAAATTAGCTGTGTGTGGTGGCGGGTGCCTGTAATGCCCAGCTACTCAGGAGACTGAGGCAGGAGAATTTTTTGAACCTGGGAGGCAGAGGTTACAGTGAGCCAAGATCACACCACTGTACCCCTGCCTGGGTGACAGAGCGAGACTCTGTCCCAAGGGGGAAAAAAAAAAGAAAGAAAGCTGCTATAAACATCTATGTGCAGGTTTTTGTGTGTACATACGTTTTCAACTCACTTGGGTAAAAATCAAGGGGCACAGTTGTTGGGTCATATGGTAAGGGTATTGTTTAGTTTTATAAGAAACTGCAAGACTGTCTTCCAGAATGGTTGGGTCATTTTATGTTCCCCAGCAATGAATTGGAGTATCTGTTGCTCTGCCTCTTTGCCAGCATTTGGTGTAGTCAGTGTTTTAGATTTTTCCTGTTTAATAGGTATATAGTAGTAGAGTATATCTCATTGTTGCTTGGTTTGTTCGTTTTGTTTGAGACAGAATCTCGCTCTGTTGCCCAGGCTGGAAAGCAGTGGTGCAATCTCAGCTCACTGCAACCTCCGCCTCCTGAGTTCAAGTGATTCTCATGCTTCACCCTCTGGAGTAGCTGGGACTATAGGCAAGCGCCACCACGCCCGGCTAGTTTTTGTATTTTTAGTAGAGATGGGGTTTCACCATGTTGGCCAGGCTGGTCTCCAACTCCTGACCTCAGGTGATCCGCCGACCTTGGCCTCCCAAAGTGCTGGGATTACAGTCATGAGCCACCACGCAGGGCCCATTGTTGCTTTAATTTGCAATTCCCAGGTGACATATGATATGGAGCATCTTTTCATGTACTTATTTGCCATCTGTAGCTCTTCTTTGGTGAGGTGTCTATTCAGATCTGTTGCCCATTTTAAAAATCAGGTTGTTTGTTTTCTTATTATTGATTTTAAGAGTTCTTTGTCTATTTCAGATACCATTCCTTTATTAGATATATATTTTGCAAAGATTTTATTTTAATCTGTGGCTTGTCTTTTTATTTTCTTAAGAAAGTGTCTTTCACAGAGCAGAAGTTTTAGATTTTAATGAAGTTCAATTTATAATTTTTTCTTTCATGGATCATTTTTTCTTTCATGGATCATTTTTTCTTTCATGATCATGGATCATTTTGATGTTGTATGTAAAATGTCATCACCAAACCCAAGGTCATCTAGCTTTTCTCCTATGTTATCTCCTAGGAGTTTTATAGTTTTTTGTTTTTCCTTTAGGTCTGTGATTCATTTTGGGTTGATTTTTGTAATAGATGTAAGATCCGGGTCTAGATTATTTATTTACATACTTATTTATTTACTTACATGTGGATATACAGTTGTTCCAGTACCACTTATTGAAAAAAATATCCTTTCAGTGTTGAATTGTCTTTGCTCTTTTTGAAAGATCAGTTGACTATATTTGTGTGGTTCTATTTCTGGGCTGTTTATTCTATTCATATGTACTGAGTCTTTTTGTTACTTTCAGTGAAGATAAAATCTATTTGTAGCTAATCTTGGTTTGTCTTTGACTCTTAGTTTCCTCATGAGAAGCAGGGATCCGTAGAATAGATCCTTCTTACTGTTTCTTCCATCTTTACTGCGTGAGATTAGTGAGACTAAGTGAGACTAAGACTTAGTGAGACTAAGAATACAGTCGGGATGATGCTTTTCTCATAGAAAATCTCTGGATCTGTTTCAACAGCTACCAGATCTGTGTATGTGTCTTTGTGTCTGTCTGTGTGTGTACAGGCATAGTGGCAGATGTGATTTCTGGTTATGTCCTTTACATTTTATAACAGGATATTAAACTTAACATTCATGAATGAGTAAGAAAGCATATTTTGCCCCAATCTGTAACAGAAAATATCAATAATTGAGTTATTACCAGCAATTAAAACATCAGATTTCCTGGCATGAAGCTTTCATAAGGGGATATTTGGCAATGTTTGAAGACATTTTTGGTTGTCACAACTGGTAGCTGGGAGGCCTGGAGAGGTGCTACTGGCATCCAGTGGGTAGAGGCCAAGGATGCTGCTAAGTATCCTACAATACACAGAACTGTCCTCTAGAACAAATAATTTTCTGGCTTGAAATGTCAGTAGTGCTGAGGTTGACAAACCCTGTTGTAGAGAAGCAGATTTATTTATATCCATGGATATGTTTTCCTCTTTGCCTTGTCCTCTAGATCAGGCATCCCCAACCCCTGGGCCATGGACTGGTACTGGTCTGTGGCCTGTTAGGAACTGGGCCACACAGCAGGAGGTGAACAGCAGTTGAGCAAGCATTACTGCCTGAACTCTGTCTCCTGTCAGATCAGCGCCATAGTAGATTCTCATAGGGGCGTGAACCCCATCGTGAACTGCACATGTGAGGGATCTAAGTTATGTGCTCCTTGTGAAACAGTTTCATCCTGAAACCACCACCCCCCACCTGACCCCGCTCTGTGGAAAAATTGCCTTCCATGAAACCAGTCACGGATGCTAAAAAGGTTGGGGACCACTGCTCTAGCTAACCTAGACTCCTGATGATTTGCCATCTATAGCTAATAAGCAGCAGAAGCTTATGGTGTGATACAACATTCCACTTCTTTTAGGTGTCTTGAGCTGAGTTTCACTTTTTTGTAATTTCATAATAATTTCTATTATGTTACATGCATTTAGATAAGCTGACAACTCTTAAAGTGGGACATAAATACACTATTATATGTATTTCTGAATATGGGTGGCTGGATTGTTGATCATAAAAATCTGAATCTGGAAACAAAGTTGATGTTTAATAACTCTCCTTGGTTGGCTGGATATACATAATTCAGACTCTGCTTTGAATGTCCCCTTCTGGTCCTTTAAATGGTCTATTTCCCTACCTTACGTAAGTTTCCATGAGCTCATCTTGTTTTCATAGTGTTCCCTTTTATTGTTAAGAGAAACAAAACCAAAAAACCCCACTTGTTTCAGCAATGCCCTGTTGTCTTCCTCTGTGTGAAATTGCTCAACTAAGAGTTATGCAAATGGGGATGCGGCACGTGGTGGAGGCTTCTTGCAGCATGTTGATGGGGGACCAAGACCTGGTCTTGCCTCTTCCTCCTCCCCCTGCTGGCTTCATTCCGGTCATACCAGCTCCTGCTGTGGCCATCAGCTCATCCCAGGACCTTGGCAGGGCCTGTTTCTTTTACCTCACACTGAAGCCCCAAACTCTTAGGCTCCAGTAATCCTCCCAGCTTGGCCTCCAGTGCACTGGGATTAGAGATGTGAGCCCCCATGCATGGCTACTCTCTAAGTTCTTACTCCCACGGACAATTAGAGTTTGAAGGACCTTAGGCCATGGGTTCAGATTATCTTATTTTGCTTCAAAATTTTAAAAACTTTTTTATTTTTCTGTCATATACATATACGTGTGTGTATATATATATAAGTTATATATATATAACTTGTATATGTTACTTTTTATATATAATAAAATATATTATATTTTTAAATAAAATATATTATATTTTAAAATATAATATGTAACTCGTACATAGCACATATTATATGTAATGTATCCTATACATAACCTTATGTTGTACATAAATATGTATATTGTTTACCTATTGTACTATATGTACATGTATAACTTGTCTATGTATTATGTATTATAATAAAATACATTGATACTTGTATACATAATTTGTACACAATGGAAAACATTTTTAAAATTTTAGACTAAGGGGAACTGAGCACAAAACCTAAGGGCCTCGAAACTCTGATTTTATACATATATAAAATTATACATATATGTATATAAAATATACCTTTTAAATAAGGTATATATGATGGGAAAATTAAAAATTTGCAAGGGCAAAACCAAAAATAGCTGTAGATGAACATTGCGGTAGTTTAGCCTATTTCTTTTCAGACTTTTTTCTATTCATTTGTACCTTTTCCCTCACAAAATGATATCATGCTATATATACTGTTTTTACATTTTTTCACTTAAATATATTGTGAATATCTTTTTATGTCAATAAATATATATGTATTAAAATTTAATAGTCACTTAGTATTCTTTTGTGTTGAAGTATCATGTTCTAGATCAATTTTCCAAAAGCCAGTTACCAGAAGGGCAATTTGATGTTTTCTCAAATGTTACACCGTACCAGAAGACTTGTTTCTTTTAACTACTTGAATATTATTTTTATTTAAAAAACTTTATGCATTTTTAATGTGCTTTTGCTAGTTCTTCAAATGACATATCAACATTGTTTCTGCAATTAGAAAAAATAAAATTTAAATTTATAAGCCTCAAAAAGAAATTGTAAGTGACCAAATCATTTCCAACACATATGACATGCTTAAACTTTAGTTTCTGAGAAGGTGAAATTAGGATGTGTTAACCTGGCAGCTGTTTGCAAAACCATTTGAGTTGAAAGGATAGAACCATCCTGAAATAAGGAAAGGAAGTGTTCCTGTGCATAGGGATACCAGAAAGAAGCAGAAGACTTGAATCTCAAATGTAATAAAAGATGACATTAAGGTTGAAGAATTTTTTAAAAATTAAAATTCTAAAAATGTAAGGAGAGGTAAAGCAAGAAGTGAATTAGGAAACTACAGAAACAACCATATCTCACATTAAACTTAAGCTACTAATTACTAGTGACAGATTAATATAGTTCTAAGAAGACTCAATAATCCTTAGCTTTCTAAAAAATAGAACATTTGTCAAAATCTTTTAAAACAATTATATATATATTTTTTGTTTGTTTGTTTTTGTTTTTTTTTAGATGGAGCCTCACTCTTTTGCCCATCCTGGAGTACAGTGGTGCTATCTTGGCTCACAGCAACCTCCACCTCTCAAGTTCAAGCAATTCTCCTGCCTCAGCTCCTGAGTAGCTGGGATCACAAGCATGCACCACCACGCCTGGCTAATTTTTGTATTTTTAGTAGAGACAGGGTTTCGCCATGTTGGCCAGGCTGGTCTCGAACTCCTAACCTCAGGTGATCCTCCTGCCCGGGCCTCCCAAAGTGCTGGGATTACAGGCATGAGCCACCACACCAGGCCTAAAACAATTATATTTGATAAGAATTATTATACTCGCATTTATATACCAGGGAATACTACACAGCCATAAAAAATGAAATCATGTCCTGGGCAGCAACATGGATGCAGCTGGAAGCCATTATCCTAAGTGAATTAATGCAGGAACAGAAAACCAAATTGCAGGCTCTCACTTATGAATGGGAGCTAGGCATTGAATACATATGGATGTAAAGATAGGAGCAATAGACACGGGAGACTACTAAAGTGGGGGAGGGAGAAGGGGAGACATTCACCAAAAAACTATTTGGTACTATGCTCACTACCTGGATGGTGGGATCATCTGTACCCCAAACCTCAGCATCTTGCAACATACCCATGTAACAAACCTGCACATGTATTCCTGAACCTAAAATAAAAGTTGAAATTATTTTTAAAAAAGAATTACTATACTCTTAAGCTATGAAAGCACCACAACTAATACCAACTGTTATAAACTTAAGCTGTTAAAACTATCCCATCTAATATGACATTACGTAAATCTGAAATAATTAAAAGATACCAATTTTGGTGAACTGATCATCTTGTAAGTTGAAAACCCTCACAGAACTGGCTTTGGTGATGTGAATTTTGAGAGCTGATCTGCATTTATTTAACCAGTGACCTATAATTTGACAAACAAGCCTATTTCTATATGGTATTCCAAACAGTCCCACAATAAGTATTCTCTTGTATAGAACTTTGTGTAGCCCCCAGTTATTTTCTTATAAGTAATTTATTCCAAGAAGTGGTCATGTTGGGTTAAGAAGTGTGTACATTCTAACGGAGTTTAATATGTACTGTCAAGTTAAAGATTGTATCACTTATCCTCTCATGCCAAGCCCAGTGATTTCATTTTATGGTGAGGCAATTACAGTCCAGAGAAAAGAGTGGTTTTGTCGATAATTACAGGACTGTCAAGGCTGGACTCCACAGACAGGCTTCCTGAGTTCAACACTGTCTCATTATCCTCTTTGCACTCCCTTCCAGGCAGAGCCACATTTCCCTTTCAGTTTCTCTGTTCTAGATGCCAATCTTCCATATACCTCTTTAATTGTCTTGCAATTCTTTTCTGGAAACATTCTAGTAAATGCAGTGATTAAAACTGTGCCCAGTGCTGCTGCCCCTTCACATTGTGGATAACTAGATGACCCTGGGTCTACCTACGGCTGTGCTTATGTCTTGTGGCAAATAATAAAGAAGGAGCTTTGGCCAGGCGCAGTGGCTCACACCTGTAATCCCAGCACTTTGGGAGGCCAAGGCGGGCGGATCACAAGGTCAGGAGTTCGAGACCAGCCTGGCCAATATGGTGAAACCCCATCTTTACTAAAAGTACAAAAATTAGCCAGGCATGGTGGCGAGCGCCTGTAGTCCCAGCTACTCAGGAGGCTGAGGCAGGAGAATCGCTTGAACCCAGGAGGCAGAGGTTGCAGTGAGCCGAGATTGTGCCATTGCACTCCAGCCTGGGCGACAGAGCGAGATCCGTCTCAAAAAAAAAGAAGGAGCTTCAAATCAGGTAAACACAGCAAACAGAAGATAAAAAGAAGTTGGCAAACAGCTTAAGTTTGCCAACAGGGTTTGAATCTTTTCAAATGTAGTCTGTCTTCCATCATTACTGTTTCTTCTTCTTACCCGCTACTCCTTTGCAATCTTGTGTTTAGGTAGGTACAGGGTTGCTGCTGTGCTGTTTGGTAGAAAGAAGCCATAGGTTCTCTCCATATTCTGTGTATGCCGTTCACCGGCCCGCTAAGATTTGACTGGGCACTGCTGATTCGAGGGATGTTAAATGGACACCCACCGTGCAAGTGCATGCAACTGGGAAACTTGTGGATCTCCTGGAAACCTTGACAGGCAGAATGAGGGGAGCCCTGGGACAGCATCTGGCTGTTTTGTCTTGACACCCCTTTCCTCAGTGCTCAACCCTGCATGAGACATGAAGAGAAGAGAAGAGCCAACTCCTTATTCAGACCCAGAGACATCCCTCCTGTGTTGAGGGGGGTGCACCCTGTAACTAGCTAGCTAGTCTTAAACCCACTTCCCACCTCACCCCCCTTTCCCAATTGACCCTCAATAGTCAAAGTGAATGGAGGCTGGCAGGCACCTTGGACACAGGTTCTATCCCAGTCTTTACTCTTTCCAACACTCCTTCAGACACCTCTTTCTCACTTCTCCTAAATCATATCCTCCTCCCTTCTAGGGGGAGCCTGATGGCTCACCTTAGTCACAGACAGGAGCTGACACCTAACCATCGAAGCAGCTCTGTGGTGGAGGTGATGCCCACACCATGGACGGAAGCAGCTCCACGGGCCATGGTCATAGCCTAGAGGTGACGCCCACACCATGGAGGCAGCTCTGTGATCTGAGGGATTCCCGGCACCGAAACAGCATTGCCTTAATTGCCCCCAAACACTGTTCCTATTACACATGACATTTAAACCTTAGGGAGTTACATTCATAATGTTAGGTTGCCTAAAGAAAAAAAACAAAAACAAAAGCAAACTGAAAAAGCCTTAAGTAGGGCCTTATGTTGCAGGCTGGTCAGATAGAGAAAGCCGTGCTATGCAGCTTGGCCAGCCCGGGTTACCAGCTCACCAACTGTGCCCACCCTGGCTGCTGGGAGATTTTATTGAGGAAAAATATTGGAGAATGTTTGAAAATAATGACCATGGTATGTAAGGCAAAAAATCTTAGTTGTTTAAATAAAGACGGTCTGGCTAGGTCCTTTTCAGTTCTCTCTCTTTTAAAAGTGATTTAGGTGCTGGGTGCAGTGGCTCACGCCTGTAATCCCAGCACTTTGGGAGGCCGAGGCGGGTGTATCACCTGAGATCAGGAGTTGGAGACCAGCCTGGCCAACATGGTGAAACCCTGTCTGTACTAAAAATACAAAAATTAGCCATGCTTGGTGGCGGACGCCTGTAGTCCCCACTACTTGCTACTCAGGAGGCTGAGGCAGGAGAATCGCTTGAACCCAGGAGGCAGAGGTTGCAGTGAGCCGAGATCGCACCACTGCACTCCAGCCTGGGCAACAGAGGGAGACTCCATCCAAAAAAAAAAAAAAAAAAACAGGAATTTGGGAAAATTGATGCAAGACTGAACTGCTTGAGTTGGGAATTAATGGAGTTGGTGGTGGAGCTTAGTGCTAGTGCCCTCACCAAGTCTCTCCAGCACTGTTGAGGCTGCCAACCAGGCTATTGTGTCCCCATGTCACTTTGATAAGCAGTTTGGAGAAAGCATTCAACTCTTCTGAAGACTTTGTTTCTCTAATCTGAGTCTCCTTTCCGAAAGTAAAGTAAGAAGGACAATTAAAGGGTATCTAAAGGTTTCTGTGTTGGTGGGCAAAGTAAATCTCTTGAGTTATAGAACTGATACTGGAATGCAAGTGTGTAGGGAACATACTTTTAGGGACGAATTCCTATAAATGATGCTTGAACCAGTCTTGGACCTAATTTGAAACTCAAGATCACTTTTGTTTCAGATAGACACCACCCACCTCTATTTCCCCAGGCTTCCTTTCTCTTCCTCATGTCTTTCTAAGCTCTCTAATTCAGAAAACTCATGGATCTGGAGCTTCCTCCACAGAAAGGCAGCAAGACCTTGCATCAGTAAAGAAGTGCAGCTTTTAGGCTGGGCGTGGTGGCTCATTCCTATAATCCCAGCACTTTGGGAGGCTCACGTGGGAGGATCACCTGAGGTCAGGAGTTCGAGACCAGCCTGGCCAATATGGTGAAACCCTGTCTCTACTAAAAACACAAAAGTTAGCCAGGTGTGGTGGTGGGCACCTGTAATCCCAGCTACCTGGGAGGCTGAGGCAGAAGAATTGCTTGGGCCCGGGAGGCAGAGTTTGCAGTGAGCAGAGATCGCGCCATTGCACTCCAGCCTGGGTGACAGAGTGAGACTCCATCTCAAAAAACAAACAAACAAAAAAGAAGTGCAGCTTTTAGATAGAAGGAATAGATTCTAGGTTCTACAGCACTGTAGGGTGACTATAATTAAAGACAATGTATTGTATATTCCAAATAGCCGGAAGAGCAAATTTTGAATGTTCCCAACACAAAGAAATAATACATTAAAAATAATAAAAGCAACAAAAAAAGAAAAAGTACAGCTTTGAAGCCAGACCAAGTTCCGGTTGTACCTGAGACCTTTGATTACCTAGCACAGGTTCATCTCTGGGTTTTACTTTCCTCATACACAAAGTACCAGGGACAAAGTAGGCACATACGTGTTTATCCCTTTTCTACCCCCCACGTCTTTTGTCTCTGACCCTCATAGACATTTATAGCTACTCTGTTTGCTTTAGGTGGGTGACCAGTTGATATTGCAAAGTCAGGCAATAGACCCAGCAGTTGACTTCAGCAATCCAACTCCATAGTCCTTACTTCAGAATATGTTGTGAATTGTATAGTGTCTTCTTTAGGAATTTCAATACAAAATTTCTATACAGGATCTTTTACCTCACAAGTGGACTTTAGAACCTAACCAACAAGGTGGTGGATGTCCTCTTAGATTTTTTTCCTGTGGACATTAAATATATATACATATATATGGATTGTGTACATATATTAGGTTGGTGCAAAAGTAATTGGCAAAAACCGCAATTACTTTTGCAACAGCCTAATTTAAATATGTATATATAATTTTTTCAATCAGCAATTCTTGATTGTTTGATTAAGAATGTCCAAATATACAAATCTCTCTTTTTAACCCACTCATAATGTGTCACTTTGTTCTAACTTAAAGAACTAACCCCTAATGAGGACATCTAGATTGTCTCTACTATAAGTCATGCTAGCGGGAACATCCTTATGCCCCTGTGCAGTGTATTTAAAGAACAAATTTCAAGAAGTGGAATTCCAATGCAAGATTGCATCTTTGTTGAACAGCTGGATAATGGTAAGGCATTGCTAGATTTTATGAAACCAAAACCCTACTGCCTCTGGTAAGAGTGAGTTTTGTTTTGTTTTGTTTTGTTTTTTTGATGGAGTCTTGCTCTGTCACCCAGGCTGGAGTGCAGTGGCACAACAATCTTGGCTTACTGCAACCTCTGCCTCCCAGGCTCAAGGGATTCTCCTGCCTCAGGCTCCTGAGAAGCTGGGACTACAGACGGGTGCCACCACACCCGGCTAATTTTTGTGTTTTTTAGTAGAGACAGAGTTTCATCATGTTGGCCAGGCCAGTCTCGAACCCCTGACCTCAGATGATCCACCCGCCTCGGCCTCCCAAAGTTCTGGGATTACACTTGTGAGCCACCACACCTGGCCAAGGTAAGAGTGATTTTTAAAAACCAAAAAATTATCCCAGAGTCTGGGAATAAAATAAAAGAGGGATTAAAATCACTCTTCTAATATTCTAAGGCTCTTGAATGAGGATGAGCCACCCCTAATGGATATTCATTCCAATGAAAGAAAGACTTTATAGAAAGAGAAATCTCCAGCCTCACATTTTCTGGATGGGTCAGTGGGTGTTGCTTTGTAATCAAAAGGCTGCCTGGCCGTTTGTGTCTCTTTAGACCATATTGTAAAACTTTTGCAATGAACAGACTAGAGTTGTATTTGCATGTCAAAGCCTCAGTTACTATCTTGTTTTAACCAAATTCTCTACGCATAAAATATGTCTTTATTTACTGTTCAAAAAATGGTTTTGAAGGCACTGCTGACTACATCATCCACAGCACTTGATATAAAGTGCATTATAAGCAAACTTGGAATTCCTGTTGGGGACACACATTCCCATCAGGAACCTGGTCTGCTTCCTCTCTCCTGCTGTGACTCATGACGTCCCTGGCCCTTCTTGCCAGAAAACCTAGGGCAAATGTGCAGGTCAGTTACAGCAGACCTGTTCCCTACAATGTTACCACATTCGCATTTTTCTCATTGCCTTGGCTCTGGTTTTCTGGTTTTATTTTATTAACTTCATTATTGACTCTTTTGTGGTAAAACATTTTAAAGCTTTTTTTCTCTGAGAAAGAGGTAGCCTATAAAAATAATCTCTTTGTTTGGCATTGTTAATAAATAGATGAAACATGCATTTCAAAATACCCATTGTATGGCAAAGTGGTAAGAGCCCAGGCTGTAGACTTAGCTTATGACTTAGACTTGAGAGCGCACTCCTGTGTGAGTGAGTCTTAGCCTCACCCCT
Source organism: Homo sapiens (assembly GCF_000001405.40). Taxonomy (NCBI): domain Eukaryota; kingdom Metazoa; phylum Chordata; class Mammalia; order Primates; family Hominidae; genus Homo; species Homo sapiens. Next base: position 55,938,874 of record NC_000008.11, read on the forward strand.
CCCAGCTATGCTGTGCGCGAGTCTTTTAACCTTTCTGAGCCTCAGTTTTCTCCTCTGTAAAGTCATCTGGCCGTATGGTTTCTTCAAGGATTAAATGAGATGCTCAATATATTATAAATGTGTAATAGAAGAATACTAAGGTGGAAATCATTGTAAAGTGTAGCTCATATCACTTGGAACATGTAACCACTCTCAGTTTTTGTCAGGAGTATATTGTATTTTCTACATTTCTGGTACTTTCATACAGCATAAGGAATTGCAAGACCTGTTCTGAGTTTGGGTTGCTCATCCCCATGTCACATGGAGGACCTCTGTTGAGGTTTCTGGTGGGAGAGTGTCTGAATGGGGGACCCCAAACACTTTGTGAGCAGAGATCAGCTGTGCCTGAGCAGTGAGGCCATGCTAATTCTCCACGTGGCTTTAATTTTTTCATTTACAGTGCATACATTCGATGTTAAATTATCCATGACAATGGTGGAAAGAAATTAAGCATAAATAAATGGCCATCTATCGATCTTCCTGTCTTGGATGTCACCACCCCACCCACATCCACCTGCTTTTTGTTTCCGTCCTTCCTTTTCCCAAGAGAAGAGAGAGAGAGAGAGAGAGAGAGAACGCTGGAGCGAGCAGCGAGGGCAGGGGAACTGCAGGAACGCAGTGGGGGGGGGACAGGGGATTCCCTGTGCCCTGGTTGTGGCACAGCTCAGTCAGGGCTCGGTCCGTGCTGGGAGGGAGCTGGATCGAGCGGCCCGGTGCGCTGTGGGTTGGCCGCACCCATGCAGGGCTCCTGCCCCGGAGCTCGCGGCGTGCGCAGGGTCCTCGTGCTGCTATTAACGTATTTGCCCATTTGTAAAGCACGATTTTAAGGGATGGTGAGTTAAACACCGCTTTTTCGGGGAGGGTGACGGGGCGTGGGAGGGATGAGACTGGTGAAAAAAGAACTCCCATGCTTACTTAGAGATCAACTCTAAACCCATGGCCATTTCAGAAACTTTAGCGTATTAAAAAATGTGCTGTTTTGAATCAAAGAAGTACTTGCTTCCCCTTTATTTTGGGAACTGCAGCTCGCTAGTTTCAGAAAGAGGTGTGGCTGCTCTTTAGAGGCTTCATACCTCAAGTAATGAAATGATAAACAAGTTGAAGTTCCTAGACCAATTGGAAGCCTGCAGGAAAAAACGCAGGCCTGGACGCGTGGCAGCGATGCCGGAGAGGGCCGAGTTCCCAGAAGAGCTCTTGAGGTTTCTTAGTACAATTCCTCCCCCACGAGATATTGCCTAGTCACACCACCTCTCCCCCTTCCCCAAACTCCTGTCATCTCTCCTTCCTCTAGACTTAACTCTAAGCCCTAGGCACCAGATTTGGCAGTGCTTCAGAATTACACATCACATGGGGAGCAGCATGCTCCCACTGTGCCCCAGAAGAGTTTCCCGGACAGTGTCCAGAGAATCTGTTCGGTGAGAACCAACTTCTAATGAAGTTTGTGAGATTTTATTTTTTTATTATTTATTATTATTATTTTTTTGAGACGGAGTCTTGCTGTCGCCCAGGCTGGAGTGCAGTGGCGCGATCTCGGCTCACTGCACCCTCCCCGGGCCGGGTTCAAGCGATTCTCCTGCCTCAGCCTCCCGAGTAGCTGGGACTACAGGCGTGTGCCACCACGCCCAGCTAATTTTTGTATATTTAGTAGAGATGGGGTTTCACCATGTTGGCCAGGATGGTCTCCATCTCTTGACCTCGTGATCCGCCTTCCTTGGCTTCACAAAGTGCTGGGATTACAGGCCTGAGCCACCGCGCCCGGCTGTTTTGTTTTTAATGCATAGATTTGACCCAATACTGTAAGACAAGAACTGTGTCTGATTCAAATGTTCAAAATCACCTTTGCAGTCCCCAGAGTGCGTGTGTAGTGCTCAGCCGTCCTGCGTTAATGGAATCACTGGATGACAGAGTTCATGTTTAGATGTGCACCGTGTGTTGTTCTGCCCTGGTCAGGCACCAGCCCCCTTCTTGCCATGGTGGCTTTCCTCCACTGTCCTAGCATGGCTTGCGGAGACCGTCATTTTGCTTTTACCTGCGCTAGTACTCCTGGTTTCCTGACTCAAGTAGCTTACTCAGTAGCCCTACTGGATTTGATCATCTGAATGTTTTCATAAGTATCTTCTCTCCCATAAGTGTGTTTCCTCAATTCATTTCCAGTCTTGATGAAAGCCAGGCCATCTTCCTAGGCCCCTACCTATGTTTAGCTGGAGCCAGGTTCTGCAGATTCTAGCTCTTCATCACCTGCCCTTGAAGTCTCAAGGCCCCCCACCCCACTCCACCTTGCACACTGCAGATTGGATGTGTCATTTGTCTTCAGGGTAAAAAATCAACCACTCAGCTTCACATCCAGCATGTGCCTCCCTCTCTGGCCCTGACTCCTGACCTTCCCTACCTGCTCCTTGACTGCAGTGTTTAGTGTTGTAGATAGAGCTCATTTTCTGAAGAGATTAGGTTGATCTAGCTCTCTGAAGGGGCCATGTTATCTTGAGCTCATGGTGGTTGCATATGAAGTTTCTTCTTCCTGGAATCTCTTTGCTGACTTTGCAAACTGGCTGCCATCCCGCCCATTTCAACTCACAGAGCATTTCCTTTAGGAAGCTTTCCCTGACCACCTCCTTTTCCTCTTGCCTGAGTTACATGTCCTTTCTTAGATCCTGTGGGTCCTCTGTCATCGAGTCTTTACACATCTTTGCCACAAGAATACGAGCAGAGTTAGAGCTGGATTTTGTCTGGGTGATGGAAAATTAATGCTCAATAAATATTTGTTGAGTGAATCAATGGACAGGCAAACCTATTTGGGAACAGTATTCACTTTGAGTTTATTAATCTATATATGATAAAGAATAAAAGTATATTTTTTCTACTCTTTTTTATTGGAGACATTTTGATGGCTTGAAGCAGTTCTGGAATGGTAAAACAATGTCATTACTTTTATGTTTCAACAGGAAATATGGGATGTATAAAATCAAAAGGGAAAGACAGCTTGAGTGACGATGGAGTAGATTTGAAGACTCAACCAGTACGTAATACTGAAAGAACTATTTATGTGAGAGATCCAACGTCCAATAAACAGCAAAGGCCAGTAAGTAGATAGTCTCAGGGGAGAATTCCCACAGCAAGATCAAAGCATGGCTACATAATTTAAACACCAGTCTGTAATATGTGCATGCAAAAAAATTCCATTGATTACTTGGTCCTCAAATAATTTTTGATATGCTTTGTAACTTTATCCTTTGAAGAATGTATAAATATTTTAGGGATAACTAGGCCACTCATTGTGCAATTAAAAGGGCCTTTGGTCACATTCTTTTGTGTGAAGAAAGCCATCTTTCATATTACTGGTGCAAAGACCCCACTATATATATATACACACACATATATATGTGTGTGTGTATATATGTGTATATATGTATATATATGTGTATATATATATGTGTATATATATGTGTATATATATGTGTATATATATGTGTATATATATATGTGTATATATGTGTATATATATGTGTGTATATATATATATGTGTGTGTGTGTATATATATATATATACACACATACATACATAGGCTTGTGTGACTCAAGATAGTAGTGAGAGGCTGGGCGCGGTGGCTCACGCTTGTAATCCCAGCACTTTGGGAGGCTGAGGTGGGCAGATCACTAGGTCAGGAGCTCGAGACCAGCCTGGCCAACATAGTGAAACCCCATCTCTACTAAAAATACAAAAATTAGCTGGGCACAGTGGCGGGCGCCTGTAATCCCAGCTACTCAGGAGGCTGAGGCAGGAGAATCGCTTGAACCTGGGAAGCAGAGGTTGCAGTGAGCCAAGATTGCACCACTGCCCTCCAGCCTGGGTGACAGAACAAGACTCTGTCTCAAAAAAAAAAAAAAAAAAAGATGTAGTGAGATTAGCTCAGTGGTTTAGAAGCAAAAGGAAATGTGGGATGCAAGTCAGAAACTAAAATAGGTGCTAATGTGTCTTTTGTTGTATCATACTTTATCCTGTCCTGTCATTTCTTCAATTAATTCAAAATAGTACAGATCCTGAAGTTGTCATCTGTTATTTTAGTGAATTAAAATATTAAGGAAAAACACCTCTAATTCTGTCCCCTAACCTTAGAGAAATAGCTGGACTAGAAATATTTTATGAGTGATGTGCTATTTGGTGTATTTCGGAAATACTTGGCAAAGAAAGAACTAACATCACATTTTATGGAAAGGAAGAACAGAGCTTTGAACAATTATAACCTGAAATCTACTTCATTTCCGAGCTTATATCCTTTGCATATATGTATTCTCTCACTGTATACATGTATACCACCCATAGCCTGCTTTCTATGGAATTCTGCAGCATTTAAGCTGGAAACAGTTTATTCCAGATTAGCCCAAATCCCATTATTAAGAATTTTCAGGCTGGGCATGGTGGTTCATGCCTGTACTTTGGGAGGTCACAAGGTCAGGAGTTTGAGACCAGCCTGGCCAACATGGTGAAACCTCAGCTCTACTAAAAGTACAAAAATTAGCCGGGTGTGGTGGTGCGTGCCTGTAGTCCCAGCTACTTGGGAGGCTGAGGAAGAAGAATTGCTTGAACCCAGAGGGTGGAGGTTGCAGTGAGCCGAGATTGCGCTACTGCACTCCAGCCTGGGTGACAGAGCGAGACTCTGTCTCAAAAAAAAAAAAAAAAAAAGGCATTTTTATAGTTTCTCTAGTCTGACATGTTTTTAAATGCTCAGGTGTTTTAGAAATATATTCCCATTATCAAACCTTTCTGCCTGCCCTCCCCTCAATATGTCCCCATTACCCTGAAGGTAGGAAATATCTGCCATGTATCAAAGTCACATGTCATCATTGAGACAAAGAAATCAACATCGGTCTTCTTAAGAAGTGGAGATAGGCCAGGCACGGTGGCTCATGCCTGTAATCCCAGCACTTTGGGAGGCCGAGGCAGGTGCATCACCTGAGGTCAGGAGTTCAAGACCAGCCTGGCCAACATGGTGAAACCCCATCTCTACTAAAAATACAAAAATTAGCTGGGCATGGTGGCACATGCCTGTAATCCCAGCTACTTGGGAGGCTGAGGCAGGAGAATTGTTTGAACCAGGACCCGGGAGGGAGAGGTTGCAGTGAGCCGAGATCACGCCACTGCACTCCAGCCTGGGTTACAGAGCGAGAGTCTCCAAAAAAAAAGGAAGTGGAGATAAAGAGTGGATATATCATGCTATTAAGTTATCATACATGATGTTTCTTGATAAATTAACATTGTAATTTTATATATAGAAAATATATGTACTTAAAATGTATAGGAATATTAATAGATTTAATTGTGTGATTATAAATATAAAATTTAAAAACCTATTACAGGCAGTGAAAGAAACATTACATAAGTATGTACAGATATAGAACCATATCATATATAAATATGATTAATAGAAAATAAAATAAGAGAAATTAGAGTCACAAATAGTTTTCTTATAGACATCAGAGTTCTCAAAAAAAGATCTGATTTTTCTCATACCATATGCTATAGATTTTGTAGGTTTTAAAACACAAGTTTTTTCGTTTTGCACTTATTTATTCATTTATTTATTTTGAGGTGGAGATTTGCTCTTGTTGCCCAGGCTGGAGTGCAATGGCACCATCTCAGCTCACTGCAACCTCCTCCTCCTGAGTTCAAGCGATTCTCCTGCCTCAGCCTCCCGAGTACCTGGGATTACAGGCATGCACCACCATGCCTGGCTAATTTTTGTATTTTTAGTAGAGATGGGGTTTTGCCATGTTGGCCAGGCTTGTCTTGAACTCCTTACCTCAGGTGATTCACCCACCTCGGCCTCTCAAAGTGTTGGGAATACAGGCGTGAGCCACCACACCCAGCCTGTTTTTTGTTTTTAAATGATGAATAAAGATGTCCTTTATTCAGAAAAGTCAAGGAGAATAGTGTGCAAACCCACACACCGCTTTTTCCTCTTGTTCAAAATAAAGGGGATTAAAAATCAAGTTAGAAAGCAGAAGTAGTAAACACGCTTGAAGTCTTTCAATTCCCTCCTGTATACCATTTTTTGCCCCTTCTGTGGTCACAGATGCCCTCCACTCATGAGCCAGTTAGCCTGGCCTTATTCCATGGCCATAACCAACACTCTCAGCCCTGGCCAGATATGACAAAATGCACGCTATGGATTGATTAAAAGGGGAATTTGATGAGAAGGTGAGGTAGGGTTGATGCAAATTCAACAACATTCTAGAAAAAGCCATTTTAAGGAAAAATCTAGAGCAATAGTATATGTGTGGCATACATGTGTTTCGGTCTTATAAAAAGCATATTAAAATGTTTGTAAGTTAAGGGCTTTTTGAAATTTGAAAAATCAGCTTGCTGCTTTTAAAATGATGTAATTAGTTTCTAGTCTTCTAGTTATTTCCTCTAAATCACATAAAATAGATCATATATCCAAATTATGCAAATCTGAATGACTAAAAAATCAACATAAAACTTCCTGACATAAACATTTGAAGGATAGTATGCAGCCATGGGTTTTTCTGGTACTACAATGTAGTAATTTTCCCTGTCTCACTGAAATGGAGATTTTATGGGCTTTCATCAGAAATTTAAATTTCAGTACAAACTGTTTTGGTCCCATTCTGTGAAGCCACTTTAATCAAAGAGAGACAGAAAAGTTACATGACTTGTGGTATAGGCCTCTGACAGCATCTATCTTACAAGAGGCCCAGAGGCCTCACACAGCCTCATGTGGCACTGTGAAGAAAAGAATTTGATTTTAAAGGTAATTGAGGTGGTCTTCTGTGCCACCAAATCCTTCCCAATAACTCACCCCCCCACTGAAATAACAGGGGATGCCATCTGTCCCTGTGATGGAGTCAGGGTCAGCCCAAGAAAACCTGGATGGGATGGGACTTGCTCTCAGCCTCCAGGGACAGAGCCCTGACCATGCAATTTTATACAATTGGGGAAGCCTCAGATGGGCAGTCCCAGGCTGGGACGGCAACTCCACGAAATCACCAGGGTCCCACCTCTTCCGTCTCCATCCTGCTGCCGCTGGTGTTTGCTTTCTATGTGAAGACTCCAGCCTTCACTTGTTTCTAGGGAGAGAGAAAGAGGCAAGGGAAAAGGGGAGCTGACAGCAAAGCCCTGCACAACCGATCTGCGGACCAAAACTCCCTCTGCCCTCTGCCCGGGGCTAGAGAGTTTGGAAGCACACTCATTGAGCTGGGCAAACTGCCACCCCAAATAATATTAGGGCTCTGTCACCAAAGAAGAGGAGGAGCTAGGATGAGGTGAGCACCTGGCACCTGCCCAGAACCTCGCTCCCTTCCTGCCACCCACAGCAAGTGATAAAGAGCCCTGTCACTGGCCAAGCAGGGCAGGATGCACCTCTACAGGTTTTTCCCTCTGTGCTCCTGTTCTTTCTGACTTAATAAATGAGCCCATCCTAACATCTGCTACTGTTACAAAAATCATATATACAACACGAATGTGAGTAAGAAAAGCTAAACAGAATTTTTTTTTCTAACAAATATTCTCTCGTAGGTTCCAGAATCTCAGCTTTTACCTGGACAGAGGTTTCAAACTAAAGGTATGTTTTCATAGCAACATAGTTAAAATTTTTTTTCTTTACTATTAGAGCTTCTATAAAGTGATTGTCCTAAATGTTTTTATTTTTTTTTATTGTGGGACATATATAACATAAAAATTTACCCTCTTAACTATTTTTAAGTATACATTTCAGCAGCATTAGGTACATTCACATTGTTGTACAACCAATACCGCCCTCCATCTCCAGAATGCATCTTCTCAAACTCCATACCCATTAAACAATAAGTCCCCATTGCCTCCTCCCCCAGCCGCTGGCAACCTCCGCTCTTTCTGTCTTTATGAATTTCACTACTCTAGGTACCTCCTAGAAGTGGAATCATACAGTAATTGTCCTTTTGTGTTTGGATTATTTCACTTAGCCTGATGTCCTCAAGGTTCATCCATGCTGTAGAAAGTGTTAGAATTTATTTCCTTCTAATAGTGAATAATATTTCCTTGTAAGTATATGCCCTGGCCGGGTGCAGTGGCTCACACCTGTAATCCCAGCACTTTGGGAGGCCAAGTTAGGTAGATCACCTGTGGTCAGGAGTTCGAGACCAGCCTGGTCAACATGGTGAAACCCCGTCTCTACTAAAAACACAAAAAATTAGCCAGGCGTGGTGGTGGGCGCCTGTAATCCCAGCTACTGGGGAGGCTGAGGCAGGAGAATAGCTTGAACCCAGGAGGTGGAGGTTGCAGTGAGCCGAGATTGCACTATTGCACTCCAGTCTGGGCGACAAGAGCGAGACTCCGTCTCAAAAGAGAAAAACCAAAATGCTACATGATGTTTATCCATTCCTCCATCAATAGATGTTTGCATTATTTCCACATCTTGGCTATTTTGAATAATCCTGCTGTGAACATGGGTGTATAATTTCTTAAATATAGAGTTGTATTTATAGTTTTAGTTTTAAGTGATTTGCAAGAACAAATACTGGACACAGTGTATACAGCAAGGTACTCTCTGTGGGCCGTGCAGACCCTGAGCCCACTAGGCAGGAAGCACATGTCCTTCTTCCAGTTGCCCCCTCTTAGTGCTTCCTCTCATCCTTTGTGCCCCATGAGGTTTGTTAAAACGCTTCTGCTGATGGATTCTTACAGGTGTTCTCTTGTGTTCATCTTTAGATCCAGAGGAACAAGGAGACATTGTGGTAGCCTTGTACCCCTATGATGGCATCCACCCGGACGACTTGTCTTTCAAGAAAGGAGAGAAGATGAAAGTCCTGGAGGAGTAAGTGCTCTCAAGCACGCCACGGCTGCTCGTTTCCTCAGGCCACTGAGTCCTGCAGGCTGTCCCCTTGTCTTGCTTCTGGTGCTACAGCCATAGCCCGGCCCCTTTCTTGTAATGGGTATGAGGCCTCCTTGCTACCCACAGGGAGTGGGCAGTGGAAGGAATAGAGCCAAAGGGATTTTCCTTTTAAGTCGGTCTGTGAGCACACTTCAGGGGGTTTCCCTTTGAAGACAGACAGTGGTTTTTCTTTAAAACAATTTTTTTTTTTGAGATGGGATCTCTCTCTGTCATCCAGGCTAGAATGCAGTGGCATGATCATAGCTCACTGCAGCCTTGAACTCCTAGGCTAAAGCAATCCTCTCACCTCAGCCTCCTGAGAAGCTAGGACTACAGGCATGTGCCACCAGGCCTGGCTAATTTTTAAAATTTTTGTAGAGATGGGATCTTGTTATGTTGCCCAGGCTGGTCTTGAACTCCTGCTGTCAAGCAATTCTCCTGCCTTGGCCTCCCAAAGTGCTGGGATTACAGGTGTGAGCCACCACACCCAGCCTGGTTTCTTTCTTTATCCACTCTTGCCACCTTAAGAAATTTGGGTCTGTGTGGCCCATGCATGATACTTGAAATGTCACTTTTCTTTTGTTATATTACTCATGTTTAGACTGGGTTCATGGGCCCAGCCTAGCTTGAGTTCTAAGGGTACTGAGCTACAGCAGCTGTGTTGGGAAATTCTCAACTCAGCAGCTGCCATGCTTTTGTGAGGACGCCTGAGTGTCGTCATCTCCTCAACCCCCTCTTGCTGACTCAGACATGTGGCAGTGTCAGACCATAGGCATGCAGGACAGTGCTCAGAATAAGAAACTCCAGTTGCTTTAATTCTAGCTTGCTTTTCTTACTAATCTTGCATTAAATGTCACTGTGACCTGCCAAATAGGGTTTGAGGGGGAGACTCCCTTATTAAGGACAAGGTGTTCCGTGGTTGAGAGCAATGTTGCATATGGGTTGAACAGGGACTTAAGCCTGATCCTGGCCCTGCCACTTGATAGCTGTATGACCTTGACAAGACCCTTAAACTTTATACCTTGGTTTCTTTACTTATAAAATGGGAATGACAGTACCTAGATCATGGGGTTGATGTGAGCATGATGCATGTGTTTAAACATGACATAAGCAAAGAGGATGCAGAGCTTAGTATTAGTTCTAGTTGCCTTCATGCCTTACAGACAAGGATCCTGTCTGTGTGTGGAATTTATAGAGGAATGCAGTTAAGGCTCAAAGGGACCCATTCCTTCCCCCATTACCAGCTTACCTGCTTGCTTCTTCCAGTGCTCATCCCTGCCTCCTCCCTGGCTCCATGCCTGCCTTTCTGCTGAGGACTCGAGCATGGTGCTGAAGCTCACTTGCTTGGAATTGTCTTATGGTTTTCTTCTTTTCATAGTGTCCATCTCTATGATAACTAGATGTTTGAACAAAGGAGTTTATAATGCATGAACTGTGGACCAGTATTCCCTTGACTCTCATTTCTATAAGGATTTGAAAGCATTTCTTAGCTATCCTGGGGCAAGTTACAAACCTTTTGTTTCTGTGAGATGGGAGCCATTTGTACCAACTCTTCTTTGTGCACCCCTGATCGCAGTGATGCGTGCTTTAGTTGTAAGGCTGTTTTCCTTTGCTTCTGTCTCTAAACATATTTTAATTCCATCACGGAGAGTGAATTTTCCCACTGGATTCTGGGGTTCCAGAGATGTTCTCCACCCGCCTTCACCATCCTAAACAAACATCTTGAGACAATTGCTATTGTAGCTGTTGAGTCTTGGATATAAACACTTTTTTCCTTTTATTTTTAGTTGACATGGAATAATTATATGCAGTCATGGGATACAGAGCGATATTTTGATACATGTATGCAGTGTGTACGGATCAAGTCAGCGTAATTAGCATATCCATCATCTGGAACATTTATTCTTTCTTTGTGTTGTGAACATTCAAAACCCTCACTCCTGGCTTCTTTTCTTTGTCTCTCTCTCTCTCTTTTTAATAGCTTTATTGAGAATTCACAATACCATACAATCCATCTACTTAAAGTGTACAATTCAGTGATTTTTTTAGTATAGTCACAGAATTGTGCAATCATCACCACAATCCATTTTAGAACATTTTAAATACCCCAAAAGGAAACCCTGCACCCCTTAGCTGTCACCTCAACTCTCCCATTCTCTGCAGCCCTAGGAAACCACGAATCTACTTTTTATCTCTGAAGACTGACCTATTCTGGATATTTCACATAAATGGAATCATACAATATGTGGTCCTTTTTGACTGCCTTCTTTTATTTAGCATAATGTTTTCAAAGTTCATCCCTGTTGTAGCATCTCTCAGCACTCCATTCCTTTCACTGCTGAGTAATACTCCACTGGATGGATATTCCAGATTTTGTCCATTCATCAGTTGATAGGCATTTTGGTTGTTTCTACTTTTTGCTTTTACAAATAAGGATGCTTTGAACATTCATGTACAAGTTTTTGTGTGGACATTATGGTTTCATCTTTCTTGGGTATATGTCAAGGAGTATAGTTGCTGGGTCCTGTGGTAAGTCTATGTTTTCTTTATTTTTAATTTTTTAATTGATATGTAATATCTGTACATAAATACATATTTATGGGATATCTGTGATATTTTGATACATGCATGGAGTATGTAATCTTTTAGCTTCTTTTTGATGTGTATTTCTATTCTAGGCATGGAGAATGGTGGAAAGCAAAGTCCCTTTTAACAAAAAAAGAAGGCTTCATCCCCAGCAACTATGTGGCCAAACTCAACACCTTAGAAACAGAAGAGTGAGTCCTCATGTGTTGTCATCTTGGTGGCTTTATTTGCCACATTGGATTTCTTGTTAATATTCTTCACCTTTTTCTTGCCGTGGAACATAATATGCAGGAAATGTTGAAATGTCTTCACAGGTGGTTTTTCAAGGATATAACCAGGAAGGACGCAGAAAGGCAGCTTTTGGCACCAGGAAATAGCGCTGGAGCTTTCCTTATTAGAGAAAGTGAAACATTAAAAGGTAGGAAATTGTTCAAAGCCTCTTTTAAAACACTATTTAGGAAATTATTTTTAGAAACTATTCTAGAGCTACTCAAGGGGAAAAAAGGGCATATAGTATGCTCTGGTAGTAAAAGTTTTATGGTTTGATAACAAATAACAAACCTCAGTGATTAGTTGTGCTACTAAAAGTAATATAGTTGAGTGTGGTGGCTCACACCTGTAATCCTAACACTTTGGGAGGCTGAGGCGAGAGGATCACTTGAGTCCAGCAGTTAGAGACCAGCCTGGGCAACACAGCAAGACCCCATCTCTACAAGAAATACAAAACTTAGCCAGGCCTGGCAGCACATGCCTATAGTCCCAGCTACTCTGGAGGCTGAGGTAGGAAGATCACCTGAACCCAGGGAAGGGAGGCTGCAGTGAGCCGTGATCACGCCACTGCACTCTAACTAGCCTGAGTGACAGAGTGAGGCACTGTCTCAAAAAAAAAAGAGAAAAGAAAAGAAAAGTACTGTAGAAAGCACACATGATTGTGGCCAGTTCTTACCAGGCTTTGTTTGCTGAGCCTTTTGCATTATTATTTGAATAAATCCTGAAGTTTTAAGACAAAGAAAATTAGGCTGGGCGTGGTGGCTCAGGCCTGTAATCCCAATGCTTTGGGAGGCCGAGACTGAGAATCACTTGAACCCAGCAGTTTGATACCAGCCTGGGCAACATAGCAAGAGCCTGTTTCTATAAGAAATTAAAAAATTAGCCAGCTGTGGTGGTGCATGATCGTAGTCTCAGCTACTTGAGAGGTTGGGGTAGAAAGATCGTTTGAGCCCAAGAGGTGGAGGCTGCAGTTAGCTATGATTGTGCCACTCTACTCTAGCCTGGGTGACAGAGCAACAACCTATTTCAAAAAAAAAAAAAAGAAAATCAAAGTAACTTAAAAAAATTTAAATGTAGCTAAATAATAATTTTAAAAAAATTATCATGAAGAAAGAAAATGGTATGTTGGCAAGCTACACAGCAAACAAAATGCCAGCTTCATTTGTCAAGTAGAATTTTTATAGGACTTTTAAAATTATGCATTTTATACAAATTTCATAAATATATGTATTTTGCATATTTGTATCACAAAATGTGTACTGCAGTTGTTGTATAATGCAGATCTTATTTGTGAGATATAAACATTTACTTACACTTTTCCCCCCATAGGAAGCTTCTCTCTGTCTGTCAGAGACTTTGACCCTGTGCATGGTGATGTTATTAAGCACTACAAAATTAGAAGTCTGGATAATGGGGGCTATTACATCTCTCCACGAATCACTTTTCCCTGTATCAGCGACATGATTAAACATTACCAAAGTAAGTAAAAACTGAAGGTTCAACAAGACAAGATATATTTGTTATGATATGTATAAGACGTCAAACGCTATTTTTATATTAAAACTTTTTATGCATCGTATTTCTCTTAGATACAGTTGCAGGTCATATTCTATAAGTGGTTCTAAATTAATCTATAGTTAGGCCAGGCACAGTGGCTCACGCCTGTAATCCCAGCACTTTGGGAGGCCAAGGCAGGTGGATCACTTGAGGTCAGGAGTTCGAGACCAGCCTGGCCAACCTGGTGATACCCCATCTCTACTAGAAAAAAAAAAAATTAGCCAGGCATAGTGGTGCGTGCCTGTAGTCCCAGCTACTCGGGAGGCTGAGGCAGGAGAATCACTTGAACACAGGAGGCGGAGATTGCAGTGAGCTGAGATCGCGCCACTGCACTCCAGCCTGGGTGACAGAGCAAGACTCTGTCTCAAAAAACAAATACTAAAATAAAAGCAATTAATTAATCTACAGTTAAATACACAAAGTAAGATTTGATCCTTGTGAATAATTCTCCCAGTCCTTCCCACCTAGTACATGCTGTTTGACATTCAGTGTTCCACAATTACCAAGAGAAAAATATATATTGTCTTTGCATATATTTTTACAATGCATCTGAATATCTGGAATAGGAATGCAGATTTGCAGATCTGTGTTTGTGTGTGTGTGTGTAAAAGTAATGTATATTCTTGGTAAAGTCAAACGGATATAACACTACCACTGAAATATTTAGAAGTGGCAGGTCAATGTCCCTGTCTCCAGTGCCACTTTGCAGTCCTGAGAAGCCTGGGCCTGAGACTCTGGGTCCCTTTCCTGTGTAATTGGAGTCAGTTGAGTGGTTGTTGCCCCGGCTCCTTTCTATGACCTGCTCGAAGGGGATGCACATTATAGGTTTGCTTGAGTCCCAAAACACGGAGAGAGCAACGTGCTTCCGATTTTGTAGATTCTTGCCTTCCTCCGCCCTCCCATTCCTGTGTGCATCCGGCACATGCTGAGGGCTTGTGGTACTCTGGCTGTGTTCTGGGGCCTGGGGTCCAGTGGTGACATGACCGAGTCCCCACTATGGTGCCCTGTGAAGCTTAATGTGGGATTAGTAATCTGAAACCACATTTTATTAAGTGTGACAATCTGGCAGCCTGTGGTTGTCTGTTGGCTTTGTTGTTTTTGTTCATGTATGTTAGCAGTGCTGAAGAATACAATCAAGTATGTTTTAAATGGTTTTTCTTATATAAATTTCAGGCCGGGCTTGGTGGCTCACACCTGTAATCCAGCATTTTGGGAGGCCGAGGCGGGTGGATCACTTGAGGTCAGGAGTTTGTGACCAGCCTGGCCAACGTAGTAAAATTCTGTCTCTACTAAAAAATATAAAAACTAGCTGGGCATAGTGGTGGGCACCTGTAATCCCAGTTACTTTGGAGGCTGAGGCAGAAGAATTTCTTGAACCCAGGAGGCGGAGGTTGCAGTGAGCCAAGATCGCCCATTGCACTCCAGCCTGGGCAATAGGAGTGAAACTTCATCTCAAAAAAAAGAAAAACAAAAAAAACCCACAAATTTCAAAAGTCACAATTATGTCAAGGATGCATTTTAGTTCACAGACTGCGGCAGGTTGGACACTATAAGGCTAGTGTTCAACTTTTCTTTATAGACACAGGTAAAGTACAAAGTATTGCATTTCTTAACCTTCATTTTTCCCTTTCAAATTAGAGCAGGCAGATGGCTTGTGCAGAAGATTGGAGAAGGCTTGTATTAGTCCCAAGCCACAGAAGCCATGGGATAAAGATGCCTGGGAGATCCCCCGGGAGTCCATCAAGTTGGTGAAAAGGCTTGGCGCTGGGCAGTTTGGGGAAGTCTGGATGGGTAAGTGTGCGGCTCGGGGATCTATGTCCTTCTAGAGATGGTGACAGGAGAAGTAAAGGCTCAAGCCAATTTCGATCAGCTTCTGAGCCAGACACTAAATTATGTCAGAAGCATCATTTATTTTGTTTTCCTCTGTCCATTGGGGCTGAGAACTGGCCTGCAAAATCTATTTACTTCAGCTCTTGCTCTTTCTTGCGACTTAGTAATTCTCTTAATGTTTGTAAGGAGGGGAGTAATGGGTATTTATCTTGATCATCTGCCTATTTCTTCATGATTCCCTCATCGCCAGATTCTCTGGATGCACGGCTCAAGTGCAAGAAATTTGCTTCCATCTCTGGGAAAGGTTATCTTAGGGCTGGAACCCATTGGCTTAATAGAAAGCCTCAATGTATTACAATTTGAGGGTCACCAAGAAAGTTTCTAAGGTTCTCAAAGTCACGTCATGAAGAAATCATTTCTTAACATTAAGTATTGCCTTCTCAGGCTGGCAAGAAGTGCAGCAAGATTATAGCAGTGGCTTTTTCCAGGGGATTCTTTTCATCTACCTACTTTAAAAAAAAGTTTTTATAGTGAGCTGAGCACAGTGGCTCATACCTGTAATCCCAGCACTTTGGGAGGCTGAAGCAGGAAGATTGCTTGATCCTAGGAGGCTGAGAACAGCCTGAGCAACATAGCAGACCCTGTCTCTACAAATAAAGAAATTAGCCAGGTGCCATGGTATGTGCCTGTAGTTCCAGCTACTTGGGAGGCTGAGGTGGGAGGATCACTTAAGCCAAGGAGGTCGAGGCTGCAGTGGGCCGAGATGGCACTCCTGCACTCCAGCCTGGGTGACACAGTGAGACCCTGCCTCAAAATAAATAAATAAATAAATAAATAAATAAATAAATAAAAGTTTTCATAGTGAATGTGAACTTCTTTGGTGATAAGAGTTTTTTAGAACAAAAATGCTAAAGCATAACATTCTTTTAATGGTTCTAATGGAATGTGCGGTTATTTCTGGAAAGAGTAACATGTTAGGTCACACACATCTGACTGGGTCACTTTTTCTGTGTCAGCTTTGTTGAGTGAAAGCAAATGTGATTTCTAAATGGAAGGGGCAGATGGCTTTTAAACACTCTCCAGCCCCGGCAGAACAGAAGCTGCAGCCACGTGGACACGTCACCTCTGCATCCAGGTTTTCCCTCTACAGTCTTGGCCCCTGGGATCATAGCCTTGCTCACTTTCTCCTGTTGGCCCCTCTTGAGCAGAAGTGACTTTTAAACACGGCACATACTGAGCCAGCCTATCATTAATTAATTCTTACTGCACTGTAAGTCTTTCTGCACATATTTGCAGAATTCAGGTAAACTGTAATTACATGACTTCACATTCTCCGTGTGGATCGGCATGTGTCAGAACTGGCTGGCAGTGCAAATCAGGTCCTCAGTTTCTGTTCCACTCAGCAGATTCATGGGTGTGAGTGCTCACTCTGAATGTTGTCTCTTCCCATGCACACTCTGTTGTCTTCCTCCTCATTTCTCTGTGTGCTCTTTTTTTAATTAACATGAAATTCACCTGACATAAATTAATCATTTAAAAGGAACAATCCACTGGCATTTAGTACATTCACAATATTGTGTAGCCACCACCTCCATCTACTTTCAAAATGTTTTTATCATCCCGAAAGGAAACAATGTACCCAATAAACAATCACTCTTCATTCGCCCCACCCTCAGCCCCTGGCAACCACCATTCTTTCTGTCTCTATGAATTTAACCACTCTAGGTACCTCATATAAGTGGAATCATTTATTTGCCCTTTTGTGTCTGGCTTATTTCACCTAGCATAATGTTTTCAAGGTTCATCCATGTTGTAGAATGTATTAGAATTTTCTTGTTTTATGGCTGAGTAATATTCCATTGCATGACTATAACAGAGTTTGTTTATCTACTTATCCATTGGTGGACCTTTCAGTTGTTTTTACCTTTTGACTGTTATGAATAATGCTGTATGAATGTTCACATACAAATTATTATGTGGACACATTTTCATTTCTCTTGTGTATAAACCTAGGAGTTCAGTTGCTGGGGCATGTGATAAGCCTCTGTTGAACTTTTTCAAGAACCACAAAACTATTATATGCTCATTAAAAAAAGAATGACTTGGCTTCTTTTTTCCTCCTTTGATGTTTATATTTATTTTTTTCCAAATCTACAGAATGGGGCAGGAATAGTATAATGAATATTGTATACCCTTCACATAGATTCACCAGTTGTTAATATTGTCCTAATTTTCTTGTTCTTTTATATACGTACACATACATACATGTTATTATTGCCGTTGACCACCTGAGATTAAGTGCAGACGTGACTTGCTGAGTTTTGTGAAGAGTGTTTAAGCACCTAAGCAGTACTGTGTTCTCAGGGCACCTGTCAGGAGGCATAGTATTAGCCGGTCCTATTCTTAATGATGTTCTATTTGATTTTATCTACAGTAATCCACCATCACTTTTATTTAAAGTGATCCAAAAGTTTAAATGGATCATTTAAATTTAGTTTCTCCGTGGCAACTTTTTACTCCCTTTTGTAGTAAATAAATACTCTGTGGGAAGTTTAAGATTATGTAAATAGAACTTTCTCCAAATGGTTTCAGCACGATCTGTGAATTCTCTTCCCTCTTAGAAGCCGTCACTTCTCTATAAAGCTCCAGTCCTTTCTGTCCTCCTCCCTTGCTCCTTGAACATGTCTATTCCAACCCCACTGGCTCACGTCAAGATCCAGGGACTTCTGCGTTCTCTTCCCGGCTTCTCCGTCTGTTCACTGAGAGTATTGGCAGGAAAACCAGGATCGCAATCACACTTAATTGTGCTCTTAGTCCATCTGAGTACTTACTGTGACTTTGTGTGGGGAGAAGGAGGAGAAGACAGGAGGAAGGGAGAAAAGAGTGTACAGGCTCTACGGGCCCTGCTCTAAGTGTGTTTGCATTGACATTCTCACTTACTCATTGCTGTAGCACTGTGAATGAGAGGCATTACTGTGATCATTCGATAAACAACATCACTGAGAATCAGATAAGCAACTTACTCAAGGTCATTCAAGGCAGTGAGAGAGCCAGGCTGCTCTGGCATCTGGGAACCCTGGACTCAATTATTTGCTACACTATTTCTAAGCTAATTTGACTTCCCTAGCCTCAGTTTCCACATCAGTGAAGTGGACAAACTCCAATCTTCAGTTGTTCAAAGGAAGAATGAGATTATGCACCTGGGATGTTTCCCAGAGTCTGACTCCGTGTGCCCTATTTTTATTATTGTCACTTTTTTGTTTTTTATTCTAGTTATTGGAAGCTATATTTTGGTGTATTTTCCCCAATTTTAATCATAAAACAGAGCCATAAATAATCCAATTAGACTTTCCTATGGATATTTGCTGGCAAAGGAATTAACGTGTCTGTCATGAAAAGAAATGTAGAGGGAGGTTAATCAGGATGTACTGGTTCATCCTAAATCAGTAGCCCTGCATATAAAGTCATGGCTTGGAATCTTGTTCTAGCCTCTCCTGTTCAGCTGTGAAGCCAGGATAAAGCATCAAATTGCATGCTATTTGCTCCTGAGAGACAAGTAAAGTGAACAAAGTAATTCAAATCCAACTGCTTGAGTGAATTATTTCTTAGTAACACTGTTTTTAAAGATGCAGTTGTTGGCAGGGCACGGTGGCTCACACCTGTAATCCTGGCACTTCGGGAGGCCGAGGCAGGTAGATCACTTGAGCTCAGAAGTTCAAGACTAGTCTGGACAACATGGTGAAACCCTGTCTCTATCAAAAATACAAAAAAAAATTAGTTGAGCATGGTGGTGTTGCACCTGTGTTTCCATCTACTTAGGAGGTTGAGGTGGGAGGATCGCTTGAGCCTAGGAGGCAGAGGTTGCAGTGAGCTGAGATTGCGCCGCTGTCACCAAACTGGGTGACAGAGTGAGACCCCATCTCAAAAAATAAATAAATAAATATGCAGTTGCTGCCAGCCTGGATGCCTGGCATCAAAAGTGCTGCTGTCAGCTGTGGTGTCAGTGCGTCCTGCAGGGGGTGCCTGGCGAGGTTGGGAGCAGGAAGTCAGGAGCTAGGCAGCCTGGAGCACACACCTCAGCAGACCTGCTTACACCCCCTGTTCTGTCGTAAGGTGTAAGTCTGCACTAAAATTGTACACCTGGAGCTTAAGAACATTGGTCCTTTCTGGGATTGGGAAAACCGCCTTGCTTCTAATTCCAGATACACTGAATCCTCCAATTTCTCTTCTTTCCTGCACACAGCTTAATTTTAGAGAACTTTTGCTTAACATATATTCAGGTGGTGCCTAGGAGAAACAAGTTTAGAAGAGAAGAGAATGGAGTGTTGGAAAGTATCTGATTGTTTTATACAAATTTTTACTTTTTATTTAGACTGAAACAGGATAAAAATCTTGAGAAAATACATCACTTGAATAGATTTGCTCATTCCGTTTTTAAAAATTGTGGTTAAATACACGTGACATAAAATTTGTGTTTTAGCGATGTTTAGGTGTACAGTTCAGTAGTGTTAAATGCATCTACACTGTTATGCAACCAATCTCCAGACTCTCTTTTCATCTGATAAAACTGAGAGACTGTGTACTCTTTAACACCAACTCCCTGATCCCCTCTCTGGCAACCACCATGCTACTTTCTGTCTCTATGAATTTGACTACCTTAGGTACCTCAAATAATTAGAATCATACAGTATTTGTCTTTTTGTCTCTGGCTTACTTCACTTAGCATGATGTCTCCAAGGTTTATCTATGTCGTAGCATGTGTCAGAATTTCTTTGCTTTTTAAGGCTTAATGATATTCCTTTATATGCATACATAACCTTTTGTTTATTCATCTATTGATGGACAATTAGGTTGTTTCTACCTTTTGGCTATTGTGAATTTGCCACTGTGAACATGGGTGCACAGATACCTCTCTGAGACCTTATTTTCCATTCCTTTGAGTATAAATCCAGAAGTGGAATGGCTGGATCCTGTAATTCTTCTATCTCTAAAATTTGGAGGAACTGCCGTACTGTTTTCTACTTCGGCTGCACCATTTTACATTCCCATTGACCGTGTGTAAGTGTTCCCTTTCTCCACAGCCTCACCAACAGTTGTTATTTTCTGTTTTGGGGATTTTTTTTGTTGTTGGCTGGTTGGCTTTTGTGATAGTTGTCATTTTAATAGATGTGAGATGGTATCTTACTGTGGTTTTGATTTGTGTTTTCCTAATAATTAGTGACCAAGCATCTTTTCATGTCCTTCCTGGTCATTTCTACATCTTCTTTGGAGAAACGTATGTTCAAGTCCCTTTCTCACTTTTTAAATTGTGTTCTTTACTTGATTTACTAATAACGTTTTAAATGACAGAGGCAGTAGAGCCTCATCTAAAATGGGGTTTAATGGAACCTATCTCAGAGGGATTACATAACAATTGAAAGAAATTGTGCAGGTAAGTTCAATTGACAGCATTCAAAGCACTGTTATTAAATAATATCTTTAGTAAGAAAATATGTCACATTAGTGCAAAGGCTATACAGCAGAGGAAAGAAATTGCCCAGGGTTTCCCACTAAATAGAAGTTGTTTGTATTTTTGCTTTTTAATTTTTTTTATTTTGAGATAATTGTGGATTTACATGCCATTGTGAGAAATAATACAAAAAGGATAACATATGTCCACGCAAAAACCTGTACATGAGTGTTCATAGTAGCATTATTTGTAATAGCCAAAAAGTACAAACAACTGAAATGTCCATCAGATGATGAATGGGTCAATAAAATGTGGTGTATTCATACAATGGAGTATTTGGCAATAAAAAAAAAAAATGACCTGGCATACTTCAACATGGATGCCATGCTGTTTTATGGATGACTTATAATAACACTATGTTAAGTGAAAGAAATCAGGCCCAAAGGAGCACATATTATACTGTTCCATTTATATGAAATGTCCAGAATAGGCAAATCTAGAGTTAGAAAGTAGATGACTGGTTGCCTAGGGCTGGGGGGCCTGGGAGTATGGTAGGAGTGACTGCTAATGAGCATGGGATTTCTTTTTGGAGTCATGACAACATTCTAAAGCTAATTGTGGTGATGATTGTACAATTCTGAATATGCAAATAACTGATGAACTATATACTTTAAATGGGTAAATGACATGGTATATGAATTATATTTCAATAAAGCTGGCAAATATATAAAAGAAATGATACAGAGAGATCCCATGTACCATTTACCCAGTTTCCTCCAGTGGTAACATCTTGTAAAACTATAGTACAACATCACTACCAGGATATTGGCATTGATCACCGTTCATTTTTTAATTGTGCTTTTCTTCCAGTCTTATATTGAATGGAGGAAGGAAGGAAAAGAAGGGAAGGGGAGGAAAAGAAAATAGAAGAGAAAAAAATAGAAAATTTTGACTTGGGATCTTTTGCTTGTAGGGACTGAGTTTGCCTGTCAGTCAGCGAGCTCCTTCTTCACTCCTGAAATAATTTAAATATGTTGAATACACATAGCAGAGGAATATTGGGAATACAACCAAAAGAGTTGTGATTGGTGATTTTATGTTACAAATAGACTGAAGGATACTCCCTCTCCCAATTTTGAGCTGCTAGAATTTAGTTTTCTCTTACCCTTTTTAGTTTCTCAAAGGATAAGCAGGCCAGCTTTTCTCATTGATAGAAAAAATACAATTAAAATTCTATCACTGTTAACCCAGTAAGTTAATATTTTTGTTAAACATAAGGAATTGTTCATGGACAACCCATTTCATTTTATGGTCTGCATTTTTTTGGCTTGAAATGCAGTGAACAAATACTAGGAAGTGACCTGTTCTTTGGGGGAAGGGGCTGGGTGGGGATAAAAGAAAGAGGTGTCTCTGCTTCAAGCTGTTTCCTCTTGTTTGTGTGATCCTTGTGACATCTGACTTGGGTGACATGCTTCCTCTGTGGATTGTCCTATTCCCAGGGAATCAACTGGGCAGTGAGGCTAAGGACGATGTTTCCTCTGACTGCTTGGTCTATGAAGAGACCCTGAGGAAGGAAGGAAACTTATTTTACATTGAATTTTGCTTGATAAATTCTCATTTGAGCCAACTGCCTTGAGATTAATCACCAACCCACTTCCAAAATCAACTGCATGCATTTTTTAAAAACCACTCTCCCTTTTGTGGTACGTGGGCACTTTTTAGCAAGCCAGTCACAGCCGGAATTAGAGTGCTCTCAAGGTGCCACATCAGCTTTCTTTAACTGTGGCAAAGTGTCACTCCACAAGACGCTTTTTACTAGCTCAAAAAGTTTTTTTTAACATAATTTTTCATCTGTATTGACAACCCAAATCTCCATGACTAGGTTAATTTGAACCTTCAAACTACCAGAGAGTATCTTAGAAACCTATGATTTGATCCTTAGCACTGAATAAAAATCATGCCTTTAACAGAGGGATGAAAACCACCCTATTGTTTCAATATCACAGCCCTAAGAGATCATCTGGGAGCTGCCGCCATTCTTGGGCCATGTTTGACACAGCTGCTTTATCTACCACTCACCTCAAACTCCTTATCAGTATTTAAAATATATGCAGCTGCAATATTTCCTGATGACTTCCCCCCTAACCTTGGAAAGCGTTTTTTTTCCTTCGTCCTTTACTCATACTTTTCTATTTATAAGTCTCCATGAGCTTCATTGTTTTTATGATGGCAAAAGGGAAATGGTTTTGTTTCTTTAACTTTTATTGCTATGTAATGTAACAAGCAGACAGAAAATGCAAACACAAATATCTAATTTCACAAATAATTACAAAGCAAAAACTGGTGTGTCGACCTCTGAGAGGAAACTTGCTAGCCCCAGAAGCCCCCACCGTCCACCCATCCCCTCCCACCCACACCCTACCTGTCCCCCAGAGACAACAGCTATTCCGACCTTCCTGATGGTTTTCTGACTTCTTCTTAATTTTGCCACTTTTGTATATGGGGATGTATGCATCCCCCCAAAATATAGCTCAGTTTTGCTGTTTTTGTACTTTGTATGAACGAATTATACCAAATGTGCTCTTTTACGTCTTGCCTCTTTTACTCAACGGGTTGGTGAGAGGCATCCATGCTTTTGGGTGTGGCTACAGTTCATTCATCTTCATTCCATGTGGTGTTGGTAAGATACATGTGGCTTTTGGGTATGGCTACAATTCATTCATCTTCATTCCATATGGTGTTGGTGAAATGCATCCATGCTTTTGGGTGTGGCTACGGTTCATTCATCTTCATCCTATGTTGTGTTGGTGAGATGCATCCATGCTTTTGGGTGTGGCTATTGTTTATTCATCTTCATGCCATATGGTGTTGGTGAGATGCATCTGTGCTTTTGCGTGTGGCTACAATTCATTCATCTTCAGTCCCTATGATGTTGGTGAGATGCATCCGTGCTTTTGGGTGTGACTACAGTTCATTCATCTTCATCTCATGTCGTGTTTGTGAGATGCACTCGTGCTTCTGGGTGTGGCTATGGTTCATTCGTCTTCATCCCATGTCGTGTTGGTGAGATGCATCTGTGGCTACGGTTCATTCATCTTCATTCCATATGGTATTGGTGAGATGCATTCATGCTTTTGGGTGTGGCTATGGTTTATTCATCTTCATGCCATATTGTGCTGTGCTGCATGTGTTTTCAAGATATACGATCATTTATCCATTTATTTCACCATTTACTGATGAAATTGGAGTTCATGTTAGTCCATTTTGCTTTGCTAAAGGAATACCCGAGACTGGGTAACTTATAAAGAAAATGTTTATTTGCTTTACGGTTCTTCAGATTTTATAAGAAGCATGGCACCTGTCTCTGCTTCTGGTGAAGCCTCAGGAAGCTTCCATTCAAAAAGGAAGGCAAAAGGGAGTGAGCATGTCACACAGTGAGAGCAAGAGAGTGACCAGAAGAGGTGCCATGCTTTTAGACAACCAGCTCTCTTGTGAACTAATAGAGCGAGAACTCACTCTTTACCACGGGGATGGCCCCAAGCCATTCATGAGGGATTCATTCCCATGACCCAAATACCTCCCTCTAGTCCCCACCTCCAACACTGGGGATCAAATTTCAACATGAGATTTGGAGAGGACAAACATCCAAACTATATCAGAGTTTTTCCCAGTTTGGGCTGCTATGAACAATGCGCTGCACATTTTTGTGCCTCATTTTTGTGCTGATGCAAGCATGCATGAGCTCTAGGGTGAGTGGGAGTGGATTTGCTGGATCGTAAGGTGTATGAATCTTCAGCTCTTCTAAGTTATTGCCAACTTATTTTGCAAAGTGCTGGTCCCAGCTTAAGATTCTCACCAGCAATATGCCAGTCCCCACGTCCCCTTTCCTGACTAGCAGAGCTGTACTTAGAGAGATGTGGGCCCCAAGGCAGCACAGGCAGTGGGTGGTTATCCGGAAGGAAGTGTGCACTCAGCATCCTTCATGGACACCTTGGATGTTGTCACAGAAGCTCTGCAATTGAATTTCAGTGATGCTCAGCAAAGAACACAGAATGAGGCCTAGGGCAGCTGCTCCAGAGTCCCTCCCAAGGGGCAGGTGCTCATCAGCACTTGATATTACCAGACTTTAAAAATTTTTGCTGAGCTCGGCAGTGGTTTCTCATGACTTTATTTGCATTTCTCTGGTTGCTAATAAGATTGAGTACTTTTCACGTGTTTATTACTCATATGAATTTCTTCTTTTGAAATGCCCTTCCAAGTCTTTGCCTATTTCTTCTGATTTTTCTTATTGATTTGTAAGAATTCTTTCTATATCCTGGATGCAAGTTCCTTGCAGTTATATGTATCATATAGTTTATGTATTTTCATCTATTTTATATCATGTATTTTCCTGCTGTGATTTGCTATGGATATGCTCATGTAACTTAGGGTTAGAGTTAGGGCTGGGGTTAAGGTTAGGGTTTATAAACGTTAAAAAATT
Source organism: Homo sapiens (assembly GCF_000001405.40). NCBI lineage: Eukaryota > Metazoa > Chordata > Mammalia > Primates > Hominidae > Homo > Homo sapiens. The sequence continues at coordinate 55,963,953 of NC_000008.11, forward strand.
TATAATAAAACCTTTTTGATTTAAATGTAATATTAAAAGGCTTTTGTTGGTGGAATGTACTTTACAATAACTCTTAAGATCTACAGAAAAGGCCATATTGCTTGTAATTATGCATTTAGATGTCAGAACAATTTAATATATTCATAATTCCATTATTTTAGGTAGGTGGTAGCTTTTTAAAAGGACCTAGGATGGTTTTTTTTTGTCAGCTTTATGTTACTATCTTCTCCATATGTTCTAACACTTATCTTGTACTGCATTTTTCTTTTTCTTTTCTTTTTTTGTTTTGTTTTAGAGAAGGGGGTCTCACTATATTGCCCAGGTTAGTCTTGAACTCCTGGGCTCAAGCGATCCTCCTGCCTCTCAAAGTGCTGGGATTACAGGCATGAACCACCTTGTCTAGCCTCATTTTTCTATAGAGCACTGCAAGCTCCTAAGTATTAACCAAAGTGGAATACAAAATAAAACATTTTAATAGAGGAATCAGTCTTAATGACCAAAAGAAACATCATTGGATAGGTTGACTGCTAGCTATAAATAAACTTTTTATTATTTGTTTGAAGGCTTGGAAATAGATGTATAATACATTTCTTTATTATTTAAAAAAATCATTTTTTAAAAAGTACATACTTGGCTGGGCACAGTGGCTCATGCCTACAATCCCAGCACTTTGGAAGACCAAGGTGAGCAGATCAGCTGAGGTCAGGAGTTCAAGACCAGCCTGGCCAACATGGCAAAACCCTGTCTCTCCTGGAAAAAAGAAAGAGAAGAGAAGAGAAAAGAAAAGAGTACATACTCATTGACAAATCCAATCAGAATAGAAAAGAACAAGAGAAAGTAGAAGTCACTCCAAATTCTACCAGCCAGGGATAATCACTGTTGTTTTACTCAGCAGGCTTCCAGTCATCTTTCTATGCTATTCACATACAGATACTCTTGCACCCTAAAAAGGGGACCGTCCACTCCACGTCACCTTTCCTTAGGTGGATAGGGCAGGTGCTATCCAGCTTTTGCGCACCAGGCAGCAGGAACTGCAGGAAGATTTGCAGTGACACCAGCAGCTATTACTCCCTTCTCCCCATTTTTTTTTTAACATTTCCAAGAGAAAGATGGAAGCAGAAGAGAGGACAGGAAGGAAGAGTATGATTATTAATATTTCTGCTTTGCCAAATTACTGAGAAAAGGCTTTCCCAAGAGAAAGTCAGGATTAAAGTGCTCAATCCCAGTCCCAGAAGGGTGGTGCCTCGGGGGAACTATACTAAGGAGTCAGTATTGCCCAGAGCGTGTTCCATGCGGTGTAAGAGGCTACTTGAACAAGTGTTCTGAGGTCAAGAAATTGTGGGAAACGCTGGGGTGAACAAATGCAGGCTTTTCCCCTGAAGGCCTCCCAGGGCACCTGCTGCATCTCCTGGGTGGGGGAGGAGTGGAGGGAGTGGCTCCCTGTCCTTTTAGTGGGGGATCCTTTTTCACTAACAGTCACCCAAGTCCAGTTGTCTGCAAATTTTGGGAAGTGCTTGTTTGACTCTAGCATATTGTACTTTAAAGTTAGTATATATAAGTAATTTTTATAAAGAACACCTTTTTTAAAGAAAATGTGGTAAATAGTTAAAGATATGGTGAACAAAATTAAAATCGCTCGTAATCACACCATTGGAAATAACCAGCATTTGATATATTTTGGTGTCTTTTCTTCCAGACTGTTGTTTATATGTGTGTGTCTGTGTATCTATAAAATATGTCTGTATTTTAAAATGGGGATTATAATGTGAGTGTATGCCTGTGTGTGTATGTATATGTATGTAAGGGATTATAGCATATATAGAGTTTTGTTTTGTTTTTTTTGGTCTTGAATAAAGAACATTTTATTATTAGAGAAAAATATTAGTCCTCGGCTGGGCACAGTGGCTCATGCTTATAATCCCAGCACTTTGGGAGGCTGAGGCTGGCGGATCACTTGAGGTTAGGAGTTTGAGACTAGCCTGGCCAACATGGTGGAACCACGTCTCTACTAAAAATACAAAAATTAGCCAGGTGTGGTGGTGGGCACCTGTAAACCCAGCTACTCAGGAGGCTCAGGCATAAGAATCGCTTGAAACCAGGAGGTGGAGGTTGCAGTGAGCCAAGATCGTGCCACTACACTCCAGCCTGGGCGACAGAGCAAGACGTAGTCTAAAAATAAATAAATAAATATTAGCCCTCATGGTAGAGTGCCAATAAAAACGTTTTTTTGCTACTATTTCATAGAAACCTTTTGATTTTTGAATAATTTAAACATTTTTTGGTAAAGAAAGAAAATTCCTAGATACTTTTCATCTAGCCTCCCCTAATTTTATCACTACATAGTGTTTTAACTCAGGCTTTTTCTATCTGTAATTAAATTTTTTGCTAACTCTGCATCTACAAAGTGAAGTTTTAATTTTTTTTTTTTTAATTGAGACGGAGTCGCACTCTGTCACCCAGGCTGGAATGCAATGGTGCGATCTCAGCTCACTGCAACCTCCACCTCCTGGGTTCAAGCAATTCTCCTGTCTCAGCATCCTGAGTAGCTGGGATTACAGGCGCCTGCCACCACACCCAGCTAATTTTTGTATTTTTAGTAGACATGGGGTTTCACTGTTTTAGCCAGGCTGGTTTCGAACTCCTGACATCAGGTGACCCACTCACCTCGACCTCCCAAAGTGCTGGGATTATAGGTGTGAGCCACCTCCCCCGGCTAGATTTTCTGTTTTATAAAGCATGCCCGCCTTCTTTTTTCTTCCTAGGTTACTATAACAACAGTACCAAGGTGGCTGTGAAAACCCTGAAGCCAGGAACTATGTCTGTGCAAGCCTTCCTGGAAGAAGCCAACCTCATGAAGACCCTGCAGCATGACAAGCTCGTGAGGCTCTACGCTGTGGTCACCAGGGAGGAGCCCATTTACATCATCACCGAGTACATGGCCAAGGGTGAGTTCCTCCCACTGCCCAGAGCTTGCAAGGGCTTCAAACTCAAAAAGTAAAATGTGTAAGTGTTCAGAGGTCACTCAACTAGTTTAATTATCAAACAGTATACCCACTACCGAAAAATCAGGAAATATGGGAAGACAAAGCAGTTTATAAACCTAATCACCAGAAGTAATCCATGTCACAGAATTGAAATCTAATCCTCCTGTTTTCTCTGCATCTGCCTGCGTGTACCTATTGCCCTGAGAATAGTACCCCATATCTAGTAGCCCCCAATAAATATTTATCAAATGAATTACTATGTATTTCAAAAAGGAATTTTTGAAATACATATGCTTAAAATGTGAAGAGTTCCCAGAATTCTAATACTACAGATTTAGTACGGATTGTTCAGTACCAAATTCCTCTTTCATTTTTTTTTTTTTTTTTTTTTTTTTGGAAACAGAGTCTCACACTGTTGCCCGGGCTGGAGTGCAGTGGTGCAATCTCTGCTCACTGCAACCCCTGCCTCCCGGGTTCAAGCGATTCTCCTGCCTCGGCCTCCCTAGTAGCTGGGACTACAGGCACGTGCCACCATGCCCAGCTAATTTTTTGTATTTTTAGTAGAGATGGGGTTTCGCCATGTTGGCCAGGCTGGTCTCGAACTCCTGAGCTCAGGCAATCTGCCTGCCTCAGCCTCTGAAAGTGCTAGGATTACAGGCATGAGCACCCAGCCTCTATTTGTTCTTTAGCGTTATCTAATATTCATTTTCCTTTTCAGCATTATCTAAGTGTTCAGGGTGTCACTTTTAAATATTAATGTTTTTTAAAACTTGTGGAGGTTAAAGTCCTATGTAATCATAGAATTGCTGGAGAATAGACTTCAAGCAATCAATTTTTCTTCTACTGTGATCACCTTCATATACAAGACTTTGAATCAACATCCTTCTTCCTTTGTTCACCTCCAGTTCAGGAAACATACTAATAAACTGCCAAATTATTTTTTACGAAGTCCTCAGAAGTAATGAAGAAACATAAGCAATGATCCAGGATTAACAATCATCTCATGCACAATGGAGATGATAGTATGATGTCATAGCTGAATAGATTCAAAAGATGAATATTACATTTTCTTATTTAATATCTGTGAGTATTTCAAAATATCAGTCACTCAGAGTCTTTCCAAACAATGGCATTGTTTGTTTTAAAGCAAACAAACCAATTAGCTCTTGTGGCTTGGGTTGCCATATATAGCCCAGAAACCAGGCTCAGGGCCAGACACCTTATAGGAGTTCAGTAAATATTGTTGAATTAATTAACTTAGAGTATTCCTAATGATAGGTATAAATATGAGTTTTCCTATGTAACAATGCCTAATATATATATATATTTATTTTTTTGAGACAGAGTCTCACTCTATCACCCAGGCTGGAGTGCAGTGGCACTATCTTGGATCACTGCAACCTCTGCCTCCCAGGTTCCAGTGATTCTCCTGCCTCAGCCTCCCAAGTAGCTGGGATTACAGGTGCCTGCCACCATGCCTGGCTAATTTTTGTATTTTTTAGTAGAGACAGAGTTTCACCATGTTGGCCAGGCTGGTCTTAAACTCCCGACCTCAGGTGATCTGCCTGCCTTGGCCTCCCAAAGTGCTGGAATTATAGGTGTGAGCCACCAAGCTTGGCCAACAATGCCTAATATTTATTGAGCACTTACTATATGCCAGACTGCTCTTGGTGCTTTCCATGGGTGATCTCACTTAGTCTTTTCAGCAGCCTGAGGGCTAAGTACTATTGTTCTGTGTCATAGATGAGATAGCATAACGTTTACTGAGCACTTGCTACCTGTCAACCATCATGGTATGTGCTTTGGATGCAACCTTTGATTCCAACCCCCCAAAACTGTAATATAGCCTCTAGTACATGCCCATTTTACAGAGACCTAGATGAGGTAAACAACTTGACCAAGGCTACCCGTAAGGCTGGTACTTAAAGTTCTAGGGGAAAAACAGGTCTTGCTTTAGAGATGAAGCCATAGGAGGTTGGAGAGTTTGTTCAGCAGCACACTCCTTCTTAGGTAGGTTTCCACTTTTTTCCAAAGCACAGTTCACTCATCAAATATTCTTTGAGGCTGGGCGTGGTGGCTCACACCTATAATCCCAGCCCTTTTGGAGGCCAAGGTGGGAGGATTGCTTGAGTCCAGGAATTTGAGACCAGCCTGGGCAACATGGTGAAATCCTATCTCTACAAAAAAAAGAATTAGCTGGGTGTGATGGCATGTACCCTCAGCTACACAGGAGGCTGAAAGTGGGAGGATTGCTTGAGCTTGGGAGGCTGATGCTGCAGTGAGATGTAATCATGCCACTGCGCTCCAGCCTGGGTGACAGAGTAAGACCCTATCTCAGAAAACATTCATTGAGCACCTACAGTAAGTGCCAAGTTCTGTGCTTTTTGCTGAATACAGATGGGAGTGAGCCTGGCCAAGTGTCTGCAGAGGGCAGGCCTTCCAGTGAGCTCGCTAAAGATTGGGAGGTGGCAGTGAGTGGATCATGGTGGCAAGTACTCTGAAATGCATGGTTCTCAGACACCTGTAGTGAGAAAAGTGGTATCCACCCACATTCTTTCTCACCTGGAGCACATGCCATGTTTCACATCAGGTCAAAGGTAACAGATTAGAGGGGACTGCGTTTGACCAATGCCAGGAAAAGGCTTTATATAACCATACAGAATTGCAAAGCCAATCATTTTGTGGGGAGTTCCCCTGTAATAGTAATGATGATGTGAATTTTGTTTGGATTTTTTCTTGTGTGTTTGGAATGCACTAACTTGTTCTTTCTTTCTCCATAGGCAGTTTGCTGGATTTCCTGAAGAGCGATGAAGGTGGCAAAGTGCTGCTTCCAAAGCTCATTGACTTTTCTGCTCAGGTAACATATTCAAAAAGCCCCGTGTGCACGTGCATTTGCAAAGACTTCCCTGCGTCAAATTCATGAAGGAGTTATTGTTCCAGGGAGAAGGAATTTCTGTTGAATGTTTCCCAGCAGCAGTTATGAGAAAAAGACCTTCCACAATACAATTCTTGGAGATAGTAATAGGACATTCACATGGATTGTGTGTACGTGTTGAGTTTTGACCTGGATATCATCTTCTATAAACCAAGTCAACCTCTTTATGTTCATTTCATAAGTCATAGAAACAGTGCAGCTGAATCAATCACTTTCTCAGCATTTGGGAGAGGCAGTTCCATGCTATGTAAGCACAGCAGCTTTTAAATGATGCGTATGTTTTATTTAAGTTACGAATCGAATGTATGGATACTTTTAAGTCCTCTGTATTCTTGAAAACAGAGGAACTATGTCACTTTCCTGCTCCTCTTCTCGCTCCTTCTTGTTGGATGTGCCATCAGGATTCTGTGAAATATTCATTTGTACTATTTTTAGTACTAGCCTAGGAGTTGCCTGTTTATTTACTTTGGAATCACATGTTTCCTGAAGTGTATTTAAGAGCAGAAGCAAGTTATCCAGAAGCCCCACAATGTGCCCAAAATATCAAGGAAATGCACACTTGAATGATGCCAGCTGCTGGCTTTTACTAGTTTCATTGTGTCCATTAGTAATGTTCAGCAGTTTGCTTGCTTGTTTCTCAGTATTGGCAATCGGTGGTTTCATGAAGCCCAGTGTATGTAGCAAAAGAGATTTATAGAAGTTCTAGGGAAGACTGGTCCCTATAGTCTTCCTTTTTCACTGCCACTTCTTCCCTCACACCCTCTTTTAGTTAGGAAATTGCTACGGCCTTCTTGGGAATACGAGATCCAAGGAATGCATGAGTACAGAGGTGAAGCACCTCACCTAAGGTAGGGCTGGACACAGGTTCTGTAATAGAGCATCGTGGGCTAAGCTGGCATTCAGCACCTGGAGACTGGAGTTTGTGTTCTGGCTCTGCCACTCGATAGCTATACCGCTTCCATTTCAGAAGCCCTTTGCCTATTTGGGCTACTTTATTCACCTGTAAAACAGAATGGTAATTCCTGCTTTAAGGAGATGTTGTTGAGAGTCACATCAGACACAGATGTTGTTGTGTCACATGCTTGGCACGGACACAAGCACCTCAGAGCCTGCTGGTGGAAGCTGGGAAAACCCAAGGGAGGGCAATGCCCATCCTTCCAGTAAAGGTGTGTGATGGGTGAGTCACAGTGCTCAGGCATCCTCTCCACCTCCGGGACTTGGCAAGCCTAACAGGTTCCTCATCTGAGTTGGAAATTCAAGTGTGCCCTGAAATGCCAACATCTAATAAGAAAGAAGCATAATTGCTGTGGTGGAACAGAGGGGCAAGGAAAGGACCCAGCAGCCCTGCCTTTTTAGCCCTGTCCTCAAAGTCTATGCTGGCCCCTGGGAGGCTCCATGGGATTCCAAGGTTTCCAGAACTATAGTTTGAAAACCACCTCTCTGCAGTAAGAGGAATAGGTGGGGTTGGGCACAGCTCTAGAACCCGTGTAGAAAACAGATCAGGAAATGGAGAAAGCAGAAGTCTGATAAACTTGGGCCATACTTACACGGATCAATGAGGCCCTCTACTCAGGTGGTGATTTGGGTGTCCCCATGGGTCAAGAGACTTGAGGAGTGTAACAAAGGTTTGTCACACTTGTACAGGGCTATGGAACATCGGGACACATGGCCTGGAGGGCCTGAGTGGTCACAGCCGTTCCATCTGCTGGGGGTCTGATCTGTACCCACAGTTCTTTAGAGTAGAAGTTACACACATTGGGTATGTACTGTACCCGGAGAATGACTTTATTTTGTCACATGGGTATTTTGTATTGGGTTTTGCATGGCTTATCTTGTAAGACTTTATCTTGACATAGTCAAAGCTTTTAAGGTCCAAGTCAAAGCCTCTATGCTGAGTCTTTAATTTAGTGAATTACTACCATTACCTCGAAAAGTAATTTTTCTAACCTCGAAGAGTAATTTTTCTAACCTAGAAATGAATAGGGGGAGAAGCTACTTTCTAGACCTTCATAGCTTACGAGGAAGATTACCACAGAGCCTGGCATTGACTGTGACTGTTGTGCTGTGGATTCCAGGGGGCTTCAGTTGACTCTCCTGTCAACTGATGGGGCTGAGCCCCCTCGGTGACAGGAGGGCCTGGGGGCAATCAAGGTCGGCACCAGTGGTCTCCATCCAAGCCAGTTTACCAAATCCAGCCCGTGCCAGGTGAACTCATGTTCACAGGTCCAGGGTCTCTTTCCTAGCAGTGGCCCCTTGGTGGAACCCATAGTTCATCTGGCTCAAGTGCATGAACTGCTCAGTGTCACTGGGAGAGTCACGGGTCAGCAGCAGCCGGCAGGACCCTAAGTATGTTCATTCAGCACAAAATTCATTTTCCTTACAACTAAGCACTGGCTCCATTTGAGTTCATCTTTGCTCAAGCTGCAAACCTCACTCAGACTCTTTCCCAGCCCTTCCCTCAAGGTGGCGCTGGTGAGACCACCTGGTCTCCATCCTTAATCATTATCTGCTTCTTGTACCTGTGGCTTTTCTTATTATAATACAGATAATTTGAGAAAGGGGTCTTACCCTTGGCAACAAGGAGTAGGGCCTGTACGCTTCAGCTTCAGCCTGAAATCCCATACCTTCCACTTCTAGTTTCTGCTCACTGCGCCTGCTCCCTCGTCCGCCTGGGATGCCCTCACTGATGACCACTGCTACCCAGTGCTCCTCCTCCTCCTTCACACACCTTTCTGAAATGATCTGTCTGTGCCAAGAAGGCCATCTCTGCATTATCTTACCTTTCCTTCTCTATCATGTGCCACTAATTAAATCTATCACTTTTCCATAGTGCATAACATGACAATAGAATTATTATTAAAGCTGCCCCACGGTGACAGAGATCCCTGGGGCCCAGATACTTCGATAATCCAACCTTTTCTATACCTTCCCCCCACTTTACTATTTAGGGTGGAAATTTAGGGATAAAGCAGAAGAGGAATTACAGAAGTCCATTTGCTGTGTCAGCTCTAACTAAACAGTTAGTAGGCTGTGCGATAATGATGCGACTTGCTGTCTTCCATAACCGTTGTCAATAGCGTCAGAGTTGGGAAATTGAATGTTCACAAGGGGTGGTTAAATTCAGCAGATTGTCACAATGAGAGATTGGTCATTGGGAGTAGAAATAACCCAGTTTACTTAATCCTAGCCCTAGAAGAATAAGGGAAACTGTGAGGGGCAGAGTTGGGACTTTTCCCACCATCTGTATCTGGCCTCTTCTTCCCGCTCCCCACTACCCACTTCCCCATGCCCTACTCTCCCCTCCGCATTCCCCTGTCACCCATTGAGACAGAAAGTGGCTAAGTGCACGTGACAGCCTCACAGTTCATGTGAGAGCTGATTTCATCACTTCCTGTCTCAGAATGAGTTCTGAAAGACTTGTCTGAGCTCAAGTGTAATAATCCACACTCTCCAACCATCCATAGCCCATTCAACATAGATCAAGAAATCCTGACTACAGCAGCTTTACCCACTGCTTTTCTCTTTGTATTAAATTAAGCAATTTAGTGCTTTTTGTGCTGAAATAGGAAAATACCTCTTTGGAAAGGAAGTTTGATACTTTCAGAGCAGAGAGACTTTGCATAATTCCCTTGGCTTTTAGGCCCTATGTCAGAGAAGAAAAATGAACTTGGAAAGAAAAGGGGTTAAAACCAGTGGGGATTTCCTTCACCAGAAGCTGAGATGGAATCATAGACATGTCAAACTGAGAGGAAAGAGCAGTGAAAAATTTACAGTTGCAGTTTGGAGAGCAAATAAATCATCTTGTAATTCAGACCAAGTGAATCAAAGCATTTATTACTCTTTGGTGGCGGTATCTCTGAAGTGCAAAAATTACTAAAAATGGAACAATTGTTTGTGAGTTAAATGTCAGTAAAAACTGCAAAATCAAGCCAAACAAAGTGGCATGCACCTATTGTCTCAGCTACTTGGGAGGCTGAAACGGGAGGATTGCTTGAGGCCAGAAGTTCAGGACCAGCCTGGACAATGTGGCAAGAATCTGTCTCTTTAAAACAAAACAAAGCAAAACAAAAAACTTGCAAAATCAGAGTTGTTGTAATTATCATGGCAACAAGTAACATTTATTTTAGCTTCTTCTGGTTGATACAGCACTTCTACCTCCATTATCTAATTTGAGCCCAACAGCCTTGAAAGCATATATTTTGTTGTTTAGTACCTCTTACAGATAACGAGGTAAACTTGGACTTGGCCAAGGTTACTGAGCTAGTATGCGGAATTGCTGGGACTTGATCCAGGGACTTCTGACTCAAGATAACTGATTCTTTCCTCTGCAGCCTGCTGTTGTCTCATGGTTACAGTTGCTGTTATGGTCATTTTGCACTCAACCCTACTGTGATATGCATTTTCCCCGTTATGGATTTTGACCATCAAAATTAATGTTTTCTTTAGCTTTTTCCACTTCAAAAGTCTTTATTGCCAAGATGGAGGTTATGCTCAAGGTATATTTTACCCCCAGTATTAAATTTAAAGCCACATTTTAAGGTGGAAATTGGTAAAATGAGGAAGGTAGGAAAACTCTATCTAGGAAGTTCTCGACCTTTTTGAGTAGGAGGGCCTTTTAACAGCAGAGCTTTCTGAGCACACCCTCATGGTTGTAGCTACTGAGTGAGAAAACAGTGTATAGATTGGGAAGCCCTTGTAATATCTCTTGGTTGAAACTCACCAGTATGTTGGTCGTAAATCAGGCTTGAAGGGTCTAGAGGGGGAAGTTCTTGGGAAGTTTCTAGAATATTTGCCAATATCATCCAAAGTGGGTCTCTTCTTCTGTCTCTTTGTCTGGAACGTAAGAGATGTGTTAGACGCTCATATTCCACCTCAAGGCTATTATCCCAGTGAATCAACTGCTTTATCTTCAAAGCCTTGATTAGTAACAACCTTTGATTGATAGCGTCCTCATGTTTAGTTCACTCAAGCTGGAGGGAGAGTTGCATTGAGATGTCGAGTCAGACGTGGTGGCAAGTGGAAGCCGCAGGTGATTGACATGGTTTGCGGTTTAACCAGGAGGCCAGATCCGCTCCCCACTCCATATATAATCTCCCCTCCACGTGGAAATTCTCATACATGACTCTTACTGAGGCCTACACATTCCCAATCGCTCTTTCAAGCACAAGAGGCTCCTTAGAGAGAAAAACAGCCAGCACTGAAGAAGGCATTCATGAATTTCATAGAGGAATCTGAGCCGGGTGCCGCTGTGGATTCAGGGGCCACATAGTGGTCAGGATGTGATGGTCCCTGAGTGGGCATTGCTTGGAGCTGATGCTTGGAAACCTCAGCTTTCTCAGTATACAAATGTTAACACAGCTGGTGGTTAGCTCTTTCTCAGAATTTGAGAAATGTTGCCATGATTTTGTAAATGGAGCCTAGATTATGCTAATGATGGAGAAATCACTGAGCCAAGAACCAGAAAACCTGCTTCTGCATGGGGAAAATCACTTTGTGGGCACCAGTGTCCTCGTCTGTGAGATGGGAGGCACAGGTTGGGTTTCCCACAGCCTCAGCTCTAATATTGCATGACTAAGGACATCTCCTTTTATTTAGACTATCTATGTGAATCGTCACCAAAAGTTGCAACTAATGATTCTGAGGCTATGCAGATGACATTGATATAAGATTTTAGCATTGCTCTAAATAAGGGAACACAAATATATCACTTTAATGCAGTACTTACATGTTGGGCACTTAAATGCTCTATTTATCTTTTTTGAATAATGAGTGTTATGTTTTCAGCTTAAACTTTGACCATGAAAACTTAGAAAATGGACAAATGAAACTAGTTACTGTCAGAATTGCAAAAGTGGATCATATGCAGTTTCCTTCTGAAAAAGCCAAAGGAATAGGAAACTGTCATTTAAAAATAGTATAAAACAGGAACTCTTTTTTTTTTTTGGTAAGGTGGGGGTGGGGCTGTTTTGCATATTTAAGCAAGAGGAATCATGACTGGCTGTTAAAATAGCAAATAAGGCAGAATTTATTTTTGCTTTAAATTTGATTGGGAAGCTTTGGGTTAGTGTATGGCAGAGGTGGTGGTGCTTTTGGCCTGCAGGCAAGATCTGTCTCTTATCTTAATGTTATTTTGACCAGGGGTGGCAATTTCTGGTGAGTGCTACCGTAAGTCACAAAATGCTATTCTCTTTGGGTACTCATCATGGAAGCTTGCAGGGCTAGAATTCAACTGAAGTGGTTTAGGAGTGGGCAGAGTTTATCACCAGCTGGTCACAGTTGAAAAGTGGAGATGAAAGCAGTTTGAAATTAGCCAGGCTTGGTGGTGCGTGCCTGTAATCCCAGCTACTCCGAAGGCTGAGGTAGGAGAATCACTTGAACCCAGGAGGCAGAGGTTGCAGTGAGCCAAGATCACACCACTACATTCCAGCCTGAGTGACAGAGCAAGACTCCATCTCAAAAAAAAAAAAAAAAAAGAAGGAAGGAAGGAAGGAAAGAAAGAAAGCAAGAAAGCATTTTGAAGGGAGCAGTGGAGAGTAAATTCCAGCTGACCTTTGTCTCCAGCACTTGGCTTGCTCTCCCTGAGCCCCCTCACCCTCTTGGTGTGGCCCGCTCCCTTTCACTCACACAGCTATCCTGAGCACAGCCAGGCACTGTGTCAGGAGGGATGAGCAAACGGCACATGGCATGGAGTGGGGGACAGGTGAGTTGCAGGCAAAGACAGGGTACAGCCCTGGGATATGGCAAGGGCTGTCAGAGTGGGCACCGCATGCTACTTTCAGAGTACATGGAGGAGGATGGAGCGTAGTAGGGTGGGCTAGCAGGTGGAAGGTGGGCTTCCTGGAGGAGGTCACCCTGAGAGCCAGGATTAGCCCTGCTAGCTTGGGAAGGGGTGTGGCTGCAGGGATGGGTCTTCAGTTGTAGGAACCTCGTGCATAAAGGCACAGAAAAGGAGTACACGGGGATGCAAGTGGGGGTATATGGAGAGAACAGCTTAGGGGGCACTCTGAGAGACATGGACATTAAGGAAACTAGGCCGAGCACAGTGGCTCATGGCTGTAATCCCAGCACTTTGGGAGGCCGAGGTGGGTGGATCACCTGAGGTCAGGAGTTTGAGACCAGCCTGGCCAACATGGTGAAACCCGGTCTCTACTAAAAATACAAAAGTTAGCCGGGCATGGTGGTGTGCGCCTGTAATCCCAGCTACTCAGGAGGCTTAGGCAGGAGAATCGCTTGAACCCAGAAGGCGGAGATTGCAGTGAGCCAAGATCGTGCCACTGCACTCCAGCCTGGGCAACAAGAGCAAGACTCTGTCTCAAAAAAAAAATAAAAATAAAAATAAACTAGACCGGTTCATTCTCAGTTGTGGAAGACTAAACTGTTTTGTAGATAACTCTGGTTTAAAAAATGTATCTGTACAAAATAAAAATGCTTATACTCAGCAAATAGTTTCAACAGGACTTACAGTTTTACCCTTTTAGTCAAAGTAGGCCTTTAAATCATTAGTGGATGCTTTTTGTATTTACTGTAATATGTATTCATGTTACCTCTGTTCTCCCCCAACACACCAGGGTGTTCTTTATAGAAATTGGTCTGTTTTGACTTTTGGAGAATCACAGAGTTCTCAGCTTTTCATGCTCCTAACATTTTGTTTTATTACTGTTTTTGTTGCTGTTTTTGTTTTGTTTTTTAAAACTGAGACCAGGAAGGGTGGGATGGAAAAGGAATGGGAGAGTTTGTGTTCTAGCCCAGAGCTCATCTCTGTCTGGCACAGTGGCTCATGCCTGTAATCCCAGCTCTTTGGGAGGCTGAAGTGGGAGGGTTGCCTGAGGCTGGGAGTTTGAGCCCAGCCTGGGCAACACAGTGAGACTCCTATCTCTACCAAAAAAAAAAAAAAAAAAATTAGCCAGGCCTGATGGTCGTGCCTGTAATCCCAGCTACTCAGGAGGCTGAGACGAGAGGATTGATCGAACCCGGGAAGTTGAGGCTCAAGTGAGCTATGATTACACCCACCGCCCTCCAGCCTAGGTGACAGAGCAAGACCCTGCCTCTAAAAAAACAAAACAAAAGCAAACAGAGCTCGTCTCTAAAGGGTACACTCTGAAACGGACAGGACTTCTTCTGAGCTTTTTCAATTCAGAGCTAGATTCTCAGGCCCTCTCCCCAACCCCTCACTAAAGCCAAGAAGCACCTGAAGGAGTTCAGCCCAAGTCTGGAGATACTTAAACCTCTCAACCAAGTGGCTTTCCTGGTGCTGTCCCTGAAGCAGGTGTGAGGCCTGAGTTATGAAACTGAGGTGGGTTGCCTGGGGATAATGGGGATCGACTGAGCATTTCAGCAGGAATGTGATAGGATGAGACCTGTGCTTTAAAAGTTGCCCCAGCCACCGTATACAAAAATGATTAGAAGGGGTGAAAGCTAGAGTCCAGGGATGAGGGAGGGAGGATGGGCCTGAGCGAGGTCAGTGTTGCCTATCACAGGCACATAGAAATAGAGAAGGAATGTGCATGGGGCAGCTGAGGACCGCCATTGCGGGCACGGGGTTGAGGTGGCTGATGAAATTAGTTTTGCTGTACTGGGTTTGAAGTGCCATGAAACATCAGCTAGAGATGGGCAGCTAGCGTGGACAGGCATTTTAGTATAGGGGTCTGGGGCTAGAGGCTTCAAGGAGGCTGGTGCTGCAGACAGTCATATAAATAGGGGTTGGATGAGGTCCCCTAGAGAGTGTGGGAAGGGGCAGAGGACAGCCCCAGACAGACCCTAAAGAAAGGGCTGAGAGGGACAAGTCAGAGAGCAGGCTGGGGACACCAGAAGCACAGTGGCCTGTAAGGAGGAGGTGGGGTTGCAGCGCAGGCGACGGAGTTCTGACACGCAGTCAGAGAGCAGGGAAACTGCCACGGGACTTTGCGACAGGGAAGTCTTTGAGAACCTGGCTGGACCCTTCTCAGTGACATGGTTTGGGTGGAAGCCAAGCCCTTGGCCTCTCTCCCTCTTCCTGATCCCTAGAACCCTGTTCTCTGCCTGCACAGGCTCCTCCCTAGCCCTGGCTGACTCCTCTTCCTTTTTCTTTCTCCTCTGCTGCCGCTTTTCTCTCCATGCTTCCCTGACCGCTCAGCATGCCTCACTCTTGAAAAAAATGTGATTTTTCTCTGTACTTAAATGAAACCATGCACTTCTCATTCTTTTTTTTTTTTTTTTTTTTTGAGATGGAGTTTTGCTCTTGTCACCCACGGTGGAGTGCAATGGTGCTCACTGCAACCTCCGCCTCCCAGGCTCAAGCAATTCTGCCTCAGCCTCCCGAGTAGCTGGGATTACAAACGTGTGCCACCACGCCCAGCTAATTTTTGTATTATTAGTAGAGTTGGGTTTCACCATGTTGGCCAGGCTGGTCCTGAACTCCCAACCTCAGGTGATCCACCCGCCTCGGCCTCCCAAAGTGCAGGGATTACAGGCGTCAGCCACCGTGCCCAGCCTCATTCTTGTTTTTTAAAGTGGTTTTCTTCTGTGATGGAATAAAATGAAATAAAATTACTGAGAGAGGAACTTAAATTATTGGTTTTTAAAAATATATGGTTTTGTAGACTTCTGTAGAAACACAGCATTCTTCGCCTACCCTCGGAGCACGTGCTGTAGCTATGCATTTGTGTCTGTAGCTCTGCAGCTCGTGGGGCTTTGTGAAACACAATGAGAAGCATCTAAAAACTGAGTCACCAAAAGTAGCCCTTGCCCCCATTTAAGACCGGTTTGACTGAAATGTGTATTCTGAGGTCAGTTTGGTGCCTGGAATGCATTCCCCAGGTTTTGCTGAGGTTCCCATCTCAGGCCTCCACCCAGCACAGCTCTGCAGATCTCACCCTGATTCAGCGTCACCCCAGGAAATGGTGTGTCTGGGCTCCTTGGTATGGTTTCTAAGGCAGCTCCTCTCTGCCAAGCAGCAGCCTGACACCCTGCCCAAGGCTCAGAGGGATGCCACAGCATCTCCGGGGCTGCCAGAGGGCCGCCCACCCTGGTGCGGAAGACCCCACCCGAGCTCCTGCCATAGTTGCTGCCTCCTGGCCTCTTCCCCTCCCCACATCAAGACCTGTTCCTTGGAGATGAGGCCTGCAGCTGACAGCCCTCCAGAGGCCCTGCCCCAGTAGGGCTCAGAGCCCATGTGCACAGGCAGCATTCCACCTAGGCAGGCCACAGTCCCCGGGAGGTGGCCACACAGGGTCCCCCTGAGCCATGGCTTTCTCAGCCAATGGTCTGCCCAGCCCTCCTCACTCATAATCAAGTCCTCTCATTTCTTCTTCCAAAATAGATCTCCCTCCTCCAGGTCACCATTGTCTCTCATCTGCACTATTGCAGTTGCTGCTTTTTTTTTGTCTTTTTTGAGATGGGGTCTCACTATTTTATCCAGGCTGGAGTGCAGTGGCTTTTCACAGGCATGATGCCACTACTCCTAAGCACAGGAGTTTTGAGCTGCTCCGCTTCTGACCTGGGCCGGTTCACCCCTTCTTAACCAACCTAGAGGTCCTCCACTCCCAGGAGTCACCATATTGATTCCGAACTTAGTGCAGACACCGGATGGGCATAGCAAAGTGCAGCCCAGAGCTCCTGGGCTCAAGCCATCCTCCCACCTCAGACTCCCAAGTAGCTGGGATTACAGGCATACACCATCGTGCCCCACAGTTGCTTCTTAACTGGTGTTGTCCAGTTTGGCAAACAGAAGAAATTCAAGGTATACAGTCAAATTTGGATTTTGGATAAACACTAGCTTTTAACAGAAGGGTGCCCATGTCTTCCCAGGCAGCCCTGCTCCTAATGAGCCTCCCTCCTGTCTCTTTGGCTACCCTCTTTCCAGGCTCCACAAAGTAGGCAGGGACAATTGGATGCTTTTAAAATTTTTGCCTTTTTAAAATTGTGGTGGTAAAATAAACACAAATTACACCATTTTAACCATGTCTAAGTTTATGGTTGTTGGCAGTAAGAACATTCACATTGTTGTGAAACCATCACCAACATCCACCTGCAGAACTCTTTCATCTTCCCAGACGGAAGCTCTTTGCCCACTCAATGCCAGCTCCCCGCGGCCGCTTGCTAGCCCCTGGCCACCCCCGTGCTGTTCTCGGTCTCTGTGAATCTTACAGACTGGATGGTTTTGCATCCCTGCTCAGCTCCGTTCAGTGGGTCCCCACCACACCCAGAGAGACTCCCAACACCTGTGCATGTGACTGATTCCTCAGCACTGAGCCCACCACGCTCTTCCCTATCCCAGTGCCTCTCCAGAGCCCACTTCCTGGAAGCGCTCACCCTTTGTTCTGAGCCACACCACACCTCTTATCAACAGGCACCTTCCCTGACCTTCCTTCTGAAGCAGTTCCATCCCAACTCCTGCTTACTCCATTCTCCTCAGTCTCGGTCCCCGCCCATTTCTTCCATAGCGTGTACTGCAATTTGAATTTTTTGATAAGTTCTTCTTTACCTTTTTATCCCCAGCACTTGGTGCAGTGCCTTGTATATAGTAGATGCTCAAAAATGCTTGTTGGATGACTATACTGGCCACTTAAAATGGGGATTGACTATATTCCGTTTAAAACAATAAATTCTTTATTCTCTGCTTCATACAGCTCTGAATGAGTAACTAGAAGAACATATTTTTTGTGTGTTTAAAAAAATTTTTTTTAATATAGAGATAGGGTCTCACTACATTGTTTAGGCTGGTCTTGAACTCCTGAGTTCAAGCAGTCCTCCCACCTCTGCCTCCCAAAGTGCTGGGATTATAGGTGTGAGCCACCGTGCCCGGCCAGAACACATGCTTTTGAAAAGGTTTTCTGAGTCATTATTCAGGTGTATTTAACCATAAAGTATTTTCTTCTTCCCCTTCCTCTAACTATAGGTTTACTTTCCTGTACAAAACTTACTTCATTGGTTGAAATAAAAGTGAGAAAAGAAGAAGGAAGTAGAATACAAGTATCTGGGCCTGTGGGAAAAACAAAGTGCAGCTTTGTTTTGCATTCCTTGTGGCATAAAGAACACCAGGAGGAATGAGAAATTATAAATGAAGTATTTGACATTGAAGCCAACGGCAGATGCATTCTGCTTAATTTGGAGGGAAAAAACCCCACAACTGAACAGGTTTGTCCTCCCCCAGTGTCATGCAGGGCCTCTCGTGGCCTCTCCCTGGGCGCTGAACAGAGCCCTTTCTCAGCACCTGTTGGCAGAGGTTGATGCTAGAGTTCCCAGGGTGATGGGCTGGCGGATTCTTAACAAAGTCAGGATTTCCAGCTCTTGTTCATTTTCCACCCAGCGCCCCCAGTGTCTGTAACATCATTATCTGGCAATGTTATATGTTACAGAGCCAACTACTTGCATGATTATTAAAATTACATTTATACTTCAGGTTGAGTATCTCTTATTCAAAATGCTTAGGTCCAGAAGTGCTTCAGATTTGGTTTTGTTTTTTTTTTAATCCTCAGATTTTTGAATATTTGCATTATACTTACTGATTAACCATTTCAAAAAGTTTTGAATCTTGGAGCAATATGGATTTTGGGTTTTTGGATTAGGTATGTTCAACCTGTAGTATTGTCAATGGAACCAATGGTGTGCTGAGGTATTTTTGATGCATTACAAGGAGCTGTACGGCTTGATCTTCTTTTCCATTTCCAGACCTTCTACCTCCCCCACCCAGGACCCCCAGCTTTGGAGTCCACGCCATCAGACTGTGCCAGTCTGACTCACTTCACTGCTGTGGTCCTCGGATCCCCGAACACTCCTCCTTGCTGTGGTCAGCTCCGGCTGGCTTGCTGTTCCCAGCACAGCCCTGTCATCATTCCATCATTTGTAGCCATCCCCACCTTCAAATGCTGGCTTCTCTGTGTCTTGACTTCCTCCCCTCCAAGACTCTGTCCTCTCCCCTCGAGCCACTCTGCAGGCTGACCAATTCTGCTGCTCATTGCTTCATTTGATCGTTTCCACTTCAGCCATTGCCTCCCTTCTGTCCACTCACCCTCCTGCAGCCGCTCCAGCCCCTACAGCCTCAGCCTGTCACCAGCACTTCCCGTCCCTTGAACCTGCCTGTCCCTACCGCCCCTCCGCTCCTGCTTCTCTTCTCTCCTCCCCTAGCTTGGAGACACTCATTGCCCCTCCCCCATGTCACACGCACCTGGTAAAATGCCAGCCCTATGGAAGTCCGACCCTTCACCTATTTTGCCCTCATGTCCACACAACAGCTGTGACCTGCACTGAGATGCCTAGCAGCTTTCTGCATTTCCAGTTCAAGAGCACCAGCCTGAGGAGCCTCATGAACCCCGACATGTGCCCAGTCTGCTCCCTCTCACTGCCTGCTAGAAACAATGCCCCACCTTCCCTTTCTCTGCCCTCAAACCTTCCCCTACTTGCCTCTCTCTGTGGATTCCCTGCTGTCTCTTTCCCTGAGACAAGAGAAGCTGCCAGCCAAGAGCCCTGACATGCATCAGGTCTTGTGCTCTCTTGCTGTTTCAAGACACTGTTCTAGAAATTCCGCATTAGCGTTTTCCCTCACTTCTGCACTTCCCATAGGAATCAAAGTAAAGCCTTCACTTTCCCCTACATCCCTCTCCAGCTACCTCAGCCTCCAGGTGTCTCCTCCCCCTGACAACAGAAGTGTTTTAGGAACTATGCTCAGTTTCCCCCAGTTCTTCCCCACCCGCCCTCTCTTGAACCTCCCACCCCTCGACCCCAGCAGCACAAGTCAGCAGTGACCCTCAGGACACTACATCCAAAGGGCACCCATCTCTCAGCATCTTCCTAGCTGCCCACCAGCAGGGTCTGCTATTGTCAGTCTCACTCCCTCATGGCACGTTTTCCTCATTTGGCTTCTGGGACACTGTTCTCTGCTTTTCCTTCCCCCTCACCAGCCAGCTTCTCATTTGCCCAGTGGTTAAACCTTGCAATGTCCCAGAACTCACTCTTTCAACCTATTTTTTCTCCACACTAAGTCTCCTAAGTGATTCCATTGAAAGCATTGTATTAATTTCCTGGGGCTGTCAGGGCGCTTAAAACAATAGAAATGTATTTTCCTGCAGTCCTGGAGGCCAGAAGTCTGGAATGAAGGTATAGGCAGGGCTGTGCTTCCAGGTTCTTGGGAAGAATCCTTCCGTACCTCTTCCAGCTTCTGGCAGCTCCGATGTTCCATTCCATGTCTTGTTGACCGCACTGCTCCTCTTCCCACCTCTGTCTTCCGGTGGCCTCTGACCTTCCTCTGCCTTCTCTCATAAAGATACCAGTGGTTCTATTTAGGGCCCACCCTAAATCCAGGGTGAGATTTCATTTTGAGATCCTTAATTAAATCTGGAAAGACTCTATTTCCAAATAAGGCCACATTCTGAGGTTCCGGGTGGTCGTGAGTTTTGGGGGGACATTAGTTAATCCAGCACAGCTGTCTAGACTCCGGCCACTCCGAAGCTTCTAGCTCAGCCCAAACTGCTCCCGTGAGCCCCTGCTGGCTCAGCATCTGCCCAAAGATGTGTGTTGGGCATGTCAAACTCAATGCACCCCAACTCAGTGCCTATTACCCCCTTTTCCAAAACCTGTGCCAGCAGCCATCTTCTCCCTTTTGTTGATGGCACCTCTGTCCTTGGAGCTGTCAGATCCCAACACTCAAAGTCATTCTTGACCCTCTTCCTTTTACATTGTATATCCAATTCCTCAGCAAGTCTGGGGTTCTACCCTCAAAGTAGATTCACCTTCCTAAGTCCTGCACATGGTCACTCTGACCCAACTTGAATACACACTCAAAGTGAGTAATCTAGGAGCTGGCTCTCTACTCCTGTGCTCAGCTGTGGCTTCCCCCAGCCCAGTGGTCACACAGCAGTCAGAGCAATGCTTTGAGGCATAAATCAGATAACCCCCTCACTCTCAGCCCTCCAGTTCTTCTTGGCTTCACTCGGAATGCAGGGGGAAGCCCCCATAAGGCCATTTGCCTGCAGTGTGTGTCAGTCATGATGTAGATTTGCTTTCAGAAGTTACTCCTTTTCATACATTTTTTATTGTCTTATTTGTTTGGAAATCTATGTTTCAGGGTTTCATGTGCTTATCATTAAATTCACCTTGGATTCTTGTTTAAAATCTGCAGGTGTCTAGGTAGGTCCCTCTCACTGTTAGCAGTCATTAAGGACTAGGGCCCTGAATAAGCCGCAGGGGTCCTGTGGGCTTCAATAGTCGGGAAACACTGCCATTGAGAAGTTGCTGAACCGAGCAAGTGATCCTTTTTCTAGGTCACGCATCTTGCAAGGGAATGCTGCTTTTCCCCATTAGAAAGCTGCACTGCTGGGGAGGAACTGTACTTCTCTCACTGCTCTAAGTGAGTGAAACCCAGTAATTGTTTGCTGAAATCACTAGGCATGGACAAGTCCTACCTGGTGAGCAAAATGCTTGACCTTGCTTCTTCCTCAGCTTCGGCCCTTGCAGCCACACCCACCTGCTCTTGCCCCCACATCCTTAGGTAAAGGAAAATGCAGGAGCAGCCACAGAGAGCAGACGTCACAGGCTTCCCTCGCAAACACATGGTATTTTGAAAACGCACTTCAAAGGGGTTGAAATATAAATAAAGAGGATAGCAAATCTGTTTCAGGTATATTTGGAATTTGTTAGATCTTGTTACAGATTTCCTTTAAGTTTGTCACAGGACAAATAAGTCAGGGATTGTTTTCGGAGCCCAGGCGCTGTCTTTATACAGGAATTCTTTTCAGAATAACACACATCAAGTTCTTTAAGGTATTTTGTCTTAGTTGAAATATAGCACAGCTGCCTGCTATGTATTTTCTTCTTCTCAGCTATCTGACATGGTGTATATTCATGTGCTGGATTATTATTTTCTGTCTTCCCCCATCAAAGAGTAAACTCTGCAGGCAAGGACTGTTTAGTGGACCTGCAACTGGGTGGGGCTTGTGGCATACAGGCAGGACTGTGTGTGGTTGGATGGAAGGGGGAATGTCAGTTCTCGTAAGCTAATGGAGATACCTTGACCTTCAGTCTTTTAATATACTAAGGGTGACCAGGCTCAGTGGCTCATGTCTGTAATCCCAACATTTTGGGAGGCTGAGGCAGGAGGATCAGTTGAACCCAGGAGTTCGAGACCCGCCTGGGCAATATAGTGAGACCTCATCTCTACAAAAAAATAAACAAAATTAGTTGGGTGTGGCAGTGAGCACCTGTGGTCCCAGTTACTCAGGAGGCTGAGGTAGGAGGATTGCTTAAGTCCTGTAGGTTGAGGCTGCAGTGAGCTGTGATCCTGCCACTGCTCTCTGTCCTGGGCAACAGAGACCCTGTCTCAAAAAAAAAATCCACCAGAATCCCCCCCGCAAAAAAAAACGCTACCTTATGTATATGCTAAGGGAGTAGTCATGGCATGGCATCCTAGTGACATTACAAATAGCAGCCATATCCCTTTACATTCCTGCCAGCAGTGTGTGAGATTTCCAGTTTCTCCACATCCTCACTAACACTTGTTATTTTCTGGGTTTTGATAATATCTATCTTCGGGGTAGTACAGTGAGTTTTGAAATATCTATCCCAAAGACATAGTTCAGTGAGTTTTTGCAAGAGAAAGTAAATGGGTATTCATTGACAAACTTTTCTTCCTGTTTTCTAAAGAAGGTAATTCTGTTTCGTGGACACTTAATGATTTAAATATGGGTATTTGGTGAAGCTGTCATTTTGAAAATCATCTCTCCCTAAGGCATTGTGGGTCCTTGCATGCTGACAGATTGACTAGATTTTGAGCAGTCACAGAAATCTCCACCAGCCCTAAGCTTGGATATGCCAAACACTGCCTCATCTTTGAGCTATGAAGGTAGTCTAACAGACTGCAAGCTTTAACTTGACTGTTTATTATGATTATTATTATTTTAGAGACAGGATCTCTTTCTGTTGTCCTAGGCTAGAGAGCAGTGATGTGATCATACCTCACTGCAGCCTGAAACTCCTAGGCTCAAGCGATCCTCCTGCTTCAGCTTCCCAGGTAGCTGGGACCACAAGCATGTGCCACTACACCCGGCTAATTTTTAATTTTTTGTAGAGATAGGGTCTTGTTACGTTGTCCAGGGTGTTCTGAACTCAAGTGATCCTTCCTGCTAGTCCTCACAAAGCACTGGGATTACAGGTGGGAGCCGCCACATTCGGCCTAAGTTGACCATTTTTTAAATTATCTGACTTTCTTATTTCTTTTTGCCTCTTTTTTTTCCACTGCCAACTTGGTGAGCATTGTATTTTTAGAATAGAATAAAAAGAATCTTTTCTTGCCAGGCGCTGTGGCTCATGCGTGTAATTTCAGCACTTTGGGAGGCTAAGGCAGGCGGATCACCTGAGATCAGGAGTTCGAGACCACACTGGGGAACATGATGAAACACCGTCTCTACTAAAATAAAAAAAATTAGCTGAGTGTGGTGGCGAGTAGGTCCCAGCTACTGGGGAGGCTGAGGCACAAGAATTGCTCGAGCCCCGGAGGTGGAGGTTACAGTGAGCCAAGATCAGGCACTACACTCCAGCTTGGGCTACAGAGTGAGACTTCATCTCAAAAAAAAAAAAAAAAATCTTTTCTGTTTATTTATTTATTTTGAGACAGAGCCTCACTCTGTTGCCCAGGATGGAGTGCAGTGGTGCAGTCTTGTCTTGCAACCTCCGCTTCCTGGGTTCAAGCCTCAGCTTCCCAAATAGCTGGGATTATGGGTGCCCGCCACCACACCTAGCTAAGTTTTGTATTTTAGTGGAGACAGGGTTTCACCACATTGGGCAGGCTGGTCTCGAACTCCTAGCCTCAAGTGATCCACCCACCTCGTCCTCCCAAAGTGCTGGGATTATAGGCATGAGCCACCATGGCTGGCTCAAATCCTTTCTTTTTAAAGGAAGGAGCCAATGTGGATGAATGCTTAAGAGCACAGACTCTTAAGCCTGGACCAGCCAGACTCAGGTTGGAATCCTGGCCTTTCTAGGGAAATTGTAACCTCTCCAAGACTCAGCTTCGTCCTCGTTACTATGAATATAACCTACTTTATGGGCTTATTTTAACGACTAACATGCCTAGCACAGTGCCTGGGCAAGTAGTAGCTAATACATGGTAGCAATCATCATCATCATCAAAGTATAGATTTCACTATTTCTTAGCAGTTATACTTGGAAAAGGAGATTATTATGATAACCAAATAAAGCTAAAATAAAATTTCCAAGAAATTTTGATCCCAAAAAAGTAGAGTACAAACAAGAATGCATGAGCTCTCTGTTCCATCCCTTTCCTCCATCCAAATTATGGATTGGAGATTAGAGGAATCTAGTGTTGGGGAATCAATGAATATTAACAAGTAGAAAAGTGTTTCTGTGACAACTGTTGAGAGGTATAAAACAAATGCTGTCATATTTGCAGTACAGACAAGTTGAGTTCTTAAACTTTTTGCAAACTCCCTGGTGTGTGTGTGTGTGTGTGTGTGTGTGTGTGTGTGTGTTTACATCCTATTTTTTTGTTGTTATCATTAAATGGTCTTTTTAGGTCAGTTTGGGATTGACTCCAGGGGCTTCCTGTTATAAAAAAATCCTTTAGAGAGACTGTAGGTTTTACTCAATTTCTACTTATTTTTCAGTTCCAACTTATTAATATTGTTATTTTATAGGCATCCTAGGGCTTTTGAACATCATTAATTATGTGAATTCTTCTTTTTCTCAAGCATAGGAAGACAATACATCCTTAGAGAGTAAGGTAAACAGTGTCTACTAAAACAGGTAAAGCACCAGGAAAATCAGATCTTCATTTTTCCTACTTTTTGACAGGTTTCTCATTTAATTTTTCTCACTGCTTGTCTAGATGACAAATGTTTTCCAAGCAGCCAATTCTAAGACAGGTTGCGTTTTCAGTTCCAGTTTCTCATTTAGGCTGGAATTTCCTGGGGTAGTTTTTAGCTTTGCTTGAGAGATCACATTCAGCCCCTCAGTGAGGTTCCTTTGATCCCTTTTTTCCCTCAGTCATCTGACAGAAATGGGGGTTCTTCTCATTAAAGTGAAAAAAAAAAACCCAAAAAACAAAAAACTCACCGAGCAAGATAGCCTTGCTTGTCTTTGCCAATTTCTCAAAAAGCGATAGTAATTAGGATGAACAGAAGAGCACTAAAGCAAGATTTCCAGAGTGAGGTCATCCACAGAACACTTCATTATTTGTCCAAAGCATTGCTCATGTTCTCTGGTGGTAGCAGCCGGGTATGTGTGCTGAGCAAACAGTCCACAGGGCACATGCCCAGCAAGGCTGGTGATGGCTCAGAGCCTGCGCCTCGGGTGGGAGAGAGCTTGCTGGAAGCCGGTTTCACCGTGTGGGATGCTGGGGTTGACAGACTTCTCACTGGGCCTTTGAGAAAAGCGGGAAAGATGAATGACCTGGATGGTCATCACTAGGAAGCTACTAAGCAGGGGCATTATTTGAGCTCTGCTTGGATTTGTAAAACATAATTGAGATTGTGCTCTCTATCAAACCCGCATAAAAGAAGTCCATCTGATATATTACCTAGGGCCTTGGTGGTTAGGAATTTCCCATCTCTGGTGTGGTCATAGGCAACCCACTTCTCAGTGGGTGTGTTTGATGACACAAAACCGCAGTGCCTCATGAGGGAGAGCCCGGTTGCCTTTCCTCGAGAAGGTCCAGGCAGGTGCATTTGGATAGGGCTTGCTGAGCCTACTCACATGGACACTCCCCATTCAGGAAATAGCAACTTGGACTTTCTACTTTAACATTGTTAGAGGAGAGGGAATTTAAATGAGTGCATTCCACTCAAATGTTTCTAAAACTTTGGTCTCATTTAACCAAACCAAAAACCATCTGAGACAGGTCTCCATCAATTTAGAGGTTTATTTTGCCGAGGTTGAGGACCATGGCTCATGACACAGCCACCAGAGATCCTGGGAACATGTGTCCAAGGTGGCTGGGATACAGCTTGATCTTACACATTTTAGGGAGACAGAAGTTATAGGCAAAGACATAAATCAGTACACAGAAGGTGTACATTGGTTCAACCCAGGAAGGCGGGATGTCTTGAAGCTGGGAGGGGAGGCTTCCAGGCCATAAGTGGATTCAAAAATTTCCTGATTGGCCAGGCACAGTGACTCATGCCTGTAATCCCAGTACTTTAGGAGGCCGAAGTGGGTGGATCACCTGAGGTCAGGAGTTTGAGACCAGCCTGGCCAACATGGCAAAACACTGTCTCTACTAAAAATATAAAAATTAGCCAGGCATGGTGGCGGACACCTGTAGTCCCAGCTACTCAGGAGACTGAGGCAGGAGAATCGCTTGAACCCAGGAGGTGGAGGTTGCAGTGAGCTGAGACTGTGCCACTGCACTCCAGCCTGGGTGATAGAGTGAGACTCTGCCTCCAAAAAAAAAAAAAAAAAAAAAAAAGTCCTGATTGGCCATTGGTTGAAGGAGTTAAGCTTTGCCTGAAGAGTTGTAGTAAGCTTGAGTTAAGGTATAGGAAGTGGTGGTTGTAGAAGCAAAGGTTCTTATCATGTAGATGAAGACTTCAGGTAGCAGGCCTCAGAGAGAACAGATGTGAATGTCTCTTATGGGACCTTAAAAGGTGTCAGTTAAATCTCTCCTGGATCAGGAAAAGACTTGGAAAGGGAATGGGATTCTCTATAGAATATAAATTTCCCCCATAAGAGATGGCTTTGCAGGGCCGTTTCAAAATTTGTCAGAGAAATATATTTTAAGGTAAAATACTTTGATCTTCTTTAGAACCTGTTATCTGTCATGTGATGTTATACTAAAGTCTGGTTGGAATTTGGTATCTTATTGCTGCAAAGAGTCTGTTTATCAGTCTCAGGATCTCTATTTTAATGTGAATGCTGGTCATTGGTGTCTACACTCCAAAAGGGAGAAGGGCATAATGAGTCATGTCCAATTCCCCCTTCTCATCATGGCCTGAACTAGTTTTTCAGGTTTCTTTGAAATCCCCTGGGCCAAGGGGAGGGTCTACCCAGTTGGTTAAGAGGCTTAGAATTTTAATTTTGTTTTACATGTTTTAAACCTCATACCCTGGGGAAAAAGTTATTTGCAAAGTAAATAGGACTCTAAATTTTGTATTCTGTCCCCACTCTGCCCAGCTTAAGTGTGTGCCTATTTAAGGGTGTCTGTGTGTGTGAAATCATACTAGAGATGTGAATATACCAACAAATAGAGACACGCCGGCAGTACTACCACGTCAACTTAAGCAGCTGTGTCCATAGTGGCCTCTGAGATGCTGCTCGGGGTCTGAGGTCTATCCCTGATCCCACTCTGCCACCAGCCCTGACAGCTGGGTTGCCTCCACCTGGAGGAAGTGGCACCTTTTCTCACCTGCTGTGGCCCCAAGGGTATCTTTGTTGAAGGGTTGACACTTCCTGTTTCACACCAGCAGTGGGGGAGAAAGTCCTGCCCCTTTGGGGTCAGAACGTTGGGTAAGACCTTACTTCTCTCTTTCTCTGGTCCACTTGTGCCTCTAGCTGCCTCAAAGCCCTGACTTATGGAAGGCATCTGTTCAGCTGACTGGCAGTGGAGGAAGAGGCAGACACTTGGTGACTAACTCCTTTTCTTCTCATTGTATGTTACAAAGGCCACTCTAGATGACTGGAAGTCTATCTATCCAGCCAAACAAGATAAGCCTGCCCATTAACTCAGGAAGCATTATTATTAATATGTTCTGTGCACCTAGACTTTTCATTGTGTACAAGATGCCAAGAGTTTCACCAGAACCCCCCACCCCCAGGATTTGCTCTCTGACCCAGTAGTTCTGTGCCTCCTCCCAGGACAGCAGTGGGCTCAGCATGGTCTTCTTTGTCATCAGCTTCAGGCACAGGCGTTTTCAGGAAACAATCACCTTGCTCCACACTCAGAGTTTTGGTCATGGTGCACCCCCACATGCTCCCTTGTCCCTGTGCTCAGTAAACCGCTTTTTAAAAACGAAAATGAAAAACACAGAAACAGCACAGGTAGAAAATACCATCATATGTTTTCACTGAAGGCAAAAAAAGAAACTAAAAAATGTGCATTGGCCATGCTATTTGAATCAAAGAGCACAAGAAGCATCAGCACATCTCAGCTTAAGTCAAGAGTATGGAAACCTCACTGACATCGTCTCTTTACGTGATTAGTCTCATTTTTGGTAATAGGGATGCTTTTTATTTCAGATTTCCAGTAGCTTCACACATCAACTTTCTGAGACAGAGTTAGACATCAGCACTGGGTGAAAGAGACAGTTTAAATTAGTTCTTTGGTGTCGGCAGGTGGTTTAGAAAGTTGGGGTTTTCTTGTCTTTGTTCACCCCTGGGCCTGACATTATAATGAAGAGAATCACATGGCCTAAGATGAAGAGAATCTCCTCATTTGGTTTAGAACCAAAAGATTTTATCGGTTTCCCAAGCTCTGTGAGTAATGTCTCTGGGCCCAGAGCTGTGATAGAGAGGGAGAGGAGCTGAGGCCTGACCCTGTATCCCCTGCCTCCAAGCCATGAGGCCCACAGGGTCCTGACCTAAGTTGCAGGAAAAACAAGCTCAAGCCATGTGTTCCAAACAGTTGATGGGCTAGGAATTCTTCCAAGGTGTTTGGAGAACCTTCCTCACCTGCCCTTTCCCTCACCCCAGCTCCATATGGAGCCTCCTCCTCCCTGCCTGGGCTCCTTATGCTGGCCCTGCACATCTTACTCCTTCTTTTGTTAAGCTGAGTTGCATCTGGACTTCCTCCCCAACCATTATGATGGTAACAGTCTACCTGTGAGGTTGCTCAAAGGCAACGTGTTGAGACTAAGATTTTGTTGCAATCCTAAAATAGCTTAAGCTTTCAAGCCTATGATCTAGTGCTCTGCTTCTCAAACTCTAAGCTCTGGAGGCTGGGAAGTCCAAGATCAAGGCGCCAGTAGATACAGTGCCTGGCGAGGTACTTCTTTCTGTGTCCTCACATGGAAGAAGGTGGAAGGGCACAAAAAGGGTCAAACTCTCTGTGAAGCCTATTTTATAAGGGCCTTAATCCAATTCATGAGGGAGGATCTCTCATGACCCAATCACCTCCTAAAGGCCCCCCCTCTTAATACGATTGCATTGGAGATTAAGTTTCAACATGAATTTGGAGGGACACATTCAGACCATAGCATCATGCATTTGCAGTGGGGGTAAGATTGCCCCCAAGGGAGCAAAAATTGATCCCTTAGGGGTGATAAAAATCTTAGATATTACAATAGTTTGTGGCCCTCCAAAGTTCATACCTACCTAATACAACCTTCTTTCCTCATGTTTAATTTCTCCTGTTAAGGATGCCTTAACTTTAAATTTTAATTTTAATTCAGTAATTCTTCCTGGAGGAATAATAATGAAAAAAAAGTTTGAGAAACAATGTTCTAGACAGAGACAACCTAAACAAAGTTTTGCATGTACTTCCTGAAATGGGAACCAGAACTTGGCCTGGGGAGAGCTTGTGATTCCCTTTCTGAGGGGTGAAATTTGTACTTAACAACAATGAGAGGAAACCTCAGAAGTCTCTTTTTATCTTCTCAGAGAAGAAGTACTCTCTCAATGAAATCTTTGGGTTCCAGAAGCATTTAGTTATGAGTACTGAGCTCTCTTGGTACTGAGCTCTCTTGTGGGTCTGACATTCTGGAGTGTGGTGTTAGAATCGTGGACTTTGAGGTCAGACACGCCTGGTGTAAATGGGAGCATTCCCCTTCACTCTGCAGCTTTCAACTGGTTCTTTAATTTCTCAAAGCCTCATTTGCATCTGTACAATGGAAGTAAAACCTACCTGGTCAATTTGCTATTAAGATGAAACATGAATTGAGTGTAAAGGATGTGAAGCAGTGTTTGGTGTATAGTAGGTGTTCAATTAGTGGTGGGGAAATGGTGGTTATTAATATCCATCTACCTACCCACCTACCTATCATCATCATCTTAGTAAAATGTCTGTGGGCACAAAACAACACAACAATCTTCTGAATCAAACACATCCTCTTCTCATCAAGCTTGACCAACTCCATGTAACTCCCACAGAAGTCAAGCTTTCCAAGCTGCTGGAACAATAGGAAGTGGGAGTCCCTGGGGACAGCTGAGCCTTGGTTTATGTATTTATGTGACAGCTCTTTCTGTAGTGCTGAACGCTACATGGCCCTGGAAGAGGAAGAAGGTATTCCATGAAAAGTTGACACTACATTCAATCAGCCAAAGGAGTCTCTGATTTCTTCCTGCTGTTTGAAATAGAGCTGGATTTACTTAGCCGTAGTAAATAGACCACCTTCAACAACAACAAATTAAGGTTTTAAAAAAAATAAACCAAGAAAGAACAATACACAAAGACCAGGGAAAGAATAAAGAGAATGAATTAATTTTATATAAAGGGAGAGGTGTGATATTTATCATCTGAAAAGCAAGTCATATCTGAGAGCTTTTATTTTGCTCCCATATTCATTATTTATTCAACTTGGCTAATGCTGTTGTTTCTAATCCTGTCTTGGTGAACGCTTTAATTACTGTTTGGAATCTGAGCTCCTTAAAGCACTCTGGCATGGAAAAGAAGGCCAAAATACACTAGGTTTGTTGCAAGTCTGTTATTATTTCTGAGAATCATTTTTTTAAATGCACTCAGATTTATGCAAATGCGGGATGTGGGTAGGTGTGACAAATGCCTTACTAACAAGTCCCTGGAGTGCTTTTTGTAATGAGTTGATCATCACGTGTGTCCTTGCTGCTGTGTGGGAGGCTGGGTCCCTGCCATCATGCCCACCTGTGTGGCCGATCAACAGCGTTGGGAGAGGGGCAGCACAGGTTCCTGGTTGCTATTGTCAACTGTGGTTTCAGGCCCAATTTGGGACTTCAGCCAGCTTTGGCTTCTTTGGGTTCTTGGCCCAGTTTATATATAATTATTGGAATGTTAGGTAGATAAGTGTCTAAGAGCTAAGAATTTTTAAAGGCTGCACTACCATGGAGTGGAGCCGGGAGGCTGGGACAGAGTCAGCTATGACCGCTCAATTGCTGCTGTCTCATCTGGGCTCCTGTAACCAACTCTGGTCTGTTTGAGCCAGGCATCGTGGTTCTATCGCCAAAAGCCTACTGTGTTATAATCGTACACTCCTTTCTTTCACACATGCTCAGCCTGATCTTCGCTCTCCACTTTTCCCAGTTTTACTGGCTTTTTCTAACAAGTCTTGTTGAACTTGGGTTACCAGCAGACAAAAGGAAACAGAGGCAGGGCTCCTCTCTCCCAGCCGCCACCAAAATTGCCACCCCGTGTCATCTGTTTCAGTAGTGCCCACTCTAGAAGGAGCTATCCTGAACTTCCTGACGCCCTCACCATGCCACTGCCTGCTGTTTCTGGGCAGCAGAGGCTTCCTAGAGAAAGTCAGACTCAGGAGCTCTGCCTTCACCTGGTTATCACCACTGCCCACCTTCTGTTGACTTCCCATCAAGGCTGTTTGAATCTTTTCCAGGGTCAGGTAAAAGCTGTGCATCTCCCCAGTGCTCAGGGTTTGTGACAGTTGGGAGAAAGGCAGGGGACACGAAGTCACTGCTCTCCAAACCTGCCCTGTCCTTTTCCTACTGTCCGTCTGGTTTCTGCTCCACTCAGCCTCTGTCCCACTTCTCAAGTCCCTCATGAAATGAAGCCTCCTGCTGTGCTTAGTGCTGTGCTGTGCTCAGTGCTGGGATGGGTTCATGTTCCTGCAGAAATTGTGGACAGGTAGTCAGGTGAGGAGCAGGGAGCACTGGGGATGCATGCACACCTGGCAGGAGAGGGTATGCCAGGCATGGCTTCCGGGAGAAGTAAAATCTCAGCTGAGACAGGCAAACTGCATAGGTCGGGTGAAAGGGGCAGGGAGGGAATGAGCGTTCCACACAGAGGCAGGGGGTGTAGAAGCACAAAGGAGGGGGTCGTGGTGAGGAGGTGGAGGGCTGAGCCGGGGCCGGGTCATACGGGGCCTTGGCAGCAGTGCAAAGGAGCTTGGACCACATTCTTTGTTTCCACTCGGAAGTGAAATACTGGACTGAATAGTCTTTGAGACTGATGTAGGCCACACTGATTATTTTACTTGAGATTTTTGTGACCATGAGAATATCATCTGCCAAATCCCTGTAGTAGTGGGCTAACAAGATAGTATTCTGGTCATGTGAAAACCCCAGCCCATTTCCCAAAGGACTTACTTTGTCTCTGATAAGAGGTTTGGTGACAAGTTTGAAGGCTCCAATGTATACAAGTGAGAATAGAAAAGATATTTTCAGCCCTAGAGGTGTTTATCAACTGGCTAACATGACACCACTGAGAGCATTAAACAGCATAAAAATAATGACAAAGCTGTGATCAGCAGCTGCAGATGGTTTTTGTACACATTGACCATCTAGGGTGAGTAAAGGGGAGTTCAGGGAAGGCCCACGGGGCAGAAGGTGAGGCCAGGGATTGGCCTAGAGGGGAAGCAAAGGCAGACCCAATACCAAGGAGCTAATCTTTTGCTAAGCAACGTGGTCTGGAACTGGCGGCCTGAAGTGCTTGATTACCAGGGATACTGTTGCAGATGACTGGGGAAAGTCAGATCCTCCAAGCCGAGCCACCTGCAATTCAAGGTAGAATCTGGCAGAATACATTCATTCCTGTGTGAAAAATTCGAATCAGAGTTTTCTCTAACTGCTTACCAGATAAACTACTACTTGGCTTTCTTTACTTCTTGCCCTTTTTCTTGCTTCTTACTTCCCTCCTTTCCTCCTCTCTCCTTGTTTCCTTCCTTCCTTCATTTCCTTGTTCCTTCCTTCTTTCCTTGCTTGCTTTCTTCCATCCTTCCTTCCCTCCTTCCTTTCCTTTCTTCCTTCCTTCTCCTTAACTTTATAATTTGGTAATGTCTTCCTTAAAAACCTGACTTTGGAACGATACTACACTTTCTATTCAGCAACGAGTAGTAGTTTTGCCTCCCTATGTTATTGTTGTGTTTAAATCCTGGATTCTTTCCTGCTGTCATACTTTGTCATGAGAGTGAATCTTGCCGGGCGTGGTGGCTCATGCCTGTAATTTCAGCACTTTGGGAGGCTGAGGTGAGTGGATCACCTGAGGCCAGGAATTTGAGACCAGCCTGATGAAACCCCATCTCTACTAAAAATACAAAAACTAGCATGGTGAAACCCCGTCTGTACTAAAAATACAAAAATTCGCCAGGCATGGTGGTGCGTGCCTGTAATCCCAGCTACTCGGGAGGCTGAGGAAGGAGAATCACTTGAACCTAGGAGGCGGGAGGTTGCAGTGAGCTGAGATCATGCTACTGCACTCCAGCCTGGGGGAGACAGTGAGACTGTCTCAAAAAAAAAAAAAAAAGAGTGAATCTTTGTGATTGTCCTGGAGGGAATGTGCAGAGAGAACTTGGAGAGCCAGTTCCATGGGCTGTTGATTAACCTGACAGAAACGACATCCTGTTCTTGATACCTTAATAATTTATTTGTATTAGCATGTCACTTTCTCCAACTCTATTTTCATAGTTGGTTCAGGCTGCCATAATAAAATTCCATAGACTGGGTGGCTTAAACGAGAGACATTTATTTCCCACAGTTTAGGGGCAAGGAAAGCCCTGGCAGGTTTCATGTCTGATGAGGGGCCATTTCCTGGTTCATAGATGGCACCATATAGCTGTGTCCTCACGTGGTGGAAGGGGCAAGGCAGCTCTCTGGGGTCTCTTTTACAAGGGCACTAATCCCATTCGTGAGGGCTCCACCGTCCTGATCTAATCACCTGCCAAGGCCCTGCCTCCTAATACTATTGCCTCGGGGTTCAGGATTGCAACATTTGAACTTTGGGGTAGGGGGCGGGGA
Source organism: Homo sapiens (assembly GCF_000001405.40). Classification (NCBI taxonomy): domain Eukaryota; kingdom Metazoa; phylum Chordata; class Mammalia; order Primates; family Hominidae; genus Homo; species Homo sapiens. The sequence continues at coordinate 55,997,667 of NC_000008.11, forward strand.
ATGGGACACAAACATTCAGACCATAGCATCTGTTTTCTGATTTGAGAAACTGGCATAATAACATCTATGTATCTACATGGATGAATTTAGCAGGGTCTTGAAAAGATTCTTCACACATTAGAAAATGTTAAGACATGGCCAGGCGCGGTGGCTCACGCCTGTAATCCCAGCACTTTGGGAGGCCAAGGCGGGCGGATCACGAGGTCAGGAGATCGAGACCATCCTGGCTAACATGGTGAAACCCCGTCTCTACTAAAAATACAAAAAATTAGCCGGGCATGGTGGTGGGTGCCTGTAGTCCCAGCTACTCGGGAGGCTGAGGCAGGAGAATGGTGTGAACCCAGGAGGTGGAGCTTGCAGTGAGCCAAGATAGCGCCACTGCACTCCGGCCTGGGTGAAAGAGCGAGACTCCGTCTCAAGAAAAAAAAAGAAAATGTTAAGACATGTTCCTTTTTTTTTTTTTAAGATGACCATTGTTGGAGATTTGGCAGAGGGTGGTCAGTTATTTTAGAAAGGGCTCAAATGGTGATTGCCATTACCCACTGTCTTTAAAAGCTGAATGATCAAAATAGTATACATGAAAAGATTTCAGGAATTCATAAGTTTTCCGGTTTTCCTTGATGGCACTTTCCAGTCACCTACCCTACATATGAAAATGGGAGCCTATTTCTGTTTTCAGATTGCAGAGGGAATGGCATACATCGAGCGGAAGAACTACATTCACCGGGACCTGCGAGCAGCTAATGTTCTGGTCTCCGAGTCACTCATGTGCAAAATTGCAGATTTTGGCCTTGCTAGAGTAATTGAAGATAATGAGTACACAGCAAGGGAAGGTATGTTGCACTAATGATCTTTAGATGTTTTATTATTGTGTTTTATTTTGTTTTTGTCTGTTTTTGACAAAGCAATTACAATAGTCACCATTAAGAAAAACTTATTTGGTACAACATTTAAGCTGTACCATAATTGTCTGCTTATGGTTCTATTCTAATAGTTTCTAGAAGGTACTCTCTTGATTAACTCCACATGATACTTTTGTTAGGCTTACAAATGCTATCAGTTGTATTTCAATTAAGCAATGCAAAACACAAATAGATTCAGCAAGATGATTCTTGTTTATTTTGTATTGTTAAAGTTTTCACTCAAACAATGAATATAATATACGGGGCTGTGGAGAAAATATTTGTAACATTAATTCTATATTGTTTATTCCAGCCTTTTAATTACAAATTAAAACATGAACATTACCATACACACAGAACTAAATATAATGCAAAAAATCTACTTCTTTATTTTCCCACATTCTGTATTATATATATGAACCAAAAATGCACAGAGAGGCCTAAGTTCCCCAGCCTGTGGCACATTGTCAGGGGGCCAAGCATGGTCGGGACTGCAGGGCCTTTCTTGGGCTAGGATTGCCCACGTGGTTATGACTGAGGATTCTTATGCTCTCACCCACGAGAGCTGAGCAAATATTTTTGCAGTGCTCACTGTCTTCTGGAAGAGACAAGCACTTTCTTGAAATTCCTAAGCATTGTTGAACAAGGATTATTATTATTTTATTATTTTGAACCTGGGAGGTGAAGGTTGCAGTGAGCCGAGATCGCATCATTACATTCCAGCCTGGGTGACAAGAGTGAAACTCCGCCTCAAAAAAAGAAAAGAAAAGAAAGTATGGGGTCACATGTTCATGACTTTTTTGTTTAAGTTTAAATACCCAAGTAAGAACCACATATCTTCTTCCTTAGGTGCTAAGTTCCCTATTAAGTGGACGGCTCCAGAAGCAATCAACTTTGGATGTTTCACTATTAAGTCTGATGTGTGGTCCTTTGGAATCCTCCTATACGAAATTGTCACCTATGGGAAAATTCCCTACCCAGGTATGGTTTACTTAGCTATTTACAATCAAGCTGTATAAATGAGAAAAAGTCAGGTTGCATGAAGGCATTAAAAAGTAATAATTACTTCATCTACCCGATAGCAAAGAATAAGTGCTTTGAGCCAGAACTTGATTTTCACGGGCTGGGCATGGTGGCTCACGCCTGTAATCCCAGCACTTTGGGAGGCCGAGGCAGGTGGATCACCTGAGGTCGGGAGTTGGAGACCAGACTGACCAACATGGAGAAACCCCGTCTCTACTAAAATTACAAAATTAGCCAGGCATGGTGACGCATGCCTGTAATCCCAGCTACTCGGGAGGCTGAGACAGGAGAATTGCTTGAACCCGGGAGGTGGAGGTTGCAGTGAGCTGAGATCGCGCCATTCCACTCCAGCCTACACGACAGAGTGAGACTCCATCTCGAAACAAAAAAAAGACTTGATTTTTATTTTCACTATCTTTAGCATAAATTGTTCTAAGAGTGCTTAGACACTTCTTTGCCTCCTTATTTTGAGTGTGTGTTCTTGTTCTGCACTGATTAATTCCACCACATACTAGAATGTTCCGGGCATGGTTGTTGGTGTCGAGATGAGGATGGATAGACACAGGGGCTCCTCCAAGGCAGTCCCCCTGACTGGAAGGAGGAAACCCACATGGAGACAAGGATTTCCGATGCTTGGTTTTGTAATAAGTGCCCTGGAGTCTCTCTCTCTTCAAGAAATAACCACCTTTGTTTATCAGTGGGAGGCCCTTCTGCTCTTTAACATACTGGTATCAGTGAGGGCATCATTCAGTATTTATTTCCAGATTCCTAACACCTGAAGCCTGCAGAGCCAGATTCTGACCATCCCTCCATTTTTCCATGGTCTGTGCTGGCATGGTTAAGAAGAGGGATTTCGGCCAGGTGCAGTGGCTTACACCTGTAATCCCAGCACTTTGGGAGGCTGAGGTGGGTGAATCACGAGGTCAGGAGTTCGAGACCAGCCTGGCCAACATGGTGAAACCCCGTCATTACTAAAAATACAAAAAATTAGCTGGGCGTAGTGGTGGGCATCTGTAATCCCACCTACTTGGGAGGCTGAGGCAGGAGAATCACTTCAACCTGGGAAGCACAGGTTGCAGTGAGCCGAGACTGCACCCCTGCACTCTAGCCATGGCGACAGAGTGAGACTCTGTCTCAAAAAAAAAAAAAAAAAAAAAAAAAAAAGAGGGATTTCTCCCAGAGCCTTCATATTTTCATTTATGTTTGACTATTAACAAAATATTTGCATGAGGGGAATTTAAAATTAAATTTTTAATGTTTAAATCTTTCTCCTATTCAAAAAATATTTGAGTATGCTAGGCACTCTCAGCTGCTAGGATGCCATGGTATCTGCCCATGTCCTTGAGAGTGAATATTGTAGTGGGGAGAGACTGATGTTTATCAAACACACAGCCATCCTGTAGGGTGGTGAGAGTAGTGTGGAGCCTGCGTGGAGTGGCTTAGGGATTGGCGAGTACTCACAGAAGGGGGTGGGGAGCTGCTGGTTTTATTCCATGGTCCTGGCAGCAGCAGGGACTCACAGAGGGAGGGAGTCTTGGGCTCTCTGAGGTCTGCATGTCCCCATGGGGAGAGCAGCCAGAGCATGGGCTTGGCCAACAGGAGCAGGAGGCCAGCGTGGTTTGGGCCTCTGTGAGTATTTGATGGATGGATGGGTGAATGAATGAATGAATGAATGACGCACCTAGGCCATTTGATCTCTAGACAGTCGATGGATGAGAAAGAAGGCTATGTAGCTGGGGGTTAGAGTGGCTCAGGGAGAGACTTACTGGCCATGTAAGAGCAGCCCCTCTTACTCTGCTGAGATGCAAACCAGGGAAGGCTTTTGGACAGAGCAGCCACACAGTCTGCGTGCTCCCATCACTACTGTTTCATGTGGGGATGAGCCACAGAGAAACTGGGGCAGGGACCAGTTGGCAGCTGAAAGCCTTTGGGTGGTGTCTGCCTGCACAGTGGACCGGCTGTCCCAGGAAATCCCTTTAGTGCCAGCATTTCATCTTCCAGCTGCTCTAGACACTGAGATTAATGAATTAACATTGCTGCAAAATAGGAAAAATATTTCTAATCAGCCCCAGTGTCTGATGTTATATATCTCTATCTCCATCTATGCCTACATCTCTTTCTATAATCTGTCTGTAGAGAAAGATTATATAGTCAGATTATGTATATAATCTGACACCTGATAAACATACAATCTCATAAAAGAATGTTTTGTGATATGCGTGGTGTGCTGCATGTGATGTGCTACCATGGCCCCTGAGGCTTGGAGAAGGTGATTGGGCCCCTCGCTGGTGGCAAAGCTGCTCTGAGCCCCAGATCCATGTGCCTCCCAAGACCCCTCAGCCAATGTGCACAATGCCCAGGATTTGGAAATATTTGGGGTGAAAAATCATTTTTTGAAAAAAGAACTGGCTGGGCACGGCAGCTCACACGTGTAATCCTAGCACTTTGGGAGGCTGAGGCAGGTGGATCACCTGAGGTCAGGAGTTCGAGACCAGCCTGGCCAACATGGCAAAACCCCATCTCTACTAAAAATATAAAAATTAGGCTGGGTGCAGTGGCTCACACCTGTAATCCCAGCACTTTGGGAGGCCCACTTTGTGGGCGGATCACAAGGTCAGGAGATCAAGACCATCCTGGCTAATATGGTGAAACCCCATCTCTACTAAAAATAAAAACAATTAGCCAGGCGTGGTGGCAGGCGCCTGTAGTCCCAGCTACTCGGGAGGCTGGGGCAGGAGAATGGCATGAACCTGGGAGGCGGAGCTTGCAGTGAGCTGAGATCGCGCCACTGCAATCCAGCCTGGGTGACAGAGCGAGACTCCATCTTAAAAAAATAAAAAAAAAAAGAATAAAATAAAATAAAAATAAAAAGTAGCCAGGTGTGGTGGTGCACGCCTGTAATCCGGAGGCTGAGGAAGGAGAATCGCTTGAACCCAGGAGGTAGAGGTTGCAGTGAGCCAAGATTGCACCACTGCAGTCTAGCCTGAGCGACAGGAAGGAGACTCCATCTCAAAAATTAAATTAAATTAAATTAAATTAAATTAAATTAAATTAAATTAAAAAATAAAAAGAGAACCAGTAGAAAAATGGTGAGAATCATAAAAATATGTTTCTCTCTATATGGAAGAACACACCAGAATCCATCGACTAGTCTGTTCCCTGATTGGCTTGTCCCTGGAAGGACTGGGGATGTGAGATATCTTCAGGAGATCGGGATCAGTAAATTTTTTAGTCACGAGAGTTGTATGTTACGAGAGCCTCTAGCATTAGGGTTATAAACATAATCAAGCAATCCTATTTACTTCACATGAGAAGACTTGATTCATAGCACAGAAATCGGTAAACATTGCCAAAATATGCCATTTTCCACACGGTTATAAAACTGCATATGGGAGAGAATCCACGATGAATGGAATTATCTGAAAGTACTTTCTTTACGCAGTAAACTGCTGGCTATGTTTTTGTTTTTTGTTTTTTTTTTTTTTTGAGACAGAATCTCGCTCTGTTGCCCAGGCTGGAGTGCAGTGGCGTGATCTCGGCTCACTGCTAGCCCCACCTCCCGGGTTCACGCCGTTCTCTTGCCTCAGCCTCCCAAGTAGCTGGGACTACAGGTGCCCGCCACCACGCCCAGCTAATTTTTTTTTTATTTTTACTAGAGACAGGGTTTTGCCGTGTTAGCCAGAATGGTCTCGATCTCCTGACCTTGGGATCCTCCCGCCTTGGCCTGCCAAAGTGCTTGGATTACAGGCACGAGCCACCTCACTCGACCTGTGTTGTTCGTTTTTAAAGTACTTTAGAAGCTATACAGGCCAGGTGTGGTGGCTCATGCCTGTAATCCCAACTTGGGTGGATCACTTGAGGCCAGGAGTTCGAGACCAGCCTGGACAACATGGCCAAACCCTGTCTCTACAAAAAATACAAAAAAAATTAGCCCGGCGTGGTGGCCAACGCCTGTAATCCTAGCTACTTGAGAGGCTGAGGCAGAGAATCGCTTGAATGCTTGAACCCAGGAGACAGAAGTTGCAGTGAGCCGAGATGCGCCACTGCACTCCAGCCTGAGCTACAAAGCGAGACTCTGTCTCAAAAAAAAAAAAAGAAGAAGTCATATCATATACTTAGCTTTGTAAAATAAAAAGGAAATAAAAGAAAGGAGGAAAAAGAAAAAAGAAAGTCACATATAAGGCAAACTCATTTTTAGAGGAGATAGAAATACTAAGATAATATACTGAAATGTTAGCATTGGGTCAAGAGATAATAGGTTATATTAATTTTCTTCTTGATGAATTTCTGAAATTTCTAATTTTTTTACAATGATATTGTTATTAAATATTTTATTCTTTTTTTTTTTTTTTTTTTTTGAGATGGAGTTTCACTCTTGTTGCCCAGGCTGGAGTGCAATGGCGCCATCTCACCTCACTGCAACCTCCTCCTTCTGAGTTCAAGCGATTCTCCTGCCTCACCCTCCCTAGTAGCTGGGATTACAGGCATGTGCCACCATGCCCAGCTAATTTTGTATTTTTAGTAGAGATGGGGTTTCTCCATGTTGGTCAGGCTGATCTTGAACTCCCGACCTCAGGTGATCTGCCTGCTTTGGCCTCCCAAAGTGCTGGGATTACAGGTGTGAGTCACCGCACCCGGCCTAAATATTTTATTCTTATCTAAGTAATATATGCACATTAAAAAAGTAGTACAGAAAGACTTCCTTTTTTTTTTTTTTTTTGAGACAGAGTCTCGCTCCGTCACCCAGGCTAGAGTGCAGTGGTGTGATATCGGCTCACTGCAACCTCCACCTCCCAGGTTCAAGCAATGCTCCTGCCTCAGCCTCCTGAGTTGCTGGGACTACAGGTGTGCACCACAATGCCCAGCTAATTTTTGTATTTTTAGTAGAGACGGGGTTTCACCATGTTGGCCAGGCTGGTCTTGAACTCCTGACCTCAGGTGATCCACCCACCTCAGCCTCCCAAAGTGCAGGGATTACAGGCATGAGCCACCGTGTGCAGCCACAAAAAGACTTCCAATGAAAAATTCCCCATGCCTGCGGGTGCTCCTCAAAGTAATCTACTTTTGGGAATTTTGATTCCTTATTCTAGCGTTTGCTGCATATAGTTCTAAATATTCTACTCATAACTTTTATCTCTTAATTAAGTTTTTTCCACTTATTATTAGATAAGGATATGGCCACATACTTTTATTTTTCATTTATTTATTTATTTGACAGGGTCTTGCTCTGTCACCTGGGCTGGAGTGCAGTAGCATGATCATAGCTCACTGTAGCCTTTAATTCCTGGGCTCAAGTGATCCTCTCGCCTCAGCCTCCTGAGTAGCTAGGACTACAGGCGCATGCCACCACACCCAGCTAATTTATAAATTTTTTGTAGAGACAGGGTCTCACTATGTTGCCTAGGCTGGTTTCTAACTCCTGGGTCAACTGATCCTCCCTCCTCAACCTCCCAAAGTGCTGGAATTATAGGTGTGAGCCACCACGCCCGGCCAGCCACATGGTGTTAAATTCAAGAGATACAAAGAGGTGTAAGCTGAAAGGTCCCCCACTCTATTCCCAGCCACACAATTCTCTCCCCATAGGCAACCAGTGTTCTCAGTCTCTACTTTAGAGACATCCTATAAGGGGAGTCATACAGTTTTGCCCTAATGTCTGGTTTATTTCACTCAGCATAACCCTCAAGGTCCATGCATGGTGTGGCCCATGTCTTCAGTCTTTCTTCTCACTCCTGGTCTTCCATACCACACTTTCCCCACCTCCACTTGGGCCTAGCATTCCCTGCATGAAGCTTCTCCATTGTTTCTTCCAGCATTTGCCTGGGCACTGGTACTATGGGCTCCAGGTACTGTCCTGCCCTCGGCGCTGGCCTCCCTCCCTCATGGTATATGCTGACCACACAGTGTGTGCCTTCCTGGGCTGAGTTGGGATGGGCCGCCTTGCCCGTTGTCAGTGCCCCTCTCTGCAGGCACGTTGGTTGCACTTTCTTCCTCTTGGCTCAGACCACTTCTTCCTCTGGCTGCCAGATGTCTCTTAGCATCATCAGAGATGGAGTTTAAGTTTCTATTTCTTGTTCTCTTTTTTGTTTTGGGATGAATTACAGAAAAAAGAAAATAGTGAGGAGGAGGCAAAAGATCTTTACTTCATTATCTTAAAACCAAAACTATGATTATATTTCTCTATCAATTTTATACAGAAAAAAAGAGGGGTCTGACTGGGCATGGTAGCTCATGCCTGTAATCCCAGCACTTTGGGAGGCCGAGGCAGGTGGATTGCTTGAGGCCAGGAATTTGAGACCAGCCTGGGCAACATAGCAAAACCCTGCCTCTACAAAATAATTTAAAAATTACCAGAGTATGGTGGTACGCACCTGTAGTCTCAGCAACTCAGGAGGCTAAGGTGGGAGGATCACCGAGCCCAGGGAGTTTGAGGCTGCAGTGAGCCATGATTGCGCCATGTACTCCAGCCTGGGCAACAGAGTGAGACCCTGTCTCAAAAAAAAGGTGGGGGTGTCTTGTTGGGGTCCTGGTTGGGGTCTTGTTTTGCTTTGTTTATATAAAGCAAAAGGTTTGAAAGTGAAAAAATTTTCTGAAGCATCATGACTTTTCTGGCTGTTTCTGACCAGATATATCTAACATCTTAATGCCAGCTGAATTAGAATCAAGAAATTTGTCCTGCTGCAAACAAACACTCACCTTGGTCACAAGCAAAGCTCAGAAAATAATAATAGTAATAATAATTTGCCCTTTTGGAAGGAGTATGATTGGGTGGGAGACTGTACTCCCAGGGTATCTAGCTCTTCCTGATACACATACACACAAAGGGCCCTGTGTGACTGAAGACTGTCATAGTTTGTGGTACAGCTGTGCTCCTCCCTGTCACTAGCTATCTGTTCCTTTTCTCTACTGTACCACATTTTTCTCCTTCTTCTGCTTCTTTACCAACTTGTAGTCTCTGCTGATTTCTACCCACTCCAGATGCCACCTTCTGCTCCCCACCACCTCCTTCTGGTGAGGGCATTGTCCTGACTGGGCTGTGTGCCATTTGAGGATGATGCTCTGTCTTAACTATCTCTGCATGTCTCAGAGCTCAGTGCTAGTTCATGACCCATAGTGAGCACTCAGTGTTTGTTGAAAGGAGGAAGGATGGAAAGTGAAACTGTGTGCCTTCTAAGCAGATCACCAGCTAATGGGTGTTTACTTTCTTTAACTTAGCGACAGGCCAACACCAACTATCACATGTAATCTTAGGGTCTGGTTGAGGTCCCTCTCCTCTTCTTATTTCTTTCTTTCACAAGACTTGTCATTTAATAGCGGATTTTATTTATTGCTTTCCTTGTACATAAAAAGATAGGCTTCAGATTCCCTTCTTCCAATTCTTCTTATCAAGTCGAATTCCCCAAACAGGGTGGAGCATGTCCAGCCTTTACCAGCATCATCGAGAGTCCTTCAGAGCTAGGAGAACATACTGGAACCAGGAAAAAAAAATCTGCTGTGGGGCTAGGGTGACCTAGAAAGCTTTATCTTCCACTGTGGCTGCATTCTGACCTTTTATGCAAATGAGGGATCTCCAGGAAGGAAGTGAAAGAGATATTCCAAACTGAGTGTGCAGGTCCAATTGCTATTTATATCATACTGGATGTTAGTCCTCCCACCACGATCCCAGAATTTCACCCAAGAAAGCAGAAGTATACACAAATCTTTCTTCTGAAATTTATCCAAGTTATAAGAGCCAGAGCAATGCTGAGGCCATATCATTTTGTGGAGACTAAAACTCCCAAATAAAGAGGATGATACAAATCTGTCTTTCGCTTTAAGCAATGAAAATCAAATGAAGTATTTTAGTTAGAAAATTCTAGTCACACAAATATTTGAAGATAGTGTTTCAGAATTAGACTCAGGAAAATGGATTTGCTGTATAAATTCTCAAGAGATCTGAATCATTATAAAGTTTGCTTAGATCTTTCAATTTCAAAAACAAGGGCTCTTCCACGACAGAAATGATCATGTCTTCTTTCAGCGGTTTAAATTCAGGAAAGGTCACTGTGTCCTTAGATGAAAAAAGGTAAGTTAAAGGCAGAGGATCTCAAAGTTTATTGGCCATAAGCCATTGTGGGAAATACATAGAAACCTACTCTGTACATAAAGCAAACGTTTCATAAAACCATATTGACCTTTCCTATGTGCAGTGCTTTCTGACCTTTTCTGTTTTATTCTGTTATAATTCATTTTAAAAAATACTGGTAATTGGCTGGATGCAGTGGCTCCCGCTTTTAATCCAGCACTTTGGGAGGCCGAGACAGGCAGACGACTTCAGGTCAGGAGTTTGAGACCAGCCTGGCCAACATGGTGAAACCCCGTCTCTACTAAAAATACAAAAATTAGCCGGGCATGGTAGTGGGCACCTGTAATCCCAGCTACTTGGGAGGCTGAGGCAGGAGAATCGCTTGAACCTGGGAGGCGGAGGTTGCAGTGAGCCAAGATCGCTCCACTGCACTCCAGCCTAGGTGAAAGAGGGAGACTCTGCCTCAAAAAAAAAATAAAATAAAATAAAATAAAATAAAATACTGGTAGTACTCTAAAAAAGTCAATTTGTTGATCCCAAATTGTTGATCCCAAATGCGGATAGTGCCCCGCAATTTGAAAAACACTGATTAGAAAATACATTCAAAAGAAGGTTCTGTTTCAAATCTGGTAAAAAGCCATTTCCCCTGAAGCTGCCACTTATTTAGAATCCTTCCAGTGACCAGTGATGGTATAATCTACAGCTTTGAAAAAGAGATAGCTATGGAAAGGAAATTCGTTGTGAGGAATGGAGCCCCTCTCATATGCCAGATATTGTATATACTTTGCATGACATACATTCTTCTCTAGAGAAGTTCACATCCTACAGAACAGGGTATCCATGAAATATGCAAAACATACAGGTGTGGATAGATACTGCTAGATGAGCACATAATTGAAGGATTAATCTCCTTTATCATGCAGGAAAATGTTATTATTATAATGATCTTTTTTACCCTTTAAAGCTATTCTCAGGATCAAAGATTGACAGTTCAGCTTCTGAATTACCCTGAGACATTTGACCACATTAAAAACATTCTCTATTACCAGGCCTTTTGCAGAGCTCTAGAGGAGTAATGAGCACCTTACTTCTCTCCTGGAGGTCAGGAATATGCAAATCCAGAGTCAGAGTGAGCTGTCACTCTGGCCAGGTACTGCAGATTGGAACAGTTAACTGCGTCTGTGAAGTAGCTCCACTTGAGACTATGATTGGGGTTCAGTTTTCCTCCTCAATTAATATCTTGCTCTTAAAAGACAGTGACATCCACAAGATATGTAGCACAAACTACAGACAAGTGTCCTTCAGATTAACTGAACCATCATTATTTTCCAAATTAATCCCTAAGTTTTTAACTATTTGGCAAGCATGTAACCAATTTGTTGGGCTGACTTAAGGGTGCTGACTTTAAGTAAATGAAAATACCAATTATTAAATGAAAAGCCAATTTTTGAAAAATGTCCGTATAAGATAATATGTGGTAAAATTATTTTTTTCATAAATATACTACAAGTTGAAGCTGAAAGCATGCTACCCTGCAAACATAATTAAAGTTGAGAGTTAGGATTAGATTTGGGTGATTTATTTGAAATGTGAGGCAAGTCCAATATCCTTTTGTTATTAAAGAGAACTTGGCTGTGGCTCCTACTTAACAAATTTTGGCAAACTGAATGCTGTCTTGATCCCCTCCATGCTAAATTTATTTATTGAGTTGCTTGCAGAAATTTCCTTAGCTTCTATATTAGTTGGCAAGGGCTGCCATAACAATACAACACACTGGGTAATTTAAACAACAGACGTTTATTTTTCCGGGGTTCTGGAGTTTCAAAGTCCAAGGTCAAGGTGCTAGCCAGGTTGATTTCTCCTGAGGCCTCTCTCCTGGACTTGTAGATGGCTGCCTCCTCCCTGTGTCTTCACATGGTCTTTCCCCTATACTAGTCTGTGTTCTAATCTCCTCTTATAAGGATACTAGTCATATTGGATTAAGACCTACCCAAATGGCCTCATTTTAACTTAGTTACCTCTATAAAGGCCTTATCTCTAAATATGGTGCTGTCAATTCTGAGGTGTACGCGGGGTTAGGACTTCAACCTAGGAATTTTGGGAGGATGCTGTTCAACCCCTAACAGCCTCAGTAAAGCTTGTTTCAATCATGGTTACAGGATGTGAGGAGCAAAAAGACCACTGCAGTGCTTGACCCTCTGCCAGGTTTCTAAACGGCATGGGTTTCTGTTCTTTTTGTTTTTTTCCACCCTAGGGAGAACTAATGCCGACGTGATGACCGCCCTGTCCCAGGGCTACAGGATGCCCCGTGTGGAGAACTGCCCAGATGAGCTCTATGACATTATGAAAATGTGCTGGAAAGAAAAGGCAGAAGAGAGACCAACGTTTGACTACTTACAGAGCGTCCTGGATGATTTCTACACAGCCACGGAAGGGCAATACCAGCAGCAGCCTTAGAGCACAGGGAGACCCGTCCATTTGGCAGGGGTGGCTGCCTCATTTAGAGAGGAAAAGTAACCATCACTGGTTGCACTTATGATTTCATGTGCGGGGATCATCTGCCGTGCCTGGATCCTGAAATAGAGGCTAAATTACTCAGGAAGAACACCCTCTAAATGGGAAAGTATTCTGTACTCTTAGATGGATTCTCCACTCAGTTGCAACTTGGACTTGTCCTCAGCAGCTGGTAATCTTGCTCTGCTTGACAACATCTGAGTGCAGCCGTTTGAGAAGAAAACATCTATTCTCTCCAAAAATGCACCCAACTAGCTCTATGTTTACAAATGGACATAGGACTCAAAGTTTCAGAGACCATTGCAATGAATCCCCAATAATTGCAGAACTAAACTCATTTATAAAGCTAAAATAACCGGATATATACATAGCATGACATTTCTTTGTGCTTTGGCTTACTTGTTTAAAAAAAAAAAAAAACTAATCCAACCTGTTAGATTTTGCAGGTGAAGTCAGCAGCTTAAAAATGTCTTTCCCAGATTTCAATGATTTTTTTCCCCCTACCTCCCAAAATCTGAGACTGTTAAAACATTTTTCTTCTATGAACACTGCTCAGACCTGCTAGACATGCCATAGGAGTGGCGTGCACATCTCTCTCTCTTCCAGCAGGAGGAGCCCGTGAGCACGCACAGCTGCCCTGTCTGCTCACCCGAAGGCACCGGGCTCACCTGGACCTCCCAGGAAAGGGAGAAGAGCCTCAGAAACTGCTCTGTGTTTAGAAGGAATATTTTTAAGAGTCCAGCTTTTTCATTTCCACAATTTCCTATATCCAGATTTGTTTTGACAATGTAGTTTGGAAGAACTAAGATTCTAATCTCTGAAGAACCTTATAGGGCCTTCTAAAACATAAGAGTTTCCTTTGTTGCTTCAAATATTTGAACATTATGTTAAAGATCAAGTATTAATTTTAGTTGTACTCTAGAAAGCTAAAGTGCCACATTCGGGGCTATTTTTATGATTCAGCAATCTTTTCTAAATTGTGTAGCATGTGTATGAGACTATTTATACCCAAGGATATGAAGGAACATAAGTGACTACAAGGCTCTAATAAGCCACGGTGGCAGGAGGTTCAAGCGGTTCTGTTCACTAAATTTTTCTCCTGTAAGCTTTGAATGGAAACTTCTGTATCACATGATGTGTTTCACTTATGCTGTTGTGTATATACCTAATATTTCTATTTTTGATTTTATTTTAATACACCTCGTCCAATAACATCTCAAGCTTTTTATTTGCATTTACATTTTCAGCTGTGGTCAGTGTAAAAATTGGTCATCAGCTGGGGGCGGGGTGGTTAGAAGTGATTCAACAGAGCTACATGCTTTAAACTTGCCCAAGTTCTACCTCCTTCCTTTGAACATTTCAGATTGGAGAACCAAGGAGTTGATTGCCTGAACACCTGAACATCCGTTTATGGGGGCCAGATAGAATTTGTTTTCAAATAGGCTTAACAGGCATCATTAAAATTTCATTCTGTGTGTTTTGTTTAGGCTTGAGGTGCTTAGAAGATGGGATAAAATATTCTACTTTTTTCTAAATTTTAACTTTGTTTCCTATGTGATTTTTTTAAATGTCCTTTCTAAAATATTCTAAAATTATTGATTCACAAGTGCCATGTTCAGAACTATAGAATATTACTGTTACATAATGTCTGCACAGCTGGTCCCTTGATTCAGTGGTAAGGTTTTTGTGTACACCCCCCTGCTTGCATTTTATTTCAGAACCACAAGTATTACCCAATATGTTACATGGAGAGGAACTATAAAGAATCCCTAAGGCAAAAAGAAGTCTCTAGAAAATGACTAGAGGTTTTTTTTTTAGCATAACAAATTTATTTAAAGAAAATTATTAAATTTATCTTCGCCTTGTTTTGCTTCTCCCAGTTCCTCCTCTTCTTGCCATTTTCCACTTGTCTTTCCCTCCCAATCAAGCCTGTGATCCTTACCTCCATGTGGGCCCTTCACCAGCTTGGGCCTCATCTCTGGTGTCCAGCATGTGTGGAAGTCACACGTTCCCTTGATGAACAGCACACACAGTCTCCTTACTTAGCTATAGGTTTCCAGCCTCCCTGTGACAGACAGGCATAATGAGGGGCTGAATAGGTGTTTGTAGCATTTTCGGGTATCCAGTGGTGTGCAAAATGGCTCATGTCATCACACCTCAGGTTATTGTAGAGAACTGGAAAGACAGAATCCATACTCCCTACCGCCAAGATTCTGACTTAGCTGTTGTGCAGCGGGAGATGTATGTCAGTCTATTTTAAAAGCTTCTCCAGTCAGCTAGACACAGTGGCTCATGCCTGTAATCTCAGCACTTTGGGAGGCTAAGGCAGGAGGATCGCTTGAGCTCAGGAGTTAGACACCAGCCTGAGCAATATAGCAAGTCTCTACAAAAAATTTTAAAAATTAGCTAAGTGTGGTGGCACATACCTATGGTCCCAGCTACTCAGGAGGCTGAGGTGGGAGGATTGCTTGAGCCCAGGAAGTCAAGGCTGCAGTGAGCTATGATCGTGCCACTGCACTCCAGCCTGGGCAAGAGTGAGACCCTGTCTCAAAAAAAAAAACCAAAAAAACAAAAAAACCCTTCCCTGGTGAATATAATGTATGCTCAGTCTTGAGAGTCACCATTTGGTTTGACCCATATTACAAAGCCCAGCCTTCTTTTTCCTCAGATGGTTTCATTTCTCAAAGGGGAGTGGAAGAGAAGGAAGGAGGAAAAAAACGTGCCTTCCTTCCTGGTGAACATGAAGCTCACTGAACCTAAAGGAGACTCACAGGCTAGAAACCAGTGTCCTTAGTAGTAGGGGCCACCTGGGGCTTCCGTGGCTTCTCCAGGCATACCTCCTGAGGTTCCACAGAATCCCCTTGCAGAAAGTACTTCTGATGAGCCACTGGGAACGTGTACTGTCCAAGCCCCCTTCTAGGGGAAATTCACTGCCACAGAAGCCAGCAGCCCTGGCTGTCCCAAGGGTGCATAAAAGGATAATAACTAAAAGGAGGGAATTAATTTTGTTGCCTACACCAGGGATAGATCGAGGGCACTGAAAGCATCATAAGTATAAACTCATCTCCACGTCAGCTTGTGGAGTCTGCTTTCTCGCTCTCTCTTTTTTTTTTTTTTTTGACAGAGTCTCACTCTGTCACGCAGGCTAGAGTTGCAGTGGTGCGATCTCAGCTCATTGCAACCTCCCCCTCTCTGGTTGGAGCGATTCTTCTCCTGCCTCAGCCTCCCTAGTAGCTGGAACTACAGGCACACACCATCTCGCCTGGCTAATTTTTGTATTTTTAGTAGAGATGGGGTTTCACCATGTTAGCCAGGCTGGTCTCGAACTCCTGACCTCAGGCGATCCGCCTGCCTCGGCTTCCCAAAGTGCTGGGATTACAAGTGTGAGCCACTGTGCCCGGTCGGGGTCTGCTTTCTCTTTATTCCCCGTCCTCTCACAAACTACATCCAGGGGCGGTAGCTGCTAAAAGGACTCAATTCTGCAACCTCAGCTTCTGACACCTTCAAATAAATTAAATGCTGGTCCTAGGGCTCGCTCCCCAGCTCTTCTGATGTCACTGCCAGGTTCCACAGCCAGTTGTCGGACATCTCCTGCTTCCTCAGCCAAGAACACCTCTCAGATGAGATCAAACCGCCCAGCTTTCCTCTTAGCATCTTCCTTTATTTTCCACTTCTGGCTGGTGGAAGAGAGATCGTAGTTCTCTATTCCCTACATTTTAACTCCACGAATATTTTAGATTAAGTGAAGTCTTGCTGTTCTTCCTGATGGAAATGGTAATTATAAACATACAAAGATACCCATACACACATTCTTTACTCAGGGCCCTCTTGTGCTTTGGCAAATGATAAAAATTATCTCTAACTCACACAACGACCCTGGAAGATCTGGACAATGCTATCACTATTTCACAGCTGAGAGATCGGGAGCATTTAAAGCCACAGAAGGAATAGATTGGCTTCGCTTCATATTGTTTCCTTGTGAAATAAAACCAGTGAAACACCTTTGTGTAGAATCTCCCTGACTCAGCTGAGTGTTCTGAGTAAGCAAGGGTATTACTTACAAGATGCACCATTTGAGCCCACACAGATGGGAGGGGAAATTTTTCCTTAAGTAATTTTATTTGGGTAGAAAAGTAATGCAAGAATTTAACTTACCATTCACACTTTTAAAGACAATTTGTAGAGACTACACTTCAGAATAAAATGTTTTGGCCAGCTACAGTGGCTCACACCTGTAATCACAATACTTTGGAGGGGCTGAATCAGGACGATCACTTGAGGCCAGGAGTTTGAGACCAGCCAGGACAACATTATGAGACCCTGTCTCTACAAAAAAAAAAATTAAGTTTCAGTAGCATTTATGTTCCATTTCATAACATGAATGTTACTAAAACTGATAAAAATTTTATCCTGAAAAGTTTTAACTTGATAGACGTGTAAGAGGAAAGCCTTCCAATTTAATTTCCTGTGTGCTGATAAATCTATTAAATACTTCAAGTCAGAGTGCCAAAAAGTGTCACAGAATTCCCGAGATGGCCACAGATATTCACAGATCTTGAATATTTCTCTTTAAGGGGGAAATGACAGGGAATCTTGGCGGCCTCTATCTCTAGGTCTTTGGAAGGACTTTAGAAATAATCTAGATTGGCCAATGTTCAATGTTAACGCAGAACTTTTAGAAATAAAAGAGGCCTTAATCTACAGCCCCAAAAGTAGATACCATGTCACACAGCAAGAAAATTATCTGTGATTTTTTTATTATTATTATTATTGTTAGACTTACGCTGGGCTTTGACGATAGGTCCTTTATCCCTTATCTACCACCCTTAGGGTCAGGTATGTTTTTGATTTCAGGTTTTTTAAAAAAAGATTAGGGCCAAGCACGGTGGCTCATGCCTGTAATCCCAGCACTTCAGGAGGCCGAGGCGAGTGTATCACCTAAGGTCAGGAGTTGGAGATCAGCTTGGACAACATGATGAAACCCCGTCTCTATTAAAAATACAAAAAAAATTAGCTGGGTATGGTGGCACATGCCTGTAATCCCAGCTACTCAGGAGGCTGAGGCAGGAGGATTGCTTGAACCCGGGAGGCGGAGGTTGCTGTGAGCTGAGATCATGCCATGGCACTCCAGCCTGAGCAACAGAGCGAGGCTTCATCTCAAAATAAATAAATAAATAAAAATAAAAACAAATAAGAAAAGATTAATACAGTGAGTATATTGAATATTTGGTGGTAAAGCCTCAGTGAACACTGATGAAGAAATCTTTTTTGTTGTTTTGTTTTGTTTTGAGATGGAGTCTCGCTCTGTCGCCCAAGCTTGAGTGCAGTGGTAAGATCTCAGCTCACTGCAACCTCCACCTCCCGGGCTCAGATGATTCTCCTGCCTCAGCCTCCCGAGTAACTGGGATTACAGGCATGTGCCGCCATGCCCAGCTAATTTTGTATTTTTTAGTAGAGATGGGGTTTTACCATGTTGGCCAGGCTGGTCTTGAACTCCTGATCTCAGGTGATCCGCCTGCCTCAGCCTCCCAAAGTGCTGAGATTACAGGCATGATCCAGCGCGCCCAGCCAAGGAAGAAATCTTTAATTAAAACATATATGCATAAAAATGCCTGAATATTCACACTAAGTGGAATTGACTATAGCATATAAATAGCTTCGGCTCAGGTTTTGCCACCAAATGAGTTCTTAAAAGACCATTTGATTTGTAGAGTCTTTTGGATTTCGGCATTATGGATAAGGGCATGTGGACCTGCACCCCAACAGCTTGAAGAGTATGCAAGACCTTTTAGTCTCAGGGGTTGATTTGATTCAAACGGAGGACATCCAGATTGTGGCCCAGAAAAACCCATTTTTTACATCCACATTCAAAAATGCAAAAATATGTATGCTGCTAATCATATATGTATGCTATTAATCATATGATCTCTTATCAAATACTGCCCTGGCGTAGTCTGAGATGTAGCAGTCCAAGTAGCGGAGGCGGGGGGGTGAATCTGGTGGTTTCAGCTGACCACAAGAGCTCCCAGCATGCTATGGGAGCTCAGATGGTGAAGAAGTGCAGTCCTAGGCTACCTTAGGAGCGCTGAAAGGCCACACCCAAGAAGAGATGCTCGTCTGTCACATGGAAGTCAGACCACACAGGAGCATAACCTTCAGGTCTGAAGCCTTGATGGCAGCTCCTCCAGTCTTACCTGCCCTGGACAAGTCACTTTGGTGTAAGTGTTGGGCTGTGCCTGAAAGGACAGGACTTGCCAGATACCACAGCACCGAAGTTTCTCCATTCGATGGGAGAGAGCAATGAAATCATTTTAAAACATTGGCTCTGTCAAAGAATTATGTTTTGAAACCTGCTTTGTAAAACTCTTTTTTTTTTTTTTCAAAGTAATTGCCCTGGTCTTTTTCTGTCACTGTAATTTAACTTGAACTCATGTCCTCCGTGGGCTAATGGTATTGGTTCCATACAATGGTTAATCCAGTGCTTCCTGGAACACAGGAACTGCAGTAGGTGTGTGAGGGACACAGACATTGGCCTTAAATGGCCTGCTTTATGGTGACAAGTACAATGACATAAGGTACAGCAAGGAAACTGTTACAGGGAGAAAAAAATAGGTATGAAGTATGGTTAGGAGGACAGGAAAGGAGATAAGGAGAAAAAAAAAAGCTTCCTAAATAAAGTGACATTCAGGTTTGGCCTTAAAGAATGGACAGGTCAGTGGCAGCCAAAAAGGAGACATCAAGGAGAAGTTTCAGGAATGGAGTACAGTCAGGGCGGAGGAGGGCAGGGAAATATGGGGTCATCAAAGGACAGAGCCCCCCAGACTTGTAGAATGAGGGCTGGAGCCTGCCTCTGAAACGCCAGGAAGGCACATTGTAATGGATCGCTGGGCGCCCCACCAGGGTTTCTGCTCTGGGGTGTAGATCTGGAATGGAAGTGAGGAATGGCAGCTGACATTGCTAGTCAGGGACCCCCTTTCAGACCCACTGGATGTCCAGGTGCTGAGCGGCGGGAAACCTGGTAAGGCAGCGTGAGGCCACGCCTTGGAGAGAAGGTACTGTCCCAGGTGAGCGTGAGCTTCTCATACCGTGCTGGTGGCAGCACTCCACGGTGGAGGACGGCCTCTCCAAGGAGCGCAGCACAGAGGTGACGCACCATGGCCCAGAGCCACACTGCTGGTGTCCCAGCCCAGCTCTGCATATCGTGCTCAGCTGCAAAGTGGGGATGATGAGAGTCCTTACCTCATAGGGCTGTTGTGAGGAATAAATGCAAGGATATTTCATTTTAAGCCAGGCATATAGTGAAGCCAATGTTTGTGAAATAAAGACATGAAATCAAGAAGTTTGTTGAATCGAGATGTTAAATAAGATGCAATGTCGGAAAAGCATGTTATGAATTCCAGTCAGTGGGCAGTGTGAGGGAGAGATTGAAGGAAATCCTATGAAGAGGCCATTATGGCGGTCCCAATGGAGGAGAAATGAGAGCCCAAGCTCCATGTGGCCTGCTGTGGGAGATGTTCTAGCAGCAGATCCTCTGAGGGTGTTCTCCAGCACCCAGAGATTGAGTTTCTCTGGATTTGGGGTAGGGTGCAAAAGTCTGCTTGTTTTTTGTTTTGTTTTGTTTTTAACACCTCCGCCATCTGTGACATTTTATTTATGTATGTATGTATTTATTTATTTATTTGAGATGGAGTCTCCCTCTGTCGCCCAGGCTAGAATGCAGTGGCGTGATCTTGGCTCACTGCAACTTCCACCTCCTGGGTTCAAGCGATTCTCCTGCCTCAGCCTCCCAAATAGCTGGGATTACAGGCACCCGCCACCACACCCAGCTAATTTTTGTATTTTTAGTAGAGACGAGGTTTCACCACGTTGGCCAGGCTGGTCTCGAACTCTTGACCTTGTGATCCACCTGCCTCGGCCTCCCAAAGTGCTGGGATTACAGGTGTGAGCCACTGAGCCCGGCCTTATTTTTATTTTTCTAGAGATAGGATCTCACTGTGTCTGGAGTGGACTGAAGTGCACTGGTGCAATCGTAGCTCACTACAGCCTCAAACTCCTGGGCTCAAGTGACCCTCCTGCCTCGGCCTCCTAAGGCAGGGACTTCAGATGTGAGCTGGGACTTCTGCGGGAGCCATCATGACATTGATTCTAGTATTCAAATAAGAACTCTGAAGAAACTCAACTAGGGAATTAGATTTTGGGGTTGGCAGCTATTATGAGTTGAATTTTGTTCCCCAAAAATGACGTTCTGAAGTCCTAACTGCCAGTACCTTATGTGACCTTACCTGCAAATAGGGTTAATATAGATGTAACTGGTTAAGATGAGGTCACACTGGAGTAGGCTGGCCCCTAATCCAGTATGACTGGTGTCCTTATGAAAAGAACCATGGGAAGAGTCAGACGCACATAGAAGGAAGACTATGTGAAGAGCCTGGGAGAAGACGGCCATCGCCAAGCCAAGAAGAGAGGCTGGAACAGACCTTCCCTCAAGCCCTCAGAGAAACCAACCCTGCCGACACCTTGATCTCAGGCTCCCTGTCCCCAGAACTGTGAGAGGAGGAATTTCTGCTGTGCGGGCCACCCACTTTTTGGCCCCCAGGGCCCGGGGCAAGGGCTCCATGAGGAGTGGCTGCTCGACACTGCGTTTACATGTGGGTTTTATTATTACTCAGGTGTGGTGAAACCAACAGATGAGGAGACAACTGTTGTTGAAAAGAGAGTTTGCTACTCACAGTTCTCAAGAGGAGGAGGTTCACCACACCATGCAGGCCACACAGGGAAGCACCAGGGTGGGTCAGGAGGCAGAGGGAGCCAAGGGGAAATGTGGGAAAGAGCTTTTATTGTGGTTTCCACGGGAAGGACCCAGCAGGTAAGCAGATTCAGGGTTGGCTGGTTTGAATAGTTTAAGGGCTGGGGCATAGGGGCTGTCCCTAGTCACTTGGTTCTGGCCCTGGGGGATTAGGAGGGCAGATAAAGGTAGAACCCCACAGAGGAGGGGGTGGGAATGGGCGGCTCCGGATTGGTTGCTTTGCATTTGAGTGGTGAGCTCCCCGGTGAGTTGTTTGCTCTCTCTAGGAGTCCGCTACCCTGGAAGGGGCAGTATCTCCAGGTCAGCAGGGCCCCAATGTCAAAGCATCAGAATATAGGAAATAAAAAACATGCTTAAGGCACATGTCAAAGGCAGCAGCAGGGCAGGGGAACAAAAACAGGGCAGACCAGGGAGGGGTTTTGTCCTCAGAAGGGCGTAAGTTCCCTGAGGGCAGGGATTGGGCCACACTGGCCTCTCACCCCCAGCACTTAAAGTGCCTCTGAAACAAGCTATTTTTGCAAAGTGGCAGCAGAAAGAAAGGCTTGCAAAGGGTTAAAGAGAAGGGAGAAAAGGGAATGTCCCTGCTGAGATAGCCAGGAAGGAAGAGGAGAAGGGCAGAGATGCTGGGCCTCAGGTGGGGCCGGTGGATGGCTCCATCTGTGCAGCAGAGGCAGCCACGCAGCATCCTGGAAGCCCCAGAACTGACCGTACACACAGAGCAAACAGCTCAGAACAGCTGAGGGAAGTGTGGGAGAAATGAGCGAATAGAAGTCCTGCACCGTGGTGCCATTAGAGCCACACACTGGCAGAAAGCCGTGGTAGCTTCCCTGGGACATCCTGGTGGTTGCTCTGAGCCATCGGTGTGCACTGCCAAGCATGCACATCCTGCCCAGTGTGGAAGCCGTGCTCTGGCCATCTCCAAGACAGCACTCGCCTCCGATCCTGGATCTTTTTACCAGGATGCTCGTGGTAAAAACAATGTCAGCCAGCACCAAGGACTTCTGCTGAAGCTCAGCATCTTAGTTTGCTAGGGCTGCCATAACAAAGTACCACAGACCAGGAGGCTTCAACAATAGACATTTATTCTTGCCCAGTTCTGGAGGCTACAAGTGGAAATCAAGGTGCAGGCAGGGCTGCTTTCTTCTCGGCCTCTGCCCCTGCCTAGCCCTCCCGAGGCCTTCTCCCTGTGCTTCTCAGTCTTCTCTTCGTGTGAGTCGTGTCCAAATTCCCTCTTCTTATAACAGCACCAGTCCTGGAAGATGAGGGCCCATCCAAATGACCTCATTTGAACTGAATGACTGCTGTAAAGACCCTATCTCCAAATGCAGTCACATTCTGAGGCACTGAAGCTGAGGACTTTGATGTATGAATCGTGGGGACACATTCAGCCCACAACACCCAGTCTCTCAGAAAACAGAGGCAACCAGAGCACATCAGACTGCGCCGATGCGTGAGGACGCCAAGCTTTCCCCAACTCAGCCCTGGCCTCCTGCGGGGACAGTTCACAGCCTGGTCACTGCCATGGCCCCTTTTGCAGCCCAGCCACAGGCCTGGGGCCTGGGTGGCCCGTGTGAGCCTCCCTGAGCCTGGGTTTACTGAAGACTTGTTCTGCCTGGTTTGGGGACCGTTGCATCTCAACTCAGAAAAATGATTTGAGGCAAGGCACAGTGGCTCACACATGTAATCCCAGCACTTTGGGAGGCCGAGGTGGTTGGATCACCTGAGGTCAGGAGTTCGAGAGCAGCCTGACCAACATGGTGAAACCCCATCTCTACAAAAATACAAAAATTAGCCGGGCATGATGGCAGGTGCCTGTAATCCCAGCTTCTGGGGAAGCTGAGGAAGGAGAATCACTTGAACTCAGGAGGCGGAGGTTGCAGTGAGCCGAGATCGTGCCATTGCACTCAAGCCTGGGCGACAGAGCAAGACTCCATCTCAAAAAACAAAAAATAAAAGATTTGTGAGTGCATATCAGACTATGTTGTTCCTAGTAAGTGGGAAGGGGTGTCACTAAAATCACTGCGAACACTGGGTGGTGATGCAGTTTACAAGAAGGAAATGTGATTGTCAGGGCCAGTGCAGTGGCGCGGCCTCACTGGCTGCTTCGTGGGGGCTTAAAACCAGGACAGTTTAAGCCAGAGAGAGAGAAGCGAGAGAGGGGCAGCATCTCCTCAAATACTCCTCTGGCTCCCTGAGCAGTTGCCCAGCTGGGCCTGTCAGCTCCTCAGGCAGCAGGACCCCAGCTTCAAACAGGATGGTGGAGTTGCAACTGTGCGAGGGCCATGCCACCCCCTTGATAGACACTCATCTTTCCTCTGGTCATGGAAAAACACTATGTACACACTCGTGTCAGCCAC
This sequence comes from Homo sapiens, assembly GCF_000001405.40. Lineage (NCBI taxonomy): Eukaryota > Metazoa > Chordata > Mammalia > Primates > Hominidae > Homo > Homo sapiens. The sequence continues at coordinate 56,021,331 of NC_000008.11, forward strand.
ATTCTTGCGCCCACATAGGCAGAGGTAGTAATTACTGTCCTGAGTGATCACCTTCCACTATGTCATTATTCCAGGGGGTATGTAAATATTCCAGGCTTTTTTTTTTTTTTTTTTAAACATAAAATGATTTTGGGAGCCAGAACTCTTTGCTATTATTTCTTGGCACAATCCTCAGAGATTGTGTATTTCGTTGTCAGTGTTGTTGTTTAAAACCATTTACCTTTCCTAAAGAAACCAGAACTCTTGGACAAGAAATGGGAGTGAATTATTCTCAATCTTGGAAAATGTATAACAATAGAATACCATAATCTCTTTTATCAGTTTATTCAGTCAACCAATATTTATTTATTGGCGAGGCAAAGTGGCTCACGCCTATAATCCCAGCACTATGGGATGCCGAGGCAGGTGGGTCACTTGAGCCCAGAAATTTGAGACCAGCCTGGGGAACATAGAGAAACCCCATCTATACTAAAAAAAAAAAAAAATTACAAAAATTAGCCAGGAATGGCGGTGCGCACCTATAATCCTAGCTACTTGGGAGGCTGAGGCACGAGAATCACTTGAACCCAGGAGGTGGAGGTTGCAAAGACCTGAGATCATCCCACTCCACTCCAGCCTGGGCAACAGAGAGAGACCCTGTCTCAAAAAAAAAAAAAAAAAAGAAAAAAAATTATTTATTATCTAAAATAGAGACAGGATCTCACTACATTGCCCAGGCTGGAGTGCAGTAGCTATTTACAGGTAAGATCCCACTACTGACTGGTATGGCAGTTTTGACCTGCTCCGTTTCCAACTTGGGCTGATTCACCTCTCCTTAGGGAAACTGGTGGTCTCCTACTCCCAGGAGTCCATGAAATTGATGACAAACAGTGCAGACAACTGATAGGCATAGCACACTACAACCCAGAATTCCTGGACTCAAGTGATCCTCCTCCCTCAGCCTCCCAAGTAGCTGGAACTACAAGCAGACCACTACATCCAGCTGTTTATTTTATTTTATTATTATTATTTTATTTGAGACAGAGTCTCACTCTTGTCACCCAGGCTGGAGTGCAATGGCACGATCTCGGCTCACTGCAACCTCTGCCTCCTGGGTTCAAGTGATTCTTCTGCCTCAGCCTCCCCAGTAGCTGTGATTACAGGCATGAGCCACTACGCCTGGCTAATTTTTATATTTTTAGTAGAGATGGCGTTTCACCATGTTGGCCAGGCTGGTCTCGAACTCCTGACCCCAGGTGATCCGCCCACCTCAGCCTCCCAAAGTGCTGGGATTACAGGCTTGAGCCACCACACCCGGCCCCCAGCTATTTATTTTTAAGACAGGTTCTCACTCTATCACCCAGGCTGGAGTGCAGTGGCACAATCATACCACACTGCAGCCTCAAACTTCTGGGCTCAAGCAATCCTCCCACCTCAGCCTCCCAAAGCGCTGGGATTACAATTGTGAGCCCCTGTCCCCAGCTTATATTCACTGATGACCTACTGTTTGTCAAGCCCTGTGCTGGGTGCTGGGACTAGTTGGAATGTACAGTGACTTAGGGTATAATAATCTGTTTTGGTCAATGATGATGGTCTCATAAGATTACAAAGGACCTGAAAAATAGCCGTCATAATGTCTGCCTTACCTGTTTGTGGCGATGCTGGTATAAACAAACCTACTGCACGGCCAGTCATATGAAAGTACAGTGCGGCTGGGCACGGTGGCTCACGCCTATAATCCCAGCACTTTGGGAGGCCGAGGCGGGCGGATCACGAGGTCAGGAGTTCGAGACCAGCCTGACCAACATGGTGAAACCCCGTCTCTACTAAAAATACAAAAATTAGCCAGGCATGGTGGCGCACGCCTGTAATCTTAGCTAGTTAGAAGGCTGAGTCAGGAGAATTGCTTGAACCCGGGAGGCGGAGGTTGCAGTGATCTGAGATCATCCCACTGCACTCCAGCCTGGGCGACAAAGGGAGACTCCACTTCAAAAAAAAAAAAAGGTACAGTGCATAGGATTATGCACAGTACATGATACTTGATAATAAACGACAGTTCCTGCTTTCTGTATTTACTGTATTATACTTTCTACTGTCATTTTATTTTATTTTTTGAGACAGAGTCTCGCTCTGTCATCCAGGCTGGAGTGCAGTGGCACCATCTTGGCTCACTGCAACCTCTGCCTCCCGGGTTCAACCAATGCTCCTGCCTCAGCCTCCTGAGTAGCTGGGATTACAGGCACCTGCCACCACACTCAGCTAATTTTTGTATTTTAATAGAGACAGGGTTTCTCCATGTTAGCCAGGCTGGTCTTGAACTCCTGATCTCCATTGATCCGCCCGCCTCAGCCTCCCAAAGTCTTGGGACTACAGGCGTGAGCCACTGCATCTGGCCTTTATCATTATTCTAGAATGTACTCCTTCTGCCTCAGGCAGGTCCTCCAGGAGGTGTCCAGAAACAGCACTGTTATCACAGGAGATGACAGCTACATGCTTGTCCTTCCAGTGGAACAAGATGTGGAGGTGGAAGACAGTGATATTGATGATTCCCGACCCTGTGCAGGCCTAGGATAATGTATGTGTTTGTTTCTTCTTGTTAAAAAACAAGAAGGTTTAAAAGGTTAAAATTTTTTTTAATAATTTAAAAATAGAAAAAAGCTTATAGCATAAGGATATAAAGAAAATATTTTTGTACAGCTGTACAATGTGTTTATGTTTTAAGCTAAGAGGTATTACAAGAGTCGAAGAGTTTGAAAATTTAAGTTTATAAATTTAAAAAGTTATAGTAAACTAGAGCTAATTTATTATTGAAGAAATACATTGTTTTCATAAATGTAGTGTAGCCTAAGTGTGCAGTGTTTATAAAGTCTACAGTGGTGCACAGTAATGTCCTAGGCCTTCACATTCACTCACCACTCACTCACTGACTTACCCAGAGCAACTTCCATCCTGCAAGCTCCACTCATGGTAAGTGCCCTAGATAGATATACCATTTTTTATCTTTTATGCCGTATCTTTACTGGACCTTTTCTATATTTCGAGATGTTTAGATACACAAACATTTACCATTGGATTACAGTTGCCTACAGTATTCAGTACAGTAGCCTGAGGTACAGGTTTGCAGTCTAGGAGTAATAGGCTGTACCATATAGCCTAGGTGTGCAGTAGGCAGGACCGTCTAGGTTTGTGTAAGTATACTCTATGATATTCACATGACAAAATCACCTAATGACACATTTCTCAGAACATATCCATGTCTTCAAGTGACACATGACCGTATTTTAAAGAATACCTAGGCAGAAACATCACCCCCCCAACACACACACACACACACACACACACACACACACACACACACAAAATCCCATAGTGGTTTATGTTATTTAGCTCTCCAAACAGCAGCTTCCCATCTGTCTTTAAAAATATTCTAACCAGGCCGGGTGCAGTGGTTCACACCTGTAATCCTAGCACTTTGGGAGGTTGAGGAGGGTGGATCACCTGAAGTCAGGGGTTCGAAACCAGCCTGGCCAACATGGTGAAACCCCGTCTCTACTAAAAATACAAAAATTAGCTGGATGTGGTAGCACATGCCTATGATCCCAGCTGCTTGGTAGGCTGAGGCAGGAGAATCGCTTGAACTTGGGAGGCGAAAGTTGCAGTCAGCCAAGATTGCGCCACTGCACTCCAACCTGGGTGACAGAGTGAGAACCATATTCTACATTCCATGCAGTCTTGGTAGGAAATAAAGGAAAAGGAAGTATGAAAAATGTGAAAACTAGATAATTAGATTAAAACTATCAACTCCAAAGAGTCAGATAAAAAATATTTTTCTTCTTCTTAATTAATAAAGTCACAAAGCATTCCTTTAGGAAGTGAATTCACAGATATACAAACTTCCAGGCAAGTGCTATGGACTAAAACAACAGGGCCTTCTTTCTAGGACACAGCCTAAGCCTGAGGCTGAGGAAGAAGGAAAAACCCTGCAGCTCCTCACAGAGGAGAATCTGAGGGGGATGATTTTCCCCCAGGCACACATCCCAAACCAACGCTCAACAGCGAGCGTGAGATTTAAAGTCTTACATAGGTCAGGCATGGTGTCTCATGCCTGTAATCCCAGCACTTTGGGAGGCTGAGGTGGGTGGATCACTTGAGGTCAGGAGTTAGAGACCAGCCTGGCCAACATGGTGAAACCCCGTCTCTACTAAAAATAGAAAAATTAGCCAGACTTGGTAGCGGGCACCTGTAATCCCAGCTACTTGGGAGGCTGAGGAGTGAGAATCGCTTGAACCTGGGAGGCGGAGGCTGCAGTAAGTGAAGATTGTGCCACTGCACTCTAGCCTGGGCGACAGAGTGAGACTGTCTCAAAATAAATAAATAAAATAAAATAAAATAAAATCTTATGTAAATGTGAATGTAAAACTCCACAAGAAAACTCCCATGTTATTACACCAAGGAATGCCAAACAAGGACTGGACTGATCTTTAAGAAAATAATAATACTTTTTATACTTAAAAAAGCAGAGAGAAACCTGTTTTCATTTCTTTGACATACCAGCTTCTATCCAATGTACAAGTTTAGCTTCCAGAGTTCTCTCTCTCTCTCTCTTTTTTTTTCTTTTTGAAATGGGGTCTCGCTCTGTCGCTGAACATGATCTCGGCTCACTGCAACCTCCACCTCCTAGGTTCGAGTGATTATCTCACCTCAGCCTCCCAAGTAGCTGGGATTACAGGTGCACTACCACCACGCCCAGCTAATTTTTGTATTCCTAGTCGAGATGGGGGTTTCACCATGTTGCCCAGGCTGGCCTCGAGGTCCTGACCTCAAGTGATCCTCCCGCCTTGGCCTCCCAAGGTGTTGGGAGTACAGGTGTGAGCCACCACGCCCGGCCTCTCTGGTGTTTTCAGGCATCTATGTTAACTTTGTAATGAACATTTTGGACAGCCAGGCAGAGATTCCAGGGAGAATGGGAATTCTCAGTGAAGACTGACACTGGCCTCTTGGTATTCTGCCCACCTGACAGAGCTGTGGAGAGGCTCGGCGACCCGTTGCTGCACAGGACATGGATTATTTTCCTCTTGCCTTTTGTTGAACTGAGTTGAATTAAATCAGCTGCACAAATTTCCTGGAGTCTCAGCATAGCAGTGAGAATGGGAGCTGAGAAGGGCAGTGCTCAGGCTTTGAATTAGACTTTCTAGGAAGTGTTATTTCTCATTAATCAACTGGTTTTGTTTAGATTCTCAACCAGTGACCCCTTGCTTATTTGCATAGACTGGACAATATCCTTCCCTTTCTTTCCTTGGGTTAGTCTCATACAATTTACCCCATTTGTAAAATCTAATTATGAATCAAAAGCTTCAAAAATATTGGTGGCCAGGCATGGTGGCTCATGCCTGTAATCCTAGCACTTTGGGAAGCCGAGGTGGGCGGATCACCTGAGGTCAGGAGTTCAAGACCAGCCTGGCCAACATGGTGAAACCCCATCTCTACTAAAAATACAAAAATTAGCCAGGTGTGGTGGTGCATCCCTGCAGTCCCAGCTACTTGGAAGGCTGAAGCAGGAGAATCGCTTGAACCCAGGAGGCAGAGATTGCAGTGAGCCAAGATCGCACCACTGCAATCCAGCCTGGACAACAGAGCGAGACTCGGTCTCAAAAAAAAATAAAAATAAAAAATAAAAAATAAATTGGTGCTATTGGACCCAGCTCACCTTCTACAAATCTTAAATATGCAAAATAATGTACAACTGCTTAAATAACTCTAGGCTCAGATGTAGTCATTGCATCACTATTTATGATTCAAAAATATTGAAACACAGCCAGGCACGGTGGCTCACGCCTTTAATCCCAGCACTTTGGGAGGCCGAAGCAAGAGGGTCGCTTGAGCCCAGGAGTTTGAGACCTGCCTGGGAAACAAGGTGAGACCCCATCTCTACAAAAAATTAAAATTAAAAAAAATTAGCCAGGCATGGTGACACATACTTGTGGTCTTAGCTACTCAGGAGGCTGAGGTGGGAGAATTGCTTGAGCCTGGAAGGCAGAGGTTGCAGCAAGCCATGATCACACCACTGCACTTCAGAATGGGTGACAAGAGAGAGGCCCTGTCTCAAAAAGAAAAAAGAAAAAAAAAATTGAAAATCTCTAAATGGCTAATTCACCCAATCACTATGTAGTAAAAGTCAGCTATGTGTCCAGAATCAAGCAATGCACTGAGTATACTTAAGGGAGAATGTTAGTCAATTATAAAGAGAAGGTTAATTGAACTATGTAGAATATTTTATATAAATGTAAGAAAGTGGAAAATGTTCATAGTGTATTGTTAAATAGAAATAATCAGAATATACATTATTTAGAAAAAATAATTTGGCCTATTTTTAAAATAAAGTTAAAAAGTATGCCAAGTAATAAAAATGAAAACAGAAAATAAGAGAAGAAAAATAAAACATTTCGAGAGAACACACTGAAATAATAATAAATATTTTTCTTCTTCCTTTCATGTCTCTTTCAGTTTTCATTATTATATAGCACTTTAGTAAGAGAAATGCTTATACAACAACAGGGCTAAATTCTATTTGTAGACTAAGCAAAAGCTGTCTATTAAAAAGTAAACAAGTTGCTAAAACAAACAAAAATCCACGATGACAGGGATTTGTCAATGGGACACAGGAGCCAAGTAAAAGAGCCTCCAGGGGCCAAACGTGGAACAGTTTGAGTAACAAGATAAATAAAATAGTATTGGATTATAATCTGTAGTGTAAAATAAATATCCACGAGTCCACACTAGTATAAGTAAATAATTCAATAAATAAATAAATGGGAGAGAAGAGAAAAATTTCCAGTGCAGAAGAATTCAAATAATTTATGTAGATATTTTACCCTCAAGGAGCTGAAGCATAGCTCCCTGCTCCTTAGGTGCTCACTGTGCAAAGTGGCTTCCTTCCAGTGTGGAGGGAGGGAGGACGGTAACTGTGAAGTGGAGAAACCTCACAAATGCTTCCCCAGCCAGGTGATCAAGGTCAACATTAACAGTCATCTGTTATGTGGATACTATGCACCCTTGACATGATGTGATGAAGACACACTACCTCTGTCGCCTTCATCCTGTAACCTCTTGCTAATCATGAGAAAAACACCAAACTCCAATAGAGGGGCATGCATACCCAACCAGTAGCTCTCAAAACCAGCAAAGTCATCAAAAGCAAAGAAAGTCTGAGAAACTGCCACTACTGGAAGAAGCCTAGGGAGACATGACTTGATGACTCAAATGTAATGTGGGATCCTGAGACAGAAAAAGGACAATAGGTAAAAACTAAGGAGGTCTGAATAAAGTGTGGACTTCAGTTAATAATAATGAACAAGGCTAAGCACTGGGGAGCACGCCTGTAATCCCAGCACTTTGGGAAGCCGAAGCAGGAGGATGGCTTGAGCCCAGGAGTTTGAGATCAGCATGGGCAACAAAGTGAGACCCCCCCACCTCTACAAAAAAATTTAAAAAAATTAGCCGGTGGCACATGCCTGTAGTTTCAGCTACTTGGAAAGCTAAGGTGGGAGGATTGCTTGGGCCCAGGAAGTTGAGGCTGCAGTGAACCATGATGATGCCACTGCACTCCAGCCTGGGCGACAGAGCACTAAACCCTGTCTCAAAAAAAAAAAAAAAAAAAAAAAAAAAAGGACTCTTGGTATGCAATTCTAGTCAATTCCTTCGAGGAACAGTGCCACCTAGTGTTCTGTCACATAAATGACCAGTGGTGGTTCTGGTCACTTGACTTTCCACAGCTGTACATTACCTTAAGCCCTCTTCAGAACTGAAAAGAATAATGATTCGAAAATGTGTTTCCCTCCACCCCTCAAGAAAGCATTCATAATTTCAAATAACTGCTGGGTAATTAAATTTATATTACTTGGATTTATTCACAACCTCATCCTAGAATCTTTCTGTTTATAAAATACCTATTTCTATTTTCAAAAATCCAGTCCAAAAATAATGTGAATGAAAGAGATGTTATCAGAAATACAAGCTCACAAAAAAGTAATATAGTAATAACATATTACTATATAAATAATACAGTCATTTTATATTTATATTTTTATTTATTTATTAAAATAGAGATGGGAGTCTCTCTATGTTGACCAGGCTGGACTCAAACTCCTGACCACAAGCGATTCCTTCATCTCAGCCTCCCAAAGTGCTAGGATTACAAGCATGAGCCACCGGGCCCTACCGAGTCAATTTTTTAAAGTTACAAAATAGCTTAAGCTTTATAAGATGGTTGATCTCAATTATAAGTGTCAGTTCTAGAAACTGTAAAGCTACAACAAGTTAACATTGTTATTTAACTTTAATCCAACACTCACATAAAGTTCCCTTGCTTAATAACTGCATGGTTATTTTAATATCAGATTGTTGTTTATAAAGTTAAACCTTTATTAATAAACAGTAAGAGAAAAATGAATTCGATCAAAGTCTAAAACATGCAAATGAAAAAAATCAAATGATTAGCTAATATATATTGTTTATTGAACCTGAATAAATTTCAAAATATGTTATAAAAGAAAGAAACACGGCTGAAATAACTGGCACCTTGCAATTGCAAATTAGCAATGTAGCAGTTGCTTACAACATAAATGGCAAGAATTGACCTTTTCCCCTTATTTCCTATACACTTGGCAATATGGAATAAAAAACCCCACTCTAGTTAATTTGAGTGCCACTTCTTGCCCTCTTCTGACCACAGTGACATACTGCGATAGGCCCTTAAAGAGATTATCTCCAGCCGGGCATGGTGGCTCAGCACTGGTAATCCCAGCAATTTGGGAGACTGAGGCAGGAGGATCATCTGAGGTCAGGAGTTCGAAACCAGCCTGGCCAACATGGTGAAACCCCATCTCTACTAAAAATACAAAAATTAGCTGGGCATGGGGGCAGGTGCCTGTAATTCCAGCTACTCAGGAGGCTGAGACAGGAGAATCGGTTGAACCCAGGAGACGGAGGTTGCAGTGAGCTGAGATTACACCACCACTGCGCTCCAGCCTGGGCGACAGAGCAAGACTCCGTGTCAAAAAAAAAAAAAAAAAAAAAAAGATTATCTCTGTCACACTTTGGACTAAGAGATGTACCCATGTGTAGGAAATCATCTTCAAATAAGTTTTTTTTAATTATTATTATTTTTTTTCCAGATTTCACTAATACTTAGTTGGTAGAGAGTGTAAAGGCATTGCTAGCAATATGTCCAGGTTATTCTAGGTGTTTTGGTTTGGCTTTTCACATAATAATTTCTTTTAGATTGGAGCTTAAAAAAAGGTTTCCTGAAAGCAAGAAACTTACTGCCTAACTTAAATAATGACATGTGTCTGCTAATAATTTGTGCTATTAGTTGACATTTTTGCCCTGGAAATATTAAAACTATTCAGCTAATATACAAAAATCAGTAGCATTTTTATAGGCCAACAGCCAATAATCTGAAGAAGAAATTGAGAAAACAATCCCATTTACAATAGCTACAAAAAAATAAAATGCCTAGCCAGGCGCGATGGCTCACACCTGTAATCCCAGCACTTTGGGAGGCCGAGGTGGGCGGATCACCTGAGGTCAGGAGTTGGAGACCATCCTGGCCAACTTGGTGAAACCCTGTCTCTACTAAAAATACAAAAAATTAGCCAGGCATCGTGGCGGGCGCCTGCAGTCCCAGCTACTCGGGAGGCTGAGGCAGGAGAATTGCTTGAACCCGGGAGGTGGAGGTTGCAGCAAGCCAAGATCGCGCCATTGCACTCCAGCCTGGGCAACAAGAGTGAAACTCCATCTAAAAAAATAAAATAAAATAAAATAAAATAAAATAAAATGCCTAGGGATATACTTAGTCAAAGAAGTGAAAGATCTCTACAATGAAAGTTAGAAAAACATTGATGAAACAAGTTGAAGAGGACACAGAAAGATGGAAAAGTATCCCACGCTCATGAATTGGAAGAATTAATATTGTTTAAATGTTTATACTACATAAAACGGTCTACAGATTTAATGCAATCCCTATCAAAATACCAATTACGTTCTTCCTGGAAATAGAAAAATAAATCCTAAAATTCATAGGATCACAAGATTCCAGCTAGCCAAAGCAATCCTAAGCAAAATGAAAAGTTGGAGGCACCACATTACCTGACTTCAAGATATGCTGCAAAGCTATAGTAATCAAAACAGTATGGAACTGGCATAAAAACAGACACATATACCAGTGGAACCAAACAGAGAACACGGAAATAAATCCACACATTTACAGCCAACTCATTTTTGACAAAGGCACCAAGAATATATGTTGGGGAAGGACAGTATCTTCAATAAACAGTGTCGATGACACTGGATATCCACATGCAGAAGAATGAAATGAGACCCCCTAACTCTCACTATATACAAAAAACCAAACGAAAATAGATTCAAGACTTAAATGTAAGACCTGAAACTATCAAACTACTGAAAAAAAATTGGAGAAACTCTTCAGTACATGGGTCTGAGCAAAGATTTATTGAGCAAGACCTCACAAGCACAGGTGACCAAAGCAAAAATTGACAAATGAGATTACATCAAGCTAAAAAGATTCTGCACAACAAAGGAAACAATGAACAAGGTGAAGAGGCAACCCACAGAATGGGAGAAAATGTTTGCAAACTACCCATCCAATAAGGGATTAATAGGCAGAATATATAAGGAACTCAACTCAATAGCAAAGAAACAAATAATCCAATTTAAAAATGGGCAAATGATTTGAACAGACATTTTTCAAAAGAAGACATACAGGCCCAGGCGCAGTGGCTCGTGCCTGTAATCCCAGCACTTTGGGAGGCCGAGGCAGGCAGATCACGAAGTGAGGAGTTCGAGACCAGCCTGACCAACCTGGTGAAACCCCATCTCTACTAAAAATTAGCTGGGCGTGGTGGCACATGCCTGAAATCCCAGCTACTCAGGAGGCTGAGGCAGGAGAATCGCTTGAACCCAGGAGGCAGAGGTTGCAGTGAACCGAGATGGTGGCATTGCACTCCAGCCTGGGTGACAGGGTGAGACTCTGTCTCAAAGAAAAAAAAAAAAAAGACGTACAAATGGCCAGCAGGTATATGGTAAAATGACCAACTGATCACCAGTGAAATGCAAATCAGGGCCGGGCACGGTGGCTCACACCTGTAATCCCAGCACTTTGGGAGGCTGAGGCAGGTGGATCATGAGGTCAGGAGATCGAGACCATCCTGGGTAACATGGTGAAAACCCGTCTCTACTAAAAATACAAAAAATTAGCTAGGAGTGGTGGTGGGCGCCTGTAGTCCCAGCTACTCAGGAAGATGAGGCAGGAGAATGGCATGAACCCAGGAGGCGGAGCTTGCAGTGAGCCGAGATCACGCCACTGCACTCCAGCCTGGGCGACAGAGCGAGACTCCATCTCAAAAAAAAAAAAAAGAAATGCAAATCAAAATCACAATAAGATATCATTTCACCCCAGTTAGAATGGTATTATCAAAAAATCAAAAAATAATAAATGCTAGCAAGGATGCAGAGAAAAGGGAACACTTGTACCCTGTTGATGGAAATGTAAGTTAGTACGACCACTATGGAAAACACTATGAAGGTTCCTCAAAAAACTAAATTAGAGTTACCATAGGATCCAGCAATCCCACTGCTAGGTATATACCCCAAAGAAAGGAAATCCATATATCGAAGAGATGTCTGCACTCCCATGTTTATTGCAGCACTATTCACAGTAGCCAAGATATGGAAGCAACTTAAGTATCCATCAACAGGTGAATGGATAATGAAAATGTGGTACATGTGCACAATGAAATATTATTCAGCCATAACAAAGAATGAAATTCTGTCATTTTCGGCAACACGGATGAAACTGGAGGACACCATGTTAAGTGAAATAAGCCAGGCACAGAAAGACAAATATCACATGTTCTCACTTGTATGTGGGAACTAAAAAGAAAATAATCTCATGGAGGTGGTGAATAGAATGGTGAAGGAGAGTGGGGACGTGGATGAAGGGGAGTTGGTTAAAGGGTACAAAAATCTGTTGATATGGAAGGGATAATTTCAAGTGTTCATCAGCACAATAGGGTGACTAAGTATTACCGCAGTACAAGAATTTGGACAAAGTTGATTTGACAGACAAACTTGATGATTACTGGAAAATTTTCCTTTCCAACTATGCCCTTGCCCTGAACCCCCTTCTTACCTGGAGCTTGCAACTTACTTTCCCCGTTCAGGGTGACTCTTACCCCACGCAGATCCACCCTGAAATCAGGACTGCAAAGAGGTGCCCCTGAGCTAGGTGCCTTTCCATTGTCCACAGCACCAGATAAGTGATGCTTTGTTCTCCAGGTCTTGTCTTATTCATGGTGACATTTACCATATGGTATAAACACAGCTGGTTTTCCCTGATAGAGAAAGCTGAATAGTTTTCCCGGTGATAGAAATGAACAAAAAGTGAAGCCATCTGAGAAAGTGATGCCTCTGACTGAGGAAATAAGGGCATATAGGACAGTCAGCTGTCTGGTTGGGCAATGGCTCTGACATGCACTAGGAATCTGCAGAAAACCAAGAAGCAATTGACAAGTCTCTTACTGCAAGGCTCTAAACAGTGCAAACAACAGGTAAAACTACTAAAGAGGCTACACACAGGACACAGGTGACCTGCAACAGAGCTATCAGGCAGAAGGCCCTGTTTGCACCAATGCTCCAGACAAGTCCCCAGGGACACAGATCTAAGGGCTTCCTCCTGCCAGCTACTCCCGGGGTACAATTCTTTTAAGTCCTTCCAGAAACATTTTCCTTTTCACAACATGAACACATCAGAACAACTATCAATGCTCGATCACGCTGCTCTCCCTCCTGAGCTAAAGCAGGTCCAGGTATAAGCTGGAGCCAATACCTGACAGAGCCCACAACTGCCCAAGGTACAAGAAACACTCCTGAGACTGACCCTCTAGGCCCCAGAAGGAGAATAGAGCCTGGGTTTTATGATGTCTGAAGATAGAGAACTTTTGTTTTGCAGTAACACAGGTTTTATGAGTATAGAGTTTGCTCTTTCGTCTCAAATTCCAGGACATGGTAAAGAAAAGACTGGGACTATTTTTGTGTTATCATGCTAATAAAAGCATGGGCAATGGTGCATTTCTGTGGAACTGGTGTTGTAAATGCTCTGTGCTCTGATGGTTTCCACTGATTTCACGGTTTCCAAACCTTGAGACCTATTGGTGTCAAGAGTGTTGGCACGTGGAGAAGAGAATGAAACAAGCCTCCAATGCTTGCAACAGAGAGGCAGTTTTTCTGGGCTGGGAAAGGTGTACAGGACAGAAAGGAAAAATGCTGTGAGATGGAGATAGACTCCACAGCCAAGTCTCACAGAAATAGAAACAACGAAGTGTACTGGTAGGGCCTTCAAGAAGAAAGGGCTGGAAGGAGCAGCCTTTTGCTGTGCCAAGTTGTGCTTACTAAGAACAGTGAGTGGGTCCTTGGTGAGGAAGACAGAATTCATCTCCTCACCAGACAGCAGAGCCAGCAAAGGGCCAGGAGAGCTGACAGGCCATGATGAGATGCAGCAGCAAGCCCAAGGGGCACGCTACAGGGCTCCCTGCAGTGATGTGTGGGCTCCGTGGGACTCTCCAATCACCGTCCACCAAGGACAGAGGTGACATTTGTTGTTACTGCATTTTGTTTGTTACACCCCATCTCTAAAGTGGAGATAAAGCCATCTACCTCAGAAGGCCATACGCAGGGGCCAGTGCATGTGAAGATGTTTAACACAGGACCTGACACAGAACAGGCACTCAAAAAAGATTGTAATTTTCTTATCTAAGAAAGTGATGATAAGGATACTTGCAAGTGAGTAATGCCAGGCTATAACTGTCATGAGTATGTCTTCCTTATTTTGTTACGAATATGTTTGTGGGTCTGTATACACAGATTATTTCTTTCCTCTCTTATTCCCTTATCATGTAACATAACATGCAGTGACTTTAGGACAGGCGCCGTGACTCACACCAGTAATCCCAGCACTTTGGGAGACCGAGGCTGGTGGATCACCTGAGGTCAGGAGTTCGAGACCAGCCTGGCCAACATGGCGAAACCTCTTCTCTACTAAAAATACAAAACTTAGCCAGGCGTCGTGGTGCGCAGGCAGGCAGAGGTGCGTGGGGCAGGCAGAGGTTGCAGTGAGCTGAGATCATGCCACTGCACTCCAGGCTGTATGACAGAGTGAGACTCTGTCTCAATTTAAAAAAAATGAAGGCCGGGCATGGTGGCTCAAGCTTGTAATCCCAGCACAGCACTTTAGGAGGCCGAGGTGGGTGGATCACGAGGTCAGGAGTTCGAGATCAGCCTGACCAACATGGTGAAACCCCGTCTCTACTAAAAATACAAAAATTAGCAGGGTGTGGTGGCGGTGCCTGTAATTCCAGCTACTCAGGAGGCTGAGGCAGGAGAACCACTTGAACCTGGGAGGTGGAGGTTGCAGTGAGCCGAGATTGCACCATTGCACTCCAGCCTGAGTGACAGAGCGAGACTCTGTCTCAAAGAAAAAAAAAAGTATTGACTTTATATCAATATTTAAGTATTGTTAATTTTACGTCATAGCATTTAATTTATGAACTATCAGGAGAAGAGTAAACATCACTCTAGGACTTTGCCTCCTCCTCCTAGGAAGGAGTTAGTGTGTTTCTCCTGGTACAGTGGAGTTGTATCATGTTAGACCCAAGTATGACCTTGTTACTCTCTTTATTTGGAGATGAAGTATGGTTTAAGGAGATGGTAAGAAGTGGACAAGAGAAGGACTGGGCTGGTTAACTTTTTGTGTCCACTTGACTGGGCTGAGGGAAGCTTATATCGTGGGGAAAACCATATTTCTGGGTGTGTCTGTGATGGACTTTAGAGGGGCTCACACTGGAATCGGGGAGGCTGAGTGAAGAAGCTCCCCTTCACAGCATGGGTGGGCGTCACTGATCTGCTGGGGGCCTGAACAGAGCAAAAGGTGGAGGAAGGCGCATTGGCTTTCTCTGCTTGAGCTGGGACATCCACCTCCTCCTGCCCTCAGACATGGAGCTCCTGGTTCTTGGGTCTTCAGACTCGGAAACCAGAACCCTCAGAACTCCCACGGTTGCAGACAGCAGATCATGGGACTTCTCAACCTCATAATTGTGCGAGACAATTCCCAGAATAAATGTGTGGGGGGTGTGTGTGTGTGTATTTATATACACACATCTTATTGGTTCTGTTTCTTTGAAGGACTCTGACTAATACAGCAGCCAGTGGGCATATTTTGTCAGGTGGGGCTCCAGCCAAGTGAAATATGACTTCCCCCCTCCCCTACAAGGCAACCAGGCACCCTCAGGCCATGACGTGGGGAGCATTTTCTACTCCTCACCTGCGCCTTACACCCAGGCAGCTCCCTGTCATCTCCTCTCTTCTTTGCAGAGTGCCCCTAGGATACCCAAGAATGAATTCCTCTCAATGGTGCCACCGCTGGGTCCATGCTTTGGGCTTTTGGCCTCCAAAACAGGATTCTCCTCAGCTCCCACTTCTTGCTCTCTCCAAAGATGAATACAAGGCCCTTTCTCCTTTAAAGATTTCTTATCATAGAGGAATAAAAATTACAAAATAGTCACCAACTCCTGACATAGTGACTGCTGGTCTGTAGTGCCCAAATTCTGAGCCAACAGAGAGAAGGTCCAATGGACCTGGGCTGTCCCTTCATGTCCCTTGAGACAGTGAGCTTTCAACAAGTACACCTCCCTTCACTCTCAACATCAGAAAGTGGGGTGGATTTAGTGGAATTTTCTTTGCAAAATGATTATAAGGGTCAAGAGCTGTGGTTCACATTTACAATCCCAGCATTTTGGGAGGCCAAGGTGGGCGGATCACTGGAGCTCAGAAACCAGCTTGGGCAACATGGGGAAACCTCACCTCTACAGAAAATACAAAAATTGGCCAAGTGTAGTGTCATGTGCCTGTAGTCCCAGCTACTTGGGAGGCTTAGGTGGGAGGATCAATTGAGCCAAGAGGCGGAGTGAGCCAAGATCACACCTAGTGAGCCAAGATCACACCACTGTACTCCAGCCTGGGTGACAGAGCCAGACCCTGTCTCAAAAAAAAAAAAAAAGTTTATAAGGATATTTATGAAAGGACATATGGTTATATACTTTTATAAATCAACTTGTAAGTCAATTTAAAAATAAGTAAAAATTATAGACAACGAAAGTGTTTCCTTATGAATGAAGTGTGATTTCAGTAGTAATGAAACTCCTCACCATTTTGGTGTTTGTTGAACAATAATTTCAGAAATTGTTCACTGGTTTTACAAAATGTCACACATAACTGTAGTTATAAAGCTATCCCTTAAGAATTGGGTAGATTTAAAACATTACAGCGTTGTCATGACTTTCAGTGCCATGGGTAGGTGGGTTGAGGTCCCAGAGATTTATAATGGAATGAGGTGTGGAGTGTGCCTCACTACAGGTGTGCACACATTCCACTGACTGCTCAGGCAGATTCCTGACCCAGGGTTATGTTATTAAATTTTCAGGGAAAAAAAGTCCCCCTCAGGAATCTCTTCAATGTTGAAATTAAATTGTGCAATGATCTAAATGTGCTCTAATAAATGTTATACCAATCCTGAATCCCTGGGTTTAATAAAAACATAGAAAGATAGATTGTGCTGTGAGTGAATTCTGGGGGCTGAGAAACTAGAGACATTTCAAAGAAACAGGATGGGTGGAGAGGGAGAGGGGACCCTGAGAGCTGGTCTAAAACTCCACTCCCAGTGAGGGGCCACAGAGTGCCAGCGCAGGACACTGTAGTCTCTGATCCCACAAAACGGCCCATGAGAAGGAAAGCATGAGCACCCTATTTAGAGAATGTGGGAAATGGAGCCAGGGGTGTTGGTCTGATTCCCTTGGTTCTTGGGCAGATCCAGTGAGGAGGAGGAGAAAGAAGACCTCAATTCCAGATTGATTTTGTTGCTACAGTGTATTGTAGACACCCTCCACAGCACCCTGGGAGCCTCAAGGGAGAAAGAGAAAAAATAAGCAAAGCAATTGGCTCCACTGAGTGAGGCTGCTTCTCTTTGGTCAAATCCAGGACATTGGACCGTGGATCTCCAACAAAGGAATCCACAACCCAGGAGATGCAGGGAGGGAATTACAGGCAGGCAGTTCTGTTTGCTCCCCATGGCTCTCCCAGCTGTTTTCACGTGAGGGCATTTTCACTTTTTATTGATTACATGCACAATCCGATATTTTGACATGTCTATGCCATCATGTCACTGCAACTACGATCAAGATGTAGAACATTTCCATCATCCCAAAGAGTTCCTCCCTGTTTCTTTGCACCCTCCACCCTTATCCCACCCCAGGCAACCGCTCCTCTATCTTCTGTGCCATAGTTTTGCCTTTTCTAATTTTGCAGACATAGAATCATATAGTGCGAAGACTTTTTGCTTCATTTTTAAGGAAGAATTACTTGGGGGTTCACCTGTCCTTTCCTGGGTCCCTGTGTCCCTCAGATGTCATCATGGTTCTGGCAACCCTACCCTCGTGGTTGCAAAAGCCCCCCAGTCACATTGACAGCTGGCTGCCTTGCAAGGTCAGAGCAGACAGGGGTCTTGCATGTTCTTCAGAAGGGAGCCTCTAGAAGACTTCTAGGACTCTCTCAGCATAACTTGGACAACTCTTCACTCTGCCTTTTCAAAGATCTCCCTCCCAGCCTGGCATGAGGAGGGAATGAAAAGAGTGATGTCCAGGCACAGCGAACTCTATCCTGGCCTAAGAATTTAGCAAAGGTGACAGAGGCACTGAAAGCCACCATCAGGTTACATGGAGTGAGTGTGTTGGGCAGAGGGAATAAAACACCAGTGCAAAGTTGGGTTTGTCTGTTTCCCCCCGAAATCACACATCAACTTAAATTCTCATCAAACAAAGCATCTTTTTGAAAGACTTGTCCTGAGTGAAGAGAGTGGGAGGAAAATTCTTCCTCAGGATTAAGTCCATGGTGGGGCAGAAGAGGCTGAAGAGCAGAGAGTGATATCATCTGAAGAGAGCTTTGACAGACAGGCCAGGCTCAGCCAATGACAGGCTCCTGCCCCGACCTCTGAAAGTGTGGAAAACTCACTCTGGGCTGAGATGGGTGCAGCCCATGGGGGCCCCAGAGTCAAGTGAAGGCATAGAGAGAAGCACTCCTGACAAAATCAGATTGTTTATGTTCTTACAGATGGACCTTCTTCCAAGAGGAATCAGCAGAGCCAGAAAGCAAGAGGAGCCAGAAAGCAAGAAGGTTGGATTTTGTTTTAATCCTTTCTAGGCAAAGGGATAGAAATCAACAGGTGCAGTTCATCCCTCTATGTCAGGAACTATGCTAAGTGCTTTACGATGAGAACATATCTATGTTCTCATCAAATTAAAGAAAAAAATAGTTTTTCCAGTTTCTAAATTGTTTATTTTTATTTTTCTTTAAAGACAGGGTTTCTCTCTGTTGCCCAGGCTGGAGTGCAATGGTGCAATCAGAGCTCACTTCAGCCCCCACATCCCAGGCTCAGGCTCCAGCTTCAGCCTCCCAAGTAGCTGGAACCATGGGTGTGAGCCACCATGCCCAGCTAATTTTTATATTTTTTGTAGAGACGGGGTCTCGCTATGTTGCCCAGGCTGGTCTTGAACCCCTGAGTTCAAGCGATCCTCCTGCCTTGGTTCCCAAAGTGCTAGGAATACAGGTGTGAGCCACTGCCACTGTTCCTTTTTCTTTTTTCTTTCTTTTTTTTTTTTTTTTAAAGAAGGGAACAGCTGACGTGGCAATGAAAAGAAAATACTTATTTTTTTTTTTTTAAAGTAAAAGTGGAAGAATAAAGAAGGGATGAGAAAAGCTCACCGTTTCTCCACACAGGCTGCAGGCTTATAGTGGCACGCTCTTATGCTCTGCTTTGTTTTGACCAAACCAGCTCTGTAGGATGGATTGATGAACAACAGAATTTTTAGATTCAATTAAGGAAGGTAGAGCTTTTTCCAAGGTCCTTATAGAGAAAAGGGTGTCCAAGAGTCCAAGATTAGCCTCACCAGTCACTCCCAGAATCACACAAGAGAGAGCTATCCTTAAGCCAATTAAGCCAAGAAGAGCGATAAGTCATACATTTCTGTGGACGTTTCCATCACATACAGTTGACCTTTGAACAACACAGGTTTATGCTGCAAAGGTCCACAATATATTGCTTGCCAGTATATTGGTGTGTGCCTGTAACCCCAGGTACTTTGGAGGCCAAGGCAGGGGGATTGCTTCAGGCCAGGAATTCTAGACCAGACTGGGCAATATAACGACACACCGCATCTCTTTCCTTTCTCTTTTCTTTCTTTTTTTTTTTTAGATGGAGTCTCAATCTTGTCACCCAGGCTGGAGTGCAATTGCGCGATCTTGGCTCGCTGCAACCTCCACCTCCTGGGCTCAAGCAATTCTCCTGCCTCAGCCTCCCGAGTAGCTGGGATTACAGGCACCCACCACCACGCCCGGCTAATTTTTGTATTTTTGGTAGAGACAGGATTTCACCATGTTGGCCAGGCTGGTCTCGAACTCCTGACCTCAGGTGATCCGCCCACCTCGGCCTTCCAAAGTGCTGGGATATACAGGCATGAGCCATCGCGTCCGGCCGTCTTCCTTCCTTCCTTCCTTCCTTCCTTCCTTCCTTCCTTCCTTCCTTCCTTCCTTCCTTCTTTCTCTTTCTCTCTTTCTTTCTTTCTCTCTCTCTGTATATATCTAGAGAGAGAGAGAGAATTTTCATATATATATGAAAATTTTTTGGAGATTTGTGACAATTTGAAAAACTCAAAGATGAACCTCATAGCCTAGAAATATCAAAAAATTAAGAAAAACTGCCAGACACGGTGGCTCACGCCTATAATCCCAGCACTTAAGGAGGCCAAGGCAGGCAGATCACTAGGTCAGGAGTTCAAGACCAGCCTGACCAACAGGGTGAAACCCCATCTCTACTAAAAATACAAAAATTAGCCGGGCATGGTGGTGCACGCCTGTAATCCCAGCTACTCAGGAGGCTGAGGCAGGAGAATCGCTTGACCTGGGAGGCAGAGGTTGCAGTGAGCCAAGACTGCAACAGAGTGAGACTCCGTCTCAAAAAAAAAAAAAAAAATTAAAAACGTAGATATGTCATTAAGGCATAAAATGCATGTAGATACTATTCGATTTTATTATTTGCTACCATAAAATATACACAAATTTATTATAAAAATCTATCAAAACTTACATGCACACACTTACAGACCATACATGGCACCATTTATAGTTGAGAGAAATGTAAACAAATATAAAGATGCAGTATTAAATCATTGATACATAAAATTAACTACAGTACATGCTATACTCTAATAATTTCATAGCCGCCTTCTGTTGCTATTGCACTGATCTCAAGTGTGTGAGTACCCACTTAAAATGCCCTGTCCCGCTAATCATCTTCCCATGAGCAGTCTCTCCAGTAAACTGCATGTAGCAGTAAAAAGTGATCTCTTGTGGTTCTCTCGTCTTTTTTATCCTGTTTAGTGCAAAACTGTAAGCCTTGAATAACACCATGGGACCCATACAAAATGCCACTAGCGATGAAGTAAGTATCCCAAGAAGCAGATAAAAGTGATGACATTACAAGAAAAAGCTGAATTGCTTGATATGTACCATAGATTGAGGTCTGCAGCTGCAGTTGTGGGCCATTTTAGACAGACAATTCATCTTATAAACAGACAAGATAAACTTAGATCAAGTACTGTAAATGTATTTTCTAATTTTATGATTATTTTTCTTTTTTTTTTAGAGACAGGGTCTCACTCTGTTGCTCAGACTGAAGTACAGTGGCTATTTACAGGCATGATCATACCACGGGAACATCAGCTCCTGGGCTCAAGGCATTCTCCTGCCTCAGCCTCCAGACTAGTTAGGACTATAGCCACATGAAATATTAATAATATTTTTTAACGGGAATTATACTTAATTGTAAAGGTTAGTGTTCTTATATATAGAATAAATAAAATTTCATTTACTACCTTCCACTATGTATTAGGTTGGTGCAAAAGTAATTGCTGTTTTTGCCATTACTTTTAAATGGCAAAAACCGTAATTACTTTTGCACCAACGTAATAAAATGGTTAGTAACTTTGGTCTCACCTGAATATATAAATGATGGCCTAATGGTTTGTGGATGGGGCCATGGGGTATGCACCTTCTATATAATATATAGGATTGGGGAACCTCCTAGTTCTAAGACATAAAACTTCTGTCCTGGCTGGGCAAGGTGGCTCATGCCTGTAAGCTCAGTACTTTGGGAGGCCAAGGCGGGCAGATCACCTGAGGTCAGGAATTCTACATCAGCCTGGCCAACATGGTGAAACCCTGTCTCTACTAAAAATACAAAAATTAGCCGGGCATGGTGGCGGGCACCTATAATCCTAGCTAGTCGAGGGGCTGAGGCAGGAGAATTGCTTGAAACTGGGAGGCGGAGGTTGCAGTGAGCCAAGATTGTGCAACTGCACTCCAACCTGGGCGACAGAGTAAGACTCTGTCTCAAAAAAAAAAACAAAAAAACAGAAACAAAAAAAAACAAAAAACTCTCTGTCCTTATTTAGCTTTTACAACTTTTCCTCTTCAGTGCCTTCTTAGTTTTTTTGTTTTTGTTTTTGTTTTTGTTTTTGTTTGAGACAGGGTCTTGCTGTGGCTCAGGCTGGAGTGCTGTGGCACTAGCTGGGCTCACTGCAACATCCACTCTCCAGCCTCAAGGGGTCCTCCCACCTCGGCCTCCTGAGTAGCTAGGACTACAAGAGTGCTCAACCATGCCCAGCTAATTTTTTATTTTTATTTTTTTGTAGACAAGGCCTTTCTATTTTGCCCAGGCTAAAAAAACCCAAAAACTTGTTTTATTGAATGTTACTAGACTCTTTGCTATGGCTACTTTAAAATAAAAACTTGTAACACTTCTCTAAACTTGTTAATGCCAATATTCTCAGTTATCTCATCAGAATTCAAACAGTAAAACCTCTTGTAATTATTCATGGAGCATAATAACATCACCCTTACTAAATGTGGTTTTTTTCTTTTTATTTTTCTTTTTTGAGATAGGGTCTCTCTCTGTTACCCAGGCTGGAGTGCAGTGGAGCAATCTCAGCTCACTGTAACCTCCACTTTCTCGGTTCAAGCGATTCCCGTGCTTCAGCCTCCTCAGAATTACAGGCGGGCACCACCAGGCCTGGCTAATTTTTGTATTTTTAGTAGAGACAGGATTTCACCATGTTGGCCAGGCTGGTCTCAAAGTCCTGGGCTCAAGCGATGCACCTACCTCGGCCTCCCATAGTGCTGGGATTACAGGCGTGAGCCACCGTGCCAGCCACTAATTGTGTTTTATAGCCAGAAGAGAAAATTGGCATCACATCTACTTGGGATCATGGAAAAATGATTTATCTTCAATATAATCAGAATTCTGGAATTTCAAAGCTGAGAGGGACTTCTGAGGTCGTTTAGTTTAAACCTTCATACATCAGGTATCTGAGTCCCAGAGGTTAAATGATTTGCTGAAGGACCAACCTGAGAGAAGAACAGGAACTGGAACACATGTCTTTCAATACCAAATCTTGTGATCCAAAAACTCCATGTTGCATGGTTGATTACAAATATATAACCATAACTTGAATGCTACTGCTATATTATTGACACGTACTTCAATGCTCTCTCATTGTACCAGGATGTAATTATCAGGATCTGCCTCTGCTGGGCATCTTTCCTTTCGTTCATTGATTTCATGGTCCATCACTTGGTAATATTATTGGTAATATATTCCACTCCCTTGTCATTTCTTTCACCATTGCCATAATCTAGTAAACCCCAATCTTGGATTAATACAACAATTTGCTTTCCCTGTGTCTAAATCTTTTTTTTTTTTTTTTTTTGAGGTGGAGTTTCACTCTATTGCCCAGGCTGGAGTGCAATGGCACAATCTAGGCTCACTGCAACCTCCGCCTTCCAGTTTCAAGTGATTCTCATGCCTCAGCTTCCTGGGTAGCTGGGATTACAGGCGCCCGCCACCATGCCCAGCTAATTTTTATATTTTTAGTAGAGATGGGGTTTCACCATGTTGGCTGGGCTGGTCTTGAACTCCTGACCTTGTGATCCGCCCACCTCGGCCTCTCAAAGGGCTGGGATTACAGGCTTGAGCCACCGCAACCGGCCTTTTTTTTTTTTTGAGACGGAGTCTCACTCTGTCACCCAGGCTGGAGTGAGGTGGCGCGATCTCGGCTCACTGCAACCTCCAACTCCCGGGTTCAAGAGATTCTCGTGCCTTAGCCTCCAGAGTAGCTGGGATTACAGGCACCCACCATCACGCCTGGCTAATTTTTGTATTTTTAGTAGAGATGGGGTTTCACCATGTTGGCCAGGCTGGTCTTCAACTCCTGACCTCAGGTGATCCACCCGCCTCAGCCTCCCAAAGTGCTGGGATTGCAGGCATGAACCACTGCACCCAGCCGCCCTGTGTCTAAATCTTGATCACCAAGGGCAACTGGAGAAAAAAATAACAAAGTTGCTCATATTGGTGTCACTGTAAAAACGAGGTCATATATCCCAGTAATCCTTCTGTTTTCTGATCAGCTCTATATTGCTCCTGTTCATCCCCATGCTTTTTCAAACTTCTGCATGCTCTGCCAATCTTAGATCCCACCAGATCCCTCCTAATTTAGCATCTGAGGCTTTCTCTTATTCACAGAGACACTGAGAATCACATAGGAGAACTTTCTGAACTCTGGGCATAAACAAGTGAACTGACCTGCCACAGGCCTTGTCCTTACCTCATTCCTTCTAGTTACAACCAGAAAGGGGTTGTGGTATCCCCCTCCTCTCCTAGCTCATTCCCCTGCCAACTTATATTCCATACTCCGACATTCTTGGGAGGCTCACTCTGTTACTCTCCACGCTGTTCACCTCTTGTCTCCCAACTGCCTCCTTCCCAACAGCATTTTTTTTTTTTTTGAGACAGAGTCTCACTCTGTCGCCCATGCTGGAGTGCAGTGGCGTGATCTCAGCTCACAGCAACCTCCGCTTCCTGGGTTCAAGTGATTCTTCTGCCTCAGCCTCCCAAGTAGCTGGGATTACAGGTGCCCACCGCCGCACCCGGCAAATATTTTTATTTTTATTAGAGAAGTTTTCACCATGTTGGCCAGGCTAGTCTTGAACTCCTGACCTCAAGTGATCCACCCATCTCAGTCTCCCAAATTGCTGGGATTACAGGCATGAGTTACCGTGTCCGGCCCCCCATCAGCATTTAAACAGCTGAAACCTCATCTGAAAAACACAAACCTTGCATTGCTGCCTTCCAGATTTGCCCTCTTTTTTTTTTTAATTAATTTACTTTTGGAGATGGGAGTCTTGCTATGTTGCCC
This sequence comes from Homo sapiens, assembly GCF_000001405.40. Taxonomy (NCBI): domain Eukaryota; kingdom Metazoa; phylum Chordata; class Mammalia; order Primates; family Hominidae; genus Homo; species Homo sapiens. The sequence continues at coordinate 56,045,741 of NC_000008.11, forward strand.
AGGCTGGCCTTGAAGTCCTGGGCTCAAGCAATCCTCCTACCTTAGCCTGCCAAGTAGTTGGAATTATAGGAGAGCCACTGTGCCTGGCTCTTGTTCTCTTATCTCCTCTAGAGCCAAACATTCCAAAGGATATCTTTGTGCACTCTCTCTCCATTCTCTCAGCCTCCTCCCACTCTCAGTCTTCTTCTGTCTACCTCCCATCTCCACACCTCTTTGACATTATCTCTGTATAAATTTTTGCTAAATTTAAGACTCTTATTTATGTTGTACTTTATCTGACCCAGTTGATACCTTGCTCATCTTGAAATATGTCCCTTGGCTTCCCTCATTCCGCAATCCCTTCGTTTTTCTCCATTACACTTATGCATTTGTTTCCTCTCAGGACTGGTGTCCTGCAGGGCTTCGTTCAGCCCCTCTTCTCATCTCATTCGACACAAGTCCCCGGGGCCTCTTGTCCATCCCCGGGACTGCCATTATCATCCTCGTGCGAGGTCCCCATACCTGCATCACTCTTCATTTATCTGTCTTTCTCAGATTCAATCGATTTCCAAATATAGTAGATTATACTTCTGAAAACATCTCATAGTGATAGTGCTTTCTCTATCCCAACGCCCACTATTTTAGTTCAAGTTGCATTCAGCTCTGGCCTGAACTCCTCTGATGGTCTCCCCAACTTCAGACTTCTCTCTCCCTTTCTTCCTTTTTTTTTTTCTTTTTTTTTTTTTGAGACAGAGTCTTGCTCTTTTGCCCAGGCTGGAGTGCAGTGGTGTGATCTCAGCTCACTGCAACCTCCACCTCCAGGGTTCAAGCAATTCTCATGCCTCAGCCTCCAGAGTAGCTGGGTTTACAGGCGAGTGCCACCATGCCTGGCTAATTTTTGTATTTTTAGTAGAGATGGGGTTTTGTCATGTTGCCCAGGCTGGTCTTGAACTCCTGACCTCAAGTAATCTGCCCGCCTTGGCCTCCCAAAGCACTGGGATTACAGGCATGAGCCACAGCACCAGGCCCAGTCCATTTTTAATAGTGTGTCTGATCAACTTACTCTTCTCACCAAAACCCCCCGATATTCTCCCCTATGAAGATAAAGGTTATATTCCTCAGCATAGAGGAAAGGCCCTGCATGATTGGTCCTTCGTATCTCTCCAGCCCTCTTTGTGCACATGAACTCCAGACCTGAGGCTCCATTCACACTGACTTCTCTCGGACTGTGCTCCTGCTCACCTGTGAGCTCTTCCATCCACCTGAAACACCACTTCACGTGTTTTCCTCCTCCTCACTACACCACCCCCAATCTAATTGATTCCTTCTTATATTTTACTTTACTAATGAGCCCTTGGAAGACTCCAAAATCTGAGTTAGGAGAAACATCTAGCTTTGAGTTGTGCAGATAATAAAACAAATTCTTGTTAAATTGAAACCATGATTTTAGCAAAACCAAGTTGAAGTTTACAGAAAAACATATGATTTACTAAGCATTGCCTCAACACAGAGCTTAACCTTCTTCCTCCTAGAGAATCAAATTCTTAACATGCTTTGAAATAATTCAAGTTCTGGGCTGGGAGCGGTGGCTCATGCCTGTAATTCCAAAACTTTGGGAGGCCGAGGCAGGTGGATCACAAGGTCAGGAGTTTGAGACCAGCTTGACCAACATGGTGAAACCCTGTCTCTACTAAAAATACAAAAATTAGCCGGGCGTGGTGGCACAAACCTGTAATCCCAGCTACTTGGGAGGCTAAGGCAGGAGAATCGCTAGAACCCAGGAGGCAGAGGTTGCAGTGAGCTGAGATCGTGCCACTGCACTCCAGCCTGGGCAACAGAGTGAGACTCCATCTCAAAAAAAACAAAAAAACAAAAAAAGAATTCAAGTTCTGCAGAGAGCCCTCTCCTGGGCTGCAGACTGCTGCCTTTCTCCTTGTAGCCTCTGGAGCCTCTTATTTATTTATTTTTTGAGACCAAGTTTCACTCTTGTCACCCAGGCTGGAGTGCAGTGGCGCAATCTCAGCTCACTGCAACCTCTGCCTCCTGGGTTCAAGTGAGCCTCCTGCCTCAGCCTCCTAAGTAGCTGGGATTACAAGCACGTGCCACACTCCTGGCTAATTTTTTTTTTTTTTTTTTTTTTGTATTTTTAGTAGAGATAGGGTTTTGCCATGTTGGCCAGGCTGGTCTGGAACTCATGATCTCAGGTGATCCACCCGCCTTGGCCTCCCAAAATGCTGGGATTACAGGCAGGAGCCAAGGCGCTCGGCCTGGAGCCTCTTTTATAAGGGTGTGAATTCCATTCCGGAGGACTCCACCCTCATGACCCAATCACCTCCCAAAGGCCTCATCTCCATTATAATACCATCACCTTGGGGGTTAGGATCTCAACATAGGGGTTTTGAAGAGACACAAACATTCAATCTGTTGCAGAGTACCAGATAAATAGATTGTGCTGTAATCATACAATGGAATCCTGGGTAATCACTGGAAAAGAATAGTTCTATAAACACAAAAATAAGATTTTTCCAAGATACATTAAGTGAAAAAAAGCAAGGTGCAGGATGTGTGTAGACAGTGCTATAATTTGAGTGTGATACACATTTACACAGGCTTCAGGGGCTATTTCTATAGTGGGCAGTTGCATTTCACTCAGAATTGAGCTATGCCCCATGCTCAGCTCAGACTGAGCCTAGTCCACAAGACTAGGGCAGCTTTTGCCATCACTTCTTTTTTTTAGGAGTTACAAGAGTAACATCTCAGCCCATCTCATTCCCTCTGAGAATCCAATGAGTTTTGGATCTTCTATGCAGTAAAATCAGTCATTTTTACCTATAACCTCAAAGTGAATTAACTGAAGTCCATCCACAATTTACAGAGATCCAAAGATCCTAAGTTACAAGCCTTTTGTCAAGCAAGAGCTCAAGGTGCAATACCATACAGAATACTAAGAAAGCAGCCAGGCACAGTGGCTCATGCGTGTAATTCCAGCACTTTGGGAGGCCGAGGTGGGCAGATCACCTGAGGAGTTCAAGACCAGCCTGACCAACATGGAGAAACCCCATGTCTACTAAAAATACAAAATTAGCCGGGCGTGGTGGTGCATGCCTGTAGACCTAGCTACTCAGGAAGCTGAGACAGTGAGAATCGCTTGAACCTGGGAGACGGATATTGAGGTGAGCCGAGATTGTGCCATTGCACTCCAGCCTGGGCAACAAGAGCAGAACTCTCAGAAAAAAAAAAAAAAAAAAAAAGAATACTAAGAAAGCCTATGGCTGGGCCTGGATGGTCGTGAACACTCTCTTGAGTTGAGTGGCTGTGCAGCCCCAGATATGCCCTCAAAGCCTTGGAAGGGCAGCCTTGCCCTCAAAGCTGACCAGGGACCTACATGTGTTCTAGTCCACTCTACTCCTACTTGCTCTACTGCTCCATTCCATTTGAGAGCTAGGGTAATCCGCTAGGCATTATGTCATTGCAGAAGATGGCCTTTAGAGGTTTTCCTGAAGTAAGAAAATAATAGCTAGATTAGCATATCTTTAAATGAATTCAAGGGCTTCTCCTGGTGCAGTGGCCCTTAAGGACATGACGGTCTTCAAGCACAGTGCAGCAATGAAAGTTCAGAGGATCTGCTAGCCTATACATGTGTAATTATTAGTATACTCTATTTAATAAAGGAGGGAAAAGTATAGCACATTTCAGAAGAGTTCCACTGGGAATTGATAAAAACAAAGCTTTGGAAATTATGGGATTAAACTTTGATTGTCTGAAAAATAATTTTTCAGAATACAATATTCCCTAACTGAGGTGTTTATGTATTTAACTATTGACTATTCAGATGACTTACATTAAACTCATGAGACCAAGTTTTTATAACTTGACCTATACAAATTACTATATGAATACATAGTAAATATTACAAAATACAGAGGAAACTTAGAAATTATAAAGAATGAAATTTTTTTTTAATCAAACAGATTTTATTCAACTTTTTAGATGAGGAAAACAAATGATACAAAATAAGTCATAAGAAATGCTTTCTTATACCACTATCTCAAACCACTTTCAATATTTTACAAAATGCTCACACAGCAAATATGAAAAGCTTCAACACTCTCCCTTTGTAACTTGCTGCAATAAATGCAACTTTAACAAACATACAAATTTCTTCTGTATCTTAAAAGTTGAACTACTAATTTTTATGATGTTATTTTATTCATATACTTTTAATGACATCATTGCCAATACATACATTATTTTCTTTAACTTTATTTTTACACTAAGTCAACATCTGTCATGCAGCCATCAAAAATCTTACAGTAAATTACACAGGTTTGTAGTCCAATTTAGCCTCCAGCTTCTTAGAATCAGCCACTTTTCTGACTGCTTTCATGAAGTCTTCCTGTACTACAAAATCATGATCAGCACGAATTGCGAACATACCTGCTTCAGTACAAACATTTCTCAGGTCTGCTCCATTAAAGCCATCTGAAAGCTTCACAATTGCTTCATAATCTATTTCACCATGCTTTGTAATGGGACCTGCATGGATTTTCAGTATGTCTAATCTTGTTTGTTCATTTGGCAAATCAATATGTATTTTTCTATCTAATCTTCCTGGACACAGCAAAGCAGGATCCAGTGTATCTGGTCTGTTTGTAGCCATGATCATTTTAACTCTATGCAGAGTATCAAATCCATCCATTTGATTCAGTAACTCCGTTAACGTTCTCTGAATCTCTCTGTCAGCTGAAGTACCCTCAGAAAACCGACGACCACCAATAGCATCTATTTCATCCATAAAAATGATGCATGGTTGATGATCTCTAGCATAATTAAACATTTCTCTGATCAAATGAGCACTTTCACCAATGTACTTGTCTACAATAGAACTAGATACAACCTTTAAGAAATTGCAGTCCAGCTGGCTAGCAATGGCTCGTGCCAAGAGTGTTTTTCCCGTACCTGGTGGTCCATATAACAAACAGCCTTTTGGAGGTATTATTCCTACACGCTGAAATAACTCTGGGTTTGTAAGAGGTAATTCTATCACCTCTCTTAATTCCCGGATCTGTTCTGATAGCCCTCCAATCTCAGAATAAGAAACATTCTCAGGGTCCTCATGAGACATGTTATAAATCAGTGGATCCACCTCTCTTGGCAAATATCTCATGATAGTTAGTGTAGTCATATCCAAAGCAACTCTTGTTCCTGGCTTCAGCTTACTTTTGTCAAGCTGTCGACGACAACCCACAACATATCTTGGTCCATTGGTAGCTTTAACAATGAATTTTTCTTCAGTTAACTGTTTAAACACTTCACCCACAATCTGCCCAACACTTCGTAGGGCCTTCAGATCATTTTCAGACTTTTCATACTGCTTGGTAAGTTCTTTTAATTGTTCCCTTAACTCCTTAAGACGGCCATCGATCTCCTTGTGCTCAAGCACCTTCTTGCGGTAGTCCCTAAGCGCCTTATCTCTAGGGTCCGCCATGATGAGAAGAAGAATGAAAAATATTTAATTTGTCTTAGCAACTGCATCTGGCCTAGGGAAGCAAATGCTTACATTTTGTCTCTCTCAGCAGGCCCCCATCTCTCCTTAGACTTCAAGCTAGTTGGTTGCCTTAAGATCTCAGCTTGGCAAGGCATGGTGGCTCATGCCTGTAATCCCAGCACTGTGGGAGGCCGAGGCGGGCAGATCACTTGAGGCCAGGAGTTGGAGACCAGCCTGGCAACATGGCAAAACCCCATCTCTACTAAAAATACAAAAATTAGCCTGGTGTGGTGGCGCACACCTGTGGTCCCAGCTACTCAGGAGGCTGAGGCAGGAGAATCTCTTGAACTCAAGAGGCAGAGGCTTTGTGAGCTGAGATCATGCCACTGCACTCCAGCCTGGGCAACAGAGCGAGACTCCATCTCAAAACAACAACAACAACAACAACAACAACAACAGCATGGCTGGGTGTGGTGGCTCATGCCTATAATCCCAGAACTTTGGGAGGCCAAGGCGGGTAGATCGCTTGAGGTCAGGAGTTCAAGACCAGCCTCGTCAACATGGTGAAACCCCGTCTCCATTAAAAATACACAAATTAGCCAGTGTGGTGGCCACCGCCTGTAATCCCAGCTACTCAGGAGGCTGAGGCATGAGAATTGCTTGAACTGGGGAAGCAGAGGTTGCAGTGAGCTGAGATCACACGATAGCACTCCAGCCTGGGCGACAGAGCAAGACTCCGTCTCAAAAACAAAAACAAAAACCAACAACAACAAACCAACCTCAGCTCCCCTATGGGTTCAAGAAAAGTCACGAACTTGCATTTGGTTCAGGTGAAGGTGACTCCCTTTCTAGTTCTGTATATTGTGAGCAGAAACTAGAAGTCTCTATTACAGAAGTTTAAACAGAAAAGTTATATGATCCGATTTAAATATTTGAAAGATAATTTTAGCCTCCATTGAAAACACAGAATGAGCCTGGGGATGGGGGCAAGGGTGAAAGCAGGAAGACCAGCAAAGAAGCCATTGCAACAGCCCAGGCAGGAGGCTCTGGAGGAATGGACTAGTAGTTGCGATAATCACAAAGGGACTCCTGTGGGAACGGACAGTTTGCCATTGCAGAATATAAATCCACATTTCAGAATCTCTTGCTAGTTTAAATGTATGTATACAATAGTTTACTGATTTCATTTCAGTTCGAACAAAGTAGATAGAATATCATTTTTGTGTACACAAGCGTTTAAGATATGTGGCTTCTGTGTGTGTTTTTAATAATCATAGTCAAACATGACTTTTTTTTTTTTTGAGACAGGGTCTTGCTCTGTTATCCAGGCTGGAGTACAGTGGCATGATCTCGGCTCACTTCAACCTCCGCCTCTGGGGTTCAAGAGATTCTCATGCCTCAGCCTCCGGATTAGCTGGAATTATAGGCGCGTGCCACTACGCCCAGCTAATTTTTGTATATTTAGTAGAGACGGGGTTTCCCCATGTTGTCCAGGCTGGTCTGGAACTCCTGGCTTTGAGTGATCCACCAGCCTGGGCCTCCCAGCAAGACCTTGTCTCGAAAAAAAAAGTCATGGTTGATGAAAAGCACACACAGAATTCACATGTCTTAAACATGTGTGTAGACAAAAATGATATTCTATTGACCTTGTTCAAACTGAAATGAAATCAGTAAATTATTGTATAAATACATTTAAAGTAGTAAGAGATTGTGAAATGTGGATTTATATTCTGCAATGGCAAACTGTCCGTTCCCACAGGAGTCCTTTTGTGATTATTACAACTACTAGTCCATTCCTCCAGATCCCAAAGTGATGGCATTACAGGCTTGAGCCACCGTGCCCAGCACCTTTTCCTTTTCTTTTTCTTCCCCTTCCCTTCCCTCCGTCAGCAACTCAGCCCCTGCATGTGACCATCCTTATAGGGCAGTAGGGAGCCACAGTGGCCCTGCTGCAGAGTGTCAGAGCCTGAGCTGGGCGAAGTGGGTGTCTGTGGAAGGGGCTCCCAGGTGCAGGGTGCTGGTGTCCCAATGGGTAAAAAGGGTGCCTATATGGGGGAAGGGGACATGGAATCAGCCCTGAGTGAGGGGCTGGAGCCTGAGTGGTGCTAGAAAGGGGTCCAAGTGGGGCAGTGCCTTGTCATCTCCTAAAGTGTCAAGGCCAGGAAAATCAAAGGCAGGCTGAAGAGCTGTTCTGAGCCAAATGAGACTAAAGAGACCTGTTATGTTAACTCAGCGTGATGCCTGATTCTCATCTGGATCCTTGCACTCTAAAGGCAAGTCGAAGACAATTGGTGAAATTGAATAAGGAGGACTAGGTATGATGTGTCATTGTAATATTCCTAATTTTTATGTTTGCATTAGGGTTGGGATGCAGAATGTATGTTTTTGTAAAAATACATGTTGAAGTGTTTAGGACAATGGAGCATCATGTTAGCAACTTATACAAAATGGCTGAGAAAAATGTTCTGTGTACTGTTCTTTCAGCTTTTATGTAAATTTGAGATTGTTTTGAAAGAAAAATAAAAAGAAGAATCTTTAAAGAACTTGTGCTTGTCAAGATTATTTTCTGGCATTGTGGTAACAACTGTGATAAATCAGGCTCACAGCTTTTATAGCACTGGTTTATGTCTCTTCCCTCTTTTTTTTTTTTTCTGAGACAGAGTCTTGCTCTGTCTCCCAGGCTGGAGTGCAGTGGTGTGATCTCAGCTCACTACACCCTCCACCTCCCAGGTTCAAGTGATTCTCCTGCCTCAGCCTCCTGAGTAGCTGGGATTACAGGCACCTGCCACCACGCCCAGCTAATTTTTGTATTTTTAGTAGAAGCAGGGTTTCACCATGTTGGCCAGGCTGGTCTCGAACCCCAACCTCAGGTGATCCACCCGCCTTGGCCTCCCAAAGTGCTTGGAATACAGGCGTGAGCCACCGCGCCTGGCCTCTTTCTTCAATTTTAGGAGACAAAATACTTTTTGCTCCTGTGAGTTTTCCTTTGTTTTCTTTAAAGCAAAGCTTAATGGGATTTTTCTTTGAAAAAGATTCAAGCTCACAGTGTGACTCTTGGAGATGAAAACACTTGAGACTTGATTAATGTACAAAGTGATAAATCTTAAGTGAACAAATAATAAGAAATATATAATTTTAAAACATCTGACAAATCACTTATAGGAAAACAATGCACAGTTCTTTAATTGCAGTTTTGTTAGATCTATGTCTTTTCATTTTTTAGATCTGTGTCTTATGCTAAATATTTTATTATGGGCTTTTTGTTGAACTTATTTAAATAGGTAGAGTTCTCACTTTCCCCAGGCTTTGGCTGAAATATTGTGAGAATGCAATGATTAATAAATATAAAAGGAAACAGATGTTTGGAATTTATTTCATTGAGTATTTCTTTGCCAGATTGTTTCTCTTGCTTCTATTAGTTTGATGTATGGTGAATTCATTTCAGTGGCTACCAAGGTGCCTGAGTGTCTTATCAGGGATACGCATAGTTATTCAAATAGAGAAAAATTTAGTTTTTATTAACCACCTACTTAACTGCAAAAGCAGTCACCCCAGGTTGATTTCTTTTTTTTTTTTTTTTTTTTTTTTTTTGAGATGGAGTCTCGCTCTGTCGCCCAGGCTGGAGTGCAGTGGCGCGATCTCGGCTCACTGCAAGCTCCGCCTCCCGGGTTCACGCCATTCTCCTGCCTCAGCCTCCCGAGTACCCAGGTTGATTTCTAAGCAGAAAGAAAAAATGTAAACTTCTTGTGTTCAGGGAATGCTGTACCAGATAGGAGCGAGACAAGAAATTCAAGGCATTGCATTTTCAGATACATTTTGTTTCTAAGTTCAAATTCATTGATTTTCTTCTTCTTTTTTTTTTTTTCTTTTTGAGACAGAGTTTTCTTCTTGTCACCCAGGCTGGAGTGCAGTGGTGCGATCTGGGCTCACTGCAACCTCCGGCCTGGGTTCAAGAGATTCTCCTGCCTCAGCCTCCCAAGTAGCTGGGATTATAGGCACGCACCACCATGCCCACCTAATTATTGTATTTTTGCTAGAGATGGGGTTTCGCCACGTTGGCCAGGCTGGTCTCGAACTCCTGACCTCAGGTGATCTACCCGCCTTGGCCTCCCACAGTGCTGTGATTACAGGCGTGAGCCACTGTGCCTGGACTCATTCGTTTTCAAATACTTACATAGCTCCTACTCTCTGCCAAGCACCGTCCTAGCTAACATTAAAAATATTAGCTAATTTACTCTTCAAGCAATTCCATGAGGCATTATTTTATAGATGAGAAAACTAAGGTACAAGAGTGTAAGTAACATAGCCAAAGTATCAGCTGAGAAAGAGCAGAGTCAAATTTGAAATCCACATAGTCTGGCTCAGGAGCCTCTACCCTTAAGCATTGTGCTACCCTCCCTCTCTTCATAATGAGAAGGGTCCTTGAGGAGTTATCTACATAAAACAGACACTTGAGAAACTTTAAGAATCAATTAAATCTCAGCTCAGAATTGCAGACTCAGTAATGATATTTGCTTTCTGTCTGCCTGGAGACCTCACTGAAATTCTTGCAGAGGAAAACCAAGGAACAAAGAGAATGGATACGGACTTGTGATTTCAACAACTTTCTGGAATTCAAAAAGTGGTGGAAGGCCTGCTGAAGGATGAAACAGAATGAAGGAGGCCACACCCAAGAATATGGTCATATTGGGGTGTGGTGGTGGGAACTGCTTTTCCTGGGTCTCTGGCAGCTCTAGGTGGGGATAAGTCTGGTACAGAATGTAGGATTTTGAAGGAGCCTGAAAAAGGGGCTTACATTAAGACTTAGCAGTGTGTTAATGAAATACCTATGCCAGGTAGCCTCTGCCACAAGCTCCAGCCTCACCAAGGATAAAGGAAGCTGTACCCATTTATAAGTTGAAAAAACCCTGGGAAGAGCTAAGGTCTCAAGTGTGAGGATTGTTGCTCTTCGTTTTAGTATTTTCGTGGTGTCTGTTGTGAGGGATCCCCCATATCGCTTCCTACAGGTGTACCCAAAAGGGAAGTCCATGCAAATCCTTCAAATGTCAGAGGAGGACATTATAAGAGAAACTGGCATATCTATATAAGGACAGGGAAAATCCAAACCTGTTCCTAGAAATAAAAATTTAATTTTAACGCTTAATTATAAATAAAAGAAATCCAAGATTCCCAGAAATATAAGGAAAACAGCAGCATTAGAGAGAAAAGCCAAATGAGACAACTGCCCCCTGAAGAATCAAAGCTAATCCTAAAACAGGCACTCATTGCTTTTCAAAGTTCTGATAAGCATGAATTTCAATTATAATAGTGTAGTTAAATAATACCAATCCTTCAACAACACATTTCAAACATCAGTTAGCACTGTATATTAATTATGAGTAACTGCATAAAGTACAAATTTCATGGCTAGCTCTTCAGTCCACAAATCACTAAGTAAATAACATACACATAATGATCAGTCATCAATCATGATCATGTAACTTCTTTCAAAGTCTGGTGATTGGTCATCACACAACTGTCATTCAGTTCTCATGGAGACTGCAAAGATAGCAAAGTGTGTAGTTGTATCACCTCCTTATCTCCCAGTGATAAACCCACATAACATTTCACAAAAATGAATGTCAGAACAGGGAACTGGACAACAAAGACAAAAGCATATCAAAGAAACAAAAAGTGATAATGCTGGAAGTGAAATTTAAATCAAATGTAAATGGAGTTTAGAAAAAATAGTTGACGACGAGCATGTGGATACTACTAACACCTGAGAAGTTCCTCTGGCTGTGTAGCCAGAGGAACTTAGTGAAGGCAGATTTATTGACATGAATGAGGAAAGTTGTTGTGATGAAAAGAATGAAAATGCCCCAGAAGAGGCTGGGCACAGTGGCTCACGCCTGTAATCCCAGCACTTTGGGAGGCTGAGGCGGGTGGATCACTTGAGGTCAGGAGTTCGAGACCAGCCTGGCCAACATGGTGAAACCCTGTCTCTACTAAAAAAAAAAAAATACAAAAATTAGCCAGGTGTGGTGGTGCATGCCTGTAATCCCAGCTACTCAGGAGGCTGAGGCAGGAGAATCACTTGAACCCAGGAGGCAGAGGTTGCACTGAGCCGAGATCGCAACGCTGCACTCCAGCCTGAGCAACAGAGCGAGACTCTGTCTCAAAAAAAAAAAAAAAAAGAAAGAAAGAAAATTCCCCAGAAGAAGTGACGCCATCAACAAACTTTATAATAATGAAAATCTAGAAATATTTCATGACATTGAAAGCACAAAGGATAAAATGTTGGAAGCTGATTCAAAGTTAATAGTATGATGGTTCCTCAAGGCATGGAAAAAAATTCTTTTTTTTTTTTTTTGAAACAGAGTTTCTTGCTCTTGTTGCCCAGGCTGGAGTGCAATGGCTTGGTCTCGGCTCACTGCAACCTCCGCCTCCTGGTGGATAGGAAGGACCACAGGGAAGGAAGAGGAGGATGTGTTTTCTATCAGCAAAGGGGAAGAAAAAATATTTCTTAGTTATTTGGTCACAGAAAACGATTCTTTTTTTTTTTTTTTTGGAGACGGAGTCTTGCTCTGTAGCCCAGGCTGGAGTGCAGTGGCGCTGTCTTGTCTCACTGCACCCTCTGCCTCCCGGGTTCAAGCAATTATCCCGCCTCAGCCTCCCACGTAGATGGAATTACAGGCACACACCACCATGCCCAGACAATTTTTGTATTTTTAGTAGAGACAGGGTTTCACTGTGTTGGCCAGGCTGGTCTCAAACTCCTGACCTCAGGTGATCCACCCGCCTCGGTCTCCCAAAGTGCTGAGATTACAGGCATGAGCCACCGCACCCAGCCTAAAAAATTCTTATAAGTTATATGATGAGTGAAGAAAGCAAACACTGTTCAAATAACAACTGAATATTTTGAAGAAAGAAATATAATGCTTTAATTCTCAATATTGCTAACGTATTAGATGACAGTGTGTTAAATATTAGTTTTACTTTTTTATTATTTTCCATTTCCCTTTACATTTATAACTCACAGTAAGAGGCTTTTTAATGTTTTCACAAAAATTTTACAGGTCCATAGAACAATAAAAAAATTCCCTATTGATTATTATGATCCTCTTGCATATTCTCAGCTTGTATGGTTCTTTTCTTTTTGTTTTTTTGTTTTTTTGTTTTTGAGACAGAGTTTTGCTCTTGTCACCCAGGGTGGGGTGCAGTGGGGTGATCTCAGCTAATCACAACTTCTCCCTCCTGGGTTCAAGTGATTCTCCTGCCTCAGCTTCCCGAGTAGCTGGGACTACAGGCGAGCACCACCATGCCCGGCTAATTTTTGTATTTTTAGTAGAGACGGGATTTCACTATGTTGGTCAGGCTGGTCTCGAACTTCTGACCTCATGATCCACCTGCCTCAGCCTCCCGAAGTGCTGGGATTACAGGTGTGAGCCACCACGCCCGGCTGTATGGTTATTTTCTTTGGTCTCATACTACTGAGCAAAATGAGGATTGTCTGTATCTATATGCCTTTTTATATGGAAAGAAACTACTAGATTAAAAGAGATTTAAGAAACACGTCAACCTATTTGATCTTGATTCAAACAAGAAGTAAAAACACTCAAGGAAATTTGAACGCCATTGGATATTTCATGATATTAAAAATTGTTGAGGGCCAGGCGTGGTGGCTCATGCCTGTAATCCCAGCACTTTGGGAGGCTGAGGTGGGTGGATAACCTGAGGTCAGGAGTTTGAGATCAGCCTGGCCAACATGGTGAAACCCTGTCTCTATTAAAAATACAAAAATTAGCCGGGCATGGTGGCACACGCCTATAATCCCAGTTACTTGGGAGGCTGAGGCAGGAGAATCGCTTAAACCTGGGAGGCAGAGGTTGCAGCGAGCTAAGATCACACCACTGCACTCCAGCGTAGACACAAAGCGAGACTCCGTCTCGAAAAAAAAAAAAAAAAATAGAATTGTTGACCCCGCACAGTGGCTCATGCCTGTAATCCCAGCACTTTGGGAGGTCACGAAGGGAGGATAGCTTGAGCCCAGGAGTTTGAGACCAGTCTAGGCAACATAATGAGACACCCATCTCTAAAAAAAAAAATTAGCCGGGCATGGTGGCACACGCCTGTGGTCCCAGCTACTCAGGAGGCTAAGGTGAGAGAATCACTTGGGCCTGGGAGGTCGAGGCTGCAATCAGCTGTGATCACACCACTGTACTCCAGCCCAGGAAACAGAGCGAGACCCCCATCTCATTTAGAAAAACAGAAAAAAAAAGAATTTAAGAATTGTTACTGTTAGTTGTTATAATGATATATAATTATGTTTTTAAAAGAGTCATTCGAGCGGGGCGCAGTGGCTCACACTTGTAATCCCAGCACTTTGGGAGGCCAAGGCAGGTGGATCACTTGAGGACAGGAGTTCAAGAGCAGCCTGGCCAATATGGTGAAACCCCGTCTCTACTAAAAATACAAAACAATTAGCCAGGCATGGTAGCGGGCACCTGTAATACCAGCTATTCAGGAGGCTGAGGCAGGAGAATCGCTCGAACCCAGGAGGCGGAGTTGCAGCTAGCCGAGATCATGCCATTGCAATCCAGCCTGGGCAACAAGAGTGAAACTCCATCTCAAAAGAAAAAAAAAGAGTCATTAGAGTGATAATAGCAAGGTGGCAGAATAGGAAGCCCCAGTCCCGTTTTCCCACGGAGACACCAACTTAACAACAATATGCGGACCAAACTGCCTTTGTGAGAGCTCCAGAAACCAAAGAGGTCGCAGCACTCAGGTGCGTACAAAGCCAAGACTAACTACATCAAAGTGGGTAAGAAAATGTCTTACATTTTGCCAACCCTAACCCCTCTGCGTTCCCAATGCAACATGGAGTGGAAGAAAACTCACAACTCCCAGCTTCTCCCTGCCAAGGGAAAAAGAAGAGTGAAACATGAGCCCAACATCCTGGCTTTCTGGGGGCCGTCCAACAGACTACTTTCTGCCTTGCTTGACTCAGTGAACTCAGAGCAGAAGACGCATAGTTTGGATGATAGGTTGGGGACCACTGAAAAAGGTAAGTGTCACATGAGTTGCTACAGGAAAGCTGCAGTACTGAAGACAGACACCAGAGGGAGTAAGAGATCATGAACTCCTGAGAAAACGGGCAAGCCTTTTAACTAGAACATTACACACACACACACACACACAAGCTTTTTAACTAGAACATTACACACACACACCCACAAACCCGTGCCAGGAGCAGTAGCTCATGCCTATAATGCTAACACTTTGGCAGGCCAAGGCAGAAGGATGGCTTGAGCTCAGGAGTTTTGAAACCCGCCTGGGCAACATAGTGAGAACTTGTCTCTACAAATAAAAAATAAATAAAAGAAAATTACACACACAGGCCCAGAGAAAATGGATCCCTGGCCGGGCGTGGTGGCACGTTCCTGTAGTCAAAAATTAGCCGGGTGCAGTGGCGCATGCCTGTAGTCCCAGCTACTCAGGGGTGCTGAGGCAGAAGAATCGCTTGAACCTGGGAGGCAGAGGCTGCAATGAGCCGAGATCATGCCGCTGCACTCTAGCCTGGGCAACAGAGCGAGACTCCATCTCAAAAAAAAAAAAAAAAAAAAAAAAAGAAAGAAAGAAAGGAAATGCATCCCCAAGAAAGGTTTGAGAAGTCGCCCACCATCTATGTCAGGCTTCTTGTGAAGATCTCCTATATGAAGCCAGTCCATATGGACTGGAAGAGACAATCCCAACAAGATGTCACAAGACATACAAAAGAGGGAAACATGGCTCATACGGTTCGGATGTTTGTCCCCTCCAAATCTCATGTTGAAATGTGATTACCAATGTTGGAGGTGGGGCCTGATAGGAGGTGACTGAATCATGGCAGTGGATCCCTCATGGATGGTTTAGCACTATCCCCTTGGTTATAAGTGATTTCTCACTCTGAATTCACACAACATCTAGTTGTTTAAAAGTATGTGGCTCCTCTCCCCTTGTTCTCTTGCTCCCACTTTTGCCATGTGATGTGGCTGCTCCCACTTTGCCTTCCGCCATGATTAAGTTTCCTGAGGCCCTCACCAGAAGCAGATGCTGGAGCCATGCTGGTATAGCCTGCAGAACCATGAGCCAATTAAACTTCTTTGCTTTATAAATTACCCATCCCCAGGTGTTTCTTTACAGCAACACAGAAACAGACCAACACAATGGCCCAATCAAATGAACAAAATAAATCTTCAGCAACCAACTCTAAAGAAGTAGAGAACTATGAATTAACTGATAAACAATTAAAAATAATCATTATAGAGAAGCTCAATTAGCTAAAAGAGAACACAAATAGACAACTAAACAAAGTCAGAAAGACAATGCATGAATAAAATGAGAATATCAATAAAGAAATTAAAACTATTAAAAAGAAAAACACACATTCTGGAGTGGAAAAATAGCTGAACTGAAAAATTCACCAGAGGACAAATATGTAACAAAGTAGAGTTTTCGTAAGTGATTAAAGTTAAGTTGTATCAGTTTAAAATAGATTATTATAACTTTAAGATGTTTTATATAATCCCCATAGTAACTACAAAAAAAATACTTATAGAAGATACACACAAGGAAAAGAGGAGGGAATCAAAGCATGTCACTACAAAAATTAATGAGGCCGGGCAAGATGGCTCACACCTATAATCCCAGCACTTTGGGGGACCAAGGTGGGCAGATCACCTGAGGTCAGGAGGTGGAGACCAGCCCAGCTAACATGGTGAAACCCCATCTCTACTAAAAACAAAAAATTACCTGGGCATGGTGGCGCATGCCTGTAATCCCAGCTACTCTGGAGGCTGAGGCAGGAGAATCACTTGAAGCCAGGAGGCGGAGGTTGCAGTGAGCCGAGATCGCGCCATTGCACTCCAGCTTGGGCAACAAGAGCGAAACTCCATCTCAAAAATAAATAAATAAATAAAAATAAACTAATGAAACATAAAGGAAGGCAGTACAAGAGGAAGAGAGAAAAAATAGTTACAAGATACACAGAAAACAACAAAATGGCAATAGTAAGTCATTCATTATCAGTAATTAATTTAAATATAAATGAATTAAACTCCCCAATCAAAAGACACAGATTGGTTGAATGAATTAAAAAAAAAAAAACAAGATCCAACTGTATGCTTTCTATAAGAGATTCACTTTAGATCTAGGATGCACATAGGCTGAAAGTGAAAAAATGGAAAAAGTTATTCCATGCAAATGGTAACCAAAAGAGAGCAGAGGTGGCCATTCTACTGTCAGACGAAGTAGACTAAGTCAACCAGACAGAAGATCAATAAGGAAACAAGACTTGAACATTATAGACCAATTAGACCTGATAGACATATAGAGAACACGCCATCCAACAACAGCAGAATACACATTCTTCTCAAGTGCAGAGATCATTCTCCAGAATAAATCACAGGTTAGGCCACAGAACAAGTCTTAACAAATTTAAGAAGACTGAAATCATACAAAGTAATCGTTTCCAACCACGATAGAATGAAACTAGAAATCAGTAGCAGAAGGAAAACGGAAAATCCACACACATGTGGCAATTAAAGAGCAAACTATTAAACAACCAATGAGTCAAAGAAGAAACCACAAGAGGCCGGGCACAGTGGCTCACGCCTGTAATCCCAGGACTTTGGGAGGCCGAGGCCTGTGGATGACCTGAAATCAGGAGTTCGAGACCAGCCTTGCCAACATGGTGAAACCCCATTTCTAAGCCAGGCACGGTGGCTCACGCCTGTGATCCCAGCACTTTGGAGGCTGAGGCAGGCAGATCACTTGAGGTCAGGAGTTCGAGGCCAGCCCAGCTAACATGGTGAAACCCCGTCTGTATTAAACATACAAAAAATCAGCCGGGTGTGGTGGCAGGAACCTGTAATCCCAGCTACTCGGGAGGCTGAGGCTGGAGAATTGCTTGAACCTGGGAGGCGGAGGTTGTAGTGAGACAAGATTGTGCCACTGCACTCCAGCCTGGGCAACAGAGTGAGACTCTGTCTCAAAAAAAAAAAAAAAAAAAAAAAGAGAGAGAAAGAAAAAGAAAAAAATAAATCACAAGAGAAATTAGAAAATATCTTGAGACAAATGAAAATGAAAATACAATATATCAAAACTTATGGAATGCGGTGAAAGCATTACCAAGAAGGAAGATTATAGCTGTAAATGCTTACATTAAAAAAGAAGAAATAGGCCAGGTGTGATGCCTCATGCCTGTACTCCCAGATCTTTGGGAGGCTGAGGTAGGAGGATTGATTAAAACCAGGAGTTCAAGACTAGCCTGGACAACATAGTGAGAACCCATCTCTACAAAAAATAATAAATAAAAAATAGCTGGACATAGTGGCCCTGTAGTTACAGTTGCTAAGGAGGCTGAGGTAGGAAGATTGCTTGAGCCCAGGAGTTCGAGGTTGCAGTGAACTGTGACCCTTCCACTGCACTCCAGCTGGGGTGACAGAGCCATACTGTATCTCTAAGAAAAAAGAAGAGGAAATAGCTAAAAGAAACAACCTAATTTTATACCTCAAGAAACCCCTAATTTTATACCTCAAGAAACGCTTTTTATTATTATTGTTCTTATTTTTTTATTTTTTTTTGAGACGGAGTCTTGCTCTGTCGCCCAGGCTGGAGTGCAGTGGCGTGATCTCGGCTCACTGCAAGCTCCGCCTCCCGGGTTCAAGCGATTCTCCCGCCTCAGCCTCCTGAGAAGCTGGGACTACAGGCGTCCGCCACCACGCCCGGCTAATTTTTTTGTATTTTTAGTAGAGATGGGGTTTCACCGTGTGTTAGCCAGGATGGTCTCAATTTCCTGACCTCATGATCCGCCCACCTCGGCCTCCCAAAGTGCTGGAATTACAGGCGTGAGCCACTGCGCCCTGCAAGAAACCCTTTTAAACCTCAAGAAAAAGGAGAAAAAATGAAACCCGAAGTTAGCAAAAAAAAGGAGGAAAATAACTAAGATTAGAACAGAGATATAAATGGAATTTAAAAATGAAACTAAGAGTTGGTTTTTTGAAAAGGTCAAAAAATTGGCAAACTCTGAGCTAGATTAACCAAGAAAAAAGAGAGAAGATAACTAAAATTAGAAATGCCATATGGGACATTATAAATGATGCTACAGAAATTAAAAGGATTAACAAGAATACAATGAACAATTATACACCAGCAAATTGGGTAATCTAGAAGAAATGGATAAATTCCTAGAAATATACAGCATACCAGAACTAATTCATGAAGAAATAAAAAACCCAAACAGACCTATGACTAGTAAGGATTTAATCAGCAACCAAAATACCTCCCAACAAAGAAAACCCCAGGACCACAGGACTTCACAGGTGAATTCTACAAAACATTTTAAGAAGAACTAAGATTTAAAAAAATTCAATAAACTAGGATAGAAGGAAATTACCTCAATGTAATACAAGCTATATATGAAAAGCTTACAGCTAATATTACACTCAATAGTAAACAATTGAAAGCTGTTCCTCTAAGATGAGGAACAAGGCAAGGATGGCTCACTCTTGCAACTTCTATTTAACATAGCAGTGGAAGTCCTAGAGCAATTACACAAGAAAGAGAAATAAAATACATCCAAACTGAAAGGAAAGAAGTATTTATTCACAGATGACATGGTATTATATCACAAAAGATTGAAAACTAATGAACAAATTCAGCAAAATTGCAGCACACAAAATTAATACAAATATCAGGTGCATTTCTATACACTAACAGTAAATAATCTGGCAAGTAAACTAAGAAAACAATCCTATTTTCTTGTCTTTTTTTGTTTTTGTTTTTGAGATGGAGTCTTACTCTGTCGCCCAGACTGGAGTGCAATGGCATGATCTCGGCTCACTGCAATCTCTGCCTTTAGGGTTCAAGCAATTCCCTGCCTCAGCCTCGTGAATAGCTGGGATTGCAGGCGCCTGCCACCGTGCCCGTCTAATTTTTTTGTATTTTTTAGTAGAGACGGGGTTTCACCATCTTGGCCAGGTTGGTATTGAACTCCTGACCTCTTGATCCACTCACCTCGGACTCCCAAAGTGCTGGGATCACAGGGCGTGAGCCACCGCTCCTGGCAACAATCCAATTTTCAATAGCACCAAAAAGAGTAAAATGCATAGGAATAAACTTAACCAAGGAGGTGAAAGACTTATACACTGAAAACCACAAAATATTGCTAAAAGAAATAAAAGAAGATTCAAATAAATGTAAAGACATCCTATGTTTATGGATTAGAATACTGAATATTGTTAAGATGTCAATACTACCCAAAGAGGTCTATCTACAGATTCAACACAATACCTATCAAAATACCAATGGCATTTTTGCAGAAATAGAAAAATGTATCTGTAAATTCATGTGGACTCTCAAGGGATAACAAATAGCCAAAACAGTTTTGAAAAAGAATAGGATTGGAGGACTCACACTTCTGATTTCAAAACATATTATAAAGTCACAATAATTAAAGCTCTGGTAGGTAGCATGAGCATAACAACAAACAGGCCAATGGAATAAGATAGAGAGTCCAGGAATAAATTATTGTGTATGTGGTAAAATTGTCTTTAGCAGGGGTTCCAAGTCCACTGAATGGAGAAAGAACAGTCTCTTCAACAAATAGTGTTGGGAAAACTGGATATCTACAGGCAAAAGCCATAAAGTGGAACCCTTACATGATACACAAAAATTATGCTTACCTTACACAATATACAAAAATAAACTCAAAATGGATTAAAAACTGAACTGTAAGACCTAAAACTATCAAACTTCTAGAAGAAAACATAGAGGAAAGGCTTTATGACATGGGATTTGGCAATGATTTGTTAGATATGATGCCAAAAACATAGGCAATGAAATCAAAGATTTCAAAGTTTGATGTGATTACATTACATCACACTTTAAAGCTTTTGTCCATGAAAGTACATAGCTGAGAGAGTGAAAAGGCAACCTACAAAATGAACGAAAATACTTGCAAATCATCTACCTAATAAGGGGTTAATATCCAGAAAACATAAATAACTCATACAACTCACAAAAACAAAAATAACTCACTTCAAAAAAATGGGCAAACAGCCAGGCGCAGTGGCTCACGCCTGTAATCTCAGCACTTTGGGAGGCCAAGGTGGGTGGATCACCTAAGGTCAGGAGTTTGAGACCAGCCTGGCCAACATGGTGAAACCCTGTCTCTACCAAAAATACAAAAAATTAGCTGGGTGTTGTGGTGCATGCCTGTAATCCTAGCTATTCGGGAGGCTGAGGCAGGAGAATCGCTTGAACACGGGAGGTGGAGGTTGCAGTGAGCAGAGATCACGCCATGGCACTCCAGCCTTAGCAACAAGAACGAAACTCCGTCTCAAAAAAAAGGAAAAAAAAAAAAAGAGCAAAGGACTTGAATAGGCAGTTCTATAAAGAAGGTATAGAAATGACCAATAAGCTGGCCAAAAGCGGTGGCTCACGCCTTTAATCCTAGCACTTTGGGAGGCCAAGGTAGGCAGATCATGAGGTCAGGAATTCAAGACCAGCCTGGGCAACATGGTGAAATCCTGTCTCTACTAAAAATACAAAAATTAGCTGGGCGTGGTGGCATGCGCCTGTAATCCCAGCTACGTGGGAGGATGAGGCAGGAGAATTGCTTGAACTCGGGAGGCAGAGGTTGCAGTCAGCCAACATCGTGCCACTGCATTCCAGCCTGGGTGACAGAGTAAGATTCTGTCTCAAAAAAAAAAAAAAAAAAAAAAAGAAAAAAAAAAGAAAGAAATGGCCAACAAGCATATAAAAAAATGTTCAACTTCATTAATCATTACAGAAGTACAAATCAAAACCACAATGAGATATCACTTCACACCCATTAGGATGGTTACCATAAAAAAAAAATGAAGTGTTGGTGAGGATTTGGAGAAACTGGATCCCCTGATGGGAATGCAAAATGGTGCAACAGTATCGAGATTCCTTAAACAATTTAAAATAGAAATACCATATGATCCAGCAATCTCACTTGGTATATATCCAAAATAATTCAAGGCAAAATCTCAAAGACATATTTGCATACTCATGTTTATTATAGCATTATTCACAATAGCCAAGAGGTGGGAACAATCTAAATGTCCAACAGATGAATGAATTTTTAAAAAGTGGTATATATACATACATTGAGATATTATTCAGCCTTAAAAAAGAAGAAAAATCATGGCCGGGCGCGGTGGCTCACGCCTGTAATCCCAGCACTTTGGGAGGCCGAGACGAGCGAATCACGAGGTCAGGAGATGGAGACCATCCTCATTAACATGGTGAAACTCTGTCTCTACTAAAAATACAAAAAAATTAGCCGGGTTTAGTGGTGGGCGCCTGTAGTCCCAGCTACTCAGGAGGCTGAGGCAGGAGAATGGCATGAACCCGGGAGGCGGAGCTTGCAGTGAGCCGAGATCGCGCCACTGCACTCCAGCCTGGGCGACAGAGCGAGACTCCGTCTGAAAAAAAAAAAAAGGGAAAAATCCTGCCACATGATATGGTATGGGTCAAACTTGAAGACATTAAGCTAAATAAAATGTCAGTCACAAAAAGACAAATATTATATGATTCCACTCACATGAAGTATCAAGTAATCAAACTCACAGAAAAAGAAAGTAAAATTGTGGTTGCCAATGGTTCAGGGTGAAAAAAAAGGGAGTTAGTGTTTAATGGGTAAGAGGTTCAGTTTCGCAAGACAAAAGATTTCTGGATATTTGTTGCACAACAGTATGAGTATAATTAATGCTACAGAACTGTTAGAAAAGAGTCTCTTTCAGATTTAGATACTAGAAAATGTATGAGTAAAATACGATGTCTGAAATTTGCTTTCAAATAATCTGAAGGCTGGTTGGGGAAGTTGTTGGAGTCATACATGAAATAAAACTGGTATTAGTTGACAATCCTTAAAACTGAGTGGGTTTATTATACCATTCTCTCTCTACTTTTGTGTATGTTTGAAATTTTCCATCATAAAGGAGTTTTTAAAAACCCAACATTATCAAAATGAAAAATAATCAATACAAGTGCTGGATAAGAAAGTCAAGGAAATATCACAGAATGTATAATTTAAAAGATTTGCTGAGGTGTGTGTATCACCTGAGCTCAGGAGTTCGAGACTAGCCTGGCCAAAATGGCATAACCCCATCTCTACATAAAATACAAAAATCAGCTGGGAACACTGGTGCACACCTGTAGTCTCAGCTACTCAGGAGGCTGAGACACGAGAATCACTTGAACCCAGGAGGCAGAGGTTGCAGTGAGCTGAGATCACGCCATTGCACTCCAGCCTGGGTGACAGAGAAAGACTCTAAAAAAAAAAAAAAAAAAAAATTAAGAGAAGTTATGAAAAAAAGGTAAGACACACACAAGACCTTCAGAAGGTCATGCAATCAATAGGAGTCCCAGAAAGAAGAGAGACAAATGGAGGGTAGGGCTAAAATAATGAGCGATTTTTTTTGTATACCAGATATATGATATTGTACTGACTCCTGGGAGGAATACAAATGTGCACAGTTGCTTGAAAGCATCAATTTGACAGTGTTTCTTAAAATTAAAAATTTCCATATTCTCTTGGTGAAAATATCTTTTTTTTTTTTTTTTTTTTTTTTTTTTTTTTTTTTTGAGACAGAGTCTCAGTCTGTCGCCCAGGCTGGAAACCCTTGCCTCCCGGGTTCAAGTAATTCTCATGCCTCAGCCTCCCAAGTGGCTGGGACCACAGGCACGCACTGCCACGCCCAGCTAATTTTGCATTTTTAGCAGAGACAGGGTTTCACCATGTTGGTCAGGCTGGTCTCGAACTCCTGACCTCAGATGATCCATGGGGTGAGTTCTTTTTAAGTTAATGAAGAAGGATATGCACAATATGTGAGGCAAAAATAAGTAAATAAATAGCAGTTTACAGAACAAAAGGTATAGAAGGATCTGGTTCTCTAAGAGTTCAATTTCTATGAAAGTGAAATATGCTATTATTCCTAGGTTAAAGGAAATAAGGATTGATTTTGCGCCTCTGACTTACTTTTTCCTTTATTATTTTTTTTGAGACTGAGTTTAGCTCTATTGCCCAGACTGGAGTGCAGTGGACTCGATCCACTGCACTTGGCAATCTCGGCTCCACAGCACTCAATCCACTATACTCGACAATCTCAACTCCCTGCAACCTCTGCCTCCCAGGTTCAAGAGATTCTCCTGCTTCAGCATCCCAAGTAGCTGGGATTACAGGAGCGTGCCACCACACCTGGCTAATTTTTGTATTTTTAGTAGAGGCAGGGTTTCACTGTGTTGGCCAGGCTGGTCTTGAACTCCTGACCTCAGGTGATCCGCCCACCTTGGCCTCCCAAAGTGCTGAGATTACAGGTGTGAGCCACCCCGCCCAGCCATAGTTCCTCTTACTTTCAAAAGATAAAATTTCATTTGCATCCACTGAAGTACAATTAAACAAAAAAGAATACACTTCAGCTTTGGCTGTTTCTCCACTTATACCTGCTTGGTCACTTTTTTGGCGGAGGAGAATGCAGTTAAAAAGGACATGTCCCCGGGGATTCGAATACACTTCTCAAAGTGTACTGCTGGCCCTCTGTATCCATGGGTTCTGCATCTGTAGATTCGATCAACTGTAGATCAAAAGTATTCAGAAAAAAAATTGTCTCTACTGCACATGTATAGACATTCTTTTTCTTGTCATTATTCCCTGAATACAGCATAACTACTTACATACCATTTACATTGTATTAGGTATTACAAGTAATCTAGAGATGACAAATTATACAGGATGCCATAGATTATATGCAAATACTATGCCATTTTATATCAGGGACTTGAACTTCCTCAATTTTGGTATTCAAGAGAGGTACTGAACTGATCCCCCACAGATACTTAGGAAACACTGTAATTCAATGCAGTATCGTGGGCCAGCTAGAGCACATCCTGTATCAGTGAGAGAAATCTATTCCCTTAACAAGTTAGTCTTGGTTTCTTTGGAAAATGTCTCCCAGAGACAGTGAACACCCATATATGCATTTGAGATAGATACTATTAGTATCCTCATTTGGCACATAACTGAGGCTCAAAGTCAAGTAACTTGATCGTCTCCATAACCAAGTAACTAATTTTGGAGCCATCTGTCTGACTGCATGGCTAGAGATTCTACTTCTGTACTCTTGCCTGTTCATTTTACATCCACAGAGCATACACACAGGCACTCTACGGATGTCATGTGAAGAAATCTAATCCAGTCTGGGTATAGTGGCTCTTGCCTATAACCCTAGCACTATGGGAGGCCGAGGAGGGTGGATCGCCTGAGCATAGGAGTTTGAGACCAGCCTGGGCAACATGGCAAGACCCCATCTCCACAAAAAAAGCCAGGCCAAGCGTCAAGGTGTGAGCCTGTAGTCCCAGCTACTTGAGGTTGAGGCAGGAGGATCGGTTCAGCCAGGGAGTTGAAGGCTGCAGCGAGCCATGTTCGCACGACTGCACTCCAACCTGGGTGACACAGCGAGACTGTTTCCATTTAAATTCAAAAAAAAAAAAAAAAAATTCTGACCCAGCAATGAACAGCCATGGTGGTTTCTGTTCCCTTGGTTATTGCTAGCTTACATTTCTACACCAGAAGCAGTGCTCTGCAAATCCAAATAGAGTAAGCACTGCAGAGATATCCTATTTTCAACCTTCCTTTAACTCCCATCCATACAAGATGGCCTGTTAACTTGCATAGAATTATTGGCATCATTACCACTATTTAATCTATCCTGAATTCCCTATATTCAAAGGCCCTGCAGTTTTATTTCCATGCAGGTATTTTTAAGTGTTTGAGAAATTGAAGATAACAGCAGTTTCAAATTTTTTAGTGCTATTTTAGCTGTAATACAGGTTCTCAATTACGTATAGCTTTAATCCAACACTTTAACCATTGTGAAAAAACACAACTGCTCATGTTCACAATTCCGTGAAAGCCATGAAGCTGTCCTTCCACTATTTTCTGATTTACTGAAGTGTATTTTTCACAGTATATGTTCTCTGGACTTTAGTGACATTTTTTTCAGAATTTCATTTCCTCAGTCAGTTCTCAAGACATGTGTGCTCTAAAGACTGCTATGCTGCACTAAAAGTTCATAGGTATTTGTCTGGGGGCCACGTATTGATAGGTATTCCATTTTAAAATGGTCTTATTAACTGATAGCTAAACAGCTCCCAAAGATCAACTGTTTGGTTTAAATTTAGCAATGTGGCATAATTCATTCCAGACTCAGTTCCATTCAAATCCTTGATGTTAACTGGGTTTGTCTTGAGATCTGAAGTAGACTCAGAAGGAATTGGATGTTGGGTAACAGCAGTAGGGGAGGGGCAAGGGGTGACTCCAGTTTGAACTGTGAGACTTCAGTAGACAATGGATTCAGACTAGGAACACAGGACAGAGCTTCTGGGAGGGAAGATTTCATTTTAGACACATTAGCTTTTCAGCTGTGGGTTGCAGGTGCCTAGCATGCAGTTGGTTGTATACAGAAATCTCAACTGAAGGTCAATTTGAAAAGATAGCAGAGTTCAGCGTGAAAGCCTAGGCCCAAATCCAAAAAGAAAAAACTTGAATTACCCAACTTTGATCCTATTAAAAATTTCAAAAATTTTCTGAAGGCAATCTTAACAATTTGTAGATGTTCCATTTTTCCACAATAAATCTATAGAAACTTTCCCCAATAAGTTTAGCAAACCTGTAAGGGTATCTATCTGATTTTAAATTCTAGGCTGGGTACAGTGGCTCACTCCTGTAACACCAGCAGTTTAGTAGGCTAACACAGGCTGATGGTTTGAGTCTTCAGAGTTCCAGACCAGCCTGGGCAACATGGCAAAACCTCACCTCTACAAAAAACAATTAGCTGGGCATGGTAGCCACATGCTTGTTAAGTCCCAGCTACTAGGCAGTTTGAGGTGGATTGCATGAGCCCAGGTCAAGGCTGCAGTGATCACACCACTGCACTCCAGCCTGGACTGCAGAGACCCTGTCTAAAACACTGAAAATATAAGTATTTTTAAAAAATGTAAAAGTGAAAATGGGCCAGGCATGGTGGCTCATGCCTGTAATCCCAGCACTTTGGGAGGCTGAGGCAGGTGGATCACCTGAGGTCAGGAGTTTGAGACCAGCCTGAACAACAGGACAAAACCCCATCTCTACTATAAAATAAAAAATTAACCAGGCTTGGTCGCAGGCACTTGTAATCCCAACTACTTGGGAGGCTGAGGCAGGAGAATTGCTTGAACCTGGGAGGCAGAGGTTGCAGTGAGCCAAGAACACACCACTGCACTCCAGCCTGGGCCACAGAGCAAAACGCCGTCCCCCCCCCCAAAAAAAAAAAGTGAAAATTTTATATTTAAAATATAAAACACTGAAAATATAAGTATTTTTAAACTAAGTTTTAGTTCCTAAAACCCTAAAACTTAGTTTTAGTCCTGCCTCTGCCACTTAATCCTTTTTTAAGGACGTTAAACTTGGTTAATTTAAAAATATTAGTTACTAGCTTTTTAACACGTGCCTACTAGCGCACTAGGTTCTCAACCATGGGTGTGCATTACAAACGCCCCAGAAACCTTAACACCCCATACCAATCAGAATTTATCTAGAGTATGCCAAAGTTATAAACTGCCAGTGTCCAATAAAACCAGTCAGGTCTCACATATTATGTAGTTAACGGAATCCAGTTTTCAAATGACTCAAACGACAACGAAAACAGGATAGACCACTCTAAGATACCCATATATTCCACCTGAAAAGTGGAAGTCTCATAGTACACCTTTATATTCCTAAAATCTGCCAGTATTCTGAATAAAAACCAACAGAAGTTAACAACTGGTCATCAATTTATTAAAATAGTTGACTTAAGCATCTGCAATGGTGACTTCCACCTCAACTCCTGGCTCAATACTGATGGAAGTAATCTGCTTAACAATCTCAGAAGGACTGTGCAAGTCAATGAGTCGCTTGTGAATTCTCATCTGGAAACGATCCCACGTCTTAGAACCTTCACCACAAGGAGTTTTTCTTGTAGTGATTCTCAAAGTCTGTAACAAAAGACAAAGGAAACCAAGTGTTTATCGTTTTATACTTATCCCTAGAACATCTGGAAAATCATTACTTCTAATCATTTCATTAGTTTCCCTTTGGTATGATTCCAATTTACACTAATAGATTTTCAGGTACCATGGGTTGAAAATGCCAGGTCTGTTTTCACTGTGCTAGGACACCACCCTTAGAGCTTGCGCCTGTTAAGCACCAAAGCACACCAAGAACACAGCAACAATAATTCAACAATCATATCTAAACATTAGCTACTTACTAGGAACCGCAATCTACCACCGATTTCTATGTGCGTTTGTAGACAGCATCAGTGTTAACAATTTTGGCAGCCGAACTCCTTAAAGAACCTGAATTTATGCAACATCCGGAAGCAACTCCTACTTCCTGCCCCTCCGATTTACTTTACCTTGGTAGGCATTCGAACTGGTCCTTTCACTTTGAGATTCTTTTCTTTTGCGCCTCTTATCAAGTCAGCACACACTACAGGAAATAAAAGACCTCTCAGTATAATCGAAACAATTAAAATCGGCTTAAGGCCTTCACTTCTGCTGGCTCAGAATAGCGTATAAAATTATCACCGTTACTCAACACAATAGGTACCTCCTCATCGCCAGCTGTATGACAGTAAAAGCAATTTTAAGCCACGCTTTACTTTTTTAAGTAACTTGTCACTTTAGTTCTTGCAGTCCACCTTCTACACTAACATTAACGAGTAAAGCTCGTCGCTTTTCGCCCAATTCCCCCTCCCCCCCGCATAACGAATGCACTGACCCTTTTCCAAGGATTTTACGTTGCGGCTTGTTAGGGTGATTCGAATTCGGTGAATTGCCACCTCCGGCTCCACGGGTGTTTTTCCGGTATCCTTAAAAGCCTATTATTAGATACATGAAAAAGAACAATAAGCCAAAAATGGTCTGCCACTTCTGGAGAAAGGCAGCTTCCGGAAGCTTCCCGCGTTTCCCCACCATTTCAGGAGCGCCTTTCCGCCCCTACACGCCCCGGCATCTGCCCTCAGGAGCACGAACTCGAAACCGGGGTCCCCCCGGCGCCCGAGCCCTGCGTTGCGCCGCCCGCCGCCGACTGCCGCCTCACCATGGCTGTTGCGCGCGGGCTTCCTGACCGACTTGTTCCTCGGCGAGAGCGAACAGCGGTGAGTCAGGAGCAGGAGCGTGCGGACCAAAAATCCTCAGCCCTTACGACCGCGTCTTCCTCAAAAAGAAAGGGGTGGGACTTGAGCAACGCTTATATAGCACGCTTGCATCCGGGTCCCACACGCCCCGGAACAGGAAATATCCCGGGCCCTAGAGGCGGTCGCACAAGGGCGAGCTGGAGCACTAGTGGAGTTGGCGGGAAAGGCACGGCTGCGGGCGCCCCCTGTCCGCACGGAGGAGCCGAAGTCCCGCAGGGTGGGGTCCCCGCCTGCGCCGAGAGGGCCACCTGGTCGAGAGAACAGGCGACACGGAAACCTGAGAAACTCCTCTGTCTGGTGCACCTAACCCTCTTCCTCATAAAGTGCACACGAACTCTGGTTTTTCCGTTGCAAATTTTGCTTTCTACATAGACCATACCATTCGTTGCTCTCTGAGGATGAGGTAACTTCTCTGAGCTTAGCTGACATGAGCATTGGCAGAAATGCTTCTCGTAATCTGGATAACTTACGTTAGAATTAGTAAGCAGTTATTTTTCATAGCCTGAAACGTCCTGTTGTGATATTTCAGCTCCTGGCTTCCCAGTCCAGCAGAAGTATCTACATCTATTTCTGGAAAGGACCTGAACTTGGCTTCTCGTCCTTCTGGAAAGTGAGGCGAAAATGCCAGGCTGCGCAGCTATCCTGAGGCCCGGCCTGGAACCTGGCTAGCCACCCAGTCCTGATACCTCATCTCCTTTCTGTTGGATAAAGTCATTGGATAAGATCCCCCAGGGTCTTCTTAATACTGAACATCTGTTCATAATCACATAAGTGACCAAGTATAGTGGAAAACCCGAATGGTCAACTGAGCTGAGCAGTGGGAGAGAGCGCAGGGTGAGCTCACCTACACCTGAGCAAGAAGCCGGGGCTAAATACGTGGAAATCACTGAGATGGATTTTGATACAGGGCAGAAAGAAGAGTAAAATCATCTCATATTACTTTCCACCTGAAGCTCTGAGCCGAAAGAGTTATTTGCTCAAACACTCTGAAATGGGGAGGGACAGAGCTCTGACCCCTCCGTCCAGGCCTGTTTGTTGTTTTTTTTTTTTGTTTGTTTTGTTTTTTTTTTTTTGTGAGACGGAGTTTCATTCTTGTTGCCCAGGCTGGAGTGCCATGGCGCGATCTCGGCTCACCGCAAACTCCGCCTCCTGGGTTCAAGCGATTCTCCTGCCTCAGCCTCCGGAGTAGCTGGGATTACAGGCATGCGCCACCATGCCCGGCTAATTTTTTTTTTTTTTTTTTTTTTTTTAGTAGAGACGGGGTTTCTCCATGTTGATCATGCTGGTCTCAAACTCCAGATCTCAGGCCCGCCTCGGCCTCCCAAAGTGCTGGGATTACAGGCGTGAGCCACCGCGCTCGCCCCGTCAGGACTCTTTCTTGAGGTTTTGTCTTCTGTTCCTTGGTAGGAAATTATGTTTGAAACTTTAATCAAATAATAGCATTGTCTTATTTGGTGATAATTGGAACATAACTAATAACTGGGTTTCTTTGGCTCACGATACGTATGAGGTTTTTTGCTGCCATTTTAACAATTATTTTAAATTTTCAAATTTGGATGTTTTCCAGTTCAGTTTTTTGGGTTTTTTGTTTGTTTGTTTTTTGAGATGGAGTCTCGCTCTGTCGCCGAGGCTGGATGCAGTGGCACGATTTTGGCTCCCCGCAACCTCCACCTCCTGGGTTCAAGCAATTCTCCTGCCTCAGCCTCCCGAGTAGCTGGGACCACAGGCACGTGGCACCACTCTCAGCTAATTTTTTGTGTTTTTACTAGAGACGGTGTTTCACCGTGTTAGCCAGGATGGTCTCAATCTCCTGAACTCGCGATCTGCCTGCCTTGGCCTCCCAAAGTGCTGGGATTACAGGTGTGAGCCACCTATCCCGGCCCCAGTTCAGTTATTTTTAAATGTAATCCATTGTCTGTAAATACTCTCTTAGTAGAATTTTCAGCAGAAATTCTGAAAACCTGCATTCTTATTGTGCTAGCTGTAACCTGAGACTTCATAACTTAGAGGTTTAACTTATTGGTATGGCTGTGTGCGACAAATAGACAAAAGCACAATTGCCCTGCTCCCTGGGGTGTGATCAGCCACCGCTGTAGTACTGCCTGGAGGTGACTGTGCATATTTTAAGTGAACATATACAGCGGCATTCATGTTTTACTAATGCTCAAAGATGACTGGAAATTCAATGAAGGAATTTCATTGAGAAGTACAATTGTAATTTTGTACAAGTGTGATTTTTTTTTTATAACAAATCTGGTACATCTTTTTCTTAGGCTTACCTCATCCTTTAAGTATTTGAGGAACTGGTGAACAAGTTAACTACTTTGATAGTAAACGAGGAAATTTCTTTATAGAGAAAAGCAAAATGTGGCCCAGCAGGTATGTGAAAAATGGCTGATGTGACTAGAACTAAGGAAACAAATGGTTAAGATAATATTAGACAAAAGTAATGGAAATTTTTTTTTTTTGGAAAACAGTATGGAGGGTCCTCAAAAAATTAAAAATGGAACTTCCATGTGAACCAGCCATCCCACTTCTGGGTATATACCCAAAGAAAATGAAATTGGTATCTAGAAGAGATACCTGCACTCCCATGTTTATTGCAGCATTATTTACAGTAGCTAAGGTCAGGAAATGACCTAGGTGTCCAGCAACAGATGAATGGATCTTTTTTTTCTTTGGAAACAGAGTCTTACTCTGTTGCTCAGGCTGGAGCGCAGTGGTGCGATCTCGGCACACTGCAACCTCCACCTCCTGGGTTCAAGCAATCCTCCTGCCTCAGCCTCCCAAGTAGCTGGAAGTTCAGGCAGGCACCACCATGCCCGGCTAATTTTTGTATTTTCGGTAGAGACGAGGTTTCACCATGTTGGCCAGGCTGGTCTTGAACTCCTGACCTCAGGTTATCTGCCCACCTCAGCCTTCCAAAGTGCTAGGATTACAGGTGTGAGCCACCGTGCCCAGCCTGAATGGATCAATATTATTCAGCCTTAAAAAAGAAGGAAATTCTGGCCGGGAATGGTGGCTCACACCTGTAATCCTAGCCTTTGGGAGGCTGAGGCGGGTAGGTCACCTGGAGTCAGAAGCTCGAGATCGGCCTGGCCAACATGGTGAAACCCTGTCTCTACTAAAGATAAATATACTGTGTGAGTTCACTTATATGTGGAGTCAAAAAAAGTCAAATTTGTAGAAGCAGACAGTAGACTACTAGAGTCAGGAGGTGGGATCTAGTGAGGTTTGGGAATTTTAAAGTTTATTAGTTTTAGTTTCAAACACTTTGCCGTATTTTTCTCTTGAAAACTAGCAGCTTCTGTGGCCCCCAATTTCTCTTTGAAATGTTATGTTTGGGCCAGACGCGGTGGCTCACACCTGTAATCCCAGTACTTTGGGAGGTCGAGGTGGGTGGATCACCTGACATCGGAGTTCGAGACCAGCCTGACCAACGTGCTGAAAACCTGTCTCTACTAAAATACAAAAATTAGCCGGGTGTGGTGGCGGGCTCCTGTAATCTAAGCTACTCGGGAGGCTGAGGCAGGAGAATCGCTTGAACCCAGGAGGCAGAGGTTGCAGTGAGCCGAGATCGTGCCATTGCACTCCAGACTGGGCAACAAGAGCGAAACTCCATCTCAAAAAAAAAAAAAAAGTTATGTTTGAATACTAGATGTGAGATATCCATTGGAGAAAAAAGTAACAACAATAAGCCAAAAATAAGAAGAAAATACATAATTCCATCATTCAATGTATGTTTCTTTTCTTTTCTTTTTTTTTTGAGGAGTCAGTCTTGCTCTGTTGCCCAGGCTGGAGTGCAGTGGTATGATCGCAGCTCATTGCAACCTCTGCCTCCCAGGTTCAAGTGATTCTCCTGCCTCAGCCTCCCGAGTAGCTGGGATTACAGGTACCCACCACCACGTCCGGCTAACTTTTGTATTTCAGGTGAGACAGTGTTTTGCCATGTTGGCTAGGCTGGTCTCGAACTCCTGACCTCAGGTGATCCACTGGCCTTGGCCTCTCAAAGTGCTGGGATTACAGGCATGAGCCACCACGCCAGGCCAACATGTCTTTTAATGACGGTGTTATCATGAATTGTATGAATGATTCTTTTAGGATTTGTTGAACCTGTCTTCTGTTTTTAGGCATTTAGGCTGGTTTTCCCATTTTGCAGTCTATAAACAATATCATGAGGTAAATCCTGGTAGATCAGGGTTTCTCAATCTCAGCACAATGGACATTTTGGGGGCCGGATAATTCTTTGCTTTGGGGGACTGTCCTACGCATTTAGGAGGTTTGGCGACATTTCTGGCCTCTATACTCACTAGGTGCTAGGAGCAACCCCACTCCTCCACTGGTGACAATCAAACATGCCTCCAGACATTGTCAACAGTCCCTGTGGGTAAAAATAATGCCCGGTTGAGAGCCACTATTGTAGATGAATATTTTAGCTCCTACTTAATGCCTTAGGTCAATTACTAAATAACTTATCCTCTGATGGCTTAATCAAAGAATAAGCACATTTAAAATACTTTGGTATTAAGTAAGTTGCCTTCTGGGAAGGTTGTACCCAAACAGATATTTCCTCCAACAGCCGAATGAGGATTTCGGTGTGAAAAACATTGAATTAGATAGCAGGTTCATTTTAACTTTTGAAATATTCCTAACAACTTTATGAAATTTGTGTTTTCAATATCCCTATGTATAGCCTTTCTTTACTAATTTTTGCAGATCTTTTAAAATTATCTTGTAAAGACAATTATCTTGTAAAGACAATTATCTTGTAAATACTGCAGGTATTTGTGTGGGTCTGTGGATGGCCATCTACTGGTCTTTCACTGCAATGACAGTGTCATCCTACTTTCTCCAAAAGGAAATTTACAGCAGTCAAAAACTACTGAATTCATGGTACACATGTGTAAATGTCTGAATCACATTGAAAAAGGCAAATTGTGGAATGAATGTGGATGAGTCTGTTTAGACACAACAGTAGTCCCCACCTTATCCCTGGTTTCACATTCTGAGGTTTCAGTTACCTGCAGCACAGTTCAATAAGATACTTTGAAATCAGAGAGACCACATTCACATAATTTTATTACAGTATATGACTACCATTGTCCTATTTTATTATTAAAGTATAATAAAATATTATTAATCTCTTCATGTACCTAACTTATAAATTAAACTTTATCATAGGTATGTATGTACAGGAACAAACGTAGTATATATAGAGTTTGGTTCTATCTGTGGTTTCAGGCACCCAGGGTGTCTTGGCACCAGCTCTGTGGATAAGGAGAAACTCCTGTATTTTATTTGTGGAATTTAAAAATCTAAATACAACATTTGTATGTTAAACTTCTTCAGTCTGAAATGCTTTCAGCCATCTACTGGGGAGCTTGGCACTACCTCTGTGGATAAGGGGGAACTCCTGTATTTTATTTGCAGAATTTTTTATCTAAATACATATTTTTTGTGTTAAACTTCTTCAGTCTGAAATTTAAGAATAAAAACCAGAGAGAGTATGTGAAGATTTAGAACGTTACTCGGCATATGAGAGTAGCTAGCACCAGGCCAGGTGCGGTGGCTCATGCTTGTAGTCCCAGCGCTTTGGGAGGCTGAGGCAGGTGGATCACTTGAGGCCAGGAGTTCTAGACCAGTCTGGCCAACATGGTTAAACCCCATCTCTACTGAAAGTACAAAAATTAGCCAGGTGTGGTGGTGCACACCTGTAGTCCTGGCTACTTGGGAGGCTGAGGCATGAAAATTGCCTGCCTGGGAGGTGAAGGTTGCAGTGAGCCGAAATTATGCCCCTGCACTCCAGCCTGGACAGAGTGAGACTGTCTCAAAAAAAAGGAAGAAAAAGAAAAAGAAGAAGAAGGAGGAGGGGGAGGGGAGGAGGAGGAGGAGAAGGAGAAGGCGGAAGGAGAAGGAGAAGAACCAGCACTATTGTTGGGAGTGTTCTAACTGTAATAGTAATCCATTTGATCCTCACATCAACTGTAGGTGATAAGTGCTGTTATTCACTTTCTATTTATGAGGAAGCTGAGGTTAGGTCACAGGAAAACTAGTGTTTGGATCAAAGCTGCCTGCACTCTTAGCTCTGTACTATCAGTGTATGTTAGCAGTCATCTTTATCATTAGCAGTGGCAGTATATCTGAGAGATACAAAATCCTGTTGTATTAAAGAACATGGCATAGAAGGGCTTTATACATTTCACTATAGCTGAGGTTAGAAATTTTACACTTGATCTTAGCCAAAAGGCTGAGAAGCGATGAGGTTAGAAATTTTATTGAGCTACTATTGTGTCCATTGTAAGGTAGAATGCCTTTTAAAGTTCTCATCCTTTCGTTTGAAGTTCCATAGATACCAAGGCCATTCAACCCTATTTGCTCATTAAAATCATTTCACTAAAGTGACCAAAAGAACAGAAGTAGGGATACAATAACGTCTTTCTACGGAGAATGATTCATATGGAACATTTGATAGATTGGTAATTTACAATCATATTTAATGGCAGAGCTCATGGAATTCTCTGTGCGGGTGGGAGCTGAATGTCCTGCCCACAGGCCTCACTAGTGCCCCCTGTCTCCTCTCTTTGTCCTGCTCCCCAGCCTGCATACAATCTGAAAAGTCACTGGTCTACTTCTGTCCCAGCTAGAGCTGTTTCCTAGCTCTAGCAGAGGACCTGCAGAGGATTTCCATGGCACAGCTTTGTGATCCAGACATCATGTGGGAAAGCTAGGGATATGTGATTTACCAGTCACTTTTGCTGGGCTTGTGCTTTTCATGTTGTACAGAATTAATATAACTCTAGGAAATATTTCTACCATTTGCCTTCCTTTGTGAGAAGACTGGACTTCATGGCTCTCCCCACATACTAATTCTGCTGTGTTGCTTTTGTGCTTTGGACTGACTCAAAAATGGCCCCAAGAGTCCCCACCTGCTTTTCATGCCCTTGTGAAAACTCCTTCTCCGAGTGTGGGAAACCGTGACTTGCTCCCAAACACTAGAATTTGGCAACAGTACTGGGATATCACTTTCACAAATAGATTAAATAAGATTCTGGTTTCTGTATTGCCAGTGGACTCTCCCTTGCCAGCCTTGAGGAAGGAGCTGCCATGTTGGAGGCTACCCTATGGAGAAGCCCATGTAGCAAGGACATAAGGGTGGCTGGTGGCCCAGACAGAAAGGAGCTGAGGCTCTCGGCCCAACAGCCTGAAAAGAACTGAAGTTACACCCACAATGACATGACTTTGGAAGCAGATCCCTGAGTCTTCAGATGAGACCTCAGAACTGGCCAACACCTTGATTGAAGCCCTAATGAGAGACCCTGAAGTAGAGGGCCCTCCTAAGCCATGCCTGGATCCGTGACTCATAGGAACTGTGAGGTAATAAATGTGTGCTGGTTGCTAAATTTGTGGTAATTTGTTATCAGCAATAGGTAGTTAATACATACATCTACACAACACTTTGATACTGAGGAAATCAGATTACAGTAGTCCCCCCTTATCCAAGGGGGTTTAAGTTAGGACCTCAGTAGATGCCTGAAACTGAGGATAGGACTGAGTACTGTATACACTGTGTTTTTTCACCCATGTATACGTACATATGATAAAGTTTAATTTATAAATGAGGTACATTAAGAGATTAGCGACTTCTCTTTGGCATATATTTGGCTTCTCTTTGGCATGTCTGAATTGCCAGTATCACTACTCTTGCATTTTGGGGCCATTATTAAGTAAAATAAGGGTTACTTAAACACAAGCACTGTGCTACCACCACAGTTGATCTGACATCCAAGCCGGCTACTAAGTCACTAATGGGCGGGGATTGTGGACGGCGTGAGACGCAGGGCAGAGGGAGGATTCATGTTCTGAGAGAGACAGAGCAGCATTTTTTTTTTTTTTTTTTTTGAGACAGAGTCTCGCTCTGTCGCCCAGGCTGGAGTGCAATGGCATGATCTTGGCTCACTGCAGCCTCCGCCTCCCCGGTTCAGGCGATTCTCCTGCTTCAGCCTCCTGAGTAGCTGGATTACAGGTGCCTGCCACCATACTCAGCTAATTTTTGCATTTTCAGTAGAGACAGGGTTTCACCATCTTGGCCAGGCTGGTCTCGAACTCCTGACCTCAGGTGATCCACCCACCTCAGCTGCCATTATAGGCATGAGTCACCGTGCCTGGCCAATGCCGTGGGATTTTATCACGCTACTCAAGATGGCATGTGGTTTAAAACTGATGAATTGTTTATTTCTGGAGTTTTCCATTTAATATTTTCAGGCTGCAGGTAACTGTAACCACAGAAAACGAAAGGGCAAAGAGGAGGACTGCTGTATAACAGACTCTCAAAGGGACCTGGACAATGCATGATTCGACAGTGCTTCTGTTTTGCCTATGCTCTTGTAGTGAACACCTCCCAGGTTCAAATTATTCTCCTGCCTCAGCCTCCGGAGTAGCTGGGATTACAGGCACCTGCCACCACGCCCAGCTAATTTTTGTATTTTTAATAGAGATGAAGTTTCATCATGTTGGCCCGGCTGGTCTCAAACTCCTGACCTCAGGTGATCCGCCTGCCTCGGCCTCCCAAAGCGCTGGGATTACAGGTGTGAGCCACCACGCCCCACCATGTCTTGTCTTTGATTGTATTCCCAGTGCCCGGAACCCTGCCCGGACACTGTAGCCAGCCTATACATGTCTGTGAAAATAATAGTCTTATTAAAAGAACTAGAAAAAAAGGCAATCACTAAACTTTAAGTGGGTTTCGGGTGACCAAGAAGTTAACAGTGAAGAAGCTCAGATTATGATTAAGAATTCGGCTTTAGAAGAGCTATACTAGAGGTATTGAAATGACTCTGAGGTCACCCCCCAGCCTACCATGAAGTCGCCGGGGATGGACAAACTGGAGGACGACTCCGCACCTGATGTTTAAGAGAAAGTGCAGCCTCCATGCTGCTGGCAGGTAAACAATGTTCCAGAAAGGCAGGAAGAAGGAACTCTAAGGGTGAGTTCTCACACCATCAGCCTGCAGTGCTGTGTTCCTATTTCTTTATGCCAACTTGTGACAGGTAAAGCCTAGCTCACATAGTCAAGGCCAAGCTGCAAGGGAGTCTGGGGAAGTGAGCATCTCGCATTTTCAGCTGTGTAACTGAAGAGAATAACAAATGTCTACAGAGGAGGAGGTATTAGAATAAAGGTGGAATAACCAGGAGGAACCAGCCATGCAGTAATCTGGGGGAGGGGCTTCCTAAACAGGAAAGAGCAGATGCAAATTCCCTGGGTGGAGGTGAGCTTGCTGTGTTTGCGGAACAGAGAAGGCCAGTGCAGTTCAGCAGTGAGGGAGAGGAGGGGAAGGAGATGAGAAAGAAAGAAGTCAGGGGCCAGGTAATGTAGTACCTTGTGAAGTAGGATTAGGAGCTTGCATTTTATTCTAAGCACAGTGGGAAGATTCCTGTACTAGTTTCCTAGGACTACTGTAAACATTTACCACAAAGTTGGTTACTTGAAACAACAGAAATTTATTCCCTCAGAGTTGTGGAGGCCAGAAATACAAAATGGAAGTGTTGGCAGGGTTGAGCCTTCTGAACCCTTTTGAGGGATAATGTTTGTGCTGCTTTCCTAGCATCTGCTGGCTGCTGGCAACACCTGGCATTCCTTGGCTTGTAGACACATCACTGCAATCTCTGCTTTCATCGTCACAGGGCCTTTTCCGTGTGTGTCTGTGTCAAATCTCTCTCTCCTTTCTAAGGACACTAGTCACTGGATTTGGGGCCCAACCTACATCTAAGACTGAACTCATTCTGAGATCCTTAACTTAATTAGATTTGCAAAGATCGTATTTCCAGGCCATGCGTGATGGTACGCCTGTAGTCCTAGCTACTCGGGAGGCTGAGGCAGGAGGGTCCCTTGAGTCCAGGAGTTTAAGGCTGCAGTGAACTATGATTGCACCACTGCACTCCAGCCTGGGGGACAGAGGGAGAGCCTATGTTTAAACAACATAACACAGTACAACACAACACAACACAACAAAACACCACACTGTGCAAAGACCATATTTCCAAATATTCATAGGTTTTGGATGTGAGGACTAGGACATGTCATTTGGGTGACACTAAGGATTTTTGGCAGGGTGGGTGGGGGATGTGATTACATTTTGTTTATTTTAATTTTTATTTATTTATTTGTTTTGAGGTGAAGTCTTGCTGTCTCGCCCAGGCTGGAGTGCAATGGCGTGATCTCTGCTTGCTACAACCTCCACCTCCTGGGTTCAAGCAATTTTCCTGCCTCAGCCTCCTAAGTAGCTGGGACTACAGCTATATGCCACCATGCCCGGCTACTTTTTTTTTTTTTTGTATTTTTTTTTTTTTTAGTAGAGACAAAGTTTCACCATGTTGGCTAGGCTGGTCTTAAACTCCTGGCCTCCGGTGATCTGCCTGGCCTTGGCCTCCCGAAGTGATGGATTATAGGCGTGAGCCACCACGCCTGGCCTGGTTTACATTTTGAAGAGATGGACTATAGGAGGATAAGAGTGAAAACAAGAAGGTAGTAGCCTTTTGCAGGGATGTAGGTGAGGGATGATCTTGGTGAGGGGCACAAAAGTGGAAACCTTGAAGGCAGAGACAACTGGAGATTGGAAACATTGTTTGGAAGCAGATTCTATATGCTTTGCTAATAGGTTGCATATACGTAGTGAGGAAACAGGAGGAATCAACAGTGACTTTTGGGTTTTGAGCCTGATGAACCAGGCCATTTACCGAGATGGGGAGGCCTGAAGCAGGAACAGGTTGGGGGTGGCAAATGGAGGGTTCTGTCTCTCTTTTTTTTTTTTTTTTGAGATGGAGTCTCGCTCTGTTGCCAGGCTGGAGTGCAGTGGTGCGATCTCGGCTTACTGCAACCTCTGCCTCCCGGGTTCAAGTGATTCTCTTGCCTCAGCCTCCCGAGTAGCTGGGACTACAGGTGTGCGCCACCCCACCCAGCTAATTTTTGTATTTTAAGTAGAGACGAGGTTTCCCCATGTTGGCCAGGATGGTCTTGATCTCTTGACCTCGTGATCCACCCTCCTTGGCCCCCCAGAGTGTTGGGATTACAGGCATGAGCCACTGCGCCCAGCCAGAGGGTTCTGTCTTAGACGTGTTCAGTCCAAGATGGACATTAGACATCTAAATTATGTGCACTGTGGTTACTGGAAACTGAGGCAAAAGGAAAAGTGAGTAATACTGATGCCGTCTTCATTTAAAATTGTGTTTCTGCTTGTCATAGCTTGTTTTGCTTTGATTTTGACATTTAAGAGAATGCATTCCAATATTATTTACCTCTGTTACTGGGTTTCTTGCCACCCCCTTAACTACTAAGCCCAAAGCCTCAACCTGGTCCTGGCTCTGATGGGCGCATGCAAGAGAAGCTGCCTTAGTGCAGCACAGGGGACGCTGGGGAGAAGTTGGAGGACATGCTGGAGTCCAGGCTTGGCCCCTTATTAGGCATGCGCCTCACAAGAGTCATCGTCTCCATGGGTCCCCGTTTCCTCCTTTGTGAGAGGAGGGTGTTCAATCAGATGAACTCCCAATTTTGAATGGCAAGGCATGGAACTGAACAGATCCAAGGGTAGCTCCCCACCACCAACATACTGCTAGACATGTGAGATGCCTTCTGCCTTCTCTATCCTCCTTCCTGCTCCCCAGCAATAGAGTTAGGCTTAGAATCCACAGGGGGAGAGTTTTGAAATAACAGAGGAAACTCCCTTCTCCCTATTTCAAGTCCTTCCACCTAGGGTGACCATTCATCCAAAATGGCCAGGGTAGCCTCAGCACATGACCAAGGTATCATTATTATTATTAGTGCCGACTTTCACTCAAGTGTGTCCCAGTTTCTATTTTAAATTAAATAGTCTATTTACTCAAGCCACAAGTGTAACCACTGATAGTGGAGGAGAAAACATTGAACTGGATATCATTTCAGGGTTTTAAACTGAACTGGACTGGGTTGTAATAATCTGAAGTTACCAGAAACTATAATAATAGATTTCTTCCTAGATTTTTATTAAGGGATGGGAAAAGATGCTTTGATACAATATAATTCAAACCAGTAATTGGGAAAAAAAAAAGACTTTTATGGTGTTCCATGGAAAAAGAGGCTGGTTCAGTTTGCAACTCAGTTCACAACTGCTTTTCCTCCAAACAACCATAAAACAGCTTGCAGCAAGCACTGTATGTGTTCTCCCATTTGATCACATAGATTATTAAAAGGACAAGAATCAAGATTTAGCAAAATCTGGCCCAGCGCCGTGGCTCATGCCTGTAATCCCAGCACTTCAGGAGGCCAAGGTGGGTGGATCACCTGAGGTCAGGAGTTTGAGACCAGCCTGGCCAACATGGTGAAACTCTGTCTCTCCTAAAAATACAAAAAAGTATCTGAGCATGGTGGCAGGCAACTGTACTCCCAGCTACTTGGGAGGCTGAGGCAGGAGAATCACTTGAACCTGGGAGGTGGAGGTTGCAGTGAGCCGAGATCACGCCATTGCACTCCAGCCTGGGCAACAAGAGAGAAACTGTCTCAAAAAAAAAAAAAAAGGAAATTTAGCAAACTTCATCACTTTTACTGCTTGCCACTAATTTTAACAACCACCCAAAGTTGTGTTTCTATTACTAAGAGTGAATTAAGCATCATTTCATTTATTTAAGAGTCGTTCATATTTCCTTTTCTGTGAATTGTCTGTTCATATCTTGTACCAGTTTTTTTCTATTAGGTTACTGATATTTCAACTCATTGATTTGATAAGCGCTCTCTGTTATGGAAGTTAGCTCTTTTTTTTTTTTCGAGATGGAGTCTCACTCTGTCACCCAGGCTGGAGTGCAGTGGCATGATCTCGGCTCACTGCAACCTCCAGCTCTCGGGTTCAAGCAATTCTCCTGCCTCAGCCTCCTAAGTAGCTGGGACTACAGGTGCATGCCACCACATTCAGCTAATTTTTTGTATTTTTTAGTAGAGATGGGGTTTCACCGTGTTAGCCAGGATGGTCTCGATCTCCTGACCTCCTGACGCTCCTGCCTCGGCCTCCCAAAGTGCTGGAATTACAGGCATGAGCCACTGTGCCTGGCCGAAAATTAGCTCTTAATCTGTGATCTGAGTTGCAGAAATTTTATTTCAGTTTGTCAGTCTGTCTTCAATTTGTCAGTTCCTCATCATGGTTGTTACTATCAAGAAATTTTATTTTTGTTGTTGTCAAATTAAATAATATTTTCTTTTCTTGCTTTGGGTTTTGGGTCTTCTTTGTCTGTCACAACTTCATTTTTTAAAAAAATCGCCATGGTTTTGTTATGGTACATCTGAGGTTTCATTGTCTACATTGATTTCATTGATGTTTCTGACATGTATTCTGGTGTAAGATATTAGGAGATTCAAATTATTTTTTCTAAATGTTTACCTAATTGTTCCACTCTATTTTTTATAAATCTTAGAATTTATTGTTCTCTCTTATGTATGAAAATAACTTGGTCAACAGTTGACGGCTAAACTCTGAGTGGTGCATAGGAGTGTGCTATGTGTTATGTGCTTTTCTGTTTAAAACATGGTTATCTTTATCTTACCAGTGTTGACTTAAAATAATGATTGAAATTGAGCCCATTGATGTGCATTTATTTTTGTTTTTGTTTTTAACAGCTTTATTGTGGTATAATCACATACTGCACATATTTACTAGATTATTTTATTTTAAAATTTCACAAATAGACAGTTTCTGGTTCTGTCCACTGAAAAGGCCTAGGGGTAATGATAACCCAATAGCAATGAGCACAACTGGTGTCTGGATTGGAGTCTCTAAATAGCATTTCCCACTAAAAACATCAGGGCTCACTGGAGGAATGCTTGATTCTAAATCTGCGTAGGAATTTATAAGATGAGTTAGGGACATATTGTTGTGTCAAAAAGCA
Source organism: Homo sapiens (assembly GCF_000001405.40). NCBI lineage: Eukaryota > Metazoa > Chordata > Mammalia > Primates > Hominidae > Homo > Homo sapiens. The sequence goes on from NC_000008.11 coordinate 56,088,382, forward strand.
AGGAAGATTTATGGATTATGTCCAAAGAACAGGGGCCAATATAAAGAAACTCCATTAATCAATTATGAAACCATTTAAGCATCAAAAAGAATTAAGACTAGAATTGATCGATATTGAATATATAAAAAACAAATTTATGATAGAGAGAGAGGCAGAATGAGATCAAAAAGAGAATAACTCTAATAGCTCATTGGATGCCACAGTAAATAACTAGGACACCAATTCCTTACTCTGAAATATGATAATTAAAAGCAAAAAATTAGCATTTACCCTAAATTTCTTTCTTTCTTTTTCTTTTTCTTTCTTTTTTTTTTCTTTTTGAGACAGAGTTTCACTCTTGTTGCCCAGGCTGGAGTGCAATGGCACAATCTTGGCTCACCACAACCTCCATCTCCCGAGTTCAAGCAATTCTCCTGCCTCAGCCTCCCGAGTAGCTGGAATTACAGGCATGCACCACCATGCCCAGCTAATTTTTTGTATTTTTTGCAGAGACAGGGTTTCTCCATGTTGGTCAGGCTGATCTCGAGCTCCCGACCTCAGGTGATCCACCCGCCTTGGCCTCCCGAAGTGCTGGGAATACAGGCATGAGCCACCGCACCTGGCTACCCTAACTTTCTTATACATACTGCATTTCCACCAAATAGCTCTATTTTATGTGGAAGAGTTTTTTTTTTTTAAACAGATTTCCAAATACTACATAGGGTAGGAATGATAAAATTAGGATTGCCTCATTTTGTAAGTCCTAAATAGTTGAGTCAGGTGATATGTAATGGATGGAACCATTACATGAGAGAAGGCTGGAGGATGCCCTTACAATGGACAGATTTACGGAACCCCTTGATCCATCTCATTATCTCTGAAGGTGGAAAAATGAATGTATTCTTCCTGAGGTTAGGCACACAGCACCACATATGAAGGATTCTTCCCCTAAATGTTGAACCTGAACTTAGTCAAGGGTCTAAAACCAAATTCCCCTCACAGGGAATGGGGGGATAATAGAAAGATTTAAATGTCACCACAAAGAAGCTGATACAGTTTGGATGTTTTGTCCCCTCCAAATCTCATGTTGAAATGTGACCCCCAATGTTGCAGGTGGGCATAGTGGGAGGTATTTGGGTCATGGGGGTGGATCCCTCACAAATAGCTTGGTGCCATCCTCATGGTAATGAGTGAGTTCTTTCAGTTCATGTGAGATCTGGTTATTTAAAAGGGGCTGGCAGCCGGGCACGGTGACTCATGCCTGTAATCCCAGCACTTTGGGAGGCCAAGTTGGGCGGATCACCTGAGGTCAGGAGTTCAAGACCAGCCTGGCCAACATATTGAAACCCCCTTCTCTACTAAAAATACAAAACTTAGCTGGGCATGGTGGTGTGTGCCTGTAGTCCCAGCTACTTGGGAGGCTGAAGCAGGAGAATTGCTTGAACCCAGGGAGGTGCGGTTGCAGTGAGCTGAGATCAGGCCACTGCACTCCAGCCTGGACTACAGAGCGAGATTCTATCTCAAAAAAAAAAGAAGTTGGTACCCCCTTCCTGGCTCGTGCTCCTTCTCTCACCATGGGATGCCAGTTTCCCTTTGCCTTCAGTCATGAGTGGAAGCTTCCTAAGCCCTCCCTGGAAGCAGATGTGGGAGCTATACTTCCTGTACAGCCTGCAGACATGTGAGCCAAATAAACCTCTTTTCTTTATGAATTACCTATTCTCAGGTGTTCCTTTATAGCAATGCAAAGGGACTATCCCAGAAGCCAATAGGCAAACCCAATATGTGGGACATTTAATAGAAAATAAACCTGGTTTGGTCAGGTGTGGTAGCTCACACTTGTAATCCCAGCACTTTGGGAGGCTGAGGTGGGTGGATCACTTGAGGTCAGGAGTTCGAGACCAGCCTGACCAACATGGCAAAACCCTGTCTCTACTACAAATGCATTAGCTGGGAGTGGTGGCTCGTGCCTGTAGTCCCAGCTACTCGGAAGGCTGAGGCAGGAGAATCGCTTGAACCTGAGAGGCAGAGGTTGCAGTGAACTGAGATCATGCCACTGTACTCCAGCCTGGGCGACAGAGCAAGATTCCATCACCAAAAAAAAAAAAAAAAAAAAAGAAAGAAAGAAAAGAAAATGAACCTAGTTTCTGCAAACAAGCAAACAAACATTTGGGTGGGGGGAGGAATCTAGATTAAAAGAACACCTAAAAGAAATGTGTGCATCTTATTTAGATGTTGATATAAACAAAACAACCATAGAACATATTTTGAGGCAATTAGGGAAATTTGATTATTGATAAATCATTTGATATTAGTGAGAAATTGTTAATTAAGAGTGATAATGACATTATGGTTATGTAAGAAAGTGTCCATATTTTAGAGATGCTAATAGAAGGATGAAGAAATAAAATGATGTGACTTTTGTGTTTGCTTAAGTTACTTTGGTAAAGAAAGAAATAATAAAAAAACTAAATGAAGCATATTTGTTGAAGATCATTTGACCATATACACAAGAGTTTATTTCTGGGCTCTATTTTATTCCATTGGTCTATTTGTCTGTTTTCATGCCAGCACTACACTGTTTTGATTACTATGGCTTTGTAATATGTTTTGAAATCAGGAAGTGTGAGTCATTTAACTTTGTTCTTTCTTTTCAAAATTGTTTTGGCTATTAAAGATCTTTTAATATTCCATATGAATTTTAGGGTAATTTTATTTCTGCAAAGAAAGACATTTAGATTCTGAAATAGGATTCCACTGAATCTGTAGGTTGCTTTGGCTAGTATGGACATTTTTATAATATTAAGTCTTCCAGCTGGGCACAGTGGCTCATCTCTGTAATCCCAACATTTCGGGAAGCTGAGGTGGCCAGATCACCTGAGATCAGGAGTTCGAGACCAGCCTGGCCAACATGGTGAAACCCTGTCTTTACTAAAAATACAAACATTAACCATGCGTGGGGGTGGGCGCCTGCAATGCCAGCTACTTGGGAGGCTGAGGCAGGAGAATTGCTTGAACGGGGTGGGGGCAGAGGTTGCAGTGAGCCAAGATAGCGCCATTGCACTACAGCCTGGGTGACAAGAGCGAGACTCCATCTTCCAATTCATAAACACAGGATGAGGCCGGGTGCGGTGGTTCACGCCTGTAATCCCAGCACTTTGGGAGGCCGAGGTGGGTGGATCACGAGGTCAGGAGATCGAGACCATCCTGGTTAACACAGTGAAACCCCATCTCTACTAAAAATTACAAAAAATTAGCTGGGCATGGTGGCAGGCGCCTGTAGTCCCAGCTATTCTGGAGGCTGAGGCAGGAGAACGGCGTGAACCTGGGAGGTGGAGCTTGCAGTGAGCCAAGATCGTGCCACTGCACTCCAGCCTGGGCAACAGAGCAAGACTCCATCTAAAAAAAAAAAAAAATTTTAAACACAGGATGTCCTTCCATTTATTTGTGTCTTCTTTCAGCAATGTTTTATGGCAATGTAAAAGCCTTTTACCTCCTTGATTAGGTTTATTCCTAAGTATTTTGTTCTTTTGATACTATTGTAAATGGAATTGTTTTCTTAATTTCTTTTCAGATTGTTTATATTATAAAGAATTTCTAGAAATTGGAAAACAAGAAAAGTTTTTTTTTAAATAAATAAATCCACAGCCCTCCAGACAACTAACCCCAGACAAACGAAACTTTAATTTCGGTCTTTTCTCTGTGTGTTTTAAGAAAAATTTCTTGATTTTAAAAAGCACTTATAATCAAACAATGTGTAATTTTGTACTCTGCCCCATTCATTGAACACTATAGTACAGCCATTTCTGTTATCACAATCTTCATATCCTTTTGAATCAACTGTTCTATTGCAATTTATTTAACTAGTTTAAAACATTTATCTTTCTTTGAATTTCTTACCAGAATAAATGGCTCTTGGTGATTTTTTTTCAATTAAAATTCTTATTTTATAGTATTTCATAGGATGGAGGTCCAGAAGCAGAATTACTGAATCAGTGAATATAAATATTTTTGAGGTTCTTGATACACTGCCAAACTGCAGTTATTTTCCAAAAAGCTTTAATAATTTATATTGTCACTAGGAGTGGCGAGATCTTCTTTTACCACAACTTTATTCAAATTAAGAATTGTGTATGTGTGGGTGTTTTAAAAAAAGATACCTTATTTTAAATTTGCAATTCTTCAAGTACTTGTGAGATCACGTTATCCTGTTTTTCATATTTGTCTCCTAAATGCATATTCTTTATTATGAATTGAACTTTCAAGATTTTCGTTCGTTTCTCTATTAGGGCATGATGATTTTTATGTATGTGTGTTCTTTTTCAATTATTCTTTTCTTTTTTCCTTCCTTCCTTCCCTCCCTCCTTTCTTTCTCTTTCTTTCTTTCCCTTCTTTCCCTCCCTCCCTCCCTCCCTTCCTCCCTTCCTCCCTCCCTCCCTCCCTCCCTTCCTTCCTCTCTCTCTTTCTCTTTCTTTCTTTCTTTCTTTCTTTCTTTCTTTCTTTCTTTCTCTCTCTCTCTCTCTCTTTCTTTCTTTCTGTCTTTCCTTCTTTCTTTCTTTCTTTCTCTTTCTTTTCTTCTTTTTGTTTTTTTGAGACAGGGTCTAGCTCTGTCGCCCAGGCTGGAGTGCAGTGGCACAATCTCAGCTCACTGCAACCTCCACCCCCTAGGTTCAAGTGATTCTTCTGCCTCAGCCTCCCAAGTAGCTGGGATTACAGGCGCGTGCCACTACGCCAGGCTAATTTTATATTTTTAGTAGAGACAGGGTTTTGCCACGTTGGCCAGGCTGGTCTCAAACTCCTGACCTCAAGTGATCCACCTGCCTCGGCCTTCCAAAGTGCTGGGATTACAGGCATGAGCCACTGCACCTGGCCATGTATGCATTCTTTATATAATAAAAATATTGACCTGTTGTCACATTTTGACAAAATATTTTTCTCCACCCATTGTCTGTAGTTTATTCATATTTTAATAATCAGAAGTTACCATTTTTTGTAATTAAATCTGGCAATCTCCTTCATAGTTTTTTTCATTGTTTTTAAGCTTCTGTGTTCATATTCATAATCTTTCAATTCTATATATGCTCTTTAATCCATCTGGAAGCGATTTTGGTGTGTGGGATGTAAAGTATTTATTGAAAAAACATATAATTTTAGTAAAACCAATGGTGGAAGGCTAAAAGCTCCTTGCAAACAGGAAACATGTTTTATTCACTCTTGGGTTTCCCTGACTTTCCCAGGCAGAAGAATCACTAAAGGCAGCTTTTGTTTCCTCAGGCTCCAGCAGCCTAAGCTACATTCAGGAAACATGGGCCTCCACTCCCTCCATCTGCTCTTTCTGCTGGAAGACACTAAGCACCTGTCCCCTTGCTGGTGTCATGACATCTCCCAGGGGTTGCTGGTCTCTTGTCCCTTGTGGACATCTTCAACCATGAGCTTCTGTAGAAGCAAGGAAACGGCTACCTTCCCGGGGGCTGCCCAGCCTTGAGCCAGCAGCGCCCCCTGGCGCCTTTTTCGTTTTAATTGTTCACACAATGCTCCACTCTCTCCGCTGGTCATTTTTCCTGGAAGGCGCCTCAAAAGATCTCCTTCATCCGCTGGGGTAGCTTAGGCTGACATTCTCTTGCGCTGACATTGCTCTTAGGGTTAATTTCTTCTTCATTTGAACAGTTCCTCCTCAGTTAAGGAGAAGCCATTATTTCTTGGTTGCCTTTTTCTTTTTTTGATATGGAGAGGCAGAGGGGTTGTGGGTGGAGGCCGACTATTAGCCTCATCTTAGTGATCTCTTCCAGGAACTTTGTTTTTTTTTTTTTTTTTTTTTGAGACAGGGTCTTGCTCTATCGCCCAGGCTGGAGTACAGTGGCCTGATCTCGGCTCATGGCAACCTCGACCTCCTGGGATCAAGCGATTCTCCTACTTTAACCTCCCAAGTAGCTGGGATTACAGGCATGTGTCACCACGCCCAGCTAATTTGTGTCTTTTTGGTAAAGACAGGATTTCACCATGTTGCTCAGGCTGGTCTTGAACTCCTGACCTCAATTGATCTGCCCTCCTCGGCCTGCTGGGATTACAGGCGTGAGCCACCGCGCCCGGCCCAGGAAATCTTTGAAGCTTTGTACAAATAAAATCCCAATGAGGATTTCCTGCTGTTTGAGCTAGAACTACACGTCTTTGTACAAATAAAATCCCAATGAGGATTTCCTGCTGTTAGAGTTAGAACTACAGGTCTTTGCTGGGTGCGGTGGCTCACGCCTGTAATCCTCGCAGTTTGGGAGGCTGAGGCTGGCAGATCATCTGAGGTCAGGAGTTCGAGACCAGCCTGCCCAACATGGAGAAATGCTGTCTCAACTAAAATACAAAAATTAGCTGGTCGTGGTGGCAGTCCCAGCTACTTGGGAGGCTGAGGCAGGAGAATCACTTGAACCCGGGAGGTGGAGGTTGGAATGTGCCAAGATCGTGCCATTGCACTCCAGCCTGAGCGACAGTGCGAGATTCTGTCTCAAAAAAAGAAAAAAAGAAAAGAAAAAACCATAGAACTCTTTAAAATAGAATTTTTGTCACTAAGGAGGAATCTATAAAATAGGTTGGGGGAGAGTTCAAATAAATGAAACCTAGAAGTAGTCCTCAAATCTAATTAAAGCCAACACTGGAGATCAGTCCTGTTACAAAACAGAAAAACAAATTGTTGAATGTATCTGCATCATTTTCTCTCCTACCACCCTGGCAGAGGTACTGAGTACCAGAATGGCCAAAACATAGTGGCAAGAGAGCCAGCAGGGAAAATCCTGAACAATCCACTAATTGCATACTCAAGCCTACATTCAATTGACTCTATATTCAGAAACAGAATTGTCCTAGCCATGGATTTATCCTAGCTCAAGTTAAAAGAGCAGGAAATTATGAGATAATTATGGAAAGATATACTCCAGTAGACAATTAATAATAGACCATCTACCGTAGTAGACTAGCATTACCCTTGTCACAACATTCAATTGAATATGAGAGAAAGCAGCTTATTTTTCTTTCTTTTTTAAACAATTTATTCTTCAGGTTGTTTTGTGGCAGAATTAACATTTCTTAAGGCCTTAAAGATTCTTCAATGTTGGACAAATGTTTGCTCAGACTAACTGTACAATATGTTCTAATATGGTTCACCATTTCTGAAAGTGGGAAAATCTACTTCCAGTTTTTAAGTCAGGGAAATTCTGTAACTTGACTCCTATGTGAGGGGATGTGCTTCTGGCATTGGTTGCTATTATTCTGTCAAGTTTTTTTCTCCCTTCTGTTTAAATTTCTGCTGGCTGCACTCTATTATTCCATAGACCTTTAGGTTTTCCCTCTTTGTAATTTGATGCCCTATTCAGCAGTATTCAGGAAGCTGTCTTGCTTTAGTTTAGTCCTTCTCAACTGCTTCTGCTTTCCTTAGCTGAATGTGTGGCTTGTTTCGTCTTTTCAGTTTTCCCCTTTCACGGGGGCTTGTATTATTTCAATATTCTTTATAAGGAAAGTATAAATTTCACGTGAGTTGATTCACATATATCAATGTATTAAAAAAATTTAAGGTTTTTGATATTGTTTGCTTTTAAAAACATGCCCATACATACATTTTCTTTTCATTTTTTAAATTTAGTTTTAATTTTCATCAGTTGTACGTGAATGTCAGTTAACAAGTCAAATAGCTACACTCGAATTATTGCATAGAAAAGCTGGCCTCTAGGGTGCCACATCAATTCTTAGAGTCTCCCAACCATGCTCAACTCCTTTTTGCTGTTGGTTTTGATATTTAACTGCATACCTCTAAATATAGCATGCTTATATGACTACATTATTATTATTATTACTATTATTATAGTTGTCAGCATTATCTATTGACGTCCCTTTTTGGAAAATGAGGATTTACTTTTTTTCAACTCCTATCCCCAGTACATCTGGTCACAATTCCCCTCCATCTTTCCATCATAGTTAAGTTATAACTTTGGTTAGATCAATATGTGATGTTACAGTATTACATTTACATAAAGCCATTTGGGATTGTTCCATTCCTTATGCAATGTTTGCTTTCCTTTTGTTGCCCAACTTTTTGTTTCTCCTAAAGTTAATAAACTTTTTATTTAATTTGCTTTGTTTTCTCTATACTCATCATTAAGTTAACCCCCAACTTGCCTTAAATTCTGGAAATGTTCTTTCAGTCCACTCAAACACAGGGATTCATTAGTTTTATCTTGAGTTTTTGGACCTGCTCTAATCTGTACTGGTGCACAACTGACAGCTCATGGTCTTTATTTGCCATAATCTTTGGGGATTCCCTTTGTTTCTTTATTGAGTCCTATTTATTCCCTGGTTCCCAAGTTTTCTTCTTTCTTGGATTATGTTCTTGCTTTGGTGGAATGAACCCCCTCAAGTAACTTCCTGGAAAAGGGTACACAGATATAAATTTTTGAGATCTGACATGTCTGAAAAGGTCTTTAGTCAACTTGCACATACAATCAATAGTTTGGGTATAGAATTCTAAGTTGAAAGTGATTTTTGCTTAGAATTTTGGAGGCAATGTTCTCCACTGTCTTTTAATGTTTTTATCTTTTGTATGTGACTTGTTTTTGCTTTTAAATTCTGGAAACTTTTAGGACTTTGCTATTGTCTCCACTATTTCAAAATTTCATGATTATATACTTTCTCATAGTCTGTTTTCATTCATTGGGCAATCGGTACATCCTTTCAAATGGAAGACATTTGTTTCTTAAATGGTTCTTTAATAATTTTCTTCTGTTTTTCATGTTTTCTCTTCCTGGAACTTCTATTAGTTAGATGTTGGACTTCTCAGATTGATCCTCCAATTGTCTTGTTTTTGCTATTTTCAATTTCTTTTACTTTTCCTCTACTTTCTGAGATATTTCCTTACCTTTATGTATCAATTTTTCTAACGAATTATTTATTTATATTATAGTGTTAACTTCCAAGAGCTCTTTACTATTTTCTAGCTTTAAAAAAATCCTGTGTTTGTTTCACGTAGCCAACACTCCTTTCACATGTCTCCAAAGATGGTTAAGATTTTAAAAATCTTCTTCTTTCATAGTAAAGCCTTTACTCAGAAATAAATTAGGCTCACTGGTTCTATTTAAGAGTAAGGCGGGCCGGGCGTGGTGGCTCATGCCTGTAATCCCAGCACTTTGGGAGGCCGAGGCGGGCAGATCACAAGGTCAGGTGTTTGAGACCAGACTGGCCAAAATTGTAAACCCTGTCTCTACTAAAAATACAAAAATTAACTGGGCATGGTGGCAGGCACCTGTAATCCCAGCTACTCAGGAGGCTGAGGCAGGAGAATCGTCTGAATCCAGGAGGCGGAGGTCGCAGTGAGCCGAGATCACACCATTGCACTTCAGCCTGGGCGACAGGGCGAGACTCCATCACACACACACACAAAAAAGAGTAAGGCACTAAAAGCTGATTGCTAACTCTGCACATGTGGACAGACCTTTAAGAATGAAAGCTTCACTGTCACTTATTCTACTGTTTTACTGGGGAACGTCCATCATCAGTATCTTTAGGTCTATTTTCTTGAACTATTCATATTTTCCTGCCTAGAGGGTGTTAGCTTGGTTGCCTGATCCTGTGAATTTAAACTTAAATAAGTATCTATAAAAATCTTGAGTTAAATTTAGTATTGTATGATCTCTTCAGTACTAGACTATAATATCAAATCTTGGGTCTATGTATGTTTTTGCTTTTCCCCAGTGTTCCAGGCATGATGCTAAGGATATAGTGGATGATGAAATATATGCTTGCTGAATATGGGAATAAGAATTATTTTATGATCAGATTTTTTTTTTTTGAGATGGAGTCTCGCTCTGTCACCCAGGCTGGTGTGCAGTGGCATGATCTCAGCTCACTGCAACCTCTGCCTCCTGGGTTCAAGTGATTCTCCTGCCTCAGCCTCCTCAGTAGCTGGGATTACAGGCACTGCCACCAAGCCTGGCTAATTTTTGTATTTTTAGTAGAGGCAGGGTTTCACCATGTTGGTCAGGCAGTCCTGAATTCCTGACCTTGTGATCTGCCCGCCTCGGCCTCCCAAAGTGCTGGGATTACAGGTGTGACCCACCGCACCCGGCCATGATCGGATTTATGTGAAGGAAAGGAATAAGTATACACTTAACTATTTCCTTTTCAGCATGGGGCACTGATATAGTTTGGGTATTTGTCCCCACACAAATCTTATGTCAAAATGTAATCACCAATGTTGGAAGTGAGGCCTGGTAGGAGGTGTTTGGATCATGGGGGCAGATCCCTCATGAATGGTTTGGACCATCGTCTTGGTAATAAGTGAGCTGTTGCTCTGAGTTCACACAAGAGCTGTTCATTTAAAAGTGTGTGGCACCTCCCTCACACTCTCTCACTTGCTTCTGCTTTCATCACGTGAAGGGGCTGCTCCCTCTTCACCTTCTGCCATGATTGTAAGCTTCCGGAGGCCTCCCTAGAAGCTGAACACATGCCAGCACCGTGCTTCCTGTAAAGCCTGCAGAGCCATGAGCCAGTCAAACCTCTTTTCTTATAAATTACCCAGTCGCAGGCATTTATAGCAATGCAAGAATGGCTTAATACAGGCACCACATTATACTTCTCATGTAACTTCTTTTTCTCAATTACAGTATTCTAATATTTGTACCAAGTAATGCCTTAGACACTAATTTTCTTTTTTTTAATGGATTAGATACAATAAGTTGTTTAAACATTTAAAGTAATGAAAGTGAAAGTAGGGTATTTCTTGCCACCATGACTATCCCAGGTGGCGGAGTGTAAGGATTAAGGACATAGGTTCTGCCCTGTCATTTGGGTACATGACCCTCCGCCAAGTTACTTACTCTTTCTGGGTATCAATCTCCTGATCTTTAAATAAATAATCATAGTAAATAGGTTAGTGGTGAGATTTTAGTCTATGTAAAACACTTTACAGTTTTTGGATTATAATACTCTCAATAAATTTTAGCTATGACAATAATAAAAAGTGATGATTTTTCTGAGCCGTGAGGACATTACAAGAGTGATGAGTGTTATGAAGGAGAAGTGTAGTGTGACGGGAACATTTACCAGAGGGGCATAACTTAAACGGGTGCATTTTAGTCTTTTTCCTTCATGGCCTTGTCAGCTGCTCCCTACCTTTTTTTTTTTTTTTAGACGGAGTCTCGCTCTGCCACCCAGGCTGGGGTGCAGTGGTATGATCTTGACTCACTGCAACCTCTACCTCCCGGGTTCAAGCAATTCTCCTGCCTCAGCCTCCTGAGTAGCTGGGACTACAGGTGCCTGCCACCATGCCTGCTAATTTTTGTATTTTTAATAGAGATGGGGTTTCACCATGTTGGCCAGGCTGGTCTTGAATTCCTGACCTCAGGTGATCCAACTGCCTCGGCCTCCCAAAGTGCTGAGATTACAGGCATGAGCCACCATGCCTGGGCTGCTGCCCTCTACTTTTGACTTTAGAAAGTGGCTGGAGAAAAGTGAATTCCTGGCACAGTTAAAAGGATGTTTACCATGATTCAGTTAGCTTGAGAAAACTGGATGAAAAGGAAGGCAAGTAGTGTGATACACGAGAGCAAGGAACAGTTAGGGAAGTGGATTAAAGGCGCTTTAAGGCAGGTTGTGCAGATTGAGGTTTAACTTTATGTTTCAATATTTGTTACTATTACATTCTATTCTTTTTGAGTAAGCAATACATTGACATAAAATCAAATATAAATGGTATGCAGTGAAAACTCCCATTCCTATCCTTGCTCTGTCTGTCTCTTTTCCTTACCACAGATAACGACTTTTTTTTTTTCCTTTCTGGAGTTATTATGTAAAAGTATAAAAAACATGAATATCTATTTTTATTCCCCCTCTTTCCTTCACAAAAGGAAGCATATTGTAACATACTCAGTTGCATTCATTACCATCTTACATCTTGCTTTTAATTTAAAAACATATTATGCAGCTTTATCAGTAACAGTAAAACGCTTCTTTTTTTATTTCTTCTCATGTACATAGTGTTTTATGATATGGATGTATCATCAGCTAACCAGTTCTTATTGATGGAGACTTGACCTGCTCTCATTTTGCTCTTACCAAAATGCTGCAATGAATAAACTTGTTCATATGTCTATATAAATAAATCTCCAGAAGTATGATTATTGGATCACAGGGTAAATAATTTTGTAATTTTTTTATTCATTCAAATATTTATTGAACAGCTAAGGAGATACAAAGGTGATTTAAAACATGGTCAGAGGTGGCCGGGCGCGGTGGCTCACGCCTGTAATCCCAGCACTTTGGGAGACCGAGGCAGGTGGATCACGAGGTCAGAAAATCGAGACCATCCTGGCTAACATGGTGAAATCCCGTCTCTACTAAAAATACAAAAAATTAGCCGGGCATGCATGCGGGCGCCTGTAGTCCCAGCTACTCGGGAGACTGAAGCAGGAGAATGGCAGGGTGAACCCAGGAGGCAGAGCTTTCAGTGAGCCGAGATCGTGCCACTGCACTCCAGCCTGGGAGACAGTGAGACTCTGTCTCAAAAAAAAAAAAAAAAAAAACATGGTCAGAGGTGATGCAAATGCACAAGTAATAGAAAGCAAAGGGCAAGGTTCACCGAATCACAGCAGTCAGAAGAAAGTGCTTTAGGGAACCAAGAGTGAGATTGTTTCCAGCCTGAAGAGGCATGGGTGGCAAATCAGAAAAGGGGATTGGGATTAAAATAGAAGACTTCAGTCTGGATTGTTGATGACACTCAGTATGGACTATATTGGTCTCTCCTTTTCCTTTCTCCCCATCTTTGGGCTTAATTTACCAGTAGTGCCCAGGACTGTTCAATGCACTTTTTCTATACTTGCTTGCATTTTTGCTCTGATGTCTTCTACAGAACTAGGTCCTTTTGGTGTTTTAGGAGTTTTTCCTGTTTTTTGAAGGAGTCTTGTCCTTTTGATCTTGGTGTTAATGATGGTTTTGAGTCTTTTCCATTCTGATTTAATTTTTGTCCTTTTTTGGCTAGAGTGTCTTGTATAGATTGCTTCACTGGTGCTTTCTCTTCAGTTCCCTCATCATCAAAATCATCATCATCTTCATCATCATCATTATCATCATCATCATCATCATCTTCATCAGCAGCAAGTTTTACTTTTTTCTGTGGAACCTTGCTACCACCTCCAGTAGCAGACCGCTTTCCAGATATACTTAAGAGTTTCACATCCTCCTCCTCTTCATCTTCTGACTCTGCATCTTCTACCACAGCTACTAAGTGCTGTCCACTAATATGCACTGGCCCTGAACCACACTTCAACTGTAAGACCACTGGTTATGTTATTTCAAATCCCCCAAGGGAAACCGTTGGCTGTACAGACATTTTCAAAGTTGCCAGTGTTACTTTAATTGGGCTGCCTTCGTAATTCATGGCCTCTGCTTCAACAATGTGCAATTCATCCTTTGCACCAGCCCCTAAACTGACCGTTCTTTTTTTTTTTTTAGACAGAGTTTCGCTTTGTCGCCCAGGCTGGAGTGCAATGGCACGATCTCGGCTCACCACAACCTCCACCTCCCGAATTCAAGTGATTCTGCTGCCTCAGCCTCCCAAGTAGCTGGGACTACAGGCATGTGCCACCATGCCCAGCTAATTTTTGTATTTTTAGTAGAGACGGGGTTTCACCATCTTGGCCAGGCTGGTCTCAAACTCCTGACCTCGTGATGCACCCACCTCAGCCTCCCAAAGTGCTGGGATTACAAGCATGAGCCACCGCGCCCAGCCTTAAACTGACCATTCTTAAAGATAACTGGTGCTCATTTTCATCATTATCCACCTTAAAGTGATAATCTTTGTTGGCCTTCAGTTCACAACCGAAAAGATAGTTCTAGGGCCTCAGGAGGCTCATGTCCATGTCCATCAAATCTTCCATCGGGTGGCAGCACGCACTTAGGTGGCAGAGAAGGGGGACAGAGATAAATGACCACTGCTCAAGAGAACAGCTGCACAGGATGGAATCACACCAGCAATTTTGTAATTTTAATAGATGTTCCCAGATTATTTTCCCTAAAGTCTGTACTTCCACCAGCAATATCCAAGAGTGCCTAGGCATTTCCCCATGGTCCCCATGCCTCACCAATTATATTTGTCAAATTTTTGTATTTTGGCCATAATGGAAAATGGTATTGAAAGGTAGTTTTAATTAGCAATTTTCATATATTTAAGAATCACTCATATTTCTATGTCTGTGAACTGATCATTCATCTGTTGGTCTTTTCCTTGTCAAATTCCAGAAACTCTTTTTACACTAGAGGGATTCACCCTTTGCTGTAATATGAGGTACAAATCCTCTCCTCCAGTTTGTTATTTCTCGTTAATCTTTATTTATATTGTTAATTTTCTTTCTATGAAGACATGTTCCCTGTTTTTGTAGTTGAAAACATCAATTGTTTTATTTATGGCTTTAGGAAGACTTTTCTACTATGATGTTATAAAAGAATTTACTGTTCTGGTACTTCTTATGACTTCATTTTTGACACTTAAGTCTTTGATGCATTGGGGAATCTATCCTGATTGACACGGTTTGAATCTATGTCCCCACTCAAATCTCACATTCAATTGTAATTCCCAGAGTTGGAGGCAGGGCCTGGTTGGAGGTGATTGAATCATAGGGGTGGATCCTCTGTGAATGATTTAGCACCATCCTCTCGGTGCTGTTCTCATGACAGGAAATGAGTGAGCTATCATGAGAACTGGTTGTTTAAAAGTATGTAGCACCACCTGCCCCCCCCAGTCTCTCTCTTGCTCTTGCTCTACCCATTTAAGACATCCCTGCTTCCCCTTCGCCTCTACCATGATTGTGTGTTTCCTGAGGCCTCTCCAGAAGCTGAGTAGTTGCCAGCATCATGCTTCCTGTACAGCCTGAGGAACTGTGAGCCAATTAAACCTTTTCTTTTTAAACCACCCAGTCTCAGGTATTTCTTTTTTTTATTTATTTTTTATTTTTTTATTGATCATTCTTGGGTGTTTCTCGCAGAGGGGGATTTGGCAGGGTCATAGGACAATAGTGGAGGGAATGTCAGCAGATAAACAAGTGAACAAAGGTCTCTGGTTTTCCTAGGCAGAGGACCCTGCGGCCTTCCGCAGTGTTTGTGCCCCTGGGTACTTAAGATCAGGGAGTGGTGATGACTCTTTTTTTTTTTTTTTTTTTTTTTTTTTTGAGACGGAGTCTCGCTCTGTGGCCCAGGCGGGAGTGCAGTGGCGCAATCTCGGCTCACTGCAAGCTCCGCCTTCCGGGTTCATGCCATTCTCCTGCCTCAGCCTCCCGAGTAGCTGGGACTACAGGCGCCCACCATCACGCCCGGCTAATTTTTTTTGTATTTTTAGTAGAGACGGGGTTTCACCGTGTTAGCCAGGATGGTCTCGATCTCCTGACCTTGTGATCCGCCCACCTCGGCCTCCCAAAGTGTTGGGATTACAAGCGTGAGCCACCGCGCCCGGCCTGGTGATGACTCTTAACGAGCATGCTGCCTTCAAGCATCTGTTTAACAAAGCACATCTTGCACCGCCCTTAATCCATTTAACCCTGAGTGGACACAGCACATGTTTCAGAGAGCACAGGGTTGGGGGTAAGGTCACAGATCAACAGGATCCCAAGGCAGAAGAATTTTTCTTAGTACAGAACAAAATGAAAAGTCTCCCATGTCTACTTCTCTCTACACAGACACGGCAACCATCCGATTTCTCAATCTTTTCCCCACCTTTCCCGCCTTTCTATTCCACAAAACCACCATTGTCATCATGGCCCGTTCTCAATGAGCTGTTGGGTACACCTCCCAGAAGGGGTGGTGGCCGGGCAGAGGGGCTCCTCACTTCCCAGTAGGGGTGGCCGGGCAGAGGCGCCCCTCACCTCCCGGAGGGGGCGGCTGGCCGGGCGGGGGGCTGACCCCCCCACCTCCCTCCCGGACGGGGAGGCTGGCCCGGCGGGGGGCTGACCCCCCACCTCCCTCCCGGACGGGGCGGCTGGCCGGGTGGGGGGCTGACCCCACCTCCCTCCCGGACGGGGCGGCTGGCCGGGTTGGGGGCTGACCCCCCCACCTCCCTCCTGGACGGGGCAGCTGGCCGGGCAGAGGGGCTCCTCACTTCCCAGTAGGGGCGGCCGGGCAGAGGCGCCCCTCACCTCCCTGACGGGGCGGCTGGCCGGGCTGGGGGCTGACCCCCCCACCTCCCTCCCGGACGGGGCGGCTGGCCTGGCAGGGGCTGACCCCCACCTCCCTCCCGGACGGGGTGGCTGCCGGGTGGAGACGCTCCTCACTTCCCAGACGGGGTGGCTGCCGGACGGAGGGGCTCCTCACTTCTCAGACAGGGCGGCTGCCAGGCAGAGGGTCTCCTCACTTCTCAGATGAGGTGGCCGGGCAGAGACGCTCCTCACCTCCCAGATGGGGTCGCGGCCGGGCAGAGGCGCTCCTCACATCCCAGACGGGGCGGCGGGGCAGAGGCGCTCCCCACATCCCAGACCATGGGTGGCCGGGCAGAGACGCTCCTCACTTCCTAGATGGGATGGCGGCGGGGAAGAGGCGCTCCTCACTTCCTAGATGGGATGGCGGCCAGGCAGAGACGCTCCTCACTTTCCAGACTGGGCAGCCAGGCAGAGGGGCTCCTCACATCCCAGACGATGGGCGGCCGGGCAGAGACGCTCCTCACTTCCTAGATGGGATGGCGGCGGGGAAGAGGCGCTCCTCACTTCCTAGGTGGGATGGCGGCCGGGCAGAGACGTTCCTCACTTTCCAGACTGGGCAGCCAGGCAGAGGGGCTCCTCACATCCCAGACAATGAGCGGCCAGGCAGAGACGCTCCTAACTTCCCAGACGGGGTGGCGGCCGGGCAGAGGCTGCAATCTCGGCTCTTTGGGAGGCCAAGGCAGGCGGCTGGGAGGTGGAGGTTGTAGCGAGCCGAGATCACGCCACTGCACTCCAGCCTGGGCACCATTGAGCACTGAGTGAACGAGACTCCGTCTGCAATCCCGGCACCTGGGGAGGCCGAGGCTGGCGGATCACTCGCGGTTAGGAGCTGGAGACCAGCCCGGCCAACACAGCGAAACCCCGTCTCCACCAAAAAAACACGACAACCAGTCAGGCGTGGCGGCGCGCGCCTGCAATCGCAGGCACTGGGCAGGCTGAGGCAGGAGAATCAGGCAGGGAGGTTGCAGTGAGCCGAGATGGCAGCAGTACAGTCCAGCTTTGGCTCGGCATCAGAGGGAGACTGTGGAAAGAGAGAGAGAGGGAGAGAGAGAGGCAGAGGGAGAGGGAGAGGGAGAGGGAGGAGAGGGAGGAGAGGGAGGAGAGGGAGAGGGCCAGTCTCAGGTATTTCTTTATAGCAATGTGAGAACAGAATAATACACTAATAAATGATGTGAGGTCTACATCTAATTTTGGTAGTTGGCCACACAAGTCTCCCAGAATAATTTTATTGAACAGTCCATCTTTTTTGGCCAGGTGCCGTGGCTTGTGCGTGTAATCCCAGCACTTTGGGAGGCCGAGGCAGGAGGATCTCAAGCTCAGGAGTTTGAGACTACCCTGGGCAACACGGCTAAACCCCGTCTCTCCAGAAAATATAAAAATTAGCCAGGCATGGTGGTGTGTGCCTGTAGTCCCAGCTACTTGGGAGGCTGAGGTGGGAAGATCACTTGAGCCCAGGAGGCAGAGGTTGCAGAGAGCTGAGATTGTGCCAGTGCATTCCAGCCTAGGCAACAGAGCCAGACCCTGTCTCCAAAAAAAAAAAAAAAAAAAAAAGAAAAAGAAGAAAAAAAGAAAGTCCATCTTTTCTCCACTGACTCAAGACACCATCTTTATTGCAGACAGAATTCCCATATGTGCTTGTGACTGACTTCTTGGACTTCTATTCTGTGTATTTTAATTTTAATTTTAATTTTAATTTAATTTTTTTTTGAGACAGAGTCTCACTCTGTCACCCAGGCTGGAGTGCAGTGGCACGATCTTGGCTCACTGCAACCTCTGCCTCCCAGATTCAAGCAATTCTCGTGCCTCAGCCTTCTGAGTAGCTGGGATTACAAGGGCCCACCACCATGCCTGGCTAGTTGTCATATTTTTAGTAGAGACAGGGTTTCACCATGTTGGCCAGGCTGGTCTCAAACTCCTGGCCTCAAGTAATCTGCCCACCTCGGCCTCCCAGAGTGCTGAGATAACAGAGGTGAATCACCATGGCTGACCTATTCTCTTGAAATGGTCTGTCTATTCATATATCATGCCACAATATTTTTATTATCTAGGTTTTATAGAACATATTAATATCTGATAGAGCTAGTGCTCCCTCATTGCCTGTCTCTTTCTGAACTTTCTTGATCTTTTTAAACAAATAAATTCTTTAACATAAATTTTATGGCCAGGAGCGGTGGCTCACACCAGTAATCCCAGCACTTTGGGAGGCCGAGGCGGGTGATCAGTTGAGGTCAGGAGTTTGAGACCAGCCTGGCCAACGTGGTGAAACACCGTCTCTACTAAAAATACAAAAATTAGCTGGGTGTGATAGTGTGGACCTGAAATCCCAGCTACTCAGGAGGCTGACGCAGGAGGCAGAGGTTGCGTGAGCCGAGATCGCACTGCTGCACTCCAGCCTGGGCGACAGAGTGAGACCCCGTCTCAAAAAAAAAAATTTACAGTCAGCTTGTCTCATTTCCAAATTAAACACATCAGTTTTATATTTATATATAAATACTAGTTTATATTACTTTATATATAAAATTGGAATTGTTTTAAATATATGTTAACTTAGGGCGAATAGTCATCTTTATGGCAAATCTTTATTCAAGTATATAGCAGTCTTTTCATTTCTTTGAGGCCTCTTATATACCTTTCTAGTATTTTTAAGATTTTGCCCTAAAGATTTTGCACGTTTTTATTAAGCTTTAACTAGGTATTTTTATTTTTTAGTTTGAAATAATTTCAAACTTACAGAAAAGTTGCAACGGTAATACAAAGATCTCCCAAATTCTCCTTGTCAGGGCTCTGAGCCCAAGCCAAGCCATCGTATCCCCTGTGACCTGCACGTATACATCCAGATGGCCTGAAGAATCACAAAAGAAGTGAAAATGGCCAGTTCTGATGACGTTCCACCATTGTGATTTGTTCCTGCCCCACCTTAACTGAGCGATTAACCTTGTGAAATTCCTTCTCCTCGCTCAGAACCTCCCCCACTGAGCACCTTGTGACCCCCGCCCCTACCTGGAAGAGAAAAACCCCCTTTGACTATAATTTTCCACTGCCCACCCAAATCCTATAAAACAGCCCCACCCCTATCTCCCTTCGCTAACTCTCTTTTCGGACTCAGCCTGCCTGCACCCAGGTGAAATAAACAGCCTTGTTGCTCACACAAAGCCTGTTTGGTGGTCTCTTCACACTGATGCACGTGACCCTCCTCATTCAGCAATGGTTCCCCGATTGTTAAATTTGACATTTACTTTATTCTTTCTACATACAATTATTTCTTATTCTGAATCATTTGAGAGTAAGTTGAAGACATAATACCTTATTACTCTTTTAGCATTTCACTGAGTATTTCCTAAAAACAATGGCTTTCTCCAACATAACTGCAGTGTAACTATCAAAATCAAGAAATTTTGTTATAATACTCCCGTGTAATCTAGAGATCTCATTTAAATGCATCAGTTGTCCTAATAATGTTTGTTATAGGACCACAATCCAATCCTGGATTATGTGTTGGACTGGGTTGTCATGTCCTTTTATATGGAACAGTTCCTCAGTCTTTCCTTGTCTTTTATGACCTTGATACTTCTGACATGAGCAGGCCAATTTGAGTGTATAATTGTTTCCTCTTGATTTGGGTAAGGTTATATGTCTTTTGCAGGACTACCACAGAAGTGGTGCTATGTTCTTCTCAGTGCGTCATATCAGGAGGCACGTAATGTTTGTCAGTTTGCCCCATTACTGGTGATATTATCTTGAGTAAGATACCTTTCTGTATATCTGTCTACATCACTTGTAAGATAATGTCAGTATGACTTCTTCACTGTAAGGATAATTATTTTGTGCTTATTTGCAATTAATATTTGTTGGTATTCTATTGTAAGGTAGAGCTTTCCTTTCTCCAACATTTATTTATATAATTATTTATATCATTATGGATTCCTATTTCCTTCATTATGACTATTCATTTCTAATTGATTTACCATCATTAATCATTTTAATGCTAAAATTATCTCAGGTCAGCCAGTAGGAGATCATTCAAGCCAGCTCCTGTGTCCTTATAACAGGTGTCTATCATTCCTGAGCATTTCTTTATTTGGAGGCACAAGATGTTCTGGTTCATTTTGTATTTTCCCTGCTCTGGAATCGCCATTTCTCCAAGAGGCCCTGGTTTCCTCCTGTTGTGAATAAAAATTCAGAAACTAAAAAGTCAGAATTCAGAACTAAAGTTTGGTGTTAATCTGCTCCAGAGTGTCATTACTTTAGGTCCTGTCAAAGGACAGAGCTAGGAAATACATGTATGTGCGTACACACACACACAGACCCACACACATTAATGTCTGTTAGTATATCTATCCCTATCTCTCCTTTCATCTACCTCTATTAAAAACTACATGTTCATACTGATACTTCTAAACTCAATCTGACATTTCCTATTTCAATTTCAGTAGGGTTTATTCTAGACTTCCTCATTTCTATACTTGTAACTTCCTTTTCTAACAGTTACAAATCCTGGCTCCCATTCTCCTTGATGTATTTTCTTACTTGTTTAATCCTTCTGTATATGACTAATGTCCCCACCATATTAGCCAAGTATCTCATCCTCCAGCCCTGCTATCACCAAACATGCAGTCTGTGGCTGTGTCAAAGGGAATATTTTATCTTTTTCAATGGTATTGTAAAAAGAATCTTTCTTTTATAAATTCTAGCTGATTTTTGTTTACATAGTTGAAGTCTGCTTATTTCTGTATGTTAATTTTATATCCTGCAAACTTACATAATTATTTTGTTTTAGTTTTTCTATTGTCTTGTGTTTCTTTTCCAAGTATACATCCTGAAAATAGAATCTGCAAACAGAATTTGTTTTTCTTCTCTCTTTACAGTTTTAGACCTCAAGTTTAATTTTCTTTTTAAATATCACTGACCAATAAAACGTTAAATCATAATAGCAGTAGTGGGCATTCTTACATTATTCATGACTTTAGTGGAATGATTTCCTGTTAATATGGTAGCTATTGGGCTGAAATGTGTGGTGTTCTATACATTTTTAAGTTTTTATTTTGAAATAACTTTAGACATAGAAGAATTGCAGACAGTACATAAAATTCTTGTATAACATATCCTTTATTCAGTTTTCCCTATGTTATATAATCATGGTATTAATACATTTAAAAAAATAAGAAATATAAGAAATTAACATTAGTTATGTATTTTTTTTTAAAAAAGTGGGTTAGGTAAATATCTATTCCTCCTTCTTTTGAGTCTCTTTTTAAAAACCCGGAATGAACATTTAATTTTGTCAAATGTATTCTCAGCATATGTTCTTACTCTTTTAACCTGCTAATATGATGAAGTAAGTCAATAGATTTTCTAATATGAAACTATTTTTGCATCTTAGAAGAAATCCACTTGATTAAAAATAACGTGCATGATTATAAAAATTAACTCTTAGATTCTGTGTGCTAATATTTACTTAGGACACTGATAATTTTTTACACTGATAGTTTTAAACAAGATTGACCTGTCGTTTCTTTTTTAAAAGCAGTCTTTATGGAGTTTTGATGTAAATGTTATTCTTTTTTTTTTGAGACGGAGTTTCGCTCTTGTTGCCCAGGCTGGAGTGCAATGGCGCCATCTCAGCTCACCGCAACCTCTGCATCCCGGGTTCAAATGATTCTCCTGCCTCAGCCTCCCAAATAGCTGGGATTACAGGCATGTGCCACCACGCCTGACTAATTTTCTATTTTTAGTAGAAATGGGGTTTCACCATGTTGGCCAGGCAGGTCTCGAACTCCGGACCTCAGGTGATCCACCCACCTTGGCCTCCCAAGGTGCTGAGATTACAGGCGTGAACCACCGCGCCCGCCCGTATTATCTTGCTTAATACTTATCTTTGCACTGTTAAGTATGCCTTTACCTCTGACTTGATGTGTATGTCAAAGAGCATACTTTGACTCTTAGCTGCTACAGAGGGAGCAGTCATGCACCTGTTCTACCTCTCACCAGGGTGGTTTTCCAACAACTCAGACTTCTTTCATCTGTTTGTTTCCTTCCAATATGGCATTTCTGTGGATTTCTTCATGCAGCCACAACCTTCTTTCTCTCCAAAGCAAACCGGGCCCAGAAGGCTTCTGTGCCTGTCCAGTATTCCCTGCCCTGTCCCCAGGGTGACCCCCTCCTGTCCAGCAGCTGAATTTTGCTGCCAATTTCTGAGCTCTGCATGGCTGGATCCTCCGTAACACCTGCTCTTCCTTCTTTTTCTACCAACTCCTCTAACCTCAGCACTGTTTGATCTCATTCCTGTTCTCTGATTTCTTCCCCAACATTTGCACTTCCTAGTGGGCTCCTGTTCTCCAGGGCCCCTAATTTTGCAGGTCTCTCTGGGATCTGTCACTGCTGGGTCCCTTGGTCCCCACCCCCTTGCCCTGACGCCAGCCACCCCTTATCCTTTCTGCTCTCTTTCCTTAAGGCTCCATTCAATCTTTAGTTATCACATTTTAGAGTTTGTTTTCTCTACCCCAGATTCACTGATTATGGAGCCTACAGTGTTTATTCCCCCTTCTTCATCTTGTCATTCTATGTGGTCTCCAGGTGAAGGGAAGATACTATTGTAATTTAAACTTACCAACATGAACTCCTATTGCCACAATAGTCAGAGAAGGGGGCTGGGCACAGTGGCTCAAGCCTGTAATCCTAGGACTTTGTGAGGCTGATGTGGGGGGATCACTTGAGGTCAGGAGTTCAAGACCAGCCTGGCCAACATGGTGAAACCTCGTCTTTACTAAAAATACAAAAATTAGCCAGGTGTGGTGGCACGTGCCTGTAATCCCAGCTACTGGGGAGGTGGAGGTTGCAGTGAGCCAAAATTGTGCCACTACACTCCAGCCTGGGTGATGGAATGAGACCCCATCTCAAATAATAATAATAATCAGAGAAGGGAATTCTTTATCGGTATAGGTGGTTTGTTCCCCCAACTACCTGGACAGAGTTAGCAGCACTCTGTCAGTGTTTTACATGGCCACAGACAGCTCCCTTTTGCTTTTCTGAAGAACAGTTTCAAACCATGTTCTCACTCTGTAGACTCCCCTACCCTCAACCACTCTTAACAGAAAAAAAATAGAAGTTCACAGATGTGTGCTTCCCCAGTCCCCTTTTTCCTAGGGTAAATGTGTCTATAATACCAGTGTGCCCCCACCCTTGGCTCCCATCCTGGGAAGAGATGCCCTTTCTCTCCAAGATGACAATCTCTTCCCCTAGGTACTATGCTTCATCCCTTCTACAAGTATCTAAACTTTATCAATTATCTTTGCCTCTGGTGGCTCATTTTACAAATAAAATTATTTCTTTCAACCTAAAACTAAATGATACCAGATAAAAAATCTGAAAACATTTCTGTGTCTCTGACCCCCTTTTAAGCTTCCTGCCTCTCCCTCCTTAACAGTGCATGCACAGCCTCTGCTTCAGGGCCTTGCCATTCCCTCTGCCAGCCATTGCATCAGCCTTGCTTTCCACCATGCACAGAAACTGCTATTGCTAAAAGAAAGTCAAAGCTGTCCCAATGACAAAATCCAATCACCTTCTCCTTTAAATCCTATGTACCAACATCCATTGTTTTGATGTCTAGAGTGGGCAATCTAGTTCTATTTGTCTGTTCTCTTCCATCCAAATGTTAAATTTCATGATTCCTGACATCATATAATCTTTACCTTCTACTCCTACATTTTCCTCTCACATCATATAATCTTTATCTTCTACTTCTGAGTCCCAATACCAGGTAAAAATGACCCAGTTTAGAAGTGTTTTAGCAAAATGTTTCTACTCATTGCAATGCACAAGTTAAAGATATTACAATAAGTCATTTATGATATAATTCCTTTGAATGTAAATGTACCTCAGTGTATGACTTTTATGAGTGAAGGTCATTACAAACAAGAAGTTTTACTGGGGGGAGTAGTAGGAAAGCATTACTTATTTTTTTAAAAGTTTTTACTGATTTGGTGTGGGAGCAACTACACCATTAATAGTTGGAATTTATGTGGTAGGTATGGGATATATATGGATTTATAGAAAATTTTGACATTTCTGCAGTGGAGTTCTATTTTGGACAAACTTTTATCAATAACAAATTTAAATAAATGAAATACTAGCAATGGAAAGCAAAGCACATGACTATATGAATAAGATTAGTTACTAACAGTACTGAGACAACAGGTACTAGACTTGTAGCTTTGCTAATGTGTCCTAGAAAAAGCACTGGAGACTAAAGGAGTTTTTAGTAACTTTATTTTCTAAAACTCCATCCTACAAATATGTTTTCTTCGACATCTCCACTTCCTTTAAAAACAAATAGAATCAGACAAAAACTTATCTTGACCAGGTTTTCAGTCAGCCGAGTTCAGCTTTCAAAGAGGTGAGATCCACCAAAAGCAGCCGCGCGCTCGGCCTCTGCGCCGCGCTGGGTCTCCAGCAGCGCTGGATGACGTCCCCAAGGCGCTGCCCGGGGAGCGAGTCCTCGAAGACGGCAGCGGAGAGGGACGGGCGCAGGTCGTAGGCCACCACCGCGTACAGTATGTGCTGCCGCTCCCCCGAATACGGCGCCTGCTTGGTAGTCATTTGCCAGAGAGTGATGGCAAAGGAATAAATGTCGGCTTTAGGCGTCACGCCCTCTCCTTTCAGGAGCTCCGGGGCGCGGTGGGTGTATGTGCCTCCTAGAGGGTAAGAGGGTGTCTGGAAGCACAGCAGATCTTCCAACTTCTCAGAGCAACCGAAGTCACTAATTTTACAGACATCCTGCTCACTGATCAAGATGTTCGCGGGCTTCAGGTCCAAGTGCACAATGCTTTGCGAGTGGAGGAAGAGCAGGCCGTTCACAACATCTAGTGAGTACTTGAGACACTTTCCCAAACTTAACTGTCCTCCAGTGCGGCAGTGAGGCTCCCCTGCGTCCCCCTCAGGGTGGCCGGCGGCGCCATAGATGACTTGGTGTAAAGTGACGTTGCCACCGAACTCCATGATGATGGTCCCTAGGCTATTGGACCCTGCGGGCGTGCGCGTGCTGGCAGCCACCACGCGCACGATGTTATCGTGGCGCAGCCTTGCTACGTTGAGCTCAGCCCAGAAACTCCGCCGAGATGCTAGTCGGTTCTTGGTGCACTTGTTCACTTGCTTTATGGCCACAGGAACACCGCGGTAAGTCGCCTTGTACACCGAGCCAAACCCTCCAGCTCCCAGCCTCTGCAGCAAGCACACCTGCTCCCAGTCAATGGAGCACCAGGCCAGCCGGCGCGGCAGCCGCGGGGCCCGAGGAAGAGTGGCCCCCAGAAGCAGCTTCGCAGGTAGCTCTGAGGGACTGCTGCAGGGCCGCGCGTCCACCGATGGGGAAAACTCGCTCCGGAGGTAGGGGCGTAGGGCCAGGGGCGAGGGCATCGCACTTTGCAGGGGGACACCAGGGCCGCTGGAGTGAATGAAGAGACTAGGGGAAACCGCGGGACTTTGGAAACATGACTGACTACTCCTTCGCTCCACCTCATCCCTTTTCTCCTTTTCCTTCACTTGTTCCAAATGAGCTACATCTGTGCTGTCACTCAGCAAGAGTTTTTATCAGATGGAGGGAGAAACCGGAATGAAGCACAGCTATCCCTTTCAGATGAAAGCATTTCCCTTCCACACTTGAAGTGAATTCTTATAAAAACAAGCTCATGCCAGACAAACAGCATGGAGCTGCCTCAGAACTCACCCCTCTTTTACATTATTTCTTAAATTATAATAAAATACGTTTTTTTCAAGTCTCATCCGCTGCACATTATCAGTCCTCAGACTAAAGAGACCACAAAGCACAATGAAATTGTTTCACACTTTGCAGGCTGTAATGATTGTTAGTGTCATTCTCCAGCTGCATTAAATCACTTCCAGCAGGTATTGGCTAAGAGTTAAAATGCAAACAGCAGACATTTGTTTAACCAATTACAGGGAAAAACTAGGTGCAACATTCATATGGATAAAAAATTGCAACCTTAATCAATCCAAATAGAATCACTGATACAGGTCATAACACACACCTAAATTCATCAGTGGAAAGGAGAATCCCCTGACACTCTATGCAGCTTACACAGCAAATTAGCAAGACATCTTAGCAACATACTGACTTCCTAACAATCCTTCCCTTCCAAGGCGATTTGGCCCAACCGGTCAGCTCACTTGCAAGAGAGATTCTAGACTTCGTAGCAAATGAGTTACCGAAGTTTTGAACCAGAGTTGGGGGAGACAAAAGAATAGAAATGATTCAGAGCTGTGATCAGGGCTTCAAATAATAACACATATGGGAGAATTGTAGAAGAGGAAAAATCTGAAGAAATAAAAATGGCACAAAATCACTGGTACCTACATATAATGTAGAAAACCAGAAGTTGGAATGAAATTCAGGGTATTGGCCATCAGACAATAAGATCTTTCTTTCTGATTTTTATAATGAAAATTAATTTTCTACCAAGTGCAGTGAGTTATGCCTATAATACCAGTGCTTTGGGAGGCTAAGGTGGAAGGGCCACTTGAGGCCAAGAATTTGAGACCTGCCTCTACAAAAAATAATAATAAAGTTAGCTGAGTGTGGTGGTGCACTCCTATAGTCCTAGCTACTTTGGAGGCTGGGGCGGGAGGAGACTTGAACTGAGGAGTTTGAGGCTATAGTGAGCTATGATCGTGCCACTGCACACCAGGCTGGATGATGGAGCAAGATCCTGACTCTAAGCAAAAAATTAATTTCATACCATATCTTTGGAAAAAGGACCAATAATATTACCATATTCATGAGAAAACACACACACACAAAAGTGTTAGGATCTATATTTTAAAAAATCAAATGGTAAAGTTCCCTTCTTCTAAAGCACTTATGTGTTAGGTTATGTGTAACCACATTTTAATGATAGCAGTTCTGTTTTTGAAGTATATTGACTTTGAGAAGGTAAATTAATAAACATGAACCATTTACAGAAACAATTTGAGGTCTGTGAAGCCCTGGAATAGGATTTCTATTCTATACAACCTGTGTGGCTTAGTATGTGATCTAGTGTGTGTATAATATTTAACCTGCTTGAGCCTCAATCTTTTTTTTTTTTTTGAGACAGAGTTTCGCTCTTGTTGCCCAGGCTGGAGTGCAATGGCACGATCTCCGCTCACTGCAACCTCCGCCACCTGGGTTCAAGCGATTCTCCCGCCTCAGCCTCCCGAGTAGCTGGGATTACAGGCGCATGCCACCATGCCCAGCTAACTTTTGTATTTTTAGTAGAGATGGGGTTTCACCATGTTGGCCAGGCTGGTCTCAAACTCCTGACCCCAGGTGATCCACCTGCCTCAGCCTCCCAAAGTGCTAGGATTACAGGCGTGAGCCACCATGCCTGGCCAACTCTATGGAATATTTTAGTAGAAAGATTGTTGTGTGCAATTGTGTCAAACCCCAAATATAAAAGGATGCCAATGAATAGAGAAAAAGTAATACAATTATATTCTATAATAAATCTACATTGCAAAATTTACTCAGTAACTGTCACCTAGTTAGGATTATAATTCAGGGCTCTGAAATGGTTATATAATAGGAGTGCTGTGAATATTAGCAGAATGAGAGTGCCTTAACCCCCTAGATATTACACATAATGCAAGATAATGTGACTTATTATATAATCTTTATTTTTAAGATAATTGCATACACAATTCATTTTCAAAGTTGGTTTTACTCTTTACCCAAAACATAAGGTATTAGTGAAAATGTGGCATTCTGTGTATTTATAAACCCCAAGTTCATTAGATCTATCATCTGCCAATCTGCCCAAGAATATTTAATTGAATATCCAATTTACAACAGCCTTTGTTTTCTTTTTTAAGGTATCTTAAAATATTTCTTTTACTCAGCAAATTGCACTTACCCTGAAAGCAGGATTTATCTCCCTATTGATTTTTTCTCCCCGTAACACAGTGCCAAACATATTTCTTATTATGTTCTTACTTTAATTTTGCTTTTTTCTTTTTGAGACAGCGTCTCACTATGTCACCCAGGCTGGAGTGCAGTGGTGTGATCTTGGTTCACTGCAACCTCTGCCTCCTTGGCTCAAGCGATCCTCCCACCTCAGCCTCCCAAGTAGCTGGGACCACAGGCACACACCACCACACCCAACTATTTTTGTATTTTTTTGTTGAGATGGGGTTTCACCATGTTTTCCAGGCTGGTCTTGAACTCCTGAGGTCAAGCGATCTGCCCGCCTCAGCTTCCCAAAATGCTAGGATTACAGGGCACTGTGCTTGGCCCTTAACTTTAATGTTTAATCCTGATTTGGTTACCAAATATGTGTGCACTATGTAATATTTTGGATCTCAAAAATGGGTAAAGCTTTAGCATGGTGGTAAAAGGCTATTAGGGGCCAGATGGCCTGGGTTTCTTACCATCCCAGTGCCTGTTTCCTTATCTGCAAAATGAGGAAAATATGCCCATCTCAGGATTGTTGTGAAGAGTAACAGAGTTTCAAATACTTAGATCAGGGCCTCAATGCTAATTATTATTTATAAAACTCATTTAAAAAACCATGTGTATGGGCTTATACGAATAAGAAACATATTTGTTAGGTAGTATTGGTTTAAAAGTATCCTATCAGGGCTGAAATAACTCGTTTTCATGTTAAACTAACATACAATTTGAGTATTTTTCTGCTCTTGAATTTTGCGGTTAAAGGTATAAAATCCTGCTGTATTAATGGTACAGCATGTAGTAAAAACGTGGGTGGAAGGTTAACACTAATCTGATCAAATGCAATATGCCTATGTCATCCCCCAAAGGCAAAGAGCAAAATGTGTTGATAACAAGGAATTCTCCTTGGAATTATATATGAAACAAAGGAGACAAGATAAACTGCACCTCCTGAGGAGCGAAATGCTCTCGTGTTCTTAGCGCACAGGCTTTACGTGTTTTGTTCTTTGATTGGCAGCATGACTATTAAGATACTTTCGTATCAAACACCATATTTATCACAAGAGTAACAACAGATACCGGAACGGATAGCTCCTTTTAATTTGACTTTAATCAGAGCCTGAGGATCGCGGATAGTGGGAGAACGTCCTCCTGACCAACGTGGTTGGCTTTCTGGGCACGCTGGGCCTGAGCCGCCCCAGCTCCCGGGGCGCGCACCGGGTTCCACGGGTACCGTGGACGGCGGGGCGCTGCGCCCTCCCTGCCTCCTGCACTTGCTGCGCTGGGGCCGAGGAGGTGGCTCTGCCTTTCTTGATTCCCCAGTCTCTGGAAGACAAGCCGCCCTCGCCGCCTCCTGGCTACCCGTGGGCTCGCCCTCGGGCTCGCCCGCTGGTGCTTTTGTGCGTTTCCTAGTGCACGGGCTTTGGGCGCGCTGGTGCCCGGAAGCACGTGGGCGAGGCCGTCGGTCCCCGAAAGACGCTCAGAGTGCGCCCAGCCTGCCCTTCTGCGTACGCAACAAATTTTCCTTTCTCTTTAGAGTCATCACGTCGTCTTTTGGAAGGCAGTCTTAAAAAGGCCCAGAAGCTCAACAGCAGTCTCAACAGCACATAAAACCCCACCGACGGCGGCCGCGCTTGCGCCTGCGCACTCTTGACGGCCGCCCGAGTCCTGGCAGGGGACCGCCAGGTTAAGAGATCTCGGGTGACAGCGGATTCGAGAGGTTACAGTGGATTCCAGAGGTTACAGTGCGAAGAGCGCGAGTATTGCAACCGTGCAAGTGTGGTATTGCTGGTTACAACCGTGGATTTCATCGTCGAAATTTCACTTTTGCCTTTTTTAAGACTAAAAAGTTAAGCTGTAGATGAATATATACGCTTTACTAAAAATTCCCATACAAAGATTATAGACTCAAACTTGAAAAACATATCAATTTTTTTTTACTTCAGTGGGATTATACTATTGACATTCTAAAATTTGAATTTTATACTTAGCAATATAACATAGACTTGTTTCTATGTCAGTAAAGTACATATACAGCTACTTTAATTTTTATATGGTCCATATAATATGGTCGGGGCAGATCTTAGTTTGTGGATTGCATGGAGCACGTCCCTGGATGTGACCAGCGCACACTATCTGTTTCCATGCGGGGAGGTTGGGGTTGGTTGCTTCCACTTTGCCCTGATCGCTTGGGTTTTGTATTTTGACTCTGGAGATACGTAAATAAAATTTTACTTGTCTAAATACAGCTAAACTTCACAAAAGGTTTTAAGACATACAAATGTGTTTCAAACTGGTTTTGGAAACCTTTGAATTTAATGATATCTTGCAAGTTTCTCATGTTTTTAAGAACATAAAATGCTTATAGATATTTGAAATTTTGAAATTTGATCTGATTAAAATGCGGCTGTCTTGAATGATTTTGTCCAATTTATGATCACATACTGGCATCTTCCCTCAAGCCAGACTATGTTTGCTTGCTTGTTTTTGTTTTGTTTTGTTTGTTTTTTGAGACAGCGTCTCACACTCTGTCTTCTAGGCTGGAGTGGAGTGGCGCGATCACAGTTCACTACAGCCTCCACCTCCCTGTGCTCAAGCTTTCCTCCCACTTCGGCCTCCCAAAGTGCTGAGATTACAGGCATGAGCTACCACGCCCCGCCTCAGAAAATGCTTTCTAACTTTGTATTTAATATTTACTAAATTCTGTATTTTTCACTGATAAATGTGTCAAAATAATAGGATGTTTGAATAAAGGATCCAAAAGTAATATACTCTATTCAATTCACCATCTTTACTCAATTTTAAGCAAAATTTTCTCATGCGTATCATTATGGACTCGTGGCCTCTCATAGATTCAATGTGATTTAATCAACTGCAATAATTATTATTTTTGCTGCTCAAATTGACACACTTTGGCCAATGGGGGGCCCTGTTTTGTTCTTTTGACACAGTCCCATTACTATGAATTATTTCTTGCCTCTTGGTACATACAGCAAGTTGCCTCAGGCTCATAATGGCTCCTGGAATCAGTCATTTCTCCAGGGTATCCTGGAAAGATGCCATAATCTCAGCATTAAGTGCACACATTAGGTTCATTCTCCTAAGCCCTTGTTATTAGTTCATTTTAGCTGACAGAATTGGAAAACATATACTCTTTTTTCTTTTAAAAAGCATGGATTTCTATTGATATTTCTAATTCAGTTCTGACAGTATGATTCCCAATTAAAGCATTTAAATTTTATTATTTTCCTTCTCTTTCCTTATACTTGAAAGCTTGATTCCAAACAAAATTAATCTAATTACTAATTTATCTGATAAAATTATTAAATAAAATTTAAGATTTCTTTGCAGTTGTTTTTATCCTTATACTGTATGCCACTAAGATGTGTAATCAAATTATTTTCTTGTAGAGTCACTCCTCATAGCTCATTCTGTGTGGCTTTGTCTTATATAAACCATGTATGATTAATTTGTTTTCAGTTCTGGGAGGTTGTCAGTATAACTAGCTGGCAGTTTTCCTAGAAGGTGGCAGTTTTCAGCCAAGAGGTTTTTTTCTTTTGTGATAATAAACCTTTGAGTATGGTAGAAAACTGTTCTCAGAGTCTACCTTATGAGATGTGGGTGAAGGGAAAATCAAGCAAACGAATTTCCCCAGTTATGTATGAAAATTTCATTTAGCCATTATCTGATCCTTACGTAGTGACCAGGTGCAACATTACACACAGAAGGTTCATATGCACAAGTTCTGGATGGCACCCAATTCTATCTTCTACTATTCAATTTCTGGCAATGTTAGAACCCACACAGCTTCATGTATTTCATTACAATTTAATTTAGTAAATAGTAATGATATTAAAGCCTTTAAAATTTATTCTCTCTCTTCTTTGAGCTTCCTTTTATAATATATAACATTTCCTACCAACATATTATTATATTATACCAAAGTTTACAATGCATAAATCCAAGTGATTCTCTAAGCTGATTTTATCATAACCTAGTCCCCAGATCTTTAATTTTCCTTTTTCTCTAGTTTCTCTTTATGTATATAGAATGTATCTTCTTAATGCCTCTTAGTCGACCAAGATTTTTTTTTGAAATACAAACAATTGCTTTCTCTCCTGGCCTTCTGCAGCCTAGACTTATCTGAAAAGAGACTTAACTTTATTTTCAGCCATTCTGAAATATTCAAATATTCTGCCTTTTCTTTCTTTCTTTTTTTTTTTTCTTTAGGCGGAGTTTCACTCTTGTTGCCTAGGTTGGAATGCAATGGCATGATCTCGGCTCACTACAACCTCCGCCTCCTGGATTCAAGCAATTCTCCTGCCTCAGCCTTCCAAGTAGCTGGGATTACAAGTGTGCACCACCATGCTCAGCTAATTTTGTATTTTTAGTAGAGATGGGGTTTCACCATGTTAATCAGGCTGGTCTCGAACTCCTGACCTCAAGTGATCCACCTGCCTTGGCTTTCCAAAATACTGGGATTATAGGTGTGAGCCACAATGCCCAGCCATATTCTGCCTTTTCTAGATGGAAAATATTCTAATTATTTCTAGGATGTGCCTTCTTAATGGCTTGAGGATTGCAGTGCTAATGGTTTGAGGCTGAATTTTTCTTTGTTCTTTTTAATTTTTTTATTTTTTTAATACTTTACAATACACCATGGCAGGTACCATCTGCCTGATAGGTGTGAGGAAAGATGACTGCCAGCCCGCTGTCTAAAACCCCAGGCAGGGCATGTTCCTAATCTGGGCACCGATTGCCCCCACCAGTGAATCAAGACCAGCAGATTCTCTGCAAGTGCCCTAGCACACCGGGACACTCGGAATGTGACTTGAATCTTGGTGAGGCTGAATTTTATATGCGATTAAGAGGCACTTTATAGCAAAGCTCTGGGCATCTCCGGTTGGCATCTTTGAAAATGGAACATCAGGACACTTGTTGGAACTCTACTCAAGACGATTTTGGGTGACTCTGGGGGCAGAGAAGGAGGAGGAAGTCAATTATTCGGTCTTTAGCTGTTGTGAGATGGGAGGCGGGGTGTGGTCTTAGTGGGTCACACTTGAACAGGAAATTGACAGGACTTCCCAGTGGTTCTCTCAACATCTTTAGTGAGGTTTTGGTTACTTTCTTGGCAACTTGTGTCAGAACCTAATCTTTCCATGTATACATGAAACAATCTAGTTGGCATGGTGACTTCCCTGGTCCTCCTTTAAATGCTGCAGGATACCATAGTTCCAGGACCCATAAAGGCGAAATTAAAATTTGGGGTCACCCCTGGTGCGCCTATTGCAGATTTAAAAGACCATGCACTATAATGGTCCGTTACAAACTGAGGAAGGCTGGAAGTGCCCTGCTGACATTTAGACATGGTGGTGCCCATGGCGAGTCGATCTGGGCTAAGGAGGAAAGCAGGATATCCTCTTATTGGATGTTATAGGAAAGATATAAGGGAGGGGGTGTGAAACCAAGGCTAGACAAAAAGATTTAATTTTTGATACCTACCCAAGACCAGAGGGTGCTGAGCTAGAGTTGAGTCTAAACATGGTAACCCAGGATAGCAAAGGCAGGTGAGGAGGTGAAGTCCACAGGAAGACAAGAGGCTCACCAAAGACTGGAGGCTCGTCCGCAGCCTCCTTTGCTGAGCTCAGGTTCCCTACTACTACAAATTCTCATGGAAATTAGGATTATAGTTTCAAACTTTAAATTAAGACTCTGTCACATCCTAATCTGTACACAGGAAGAGGAGATAGAGAAGCACGGACACACCAGTGGCTCAACTCCCCAGCCTTCTTAGAATCTTAAGTTTTGTTTGCTCTGTTGATATTTTTGTGTGTGTATGTAATAAATATGAGAAATTAATTTAATGACTTTCATAACCCATTTACTGAGTAACCCAGAATATAACTGAGAGTCGCTTTTCTCTGTGCAGGAGATCCCTGGGAAGCAGTGAAGTATGTGGGGAGGGGCACCTGCCTCAAGTGGGGCTGCAGGGCTTCTGGGAGTGGGGAGTGGGATAATCATCATGCAAAATCCTTGCTCCTCCACTCAGACCAGTGGATACTTACTAAATATTCCCGTTATTCACAGTAACATTTGCTTTAGGCTTTTGTATTTATTAGCTCACCACAGTGTAATTCTTAACAATCCATGGAATGGTCAGCGGGAGGCTGACTTGAGGTTTATATATCCCAATTATCATTGACACTTATTTTCAGAAAAAGTGAGTTGCCAGTTACCAAAACAGAATGGCTCGGTCCCTTCCACCATTGAATATTGATGCAGCTCTTGCCCATTGACTATGTCCTATTATATAACCAGATGTTATAATAACTTGAGTCCATATTGGTCCTCACATTGGGCCCAACCCAAGCATGGTGGGGAAAGGGCAGTAATTTGCCCCAGATGGCCCCACAGGAGACAGCAGACATATTGCAGCTAGTGTCATTTTTTCCACCAAAAGGATCAGTGTTGAGTTCGTGTATTGAGCAACCTTGTCGATCCAGGTGAAGTAGGACTGCAACTCCAGATTTTAACAGCAGCCAGTGTCAGAAGAAGTAGGGGACCAGGCTGCTGCCTCATGCCTGTAATACCAGCACTTTGGGAGCCCAAGGTGGACGGATCACGAGGTCAGGAGATCAAGACCATCCTGGCTAACACGGTGAAACCCCATCCCTACTAAAAATACAAAAAAATTATCCAGGCATGGTGGTGTGTGCCTGTAGTCCCAGCTACTCGGGAGGCTGAGGCAGAATTGCTTGAACCCGGGAGGTGGAGGTTGCAGTGAGCTGAGATCACGCCACTGCACTCCACCCTGGGCGAGAGAGCGAGATGCCATCTCAAAAAACAAAACAAAACAAAACAAAAAAGTAGGGGCAGGGAAACACTAGAAGAAATATAGGAAATTATTCAAAATTAGTCACCATTTTGAATAACTTGGGTTTTACATTGTATTGTCCCTTGTTAATTGTTTCCTGTGCTTTTAACTTACACTTCTCTACTCCTTGGTTTGTTTTATTAAATAACCCACGCCTTCTCTTCCATGTTCCTATCCTCCCTAATCAGTATATTACCATGTAATGGGTAATTATAATATTTGGCTCTAGTTTAGGCCATCGGTTTAAATTCCATTGCACTACATGATGACATCAAGCTGGAGTAGGTACATCAACATATTGTTGTTAGTGGTGTTAACAGGGAGAGAGAAGACTGTATTAGCCTGATCCCTAAAAGAGCTCATGAAAACTGAGAATTACTTATGACAATTTTTCAATATAGAAACAAAATTAGGCATAGCATTGACAGAACAGGAATAGCTGCATTCAATTTACTACAGTCCACAGTTAACCACTGTATTAATTAGAGCTCTTAGGTTCCAAGAAGTAGTAGAACCTAACTTAAGCAAAGAAATTTATTGGAAAGATTCTGGAGGATTACAGACCCAATAGGAACCTTAAGAACCATACTCCAAAGTAGGCAAGAAGTTAGTTCCTAGAGAACTAGGAAGCAGGAGCTATGGCAGTGGTCCCAGCAGAAAGCTAGGCCAGAATACCACCACTGGATTGATTCTTCAGCCCTTCCTTTAGTCTTCAAAGGAAGCAACCCACAGGCCAATTTTGTTCATTTTCTGACTTCCTGGCTGTACCAGTGTACCGATAGGTACACTGGTACATCATTTTGCCTCCTTTTTTGGGAGGCAGGCACCTAAAAATACTATTTCAACCAGACCATGAACATTTGGAGGGAAGTAATTTCTCTAAATGTGCAGCCAAAGGCAACGAATGTCCTCTGCATTTACCAGGGGATGCACCTCTGGCAAAGACTAGAGCAATAGAGGGGAGTGGAGGTTTAAGCTACCCCAGGATACCTAATTCCTGCATTCAGCTGTAATGGGTCTCAGTCCTCTAAGCCCCTCGTGCTATTTCATGCTGATTGTTTCGGTTACAATAGAGGATTCTGGCGGGGCGTGGTGGCTCAAGCCTGTAATCCCAAAACTTTGGGAGGCTGAGGCGATAGGATCACTTGAGCCCCAGAGTTTGAGACCAGCCTGGGCAACAAACACCCCGTCTCTACTAAAAGTTAAAAAAAAAAATTGCCTGCCGTGGTGGCACACACCTATAGTCCTAGCTACTAAGGAGACTGAGGTGGGAGGATTGCTTGAGCCCAGGAGGTTGAGGCTGCAGTGAGCCGAGATCTTGCCACTGCACTCCAGCCTGGGTGACAAAGTGAGACCCTGTCTCAAGAAAAAGAATAGAGGATTCCAAAGACTCTAGTTTTGAATAACCCAGTTACAGTCCCTCCCAAAATTTACTCTCCACCCATTCAAGGATAGTTTCTTTTTCCCCTCGGGACTATAATAAATCGTTCTTACATCACTCCTGGGAAGGGGAGAGTGACCCTGTGATGACAGGTAATGCACCAGGCCTGTGCGGCTTGCTTGGAGTGTCAGCACGATTTAGTCAAATTGCACACTCATGGCTCCATAAGTTCCAGTGGCTGTGGAGGTTCTTTTCACTTCTTAGGGTCTTCAGGCCTGGCTGATCATCATATTCCATTTCTCTTGGTTATCATGATTGGTGCAATGTGTCTCAGTTGCTGGAATATTCTACAGCAATGAAGAAACAGTGCCCTTAGGAGTATGCTTGTCTGAGAATAAAATGATTGTAAAATAAGGCAGAACAAACAATGTTTGAACTCTTAAGACTAATTCCGCATAAAGTTAGAGCTCTTCATGGACACATCAGTTCTGTGATCCAGGAAATAAATTATCTTTGGATAAATAGCGAGTGTGGGGAAGACCTGATTGGGATTGAGATAGAATTTCCCCATAGGGGCCAAGTGCAGTGGCTCACAGCTGTAACCCCAGCACTTTGGGAGGCCAAGGTGGGTGGATCACGAGGTCAGGAGTTCAAGACCAGCCTGGCCAACATGGTGAAACTCCATCTCTACTAAAAATACAAAAATTAGCTGGCCATGGAGGCGCATTCCTGTAATCCCAGCTACTCAGGAGGCTGAGGCAGGAGAATTGCTTGACCCGGGAGGTGGAAGTTGCAGTGAGCTGAGATTGAGCCACTGCACCCCAGCCTGGGCTACAGAGCGAGACTCCATCTCAAAAATAAAAAAAAAACAAAAATTTCCCTATAGGTAGGTGAGATAGGAACCTCCTGCTCACCACCATCTCCCTTTCTCACCTAGCTCCTGTCACCCAGAGGCAACTATTTTCAAATTTTTGAGATGGATGTTTGGGTATTTACCTTCTGTTTTGGCATACACTTTTGTAGCTCTCCTATTCCAAAGTTGATGGCTGTTATGCCTACTACTTAGTTACCGTTTTGGGTTTTCTCTTTACTTTTTAAAATTTTGTTTTATTTATTTATTTTTTTGAGACAGACTCTCACTCTGTTGCCCAGGCTAGAGTGCAGTGGCACGATCTCAGCTCATTGCAACCTCTGACTCCTGGGTTCAAGCAATTCTCCCACCTCAGCCTCCCAAGTAGCTGGGATTACAGGTACATGCCACCAAGCCCGGCTAATTTTTGTATTTTTAATAGAGACAGGGTTTCACCATGTTGGCTAGACTGGCCTTGAACTTCTGACCTCAAGTAACCCGCCCACCTGAGCTTCCCAAAGTGCTGGGATTACAGACGTGAGCCACCGTGCCTGGCCTCCCTTTACTTTTATTCCTAGAATTCTCTTGGTTTGGATTCACTTTTTCCTGAATCCCATGCCTTCCTCTCATCTGATTTATTTTCTTTCTATTTATTTATTTATTTATTTGAGACAAGATCTCACTTTGTTACTCAGGCTGGAGCGTAGTGGCGTGAACTGGGTTCACTGCAGCCTCAACTTCCTGGGCTCAAGTGATTCTCCCACCTCAGCCTCCCGAGTAGCTGGGACTACATGCTCGTGCCATCACACCCAGCTAATTTTTGTATTTTTTGTAGATATGGGGTCTCACTATGTTGCTCAGGCTGATCTCAAACTCCTGAGCTCAGGCCATCTGCCCACCTCGGCCTCCCGAAGTATTGGGATTACAGGCATGAGCCAGCATGCCCGGCCTATTTTCTTATTTTGGTGAAATACATCCTTCAGTAGCTTCCTGAAAAAGAATACATGGGAGATCATTTGTTCCAGTCCCTACATGCCTGATAATGTGTTTTACTCTGACATTTGATTAATAATTTGGTCCAAATTGTATATTGAAATTAATTTTCTCTCACAATTTTAAGAACATCTATGGAGAAGTCTAATGCTTGCCTCCTGGTACTCTGCATGTAACTAACTTTTTTTTGTGTGGAAGATTTTAGGATATTCTCTGAATTAGATATCTATTTTGGCAAAACAAATTATCCCTAAACTTAGTGGGTTTGATTTAACGTTTATTATCTCATTATTTCCATTTGGTCAGGAATCTACGTTCAGTTTAGCTAGGCCCTCTGGCTCAGGGACTCTCAAAACACTGCAATCAGGGTTTCAGCTGGGGCTGCAGTAAGGTTTGATATAATTAATATAATTTTCTTCTGCTTTCACAGACTTCTCATCAAGCTGGAGATAATGAAATAATATTTAAACTGTTGAGAGAGAAAAAATAAGCATCGACCTACCATTTTTTATCTAGCAAAAATATTGTTTAGAAATGAAGATGAAAGAGAGTTTTTCAGGCAAATGGAAACTGAGATAATTTGTCGCCTATAGACCTGCACTATCAAAAATACAAAAAGAGAAATGATACCAGATAGAAACCTGGACACATACAGAGCAATAAAGAATATTGGAAATGGTAAATATGGGCTAAAGTAAAAGATTTTTCTTATTTTTCAACTGTCTCTAGAAGACAATTGAATATTTAAAATAGTAGTAGTAGTAATAATAATAATGCATTGTTGGATTTGAAGCATATGTAGAAAGCATGATGACAATGGCACAAAGGAAAGGAAGGGAAAATGGAAGCCTGTTGTTCTAAGGTTCACATTATAACTGAAGTAACATAGTATTTTATGAAGGTAGACTATCGTAAGTTAAGGATATATATTGAAACCTTAGAAGAACCATTAAAACAGTAAAACTAGGAGGTATAGCTAATAATCCAAGAGTGGAGGTTAAAAAAAATCCCAAAACTTAATAAACCCAAAAAAGGGTGGGGAAAAAAGGAACAAAATATCTATATAATATATAGAAAGGTAATAGTTAGATGATATATTTAAACCCAAACCTGTCAATAATTAAATTAAACATAAGTGGTCTAAACAGTCCAATTAAAAGGCAGAGATTGTTGGACTGAATAAAAATAGGTAAACCCAACTATATTTTGTTTATAAGAAAACTAAGTTAAATATAAATATCCCTATAAAGCAAAAGTAAAAGAATAGAAAATGATAAAATACTAGTTAAAGACTAATGAAAAGAAAGTTGGAAGGGCTATATTAACAGCAAGAAAAAGCATAACTTAAAATAGAACTTTTACTAGGAATTAAGAAGGATACTTCAGAATGGTAAAGGAATCAAGGAACGTAGTAATCCTAAATGGGCATGATAGAGCTTCAAAATTAATAAAGCAAAAAAGATGAAACAGAAAGATACTATCTATAATTATAGTTGAAGATAAACACTCTTCCTTCAGTGATTGGTAAAACAAGCAGACAAAAAATGTCAGTTATACAGAAAAGGGGAACAACACTTGTGTTAGAGTTCTCCAGAGAAACAGAATCAACAGGATTGATCTGTCAATCTATCTATCTATCTATCATCTATCTATCTATCTATCATCTGTCAACATTTAAGGAATTGACTTATAATTGTAGGGGCTTGACAAGTCCAAAATCTGTAGGGTAGGCTGGCAGGCTGGAGACTCAGGGAAGAGTTGTCAGGTCCACAGGCAGTTTCCTGGCAAAACTCTTTCTTGCTTGGAGGAGGCTAGTGTTTGTTCTATTAAGGCCTTCAGCTAACTGGATACATCAGCCTACTCACGTTATGAAGGGTGATCTGCTTAATTCAAAGTCCACTGATTCAAATGTTAATTTCATAGAAAACAAAAGTGATGTTTCCCACAGAAGCATCCAGACTAACATTTGACCTAGTATCTGGACACTGTGGCCCAGCAAGCTAAGATATTATACATAAAGTTAATCATCACAACTCTGATCAGACTTGACCCAAAAACTGACAAACTACATATTCTTTTTAAGTTTGCATGGAACATTTACCAAGACAAGCCATAAAACCAGTGTCACTAGATTTAAAAGGATTAATATCAAACAGAGTGCTCCTCACATCACAATGAAGTTAAATTAATTAAGAGGAAGATATCTGGAAGCTCCCTAAATATGTGGAAATTAGATCATTAACTTCCAAATAATTAATGAATTTAAGAAGAAATCACAAAGAATGTTATAAAATATTTTTAACTGAATAAAAATGAAAACTTGATATATCAAAAATTTTTGGTAGGTAGCTAAAGCAGTGCTTAGTGAAAAGCTTATAGCTTTAAGTGTTTATATTAGAAAAAGAAGTCTAAAGTAATTCATGTAAGTTTTCATCTTAAACTAGAAATAGAGTAAATAATGGAAGGTAACCAATAGAAAAAGTAAATGAAACAAAGAAGTTGCTTTATTTTTAAAAATCAGTAAAATTGATAAACTTCTAGCTAGACTGCTCAAGAAAAATTGAAAGTAAACACAAATTATGAATATTTGGTATGAATAAGAGCATATCACTATAGAGCCTAAGACCTTAAAAGGATATTAAAGAAATAGTATGAACAACTTGATGCTAATATATTTGACAATTTAAGTAAAATGGACACATTCCTTTAGAAAAAAATTACCAAAACTGGGCCAGGTGCAGTGGCTCACACCTGTAATCCCAGCACTTTGCAGGGCTGAAGTGCGAGGATCACCTGAAGTCAGGAGTTTGAGACAAGCCTGGCCAACATGGTGAAATACCATCTCTACTAAAAATTACAAAAAAATTAGCCGGGTATGGTGGATTACATGCCTGTAATCCCAGCTACTTGGGAGGCTGAGCCAGAAGAATTGCTTGAACCTGGGAGGTGGAGGTTGCAGTGATCTGAGATCGTGCCACTGTACTCCAGCCTGGGCGACAGAGCAAGACTCTGTCTCAAAAAAAAAAAAAAAAAAAAAAAAAAATTACCAAAACTGACTACAGAAGAAATAAAAAATTGAATAGCCTTACATTTGTTAAATAATTTTTATTTATAATTAAAGATATTTTTATAAAGAATACTCTAGGACCATAAGGCTTCACAGGTTAATTGTATTAAATATTTAAGGAAAAAATAATACCAATCTTATTCATAGTCTTTCAGAAAATAGAGGCGTATCCATTTTTCTAACTCATTTTAAGAAATAGCATCATTCTAATATCAAAAGCAAACAAGGACATTGCAAAGAAGAAGGGGAAGAAGGAAGAGGAAGAGGAGGAGAAAGGGAAGCAGGAGATGGAGAAGAAGGAAGGCAGGTACAGTGCAATATTTCTCATGAACATAAACACAATTTTTAAAAAAGTATTAACAGGCTGGGCTTGGTGGCTCTCACCCGTAATCCCAGCACTTTGGAAGGCCAAGGCGGGTGGATCACAAGGTCAGGAGTTCGAGACCAGCCTGACCAACATGGTGAAACCCTGTCTCTGTAGCAGAGAATGGTGGTGCATGCCTGTAATCCCAGCTACTCAGGAGACTGAGGCAGGAGAATCACTTGAACCCAGGAGGCGGAGGTTGCAGTGAGCTGCGATCGCGCCACTGCACTCCAGCCTGAGCAACAAAGCGAGACACTATCTCAAAAAAAAAAAGGTATTAACAAATTAAATTTAGTAATATATACAAAAGATACTATATTGTAATCAAGTAGAGTTTATTCCAGAAATCCAAGGTTGAATTAACTTTAAAAAGTCAACTAATTAAGTCACTAAGTTAATGAATAAAGGGGACAAACTATTGTCATTTTAATAGATGCAAAAAAAAGCACATAACATTTAAATCCATTTAAGATGTCTAAGCAAACTAGTAATAAAAGGCAACTCCCTCAACCTGATAAAGGGCATCTGAAAAACACCTGGAGCTAACATCATGCTTAATAGTAAAAGACTGAATTATTTCATCCAAAGATTGAGAACAAGGCAAAAATGTCTGCTTTCAATCTTTAAATCAACATAATACTGGATCACCTATGCAGTGCAAAATAAGGCAAAGAAAAAAAGTCATAGAGATTGGAAAGAAAGAAGTAAAACTTTCTTTATTCTTGGAAAAAATAATCATGTATATATAAACAATCTCACGAAATCTACAAAACATCTTCTAGAAATAATAAATGAGTTTAGCAGGGCAGCAGGATACAAGGGCAGTATACTAGCAATTAATTTACAATAGCATCAGAAAGCATGAACATAAAGATTAATGTAACAAAATATGTGTAGGTGTGGACCTACAAAATTGTAGGTCCACATTTGAAAATGCACCCAAAGGCAGGCACTGTGAGCTGCACAACCACACACTCATTTCCAACCCTCTTGCCTGCCTCTGTCTAGGAGCTTGAAAAAGCTACGTACCCATTTTTATTTACCTATTTATTTTGCAGCTACTCTTGCAGCTAATGGTAGTCAAAGGACCCATTTGTGGCAAATGAGAGAGATGTAGGATAATCTTCCAGGCCACTTCTGGGACAGCTACACCCTCCAGCTTCCTGCCCTGGATGTAGATATGCCGCCTGAAGCTGCGAAAACCTTCCAACCAGGAAGTGGCACACTAAGGTGACAAGTATTCTGACAGCTCTGACTGCCTACTTCCATATTTCCAGTAATATTAAATAATTGATTGCCTTTATTGCTTAAATCAAAGTTAGTTAGCCGTCCTGTTACTTACATTCCATGCTGATACATGACCTCACACAACTGGGAATAGATAGATAATGGCCCCCAAAAGATTAGGAATTCTGCTGGTCACGGTGGCTCACACCTATAATCCCAACACTTGGAAGGCCAAGGTGGGAGGATCGCTTGAAGCCAGGTGTTTAAGACCAGCCTGAGCAGTGTAGTGAGACCCTGGTTCTACAAAAAATAAAATAAAATAAAAATGGCAGATTACTTGAGGTCAGGAGTTCAAGACCAGTCTGGCCAACATAGTGAAACCCTGTCTCTACAAAAAAAAATACAAAAATGAGCCGAGTGTGGTGGCATGTGCCTGTGGTCCCAGCTACTCAGGAGGCTGAGGTGGGAGGATCGCTTGAGCTGGGAAAGCAGAAGTTGCAGTGAGCCGAGATTGTGCCATTGCCCTCCAGCCTGCATGACACAGCGAGATCCCGTCTCAAAAAAAAAAAAAAGGAAGTAAAAAAAATTAGCCAGGTATGGTGGCATGCACCTGTAGTCCTAGCTACTCAGGAGACTAGGGCATGCCAGGCTTGAGCCCAGGAGTTTGAGGTTGCAGTGAGCTATGATCACACCACTGCACTGCAGCCTAGGTGACAGAGTGAGACCCTGTCTTTAACAACAACAACAACAAAAGGACAGGAAGTCTCATTTGGGAGTCTCGCAATTCTAATTGAGT
The DNA here is from genome assembly GCF_000001405.40 of Homo sapiens. Lineage (NCBI taxonomy): Eukaryota > Metazoa > Chordata > Mammalia > Primates > Hominidae > Homo > Homo sapiens. The sequence goes on from NC_000008.11 coordinate 56,132,062, forward strand.
GAATGCAGTTTCTCTTCATTCTCCTTCCTCATCTCAGTTCGGAAGAGCTCCTATAGAACCCCTTAAATCTGATGTCCATATGGAGAATAAGCACTTACAGAGTAAGGGAGGCTAAATCTGGGACTTGCACTCAACAGACAGTGCCCTGAGTGTCTGCGGAGTCCCTTCCCCACCTTACTCCAGAGGGTCCAGGAGGCCACAGTGGGGAGCAGAGGTGGCCCCCAGGAGTATGCACTGCTGTGTTTAGAGTCTTCGCAGCCTTTGTTTGATGATTTAAGTGAAGTTGCTGAGAGGTTTAAGAATTGGGAAATAATCCTTTTGTATCTCTTATAATTGCTATTAAATCATAAATTTCCTGTAATTAATAGAACTCAGGAGCAAGTGGTGACCACGGCATTTTTTCAGGGTCTGATCTCAGTCAATGGAGTGGCATTAACACCCATGTGTTTCATAAATGTTAGAACTGCTGTTTTCTAGAGACAACTGTACATTCTCTTCTCCCACCTGCAGGGATTGAGCTTCTTAGTATTTGGACTTATTGTGCCAAAATTGGTTTTCATCTAAACAAACCAACAATTCTAGATAGCTAATAGCCCCAATCACCTTTCCATTAACTGCTGGAATTTGACAGGTGCCCCAGAAATACCTTCGGACATTCATTTGAAATTTAAATGAAGGGGACACATTTAGGCAGCTCTAGAAACATGAAGGCAGCTCTAGCTTTGCCCTCCTCAGCCCAGCCATAAGCGTAGCCCCTTGTGTTACTCATCAAGTCCAGTATGAGAACCAGCAAGCTGGCCAATGCATTGTGCACTTAGGAACAATGCACTCATCTATTTTAGGCCCCTGTTCTGAGTGCAAAGCTCTATCCATAGTGATTTCCTGATTTCTTCCTGATCACTACAGTGCAGGGTGAGGGGAATGGATAAGGTCTCTCAATTTTACATGCCATATCATTAATAGACCATTAAAAAAAAAAGATTTAGGTGGTACAAGTGCATAATCAGCATAGCAATTGATGTAGAAGAACTATTTGAAAAATCCAACACCCATTCATGATTAACTCTTTAAAAACTAGCAATAGAAGGGGAATATCTTCAAATTGATACAGGGTATTTATAAAAACCTACACTGAATGGCATACTTAATGGTAAAAGCTGAATATGTTCCCCTTGTGATCAAGAACAATACAAGGATGTCTGCTCTTAACACTCTTATTCAACATAGCATGAGAAGTTGTAGCCAGCGCAGTAAAGCAAGAAAAGAAAATAAGTCAAAAAGATCATATAGGAAGAAACAAAATTGTTCCTATTTGCTAATGACATACTTAGATATATAGAAATCCCCTCGAAACTTACAAAAAATAAAAATAAACCCTAGAGCTAATAAGTGAGTTTAGCAAGGTCACATGATACAAGATAAACATAAAATAATCAATTGCACTTCAATTGTTCATTGGTAATTACCAATGAGCATGTGCACACCAAAATTAAAAATACGGTCCCACTTACAATCATTAAAAAATACTAAAGTGTAAATCTAAAAAAAAAGTACAGAACTTGTATACTATGTACTACAAAACTACAAATCACTGATGAAAGAAATCAAAGAAGACCTAAATAAATGGTGAGACATACCACGGTTCATGGATTGGAAGACTCTATAGTAAATATTTCAATTCCCAAATGGATATTCAGGTGTAACATAATTCCAGCAAGACTTTTTTGCAGACATAGACAACAATATTTTAAATTTAGATGGGACTGCAAAGAAATCAGAAGAGCTAAGACAATTCTGAAAGGCAAGAATAAGAATGAGAGGAATCTGTCTACTCCATCTCAAGACTGATTTTATAGCTATACCAATTAAGATTGTGTAGTATTGGCAGAGGGATAAACACATAGATGAATAAAGCAGAATAGGGAACCCGGAAAGATATCCACACAAATGTGCCCAAATGATTTTTGACAAAGATTCACAAGTAATTAAAAACAGGAAAGATGGCTGGGTGCGGTGGCTCACGCCTGTAATCTCAGCACTTTGGAAGGCTGAGGTGGGCGGATCACCTGAGGTCAGGAGTTCTAGACCAGCCTGACCAACATGGCGAAACCCTGTCTCTACTAAAACTACAAAACTAGCTGGGTGTGGTGGCGCATGCCTGTAATTCCAGCTACTCAGGAGGCTGAGGCAGGAGAATCACTTGAACCCAGGAGACAGAGGTTGCGATGAGCCAAGGTCGCGCCACTGCACTCCATCTGGGAAACAAGAGCAAAACTCCATCTCAAACAAACAAACAAACAAACCCAGGAAAGACTACCTTTTCAGTGAATGATTTCTGGAGCAATTGGACATCTATAGGCAAAAAAAGAAATCTTTCCCTGAGTTTCACATTTTATACAAAAATTAACTTAAAATGGATCAAGGACTTAATATAAAATGTAAAACTATAAAACTTTTAGGGAAAGAAATAATAAGATAAATCTGCAAGAACTAATGTTACGCCAAAATTTCTTAGACTGGACACCAAAAACATGATCCACAAAAGAAAAAGTTAATAAATTAGACTTCATAAAAACTTAAAATGTTTGCTCTACAAAAGACCTTGTTAAGAGGGTGAAAATATAAATTACAGACTGGGAGAAAACACATATCCACACACCACATATTTTCAAACCACATATCCAACAAAGAACTAGTCTAAGGAATATATTAAGAACTCTCAAAGCTTAGCAGTTAAAAAAAAACTCAATCTAAATAGGCAAAAGACAAAAAGAGACATTTCATGCATGAGGATGTACAGATGACAATCACATGCAAAGATGTGTTATTAGAGAAACTTACTATCATTAGGAATATTTATTTTCTCTCACACCTTGCTTTGTCTTTGTCTACAGCATTTATCATCACAGTATGTATCATGTATTTATTTGTTTCTTTATTGTCTGTCCCCCTCCAGTAAAATGTAATCTCTATGTGGGTGGGAACCCTGGGTTCTGTTCACTGCTTTTTCACCAGGACCAGAATTGTGCCTGGCTGGTGGTAACCACTCAGTACATATTTGTGGAATGAATGAATACATGCCCTTGCACGTTTAAATGGAACTCAGCTGTAAGTTTTATCCATGGGGTCCTGGTTTTTTAAAATAATAGATTTTTAAATCACTTTTCCTTTCTTGTCTGTAGTAATTTAGTTCAATTTTCTACTCCTTGGGTAATTAATACTTTGCTCAAAAACTATCAGTGTCCTCTACATTTCCAAAATAATTTCCATAGATTTAGTAGTCTCTTATAATTCTTTTACTCTATCTTTTTTAAATCTCTTTTTTATAAGGCTCAACATGAGTTTTCTACTTTATCATTTTTTTGTTTAATGAATTAATTTTGCATTTATTTTTTGTTGTATTTTTACCTCATTGAATTCACGTTATTTTTATCTATTTAATTTATTCAGATTCATTTTATTGTCTTTTTTCCCTAATTTCTTAAGGTTATGTATTAGTTATGATGAAGACTAAATTGCTGTAGAAAGAGGATCCCAAAACGTCTTTATTTCTTTTTTCATGGAACAGTCCAGGAGGGGTAGGTGATCTATTCTACATATTTATTTCAGGAACACAGGCAAACAGGATGATGCTGCCACTCTCTAAGGTAGGGATTAGCACTCTACAGCATGCAGACAAATTCTACCTGTGGCTTGTTTTGCAAATAAAGTTTTATTGGAATGCAACCACGCTAATTTGTTTACATACTGCCTGTGGATGCTTTTGATCTATAATGGCAGAGCTGAGTAGTTATGGCAGAGAGTTATGGCAGAGTTGAGTAGTTATGGCCCACAAAAACGAAATTATTTTCCCTCTGGCCATTTTCGAAAGAGCTTGCTGATGCTGCTGTAAGGCAGTGTCCAGTCTGCATAATCAAAACTGGGTCACCAACATGTCCTGGCTGTTTTCAGCTTGTGGGGAGAGAAAAGGAAATGTGGAGAAGTCATGTCCACTGTACCAAGAAGTGGTACACAGCCTTCCACTCACATTTTACTGGTGAAACTATGTCACATGGCCACATCTAGCTGCAAGGGAATCTGGGGACTGCAGTGTAGTTGGGCATCAGCTACACACACCACGACCCACCTACTATTCTTTCACTGTGGTAAAAGGAGAGAATGGAGTTTGGAGGATGCCTACCATTTCCTCCTTAGATAAACAGAAAGTGCCTATATTTTCTGTCTTTCTTCTTTAATAATGAAGAAATGTCAAACAATGATTTTTTTTTCCAGAACAACTTCTTTGACTCAGAGGTTCTGGTATGACAGCCTCCTTTTCATTGTGCTTTTTTAAGGTAGTTTGTAATTTCAGTTTGGAATTCTTCTTTAAGGAATATTTTGGAGGATGTTTCTTAGTTTTCAAATACTTACGTAATTTTTAAAGTCATATTTTGATTATTTATTTATATTTGTTAAGAGAATGTGTCCCTAAAATGTATACTTCTCCAAATGTGTTTATGACCAAATGAATAAGGAATTTTGTAATACCTGGACACACATATGGGTGTGTATGTATTCCTTTTTCAAATGACAAAGATTTATCTAATAACTACACACGTTTGATTACATTATGTCCTTTCTTATTTTTGTCTTTTATATCTAATTCTGAAAGATTTATTAAACTCCCTCATTCTAATATAATTTTTAGAATTAAGTTTTTGCATTTCTAATAATTTCCATTTATATATTTACCTGTCATGTTTTTAAATTTAAGTTTATTATATTTTCCTATTTATTTATTTATTGAGACAGGGCCTCACCTTGTCCCCCAGGCTGGACAGTGGCGCATCCTCAGCTCACTTTAGCCTTGACCTCCTGGGTTCGAGGGATCCTCCTGCCTCAGCCCCCCAAGTACCTGGGACAATAGGCACATGCCCAGCTAATTTTTGGTTTTTTGTAGAGACAGGGTTTTACCATGTTGCCCAGGTTGGTCTCAAACTCCTGAGCACAAGTGATTCACCTGCCTCAGCCTCCCAAATTGCTAGGATTATAGATGTGAGCCATTGCACCTTGCCAAGTTTATTATATTTGCTTTAAACATTGTTCATTTAATGTTATTTGTATCCATGTGTTTCTTTTTGAATATTTAATCTTAAATCTGTTTTCTGATATTAATAATTTGTGATTGTGATGTCTTTTTCCTAGTATTCATTTATCGTAGTATTCACTTTTTTCCTAAGCCTTATATCTCTAGTAAGAAAAAAAGAAAAAATGCCTTACTAGAGAAGGTAAATGAGGATAATAAAATATGCTCTGTCTTTTATAAGGCTGAAAGAAGATAATGGCTGGGAGAGTTTTGTAAATCATAAAGAACTACACATGTAACAAATATTGTTCATTCTGCCACTGGGTCTGTGGACATGCCTAAGTTGTTGTTCTCTGACTTCAATTATACATTTCTGGGCAGATCAGATCTATTATCTATTAATTATCTATCTATCAATCAATCATCAATCTATCCATTATCTATCTATCCATTATCTATCTATCTATCTATCTATCTATCTATCTATCTATCATCTAGATTATGATTCTAACCAATTTAGTCATTAGCAGTGGGCTGTATCTACTATTCCAACATAACTATATCACACACCTGCCCGTTTTCATTGCCAATACCAGATAGAATATTTATGCCATTATTATTTTGGAACCCATAAAGTATAGAGTGAAAAGTATGTTTATTTTTATTTTCCTACTATTGTTATCTAAAAACATACACAGTGTTTCAAGAAAACAAGCTACTGTGAAGCATCAAATAAGAAATACTCTGGTTGGGGGCTGAGGTGGGAAGGCAGCACTTTTTTTTTTTTACATCAATGTTTATTTTAAGTTCCGGGGTACATATGCGGGATGTGCAGGTTTGTTACATAGGTAAACGTGTGCCATGGTGATTTGCTGCACAGATCAACCCATCACCTAGGTATTAAGCCAAGCATCCATTAGCTATTCTTCCTGATGCTGTCCCTTGCCCTGCAGCCCCGACAGGGCCCAGTGTGTGCTGTTCCCTCCCCGTATGTCCATGTGTTCTCATCCTTCAGCTCCCACTTATAAGTGAGAACATGCAGTGTCTGGTTTTCTGTTCCTTTGTTAATTTCCTGAGGATAATGGCTTCCAGCTCCATTCATGTCCCTGCAAAGGACACGATCTCATTCCTTTTTATTGCTGCGTGGTATTCCAGGGTGTAAATGTACCACAGTTTCTTTATCCAGTCTATCACTGATGGGCATTTGGATTGATTCCATGTCTTTGCTATTGTGAATAGTGCTACAATAAACATACATGTGCATGTATTTTTATAATACAATGAATTATATTCCTTTAGGTATATATCTAGTAATGGGATTGCTGGGTCAAATGGTATTTCTGCTTCTAGATCTTTGAGGAATCACGACACTGTCTTCCACAATGGTTGGAGTAATTTACATCCCCACTAACAGTATAAAAGATTTCCTTTTTCTCTGCACCGCGACAGCATCTGTTGTTTCTTGAGTTTTTAATAATCATCATTCTGACTGGCATGAGATGGTATCTCATTATTGTTTTGATTTGCATATCTATCTCTAATGAGAAATTTCTCTAGAACTTTTTTTCATGTTGGTTGGCTGCATGAATGTCTTCTTTTGAGAAGTGTCTGTTCGTGTCCTTTGCCCACTTTTTAATGGGATTTTTTTTTCTTGTAAATTTGTTTAAGTTCCTAGTAGACTCTGGATGTTAGACCTTTTTCAGATTGATAGATTGCAAAAATTTTCTCCCATTCCGTAGGTTGTCTATTTACTCTGATGATAGTTTCTTTTGCTGTGAAGAAGCTCTTTAGTTTAATTAGATCTCATTTGTCAGTTTTTGCTTTTGTTGTAATTGCTTTTGGTGTTTTTGTCATGAAATCTTTGCCCATGCCTATATCCTGAATGGTATTGCCTAGGGTTTCTTCTAGGGTTTGTATTGCTTTGGGTTTTACATTTAAGTCTTTAATCCATCTTGAGTGAATTTTTGTATAAGGTATAAGGAGGGGTTCCAGTTTCAATTTTCTGCATATGGCTAGACAGTTCGTTCAGCAATATTTATTAAAGAGGGAATCATTTCCCCATTGCTTGTTTTTGTCAGGTATGTCGAAGATCAGATGGTTGTAGGTATGCAGTCTTATTTATGAGTGTTTTATTCTGTTCCATTGGTCTATTTGTCTGTTTTTGTACCAGTACAACGCTGTTTTGTTTACTGTAGCCTTGTAGTATACTTTGAAGTCAGGTAGGGTGATGCCCCCAGCTTTGTTCTTTTTGTTTAGGATTGACCTGGCTATACGGGCTCTTTTTTGGTTCCATATGAATTTTAAAATAGTTTTTTTCTAACTCCATGAAGAATGTCAATGGTAGTTAAATGGGAATAGCATTGAATCTATAAATTACTTTGGGCACTATGGCCATTTTCATGATATTAATTCTTCCTATCCATGAGCATGGAATGTTTTCCCATTTTTTTTGTGGGTCCTCTCTGATTTCCTTGAGCAACGGTTTGTCATTCTCCTTGAAGAGGTCCTTCACTTCCTTTGTTAGGTGTATTCCTAAGTATTATACTCTGTTTGTAGCAATTATAAATGGGAGTTTATTCATGATTTGGCTCTCTGCATGTCTGTTGTTGATGTATAGGAATGCTAGCGATTTTTGCACATTGATTTTTGTATCCTGAGACTTTGCTGAAGTTACTTATCAGCTTAAGAAGCTTTTGGGCTGAGACAATGGGGTTTTCTAGATATAGGATCATGTCATCGGCAGATAAACATAATTTGACTTCCTCTCTTCCTATCTGAATACACTTTATTTCTTTCTTTTGCTTGATAACCATGGCCAGAACTTCCAATACTATGTTTAATAGGAGGGGAGCCAGGATTTTAAAATTGTTCTTAAATCACAATAAAATTATAGTTGCATGCAGGCACATGACAAAATGCCCCTAGCACAACTTCCACTGGTTCCCATGTGGTTAAAAAAATGTAAAATTACAGACTTGAAAGCTTGTTTTTTTCTCCAACATGTTTCTTCCTTATCAGTAGTCACTTCTTTTTATGTCCACAATCTAATTCCTTCTTTGTTTCTTACTAATCTTCTGGATATTAGAACAGGAATATCCATTTATTTTAAATCTTATTTTATCTCTTGGCTTTAAGTGTGGTTCTTGTAAACAACTGGCTAAGTTAAAATAATCCATTATGACAGTGTATGTCTTTTTATAGGGAAATGCAACTCATTTATTACATTTGCATTCACACTGGTACTTAAGCTTTATGTTTCACATATATATTAGTCTGGGTTTTCCAGATAGAACCAGCAGGAATACACAAACACACACACCCCTCTCTGCCATAAGGAATTGACTGATGTGATTATGGAAGCTGAGAATTGCAAGATCTGCAGTTGTCAAACTGGAGACCCAGGAGAGTCAATGGTGTAAGTTCCAGTCTGAGTCTGGTTGAGTACAAAGGGAGAAGAAGCCCATTGTCCCAGCTCAAAGTCAGTCAGGCAGAGAGAAAGAATTCTTTCTTACTCATCCTTTTATTCTATTCAGGTCTTCAATGGATTGGATGAGGCTCACCCACGATTGGGAGGACAATCTGTTTCTTCAGTCTATCAATTCAAATGTTAATCTTACCCAAAAACATCCTCGCAGACACATCCAGAAATAATGTTTAACCAAATAATTGGGCATCTCATGGCCCAGTCAAGTTGATATACAAAATTAACCATCACAAGTCTGCCCCTTGTCAACCTGGGCACCCATATACATCTCCTCAAACCATGCTTATTTCCAAATAAATATAATAACAAAGTGATAATTCTGCCTAAAAGGATACAGCTATCCTGCATACCAGCAGAAACACACTAACCCCTTCCCCAGAAGATGAGGTAAAATCCTAGAATGATGTTTACCCTTCTCCTGATATCTCATAACTTAAATACTATAATTGAAATACTTAACTACATTTAAATATTATGATATAAAGTTAATTCATGTTATGTTACATAAGGGAATTAGAAAGGGGATAAAGCAAAGGTATTTGCATATATGTGTATATGTATGTTAATGCACACAAACATATTCATAGCAAGATAAGGAGGAGTACTCATAATTACAATCCCATTTCTGTAACTGATCACATGATTGTAGCTGGTATTTGTAACTACTTACAAATACCGCTACCCATTCTGTATTCCCTGTGCCTTCAGCAAGCACTTTGGCTGGTTGTGATTCTTTACCTGGTGGGGTGAACCAAGGCTTCATTCCTGAAGGGTCTGGGCCATTAGCAGTGCTGCCTGTATTGGGTTGTTGTAATTTTACATTGACCTTAATCACAGGGCATGGTCATACTAAAGAAGCCCTAAGGTATCTCCTGTATTCCAGACATTTTCTCCCTTAGCTCTATTGCGGAGTAGTAGTCCAAATTCCCTTTAGTAATCGGGATCAATCACTGTAGCCAGATCAGTAACTCCCCTTTTTGCCTATTGATTCAGAGGCAAGGAGATCCCCAGTGGCCAGGCAGCAGTCTTTCACTCTGCAGTTTTCAAGTCCTTGATGGTGGCACCGTCTCTGCAGTCCCACCAGAGATGTGGTATTGTTTTTGATTTACTATTTTCCTAGCTAAAGTCAGCTCTAATGGCTTCCATTTGGTCTTTCCCACAATAATAACCCTCACTACACAGGTTAGGGAACTAATGTGGGGATTCTGCCAACTGCTGAGTATATCTATTTCAATTACGCCTTCCAGAACAGAGGTACACCTGATGGCAGCAGCAGCCTGTCTAGAGCAGCTGCTGCCATGACACTGGCTGCAGCAGGGCAGGCCCAGCTAGGGCTGCATGCTCCATGGAGCCACAGGGACCCGGGAACAGGTGGAAGCCCCACCCCCTTCCAAGTTAGCAGGTGAGAGCACTGCCCTTCTTGGTGCAGCTGCAGCCTCTCAGCCATGGCTGCATACTGGGCATCCCTGTACTCTCTGGGGCCCAGGAAACCCCCCTTCCCCACAGGCTTAGAAGTGCCTGGTCCTGCGGCTTGGCCTCTCCCCGCTCCTGGTGCCAGCTCCAATTTTGGAGTAAAGTTCTGGCTGAGCCCTGGATGCTGTCTGACCTGGCTAGGTGTGCACACACTTGGGGTGGCACTGACACGCCAGCCCCCTGCCGCCTCAGCCTTCTCCAGACGTTGATCACTAACGAGCTCAGGAGGGAGGCCAAGGGGGTGCTGACGGTGGGTGTGCACAGGCCTGCAGGTGCCCCTTGGCCCGAACAGCCTGGGTGTCATGGATGACGTGTAGATGGTGGCAGGAGGCAGGCAGGCTCCTGGGCGGAAGGAGGCAGGTCTCTGGTGAAGTCCCTTCAAGCCAGAGACCACCTGAATCATGGGGGTTGGGCTTTCAGTTCTGAGTGCAGTCTGCAGCCTGGAGTGAGAACTTATGGTGCTTCTTCTGGGCCCACCCATGGCTGCCCATGGACAAATCAGCTGCACTTCCTCCCTTCTGAACCCTATAAAAACCCTAGACTCAGTCATACTCACAGAGACAACATGATGACCTGCCTGCAGATAGAAGCTACCCACTCCAGGTCTCCTCTCTGCTGAGGGCTGCACATTGGTCAGGACCCTCCCTGTGGGTAGGAGCTACCCACTCTGGGTCTCCTCTCTGCTGAGAGCTGACACTCGTTGGGATGACTTGCCTGCAGATAGGAGCTATGCATTCCAGGTCCCCTGAGAGCTTTAATGTTGCTCAATAAAGAATCTCTTTGCTTTGCTTACCCTCCAGTTTTCTGCATCCCTCATTCTTCCTGGATGCAGGATAAGAACTTGGGACATGCCAAATGACAGGACTGAAAAAGCTGTAACACAAACAGGGCTGAAACACACCCCATCACTCGCCATGTTGCAGGTGACAAGAATGAGAGAAGAGCTGCAGGACATCAAGGAGCCCAGACCTAGGAGCTCCTTGGGCCAGTATTGTGATACCCTCTTTGGGGCTCTGCAGTTCCTGGCATCTCCAAGCTTCTGGGCACCACCATGTTCCCTGGTGCCCACAGTGGAAGCCACTTGCAGTACGCTTGGTCCAACTGCAGCCTCGCATGGAGCCGGCACCTGTGCCAGTGCCTGGACCTGCCCACCTCACTGCAGCCGGCATGCCTGGCTGTGTGCAGTGGCCAGACCCCACGCTCACTCACACACCCCTTGCCACTCTGTGCCTGGCTCACCTTTGGCAGTCATGGAATCTGGGCTGGTAGCACAAGCCAAGTGCAGCCTGCCAGGCTGAGTGGGTGGAATGAGCCCAGTGGGCCTGAGCAAAACTCGGGCAAAGGCACCACCAGCCACAGAGGTTTCTGGCTGGCGAAGCAACACCCCAAGGATCCTGTGACACAACCACAGCATGGGTTCAGTGACACACTGAGCCAACTGTGAGTTGGACTTGAGCTAAAACTCCATTGATCACTGGACCTAAGCCTATACTCTGACTGGTGGAGTATAGTGACATATTGGGTTACCTGAAATTAGTGTCAGCTCAAAGCCAGTGTCTGGTAGTCTCTGGAAAGTCTAATTATTTCCTTTCCCTCATGCACAGTTACCCTGATAGAAGGCCATAGGTCTTTTTAGGGAAGGCTGGGAAAAAGATTAACAATATAAATTCTTGGCAGTGTCTGGGGTCCTTCTTCAAGGAGACTCAGCCTCTTCATTCAAGTGGTTCTGGGCCTGTACACTGGCTCTGTGAGTCTGGGAACTGACTGAAGGGTTGTGACTGTCTGTTTTTATAATTCAAGTTAGACTTTTATTCAGGTGACCTATAACTTTTTTGCTATCAGTTAAGAATTTAATAGCCTTCTTATTTCACTTCTAGGTTTCGTGGGGAGATACTTTAATCTTATGTAAATAACCTGGTTTTCAACAACATAGTTTTGCCCCTTAGCTGGTATCCACTGATGATTCATAGTTGCCAATTCCTGGCTTTGCAATTTCATCATTCTTTCTACAATTATTAATTGGAATTCTACTTCAATACATATTTGTTTGTTTGTTTGTTTGTTTATTTATTTATTTATTTATTTATTGAGACAGAGTCTCACTCTGTCGCCCTGGCTGAAGGGCAGTGGCGTGATCTCAGCTCACTGCAACCTCCACCTCCCAGGTTCAAGTGATTCTCATGTCTCAGCCTCCTGAGTAGCTGGGATTACGTGCCCACATCCCTGTGCCCAGCTAACTGTTCATTTTATTTTTATAACCATGGCTTCATATATTCTTGTCTTATTCTACGGGTTATAATCCATTACCATCACTATTTATTTATTTTTGCCCAAGTGAAGCCAGTGGGTGCCCCTTGAAGTTGGCTTCTGTGTCCTTTTTCACATGTTCTCCCATCATTCTTTAAGGATTTCCTTACTTTCTAGTATAACAATATGTTAGAGGATTGTCTTGTACTTTACTTTCCCCACTCCTAGAAGCAGCCCTGAATGTTTTAGTGGAGAATGGTACTTGGAAACCAAGATTTGGGTATTTAGTGTGCTCATTACTACTAGCTATCACTGCTTCTAAGCCTGCTCAGATGGCAGAGTTAGGAAATACATATATGCATGCTTGTGTGTGTGTATATATACATATATCTCTATGTCACATATATACACACATTGCTTTTTTTAAAAAAAATAAGGTTTTTTTCTTTGTGGACAAAATATCCTTTCTTATACAGAATATTAATGAGAAGATTTAAAAATTATTTTCTATTCCTCATTGCCTTTGTTTCATCTGCGCTTCCACTTTTCTTTTTTGCCATTTAAGTCTCTGTCTCCTTCATGTGGAATGTTGCCTGAAACATCCAGTGGTCACTGACTGATTTCATATTTAAGAGTGACGCACAGCCGGGCATGATGGCCCATGCCTGTAATCTCAGCACTTTGGGAGGCCGAGGTGGGCGGTTCATGATGTCAAGAGATCGAGACCATCTTGGCCAACATGGTGAAACCCCGTCTCTACTAAAAATACAAAAATTAGCCGGGTGTGATGGCACGTGCCAGTAGTCCCAGCTACTCAGGAGTCTCAGGTAGGAGAATTGCTTGAACCCTGGGAGGCAGAGGTTGCAGTGAGCTGAGATCGTGCCACTGCACTCCAGCCTGGCAAAAAGGCTTTTTGAGCCTTTTCTATCTCAAAAAGAAAAAAAAAACAAAAAAGAAAAAAAGAGTGATGCACAAGGGATTATTCCCTACAATGCTGAAATAGTTTATTTAGACCCACCTTTCCATGAAAACAACTACAGATGTTGGGGGAATGTATAAAGAGAAAAATGACTTCTTAAAAGCAACATAAATGGGAATATACATTCACATAACCATTTTGGAGGGAAACTTGGAGAATCAACAAAACCACATATGCACTTACCTTTTGACTCAGCAATCCAACATCTAGAATTTACCCTGAAGATACATTGCTAACAATGTGAAAATGCATATGCAGTTATTAATTGCAGCATTATTTGCAGTTGCAAAATATGTGAAACAATCTAAGTGGCCATACATAGGAGAGTGGTTAAATAAGCTATGCTACATCCACAGAAGATAAAATGATGCAGTAAAATAAATAACAAGGAAGAGTTCTATGGACTGACTTGAAGTGATTTCCAGGATATATTGTTACATGAAAAAGCAAAACATAGAACAATATATATCCCATAATACATCTTTTGTATAAAAAGTAGGGGAGGGGAATAAGAAAATATATATGTTTTGCTTATTTGTGAAAAAAAAAAAAAAAAAAGAAAGAAATTTAGGAAGAATAGACTGGAAACTAATGAGATTGCTTACCAAAGCTGATGGGTAAGATGTGGGGAGAAAATGTGAGAGTATGAGAATAGGATAAAAATGATGAAGAAGTGGCACTTCTTTGACATAGTTTAAAAATATATTCTGAATGTTAGAACCATGTTAATGTTTCACATACTTAAAGAAAAGATACTTAAATAAAACATCAGCGAGGGCAGGGAATTAAAAAAAGTAGAACACAAAAATGAACTCAGCTATATTTTAATTTTATTTTTAATTATTTATTTATTTTATTATACTATAAGTTCTAGGGTACATGTGCACAAAGTACAGGTTTGTTACATATGTAAACATGTGCCATGTTGGTGTGCTGCACCCATGAACTCGTCATTTACATTAGGTATATCTCCTAATGCTATCCCTCCGCCCTCCCCCCACTCAACGACAGGCCCTGGTGTGTGATGTTCCCCTTCCTGTGTCCAAGGTTCTCATTGTTCAATTCCCATCTATGAGTGAGAACATGCAGTGTTTGGTTTTCTGTCCTTGCGATAGTTTACTGAGAATGATGATTTCCAATTTCATCCATGTCCCTACAAAGGACATGAACTCATCCTTTTTTATGGCTGCATAGTATTCCATGGTGTATATGTGCCACATTTTCTTAATCCAGTCTATCATTGATGGACATTCGGGTTGGTTCCAAGTCTTTGCTATTGTGAATAGTGCCACAATAAACATACATGTGCATGTGTCTTTATAGCAGCATGATTTATAATCCTTTGGGTATATACCCAGTAATGGGATGTCTGGGTCAAATGGTATTTCTAGTTCTAGATCCTTGAGGAATCACCACACTGTCTTCCACAATGGTTGAACTAGTTTACAGTCCCACCAACAGTGTAAAAGTGTTCCTATTTCTCCACATCCTCTCCAGCACCTGTTGTTTCCTGACTTTTTAATGATTGCCATTCTAACTGGTGTGAGATGGTATCTCGTTGTGGTTTTGATTTGCATTTCTCTGATGGCCAGTGATGATGAGCATTTTTTCATGTGTCTGTTGGCTGCATAAATGTCTTCTTTTGAGAGGTGTCTGTTCATATCCTTCACCCACTTTTTGATGGGGTTGATTTTTTCTTGTAAATTTGTTTAAGTTCTTTGTAGATTCTGGATATTAGCCCTTTGTCAGATAGGTAGATTGTAAAAATTTTCTGCCATTCTGTAGGTTGTCTGTTCACTCTGATGGTAGTTTCTTTTGCTGTGCAGAAGCTCTTCAGTTTAATTAGATCCCATTTGTCAATTTTGGCTTTTGTTGCCATTGCTTTTGGTGTTTTAGTCATGAAGTCCTTGCCAATGCCTATGTCCTGAATGGTATTGCCTAGGTTTTCTTCTAGGGTTTTTATGGTTTTAGGTCTAACATTTAAGTCTTTAATCCATCTTGAATTAATTTTTGTATAAGGCATAAGGAAGAGATCCAGTTTCAGCTTTCTATATATGCCTAGCCAGTTTTCCCAGCACCATTTATTAAATAGGGAATCCTTTCCCCATTGCTTGTTTTTCTCAGGTTTGTCAAAGATCAGATGGTTGTAGATGTGTGGTATTATTTCTGAGGGCTCTGTTCTGTTCCATGGGTCTATATCTCTGTTTTGGTACCAGTACCATGCTGTTTTGGTTACTGTAGACTTGTAGTATAGTTTGAAGTCAGGTAGCGTGATCCCTCCAGCTTTGTTCTTTTGGCTTAGGATTGTCTTGGCAATGCAGGCTCTTTTTTGGTTCCACATGAACTTTAAAGTAGTTTTTTCCAATTCTGTGAAGAAAATCATTGGTAGCTTGATGGGGATGGCATTGAATCTATAAATTACCTTGGGCAGTATGGCCGTTTTCACAATATTGATTCTTCCTACCCATGAGCATGGAAGGTTCTTCCTTTTTTTGTGTCCTTTTGTTTCGTTGAGCAGTGGTTTGTAGTTCTCCTTGAAGAGGTCCTTCACATCCCTTGTAAGTTGGATTCCTAGGTATTTTATACTCTTTGAAGCAATTGTGAATGGGAGTTCACTCATGATTTGGCTCTCTGTTTGTCTGTTGTTGGTGTATAAGAATGCTTGTGATTTTTGCACATTGATTTTGTATCCTGAGACTTTGCTGAAGTTGCTTATCAGCTTAAGGAGATTTGAGCTAAGACGATGGGGTTTTCTAAATATACAATCATGTCATCTGCAGACAGGGACAATTTGACTTCCTCTTTTCCTACTTGAATACCCTTTATTTCTTTCTCTTGCCTGATTGCCCTGGCCAGAGCTTCCAACACTATGTTGAATAGGAGTGGTGAGAGAGGGCATCCCTGTCTTGTGCCAGTTTTCAAAGGGAATGCTTCCAGTTTTTGCCCATTCAGTATGATATTGGCTGTTGGTTTGTCATAAATAGCTCTTATTATTTTGAGATATGTCCCATCAATACCTAGTTTATTGAGAGGTTTTAGCATGAAGGGCTGTTGAATTTTGTCAAAGGCCTTTTCTGCATCTATTGAGATAATCATGTGGTTTTTGTCTCTGGTTCTGTTTATATGATGGATTACGTTTATTGATTTGTGTATGTTGAACCAGCCTTGCATCCGAGGTATGAAGCCAACTTGATAGTGGTGGATAAGCTTTTTGATGTGCTGCTGGATTTGGTTTGCGAGTATTTTATTGAGGAGTTTTGCATTGATGTTCATCAGGGATATTGGTCTAAAATTCTTTTTTGGTTGTGTCTCTGCCAGGCTTTGGTATCAGGATGATGCTGGCCTCATAAAATGAGTTAGGGAGGATTCCCTCTTTTTCTTTTGATTGGAATAGTTTCAGAAGAAATGGTATCAAGTCGTCTTTGTACCTCTGGTAGAATTCAGCTGTGAATCCGTCTGGTCCTGAACTTTTTTTGGTTGGTTGGCTATTAATTATTGCCTCAATTTCAGAGCCTGTTATTGGTCTATTCAGAGATTCAATTTCTTCCTTGTTTAGTCTTGGGAGGGTGTATGTATCCAGGAATTTATCCATTTCTTCTAGATTTTCTAGTTTATTTGCATAGAGGTGTTAATAGTATTCTCTGATGGTTTTTGTATTTCTGTGGGATCAGTGGTGATATCCCCTTCATCATTTTTTATTGCGTCTATTTGATTCTTCTCTCTTTTCTTCATTAGTCTTGCTAGAGGTCTATCAATTTTGTTGATCTTTTCAAAAAACCACCTCCTGGATTCATTGATTTTTTGAAGGTTTTTTTTGTGTCCCTATCTCCTTCAGTTCTGCTCTGATTTTAGTTATTTTTTGACTTCTGCTTGTGTTTGCTCTTGCTTCTCTAGTTCTTTTAATTGTGATGTTAGGGAGTCAATTTTAGATCTTTCCTGCTTTCTCTTGTGGGCATTTAGTGCTATAAATTTCCCTCTACACACTGCTTTAAATGTGTCCCAGAGATTCTGGTATGTTGTGTCTTTGTTCTCATAGGTTTCAAAGAACTTTATTTCTGCCTTCATTTCAGTATGTACCCAGTAGTCCTTCAGGAGCAGGTTGTTCAGTTTCCATGTAGTTGAGCTCTTTTGAGTGAGTTTCTTAATCCTGAGTTCTAGTTTGATTGCACTGTGGTCTGGGAGATGGTTTGTTATAATTTCTCTTCTTTTACTTTTGCTGAGGAGTGCTTTACTTCCAACTATGTGGTCAATTTTGGAATAAGTGTGATGTGGTGCTTAGAAGAATGTATATTCTGTTGATTTGGGGTGGAGAGTTCTGTAGATGACTATTAGGTCCGCTTGGTGCAGAGCTGAGTTCAATTCCTGGATATCCTTGTTAACTTTCTGTCTAGTTGATCTGTCTAATGTTGACAGTGGAGTGTTAAAGTCTGCCATTATTATTGTGTGGGAGTCTAAGTCCCTTTGTAGGTCTCTAAGGACTTGCTTTATGAATCTGGGTGCTCCTGTATTGGGTGCATATATATTTAGGATAGTTAGCTCTTCTTGTTGAATTGATCCCTTTACCATTATGTAATGGCCTTCTTTGTCTCTTTTGATCTTTGTTGGTTTAAAGTCTGTTTTATCAGAGATGAGGATTGCAACCCCTGCTTTTTTTTTTGTTTTCCATTTGCTTGGTAGATCTTCCTACATCCCTTTATTTTGAGCCTATCTGTTTCTCTGCATGTGAGATGGGTCTCCTGAATACAGCACACTGACAGTTCTTGACTCTACCCAATTAGCCAGTCTGTGTCTTTTAATTGGAGCATTTAGCCAATTTCCATTTAAGGTTAATATTGTTACTTGTGAATTTGATCCTGTCATTATGATGTTAGCTGGTTATTTTGCTCCTTAGTTGGTGCAGTTTCTTCCTAGCATCAATGGTCTTTACAATTTGGCATGTTTTTGCAGTGGCTGGTACCTGTTATTCCTTTCCATGTTTAGTGCTTCCTTCAGGAGCTCTTGTAAGGCAGGCCTGGTGGTGGCAGAATCTCTCAGCATTTGATTGTCTGTAAAGGACTTTATTTCTCCTTCACTTATGAAGCTTAGTTTGGCTGGATATGAAATTCTGGGTTGCAAATTCTTTACTTTAAGAATGTTGAATATTGGCCCCCACTCTCTTCTGGCTTGTAGAGTTTCTGCAGAGAGATCAGCTGTTAGTCTGATGGGCTTCCCTTTGTGGGTAACCCGACCTTTCTGTCTCTCTGCCCTTAACATTTTTTCCCTCATTTCAACTTTGGTGAATCTGACAATTATGTGTCTTGGAGTTGCTCTTCTCGAGGAGTATTTTTGTGGCATTCTCTGTATTTCCTGAATTTGAATGTTGGCCTGCCTTGCTAGGTTGGGGACGTTCTCCTGGATAACATCCTGCAGAGTGTTTTCCAACTTGGTTCCATTCTCCCCATCACTTTCAGGTACACCAATCAGAAGTAGATTTGGTCTTTTCACATAGTCCCATATTTCTTGGAGGCTTTGTTCATTTCTTTTTACTATTTTTTCTCTAAACTTCTCTTCTCTCTTCATTTCATTCATTTGATCTTCAATCACTGATACCCTTTCTTCCACGTGATCGAATTGGCTACTGAAGCTTGTGCATGCATCACGTGGTTCTCTTGCCAAGGTTTTCAGCTCCATCAGGTCATTTAAGGTCTTCTCTAAGCTGTTTATTCTAGTTAGCCATTGGTCTAATCTTTTTTCAAGGTTTTTAGCTTCTTTGCGATGGGTTCAAACATCCTCCTTTAGCTTGGAGAAGTTTGTTATTACTGACCGTTTGAAGCCTTCTTCTCTCAACTCCTCAGAGTCATTCTCCATCCAGCTTTGTTCCATCGCTGGCGAGGAGCTGCATTCCTTTGGAGGAGAAGAGGCGCTCTGATGTTTAGAATTTTCAGCTTTTCTGCTCTGGTTTCTCCCCATCTTTGTGGTGTTATCTACTTTTGGTCTTTGATGATGGTGATGTACAGATGGGGTTTTGATGTGGATGTCCTTTCTGTTTGTTAGTTTTCCTTCTAACAGTCAGGACCCTCAGCTGCAGGTCTGTTGGAGTTTGCTGGAGGTCCACTCCAGACCCTTTTTGGAGGTCCACTCCAGACCCTTTTTGCCTGGTTATCACCAGCGGAGGCTGCCGAACAGCAAATATTGCAGAATGGCAAATGTTGCTGCCTGATCCTTCCTCTGGAAGCTTTGTCTTAGAGGGACACCCAGCCGTATGAGGTGTCAGTTGGTCCCTACTGGGAGGTGCCTGCCAGTTAGGCTCCCCTGGGGTCAGGGATCCACTTGAGGAGGCAGTCTGTCCGTTCTCAGATCTCAAACTCCATGCTGGGAGAACCACTACTCTCTTCAAAGCTGTCAGACAGGGATATTTAAGTCTGCAGAAGTTTCTGCTGCCTTTTGTTCAGCTATGCCCTGCCCCTAGAAGTGGAGTCTACAGTGGTAGGCAGGCCTCCTTGAGCTGCAGTGGGCTCCACCCAGTTCGAGCTTCTGAGCCGCTTTGTTTACCTACTCAAGCCTCAGCAATGGCAGATGCCCCTTGCGCAGCCTTGCTGCTGCCTTGCAGTTCGATCTCAGACTGCTTTGCTAGCAGTGAGCGAGGCTCCATGGGCATAGGACCCTCCGAGCTAGGTGCGGGATATAATTTCCTGGTGTGCCATTTGCTAAGACCATTGGAAAAGCACAGTATTAGGGTGGGAGTGTCCCGATTTTCCAGGTACCATCTGTCATGGCTTCCTTTGGCTAGGAAAGGGAATTCCCCAACCCCTTGCACTTCCCGAGTGAGGTGATGCCCTGCCCTGCTTTGGCTCATGGTCCGTGGGCTGCACCCACTGTCCATCAAGTCCCAGTGAGATGAACCTGGTACCTCAGTTGGAAATGCGGAAATCACCTGTACTCTGCGTCGCTCATGCTGGGAGCTGTAGACTGGAGCTGTTCCTATTCGGCCATCTTGGAACCTCTCCCAAACCCAGCTATATTTTAAACGGATAACATGACTAAACTGAAAGTGATGGGGGGTAACTGTGAACACAGTATTTTGACTACACGCCTTTGGGGTAAAGACCAAAAGAACTGTAAACAAGTACTATGCTGCTCTTGTGAGTAGATATGGGTTAGCAATTATGAAGTACTTTTATGTATATTATAAAATTGTGTAAGTAAGTAAATACATTGTGGATAATAAGAACCAGGAGAAGAGAGTTAATATTTAAAAAGGGGGAAGGTTAGACTGAACTCTGAGTTGTTGTATTAAAATTTGCTGATGCATAACTATGGACTGGTAGAGATATATCTATCTGTATGTATATATATCTCTATATCTATAGAGATAGATACACACACACATATATACACACTTTTCCTCATATATTCACAAGAAAACTTCAGATCAACATCTCTCATGAACACAGACATGAAAATCCCTAACAAAATATTAGCAAATAAAATCCAGTAGTCCATAAAAAAGGATAATACTGCGCAACGAAGTTGGGCTCATCTCAGGAATATAGGGCTGGTTCAGCATTCAAAATCAATCAGTGCAACTCACTATATGAGTAGACTAGATAAGAAAAAACATATCAGTGAATGAAGAACAAACATTCAACAAAATTCAACATCTACTCATAATTTTAAAAAACTCATACAAACTAGAAGTTGAAAGGAATTTCCTTAACTTAATAAAAGATGTTTATGAAAAACTTCCAACTAACATCATACTTCATGGTGAGAGACTGAATACTTTCCCTATAAAAATACAGAAAAAGGCAAAGGTGTTTTTAATTAACACATTTACTTAACATCATCTTAGAAGTTCTAGCTAGTTCAATAAGGCAAGAAAAAGGAATAAAAGGCATATACAGCAGAAAGCAAGAAACACACACACACACACACACACACACACACACACCCCTACCTGGAACTAATAAGTGAGTTTAGCAAGGTCACAGGATATAAGGTTAATATACAAAAGTCAATTTTATTCTTATACATCACCAATAGAAACTGGAATCTGAAATTTAAAAAAATACCATTTACAATAACACTAAAGGAGTACTTAGATATAAGTCTTATAATATATGTGGGAGATTTGTATGTAGAAAACTATACAATACCAATGAAACAAAGAAGATCTAAATGACTGAAGAAAGATACTAAGTTCATGGATTGAAAGACTTAATATTTGAAAGGTGTTCATGTTTCCCAAATTATATATGCAACACAACCCAAATAAAAATCCAAAGAAACTTTTTAATAGGTATCAATATGTAGATTCTAAAATATATACAATCTATGTAATGTACACAGAACCAAAGGAATAGCCAAGGCAACTCTTAAAAAGGAAAATATACTCGGAAGATGCATGTGTCCTGATTTCAAGACTATTATAGTAATTATGATAGTGTGAGACTGGTGAAGTGATAAATACACACATCAATAGAACAGAATAGAAAAGCCAGAAATGAACAAGCGGTCCTAAAACAAATGACCATCCATTTGCAAAAAAAAAAAAAAAAAAAAAACCCAAATCACACGAACCTCAAACCTAATATACTTTACATCTTATACAAAAATTAAATCATGGTCTACATGTAAAACATAACAATACACAACCTATAGAAAAAAATCTAGAATATCTTCATGACCTTAGGTTTGGTTATAAATTTTTAGATACAATTTCAAAAGCCCAATCCACAAAAGAAAAAAATACATAAATTGGACTTTACAAAAATGGAAAACTTTTGCTTTTTTTGATACTGTTGAAACAATGAAAAGACCAGCCACAGACTGGGAGAAAATGTTTGTAAATCGTTTATCTGATAAAGCATTCATATCTAGAATGCATAAGGAATTCTTAAAACTCAACAATAAAAAAATCAACCTAATACAAAATTAATCCAATAAAAAATAGACAAAGGATCTGAACAGATATTTTACTAAAAATGTTTTATGCAGTTGGAAAATAAACATATAAAGGTTCTCAACATCATTTGTTATTGGGAAATGTAAATTAAAACAACAATTAGCTAAAACCCCCTGAGACCAATATCAAAACAGCTTAAGAATGTGGGGCAACAGAAATTCTCATTCATTATTTATGGGAATAAAAAACTGGTACAGCCATTTTGGAAGACAGGATGAAAGTTTGTTATAAAGTTAATCATAGACTTATATGACCTAGGCATCACACAGAATCTTTGCTACCTACAAAGATTACACACACACACACACACACACACACACACACACACACACACACAAAATCCTTCATTCCTATTGTATGTAAAGGCCATAAACCCATAAAAACTGGGAACTTTTTCTGAGAATTAACAGATTCCATACGTTTTTCAGATGCAGATATTATAAACCAAGGCAAATAAAATTCACTTTCCAAGTGTATCACACTCCCGGGGCAACTAAATCTCAGATAGAACTTTGTAGTCTTACTGACTTGAAAAATCAGACAATAGAGTTTGGAGGGAAAACAGCAGCTGGAAAGTGAAGGAGGAGGTGAGAATCCCAGAAAGCAGAGAGACCCAGAACAGGAGGCAAATTCTGTATATAAACTTTGCCCACATTTCTGTCTGACTCTTGTACCCATACAATGGGCAGACCCCAAGGGGCCAAATTTAGGCTAAAAGAATCTATATATCAGAGTCTGGGCGAGGCGGCTCATGCCTGTAATCGCAAGCACTTTGGGAAGCCCAGGCAGGTGGATCACCTGAGGTCAGGAGTTCGAGACCAGCCTGGCCAACATGGTGAAACCCCGTCTCTACTAAAAATACAAAAATTAGCTGGGTGTGGTGGCACTCACCTGTAATCGCAGCTACTTGGGAGACTGAGGCAGGAGAATCGTTTAAACCTGGGAGGCGGATGTTGCAGTGAGCCAAGATAGCGCCACTGCACTCCAGCCTGCGTGAGGGAGCAAGACTCCGTCTCAGAACAAAACAAAACAAAACAACAACAACAACGACGAACAGGAACATGTGAGCCATAGACAAGAGAAAAGGTGATCCGTGGGAAGACCCTGGGAAGGAGCAATGGCTGGGATCAGCAGAAAAGGATCTGAAGGTGATACTGAAAGACATAAAAGTACATGCTCACTGAATGAACACATAGGAAATCTCAATAGAGAAAGAGAAATGATAATAAAGAACGAAATAAAGATTATAGCACTTAATCCGCCATCAGAATACATTTAATTAGATGGTCATCCAGAGTTATGGAAAATAATAATGCTAAAGTTTCCTTGCAAAATATTAGAGTGTGCCATGGGGTGTGTGTAGGTGGGGGTGGTAAATGGGTCCATTTGTGAGGAACAGGGTAGAGAAAAGGAGTAGGGAAGAATTAGTGTGTTATGGGGCGTTCTCAATGGAGGAAAATAGTTCGTATTTTCATCTACAAATAAAAGAAGAGTCATGTGTGATAAGAATTAAAAAGCAGGGGAAGGCCGGACGTGGTGGCTCACACCTGTAATCCCGGCACTTTGGGAGGCGGAGGCAGACTGATCACCTGAGGTCAGAAGTTCGAGACCAGCCTGGCCAACATGGCGAAACCCCGTCTCCACTAAAAATACAAAAAATTAGCCAGGCGTGATGGCACTCACCTGTAATACCAGTTACTTGGGAGGCTGAGACAGGAGAATGGCTTGAACCCGGGAGGGGAAGGTTGCAGTGAGTGAGATCGCGCCACTGCACTCCAGCCTGGGCAACAGAGCAAGACTCCATCTCAAAAACACAAAAACAAAACAAACAAAAAATAAAAAGCAGGGGAAAAGGGACTGTAGTGATTAAAGAGACTAAAACATACAAAGCAACATCAAAGTTAAAAAAGGGAAGAAGTGGAATGATTAACAACTCTATCAAACTCAGAAAAATAAGGTAAACGAAAAAGAGAAACCATCCTTAAAGTAATAAGCACAGAGTAAGAGGAATAAAATCAGTCTTAACTATGAATGAACTGAATAAACTCATTAAAGACAAAGAATGTTAGATTAGGTGAAAATTGAAAACCAATAGTAAACTATCACACACATAAAACTATCACACACATAAAATTAAAGCAAACAAATCTCACATCACAAATGATGGTGAGATTTTTTGAGTGTCAGCTTGGTGAAGTCAGACTAGAAGGGCGACAGACATAAAAGGGAGTCTCCTTTCAGTGGAGATGAAAGACTCTCAGCATGCAAATCCTGTGGCAGCACAGGTGAGACTCTGCAGGGAATAGGCGATTTCCTGGCAATTCCAAGTCCCCAAATGGATCCAAGAACAACTGGAGCATTTGAAGTGAGCAATTGCCTGAGTAAAGATGGGAAGGAGGAACTGCCCTGAGGAAGGGGCGCCTCAAGCACCATCCGCCTTTTATAGAGCAGGCTGAATTTCCCATAGTTAAGCTCTTCCAGAACGGCAAGAAAATCAGCCCCATCCTCCACCCTCCTCCCCGCCCAACCAGTCTTTCTAAAGCCAAAATAACTTGAGTTCCAAAGGCTAATAAATTCAGTAAAAAGGAAACTAGGTACCGATTTCACATATTGATATGGAGTCAAATGTTTAAACAAAGTATTAGCATAGAGAATCCAGTAATGTGTCGACAACAAGCAGATAGTTCCCAAAATGCCAACCTGTTTCAACAAAGATGAAAACACCAATAAACGAAAAGTAGAAAAACCTATGTGGACGCATCAACAGATGCTGAAAAGGCATTTCCTAGAAGTCGGCAGCCAAACTTGGTAATTCTTGCGTGTGATAAAGGCAGCCGTCTGTTCTGCTCAGAAGGGGTTTCCTAACAGGAGGGGCCGAATGCAGGCGTCACATCCACGCCGCCCCAGGTCGTACACCTAGGCCGTCCGGGCTGTCCCAGAGCCGCAGGCCCCGCATCATCCGCGTCCTTAGCGCGGGGCGCGGAGCCCGCAGCCAGGTGCGGCCGAGACCCGCGCGCCAGGGAAAGCGGCGCAGCGGACGCGGGAGAAGGCTGGTGGGTACAGGTTGCCTCCGGGCCGGAGCGCCCATGCAGGGCGAGCTGCGCTCCGCACAAAATTGCGGTGGGGGCGCCAGACCGCCTTGCTCCGCCCCTGAGCGGGGCGCCCCGGCCCAACCCCCTGAGGGAGGAGGGTCCAGGTGCCGCAGACTCTTAGCCCCTGGCCCGGCGTCCGCCCGGCAGGTTCTGGCACTCCTCGTTGGTAAGCCCCGTTATTTCGTGCGCAGTGTTTACAGAATATAAAGTTCTTCAGGAAACGATGTTATAGGAGAAACGCCTGGATTTTCCCCAAACTATCAGAGAGTATCTTAACTATCAAAAAAAAAAAAAATTCATTTCAGTTAACGTCGGGAATGAGACACCAATGCCTATCGCCATTGTATTTTCTTGGAGGTTTTAGTAAATGTAATAAAACAAGAACATGAAATAACTGGCATGGACACTAGAAAAATACTGTATTACTTTTGCTTTAAATTGCTCCCCAAACTGGATTTTCCAACTCGAACTCCATAGCACCTTGTTCTGTGGTTCCATGTATGTCTCCAAAGGGTTAACAGGGGTCTTTTATTCCTTTGTGTGGGTGGGGGCTGGGGGTGGGGGGGGGAGAGCAGGGAGAGGGAGGGGGAGATAGGAACTTGATATGTCAACCCTAGCCACTTTTATGTTTATCAAATAGCCATTGAGAATATTTATATTACATTAGCATCAATCACTTTCAAAAATACTTATTCACTAGCAAATTATCAATAATTTAGATTTAACCGAGTTATTGGTAACTCCTTATCACCACGTTTACCTTCTGCTTTCTGGAGATGTCCATATTGATTCGATTTTTGCTTCTCTGGATTATTTGTAATTAAAAAATACAAAGTATACTTTCTGAATCCTTACGTATCAGAACTCGTCTTTTGCTTCAACACCTGGTTGATAACTTCCACACCTGGCTCCACTGACTTCTTTCAGTGTTTCAGGTAAGTCTCATTCTCTTTCAAATTGTAGGTCTCTGGGACCTGTGTATTTTTTCTTTTTATCCGTCTAATTCAGAGCTTAATGAGCCTTTGAAGTTCAAAGGAGGATTAGAATCTTCAATGGCTCCCTAGTTTTGGTCCATTGTAGGGAAAGCATTTAGTGATGATGTACTTGTGAAGAGACAGTACACGTGTAGCATCTCTTCACACTGATGCAGAAAACCAGAACAAAAGGAAGTTTAAGGATGATTACACACTCTTCAGGGTATAAAACAAACTTTTCCATAGAACAGAGATACCCCATGTCAAAATTATTTTATTAATTAATTTCTAGTGTCAAATTTTGAAAAGGTTTTTTAAAAGTCTCCTAAATCTTAAAATGGCTGAGTCTTTCAGGGAAGCACTGTTTGTCATGCATCCAACAAATACTTGATTATCTACCCTGTGCTTGGAACTATGTGGATAGGGTTTTACCCTCAAGTACTAGAAAAAATATTATTCTGAGATGATCTAATCAACTGTAATATATGTTTAGAGGGAAAATAAATTACTGTTCAGTGAATGAGACCAGAAGGCTTTGTGGAAGAGAGATAATTAAAAAAGGGTTGGAGGATGGATAATGGGTAAGATTTTGGCACGTGGAATTCTCGTGCAGGAGGAGAAATCCCGCATTCCAGGGATGGTGAACAACTGGAGGTGAAGGGACAGATAAGCACAGGCTCCAGTATAAGGAACAGTGAGTAACTCCATAAGATAATGACGGAAAAAGGCAGAGGAGGAAATGCGCAGGTACTATTAAGGATGGAGGAACATTTTCAGGGTCACTAACTAACTCAATAAAGCTAGCATATAGGAATAAATATGGACATATCCAATAAAAGAATTTATGACAAAATACAAAAGTAGCACTTTACCACTGCAAAAAAAAATTTAACTCAGAAAGCTGGGGATGAGTTGAACTTACTGGCTGGAGTTATTAGACAATATGGTCTTCAAGACACTTACAGGGTTTATATTTGTTACAGCCACTGATCACCATTAATTCTGGGGTGGGAAAAGCCGACATAACTTAAAAATCTTTAAATAGGGCATCATGGCTTAGGTTATTAACTTCCTTACACAATGAACATTCCTAGGTCATGAGAATCTGTTTATAGGAACCTGCTTAAAAATATCAGGTGTGTGTGAATCCTAATAACAGATCAATTATTTTTAGAAACAGCAGTTTACTAACATTATTCCGGTAAGACTACTAGTTGCACTAGCAACACTTTGAAAGGAGCCTCAAGAAATTATTAAAGTTCTCTAATGACAAATAGAATAAACCAAAAGTAATACCTTTCCAATAATTCTAATACCATAAAGCAGAAAACCTTATGTGAGGGGCCTTTATTCTTCCCACTCTCATTCTCTCAAAACCCTAAGACCTTGACTCAGGTGTTATTTCAAAGGGACTATCTGCCTGTTTAAAAAAAAGATTCAAATTTATAGAATTTTCCACTTGTGCATTTATAATACACATTGGTTTACATTTAAAGTATCTATCTATTGAGTAACGCAGTTAGCCTGTTTACATAAAAAAATTGTTCATTTTCATCTGCAATAATGGCAGCCAAAGACTACAGTAAAGAAGATATTCTGTGCATTCCTTCATGGATACAGTCTCCATCAAGCACCGTGCTCTTTTCCCACTCCTTTTCTCAAGCAGAAAGAACCTGGGAATTTATGTGCTATGCTGTTAACAGTATATCAGGGAGAAAAGTGTTTTCATTTTCTTTAAGGTAAAACTAGCTCCTCCAAAGAATGGCAGACATATTCTGAAAAAGGCAAAAGGGCACAAGTGTTTTCCTTCTGTGAAGTCCTTGAACGATTTCATATGAATTTAAAACATATTTAGTGTTAATTCTAATAATACAGAAATACTGCATTAATTTGCAGAAATTAAACAAGTGAAAAGAGGAAGGAATTGCCACACTGGATTTATGTTCATTTTCTTTACCCCTCTGAAAATAGGAAAGTCAAAAAGGTAAAGGAAGAATTTTTCCTATTATACTGAAAGAGGTGCTATGAGATACATAACAAATTATTTCTACAGTTGGTTCCTGGAAAGGTATTAACCGAATTTTTAGAATTAACACCTGTCCCGGAAGCTGTGTTGCTGACCATTTAGCAGATGAGTTTTAGCTGAAATATGTGTGTGATTGCCATTTTGGTCCACACAAGTTGTCAAGGGAGCTTTCTTCAGCAAAATTTTAGGCAAACAGCCCAAAGGGAACTCTGAAAGAATAATTTTAGTACTGACAAACAATAAATGTTAAATAAATGCTAAATACCAATTTTATCTCCCAGAAACAAGCAACTAATATCCTTTTTTGAATTCTAAACTCATCTGGATTCAAGTTTTGATGCATCACCTTTTGACTTTTTTAACTTAAAATTTCTATCCTTCCTCTAAAGATACAAAAGTTTTAAAACAAACCAAAAACCTAGATTTTACATTTCAACAATATTGTCCTAGACCCAGCTATTAGACTATTAATCAAACGAGAAAATACTTATAATTTGAAGAAAAAATGTGATAGCAAATAGAAAAGTATCATCTATTAAAATTTCAGGAAGATCTACATTATCTAAAGCCATTCTATAATTTTATTCATATATTTTGTGGAATTCACATATCTTATTCTTACAGCAAACATAACACTGTAGGCCACAAGAAGCTGCAGTACTATTATTTAATTAGCAGCAAATTAATATTTTAAATCTGGTATATGGACAATAAATAGTCTGCTTCTTTGGATGTGAATGTTTAAAATGTAGTATCACTGCAGCTTCATAATGTGATTGCTATTTTACAGAGCTTATACACACACAAAAAATATGATCTTTGTCTATATTTTATACAAATACAACAGTAGTTTGTGAATACATTTTAAGTACACGATATACATGATAAGCCACTTGATTTCCCAATATTACAGAATAGCAATTTTAAATGCAATAAAAATATACAAAATTCGGCCTGGAATGCAGATTTTTTTCTTTTCTATTTTGACTCAAAACTTTATCATTAGAACATTTTTAGAGTACTAGTCCAAACACTTTTTCATTAGCTAAAAATACAATTTCAGCAGTCCAGCTTATGTTCAGGTATGATGCAATCCGTTTCCTAATGGATTCCCAGTTTTTGTTAAATTCAAAGGGCTGTTAGTAACATACAGCATGTTCTTCACTCCACACCCTATTATAAAGCCCACTTTCCATTCTGAGTTACAGTCACCTTGTGGACAAAAGCTGGGTTTGTTCTGGTAACATTTGCATGTCCGAGATCTCCTTTTGCAAGTGCACATGAATACATTGTGGTGGTGTAAAAGTTTGTTAATGACAAATTAAGTCACAGTATAAAAATATATTGTACACTTTTACACCTAATGTAGTCCTTTTTCTATGGATAAAAAAATACGACTGAATGAGACAGAGAAGTTTGTAGCACCATGAAGAGTTGTAGCCCAAGTTACATTAGCAGCATGATCCAATATAATATTGAAGGAGTGTTTCTGAGAAGATAAACATTCATTCTGGTTCATCTGTACCACTGAAGCTTATATAATGAAGTGTTTTATACATTAGCAATAGTTCTGTGTCATTTCTAGGCTAGATAACATCAAAAGACACTGCCTTCCATCCTCAGAGGGTTGACAACATCATAGAAAGGCCCTAAGTGCAATCTGAGTGTGCCTTCACCAATGCTGGTTGCATGATCTTCTTTTCTATGATCCCAAAGGAGCTCCCTATGGGTTTTTAGCACAAAACTGCACAACTTATGTAGATCTATGTGATCACAACAGACTTATCTGTGTTGTAGACATGGCTGCTGACACAGTGTGAGAAAAACAAGACAAATTCAACTTAGGCACACATTTACCAGAACTAACAGCCAGCCATTGCTAATGACGAATACTAAACATTTAAAAGATCTCCTCCAATGTCACATGGATCTCAGTAGGCTAGAAGCAACTTGGGTGAACTGGTATTTTTTAACTTACGTACTGGGAAGACAGTGTGCTTTGAGACACGTAAACCTTGTAAAAAAATAAACCATTGTAAAACCTTATGAAAAGACACACACTGATTCTGTGCAATATAGCAAATTGATAAGAAAACACTGTAAAAATGTACCTGTTTAAAATACCATCTACCATTTTTGTACACAAAGCATTATATATCAAAGGCCTACATATATATCATCTAATGGCACTTGAATTATAATAAGTCTTAAAATAAAAGGCATAACCTATAAGAAAGTTTCTGTAAAGGTTTAGATTCATTTTGAAAGTGCTATATCTTGTAATATGTGTAGTATAGAGGTTGACCAAGCTCTATTTTTTAAAAAAATATTGGCCTATAATATGTGTATTGCTCACTAGATGAACGATCCTGAAAATATGTACTCTTTAACATTCATTATTAGCTTAATAAAGCAATCGGCTCTGGCTCATGTTTCAGTCAGTATATGGTTTTTAAAAACCGCTACTGTCCAAATTAACACAATATATCACTATATTCCACAAATGACTAAGAAAAATAAAGCACAAGCAACAAATAGGCAAAAATACACAGCTTGAAAGAAACACTAAATGAAATAAAAAAGTTGCACACAGAGTGATGCATAATCAGCCAGGACAATTGAAGTTTTAAAAAACTGAACTTGGTAATAGGATTTTAAAATGAAAGTTTTAACAGTGATCGATAACTATAAAGGTACTTGTATACATCAATGGATAGCATTGCTTACAGTGCCAAGATCCTTCCACACTCACACTTCCGTGTTTGGTGACCTAACTTGTACATACATGTGGAAGTGAAACTGAATGAGGTTCAATATCTTGTCTGAGGCCCAAATTCTAAACTACTTTTATTTAATGTTAATCCCTTTTTTTTTTTTTTTTTTTTTTTTTTAACCAAGCTAAGGCACTACCAGAAATTTCAAGGATAATGATTCTGGCCACTAGAGAATGAAAACAGCATTGGCAATACTTATTTTTAATCATATCTAGTTGACATAGAAACAAACAATCTTTTTCTAGGGAAAAAAAAGCCAATTCTGTGTTACATCCTTGTTAGAACATTGTGCAATTCAAATAAGCGAGTCTGCCTCATCTTTAATAGAAATTCTCTCAAAAAGGGTTTAGTGACCACTACAGTCAATTTTAAAAACAAATTAGCTGAATTCCCTCTTACTCTGAAGTGTTATTTCAAGTCTGGGGGTGGGAACAGGCAAAGAGGTGTACACATGAAAATTAAGACTCCAAAATTTTAACACTGGTGCCCTGAAGATGTGCCTCCATGTATTTGAATTTCATGCAGGGCAAGATTTAAGTATGTGTGTGTGTGTGTATATATACACACACACACACACACATACACATACATACATATATGGCGCTATTCCCCATTTCCAAAATGCTTTACTTAATAAATCCTGGTACTCCCTTTTTTAAATTAGCAGTGAATACAGCCTACTAAGGCCAATGTCTCAGTTCACTAATTTGATGACTTCTTAAGTACATTTTAAACAGAATAAAGTAGTGCTTCCACACTTGCTATTTGTGATTTCTATTTAAAAATAGGTTTTCTATTTGTGCTCTGTCACCAATTTTTTTCCTTTTATATGGTGATTAAAGCAATATTGAACACTAATCATTCAACTAAAGATTTAGGTAAGCAATCTGTTTCATAGAAACTAAAGGAAGCAGTAATGAAGCAGAGCGAAAAGCCTACTTTCAGAAAAAATATTCTCCTAATCAAAAGCTAGGAGCAGTTTGAAAAATTTAAAAATGTACTTCCTTATTAACATATATAATTTTAATGCCTTTGGAACACACTTTTTTAATAAATGTAATTTTTCATAATAAAATTTAAATACATAAGTATAAAAACTACTGCTCCAAGGATTAAAAAAATATAGGAGCATGATAAAATATCAGGAGCCAAAGCTCCTTCAGAGAGCAACTTTGATTCTATGAAGTGCGGTATGTGTGCATGTGTGTGTGTGTGTGTATTATATATATATATTGAAGCCCCCATTTACATTATTACAATTTACATTTCTCCACAAATTATACTACTCCCAAATATTTTAAATAATGTATTATATTCAGTAATCTGCACTCATTTTTAGAAATTCTTGGTAAACATTGCAATCTGCAGTGATAACTGGCCCTACAAAAAGGAAAGAAGTTTCCATATAGGGCTAATGAGTGCTCAGAAATATTTTTCTTTCTGTTTTTTTTTAAAGAGATATATACTCTTCTAAAAACCTCCCACCCTTGCCCCCATCCCCAACGGAAAGGGTCCTAAAATAAGGTGTTAACAAGTGCTTAATAGATATGTTTCTTAGGTTAATGTCCCAACTGACCCTTAGAAAAATATATTAATTAGACCTTTAAGAAGATTATGTTGGTTGTCTAATGTGAGGAAAAGCCTATAATTATTCAGTGAATATAATATATTCTCAATTGTTATTTTCATGTTAACCAAGATAGGTTTGTTTTACTTTACTTTGTTACCCTCTACAAACTCAACTTATTTGCAATACTCCTATCATTTCCCAGAGATGCATGAAAGTGGGATTTTACTGTATATATTTCTAGTCACTTAAAACTTTGTGGTAGTTCATCAGGTAGTTTTCTAATGCATTTAACTTCAAATTCTCCATCCAAAATATTGCAAGGAAAGATGGATTCACATTGAATCAGAAAGATAACATCGGAGTAGGACTGTTGTTTTTGTTTTCTGCTTTTGATTCTTAAGGGAAAGAAAAACATATCAAATTCAGCAAGAAATGATATAAGCGATATGCTTTTACTTTACTTCTAAAAAGTCCAGTTTTTAACCCTGGCTACAGGGGCCATGATCCCTACACAAGTTCCCAAATGTAACCATGTGCTTCACGTCTATCTTCCTGCTTAGAAGTCTGTCACCCACAGAGGCTGAGTCAATCCACTGTGGGATAAACACACCTCATGGCTGCAGTTCCACAATGGCTCTAGATTATGGACTAACCGTGGGCCAACAATGAAAATAAATTGCTGGCTGCACTTGACCCACCCCTTGGATGTGAAAGGTGGAAAAGACTAAAGAGATCTACCTATATATCGACTCTGAAGACCCCAATGCCATACACTATTACTATTATTAAATGAAAAGATAGCATGTTAAGAAGGATGAAACACGACAAAATATCCTGTGTACTAATTTAGGGCCAACTATTAAGTGACACGAAATGCCATGTCACCTAACAGAGTCTCTTTTTGCTATAAATACTGATGCTTTGTGTTTAGGGTTTGTTTTCCTTAAAGGCTCATAATAAAGATGGCAAATATTTTAGCCAGACAACAGGGAGTCTTCAGAATATACTGATCTGAAATTATGGTGTATCTAACAAACATTTATTATCTTCCGAAACTGGACTCTTAATTCATTTGAAGCACTTGATTATTAATCCATTTAGAAGCTAGTAAGAAAATTTAAACCCTTGAGTTATTCACAAACTTTTTATACAATTTACATTCTATTGCTAAATTTTTTAATGAGCCAGATGTCAAAAGGTAGAGCCACTGTTATTAGACAAAAATGAAAATTTTAAGATCTAAAAGTAATTTGAAAATGGGATTTGTAAAAGTTTACTACTAATAATGGCTTTCCTATATGGAAAAAAAAAAGTCTTAAAATGTGACAATTGGCAGTGAATCAGGACAAAATACCCAGGTAAACTTAACTGAACACAAATGGTTCCAAAGCTCAGTTTAAAAGCTAGTTTCTATTTTATACTGGCTTAATGAAAATTTGTATTATACAAAAGCAGAAATTTTTATACTGTTTTAAAGTAGGCACTAAAATAAAAATGGTCATCTAGGGCACAGCTACACATACATTTCTGTAATGAATCCATGTCCCAGAATCCTACTGAAAAGCTTGATGGAAACGTGGGAGGGTGGTACTTGTGCTTAAACTGCTGGTGAAAGCTGCTGACAGTGAGTGCAGAGACCCAAGCCCTATAGTGTTTGCAGGATCCTGAAGATCCTGTGTTTGTGGGGGGAGCTGGGAAACAGAAGAATGTGCTTCTTCCTGGGAATAGCTCATTCCAAGGCTCCCCACTGATAGAGGATTATAGGGAGGACCATTTAAAGGTATGAAATTAAACAACTGAGAAAAATCCAATGCTGGTGTGTTTAGGGGGTCACTGATGGAGATAGAGCTTTTGGATAGGGAGAGGTCTCCTGCACCATCATCTAGGGACCCAATCTGAGGATCCAACCCTAGCTTAGATGATGACGATGCTTGAGAATCTTGGGATGAAGAGGGCACGCCACCTTGTAACTCCATCAGGTAACTCTCAATTTCCCCCTTTAATGGCTGTTCTTTTTCAGGAATAGAAATTGCATATGAGGTAGAACTGAACGGATATTTGAAAGAAAGGTGGTGAGAGGGATGAACAGTGTCCATATCTATTGGGCATGTCATTCCCAAAGGTAAAGTTGTGATCATTTGGTGGGCAGATCCCGAGCTCTGCATGGACTGAAATGGAGTGTTGTAGAGGTTTAACTGCAAAGTGTTTGTGAATGGCTTTGATAACAGTTCACTGGAAGGTAAGGACATCACCGGAAGGAGCTCGTCTTTTATAGGCACAGACACATTGCAGGTAAATGGGTCAAGGAAATCCACTGGTTCTGTTTTGACCTTCAGAAGCTCTTGATTGTGACTCTTCTTCATATGTCGAGTCAGGTGATCCTTTCGCCCAAATCTCTGTGCACAATACTGACAGAGGAAGTCCTTTCTTCCAGTGTGCACCACCATGTGTCTCCGGACATCCTTTCGGGTGTAGAACCGGCGATCACAATGTTCGCACTGGTGCTTTTTTTCTTTAACCCCACCAGACGACTTGCCTGCATGAGATTTAAGGTGCTCCAGAAGCACTCCCGTGCTTTCAAAAGTTTGCAAACATACCTTACAGGTGAGGTCACCACTTGTTGCGGCATGCAAGGCCAAGTGACGTTTAAATCCAAGCTTGGTATTGTAGTTCTTGCCACATTCTTCGCACTTAAACGTCTCTTTGTTAGGGTCGTGTGTATGGAGGTGATTCTTCAGATGATCTTTCCGGTGAAACATTTTCTCACAATAATTACACTTGTGGGTTTTCTCAGGAGAATGAGTAGCCATGTGCCTTTAAACACAGATATAATCTATAAGTAGTTATTATGACAAAAATGGCATGTATTCACTTTTCAAATGGAAGCTAAACTACTATGCTAACACAGAATTCCCTTAGTAATGGAAACTGTTTAACTTAATATATACCACGAGGATAGTTAATATACCTAATTACTGCAAAACTTGAGCCATTTAAGTTGCCACTTTAGTTTTTGCTGGTTTCCAGCTATCATTACAAAAGCAAATGAGCAAGACTGAATATACTCACGTAAACGTCCTTACCCTTTTCTTGTTGTAATTTCTTTCTACAAATGGAAATTCTACTCATTAAGCATTTTATTTTAAAAAGTCCAAAGACACTAACACATAAAAGTATGTGATTTAGAATACTAAAAACTAAACCAATGTCTAATCTACTTAACATTTCCTCTTTGCAAATTAGCTGAAAAATGTGTATACAAATACATACGTTTACAATGGCTTCAAACAGCCAACATAAGAGAAAATATAATCTGAAAGACAAATAGAGTTTAATACCTTTGTAATTTGTACTTAGAAACAAAGGCCTTGGTGCAGTCTTGTTGTATGCACTTGTAGGGCCTCTCTCCTGTGTGAGAGTAGGAGTGAACCTTTAAT
The DNA here is from genome assembly GCF_000001405.40 of Homo sapiens. Classification (NCBI taxonomy): domain Eukaryota; kingdom Metazoa; phylum Chordata; class Mammalia; order Primates; family Hominidae; genus Homo; species Homo sapiens. Next base: position 56,168,127 of record NC_000008.11, read on the forward strand.
TTCTCAACACTGTTAAAGGCCTTGTCACACAGTTGGCAAGGAAAGTTTTTTCTTGGTTTGGTTTCACCACGCTTACGTTTCCCTGAAGGGACTTTCTGGGTATCTCTTACTTCTGACAAATCACCAGGAATGACAGTGGCCATCGCAGCCTAAACCAGGCCTTCTTGTTGGACACTTGGGAACTGCCCAACTCCACTAAATGATATAGCTTTAGGTGGCTTCTCAAGTTTCATGTGGTCGTAAAAGAAAGCAAAAAGGGACTGGAAAAAAAAATAAGAAACAACTAGTTTGTAACTAAACTCAATTTTTAAAAATTTTATTTGCTATGTGATGCTTTTGAATTAAAAAAGAAACCAATAAAATGGATTCAGCTGGTCTAATGTAATATCATCACATTACATTAGAAACCCCATAGGTTTCTTTATATTTGTCAAAATACATAGAAATGCATTGCTCAGAATGAACAGTTCATACATACCCTGAAATTCCACTTGACACATGTTTTACTTAGGCATAGCAGTAGTGATTTCAGGAACTCTCATGAAGAATCAAAACATGACTCTAAAAAGTGGCATTATTAAGCTTCAATTTTTACAAAAGATCAGAGAACATAAAATCTGACTAAAAACGTTTCAGCAAATATTTCAGTCTCTAAAAATCAGTTTGATTTGTGCATGTCAGCTCTAGTCAGACTGCACTATAGGAAAACAGAGATAAGCAACTGAAAACTCTTTTAGGCACCTTGTGAACCATTGAGTCTGTGGAAGAGGTACTTCACGGAGAGACACTAGAGGCCTGAAAGAGTTGAATGCACCACCCGAAGTGATGCATTATACCAGTGTCATCATACTCTGAGGGATTCCTGAGTCAAGAGTAGAAATGATTCATCTTCCTAACAAATACAAATTCTTCAAATAGTAAAACCTTTTGATGTTTTATTAGGTGAAGAGCATGGCTCTTTGTCATTTTGGGAGAAAGACATGGTTAATGTAATTTTCCTCATCGTTTTTCACATCACAAAAATTTTAGGCACACTGAGGTTAGTAGGTAAACGAGTCAGCAGGCATCCCCAAGAGCTGAGGGCATTGGCCTTTGGACACACCTGCAACCTGTGTGCAGCAGACCTGTGTGGACTTCTGACATGGCACACAACACATCATCAAAGAGGTGTTTAAGGTTGGTAAAAAGGTGTGTCAGAGTTTCAATGTGTTATTGGTGCTGCAAAAAAGAATGAAATGTACATATTGTACAGCAAGGAGTATATCTTTTTAAACAAAAAATTTAAAAATGAATTAAAACCTTTAAAAATTCATCGACAAAACATAGTAAATATTATCGACTCTGTTTCTAGGGTAAGAAAACCAACTCCTCAAAGTTCCAATTCCTCAACGTTTATAAAGGCTAGTTGAGTGATGTACTTATTTTCTTTTGAGACAGAGTCTCACTCTGTCACCCAGGCTGGAGTGCAGTGGGGCAATCATGGCTCACTGCAGCCTTGACTTCCCTGGGCTCAAGCTATCTTCAAGTGCCTCAGCCTCCCGAGTAGCTGGGACTGCAGGTACATGCCATTATGCCTGGCTAATTATTTTTTATCTTTTGTAGACACAGGGTCTCAATATGTTGCCCAGGCTGGTCTTGAACTCCAGGGCTCAAGCAGTCCTCCAGTCTCAGCCTCTCAACATGCTGGGATTATAGGCGTGAGCCGCCACACCTGGCCTGTGATGTACTTTTAAGAGACCATAGAAATAATACCTGCAACCTCTTTTAAAACCAACTTCCTTATATCACCTGTGTTTTGGCACCAGACTGACACTGACACTTGCTGTCCCAAGCTACTACCAAGTTACTATTAGACTGACTTTCACGGATTCCAGTTATACTTTCGCAGGAGCTCTAAATACCTACATTTTTGTAAAATTAACTCTATGTTACAATAGGTCTAACTTTATTTTAATGTAAAGGCTGTTTCTAAACAGGCAAAATACAGCAATTATCCACTCACTTTATTAACATAGTAAGGCATATGGGTAAGTTCATCAGTACTTGCTTCAGGTGTCTTTCTTTATTAGGTAGATACAGGCAAGGCCTTTGTGCTATTCAAACGGTCTAAAAATCCGCCTTGCTGTTTAAAAGTGACATTAACACAATGCAACTGACATTACCAATGGTAACATATGTTCTTTTTGTTTTAGATTTTCTGGATCTCAAGGGCTTCTTGCTCTATTTCTGTTATATTCTCATTCAAAAGCTAGCTCCTCTGCTTCCCTTGGAAATATCTAAACAGCTACTCTGCTGTGACCAGTAATGACACTATAAACTGGTATAAAGCATTCTACCAAGGCAGGAAACAAACCTTAATTTTCATTATTTGATTTCCTAACCTGATACTTTTATGCACCTATTTAGAACATCGTGGGAAACAAATTGAACATTTCCCAATTGCAGAATCTACATGGAATGCAAGTATCTAAATCCCTGTATATAACTAATATCTGAAAATACTTCAAAGACTGGTCATATTTGCCATTGTGTTATAAAATCCAACCATAATGGGCAAAGAATTCCAGTTAAGAAAAACAACTTCTAAGTTATTAAAAAAAATTATTAGAAGTGCACCAATATGCAATATACAAACATTTGATTGTTACTAAAATTGGTGATAATCAATATGGAGTAACAAATGAATTCTGTTATCTTTGGATGTACATACTGAGCAATGAAGATTGCACTGATTTCAAATATTACACTTTTCTAAGACCAGCTGAAATTTTTTCATGGCTGATAATACCTTTTTATTTTAGTATATTACAAAACTCAAATTAATTATCATAGGTGCATTTCAAACTATAGGATAAGGTTGTGAGCTCAAAATCTAATAAAAGACCACATTCATAATATGCATATCAGTCAAATACTTTAAAGGTGCATGCATAGAATTATAGTGATTTTTAGTTCAATGCATACCTGATTACTGATGGAAAAAGCCTCAGACTTTGATCTTAGCCAGTCCCATTGACTCTTCGTGGAAGAGAGTGGAATCCAATCCTTCCCATTTTGGCCAATCTATGAAAAAAAAGTGAAAATGGACTATCCTCTAAATGGAACCGGTATGTAAATGATGGAAAATACAGGATAAAAGAATTGCAGTTTCATGGCACATGCTTACATTCCATACTCTGCTTACGAGTCATGCATTAATTTTCACCAACTACATATGTTTATTAGGTCTAAGCACATTTACGTGACCAAATAAATGCATAAATAAAAAGTATTACCTAGATAAATAGCAATTTGTGATGCTGAATGACTCCCCACTTCTTTCCCAAATTTATTTATTTCTAAAATCTGACTTACCTACTGAAATGGATATTAGGGCTACTGTTTATAAACCAAATGATCAAAATTTTATTAAGTTTATTAATATTATGGAAGTGACAATTTTAGGCCCCTTTCGGAGGGTACATCTGGAGCCACCCAAAGAACAACAGGCTCCCGGTGAAAGCACTCAGCCCATACTGTGCACACTAGCACAACGGGGGCCTCTCAGAGCTACACTTTTGCTATCTGCAACACCTGCCAATTTATTTTTCAGGATGCTGCAAGGATGGTTGAAATGTAGCAACAACTCTGCACTCTTTAGATTTCAAAAGCATGCAAGAGAAGTTAAATATAGATTTGCTACAGAAGAAAGGGGTGTTAGGAAGAGAGCATCATTTGGTTTAAGAGGTCATTGTTGAAAACTCTTAAAGTAGCTTATAATGTTTATCAGTAGTATGATCATTAGTAGACTGAGATCACACACAGAAAACAATCTGTTAATTCTTGATCGTACAAGTAAACATGAAAAGAATAACGGTCAAAAGGCAGAATAGAATCACCTATTGTAGAGAGCACAAGGCATGAGAGATCAGTAAACTCAGAGTATTTTAAAGATGAACATTCAGAAATCATGATTATAAAGGGATAATTAAATCAAACAGTTAAAATAACAGATATGTTAATGACAGGTTAAATAAAAATAACTTTCAGATTCTTAACACAAATCTAAAAATATCCCCTGTAATAAAACTTTCATACTTGAAGAATTTGATGATGTCTAAATAAAGTATTTAATAGAAGGCATTCAAGCATCATTATAAAAATGCCAAGGGTATATCTGAAAGCAGCATTTTTTTATAGTTTAAAAGACAAGAAAAGCAAAAATTTAGACCTATAAAGGTATTTTAAACATTAAAGCAAAAGCTCCATTCTTTTGTAAAGCACAGGACATGCATAAATGGAAGAACGGAATTCTGCACATCAAAATTACAAAATAATAACATTAACTTTGCAAATACTTACTTGCCCAGGGCACATACTGAGTTTTTTGTAGGGTAATTACGAATATGAAAGACCATTTTGTGTATTATGTTATTTTAAGAATATAAATACCTGACACGTGTGGAGTGTTTTCATCTCTATTATCTCCCTGGAATTCAATGAATCTGAGAGGTGGATGTGTTTACCATCATTGCCATTTTAAGGTGAGAGGCCCACAGAAGATGAACAACTTGACAGCATATGTGTGATAAAGAAGGGATGAATGCCCTAAAACTGTGACTTCACTTTTATTCTACTGTTTTCTATGACAAGGCAGGTTAGCAAACCAATTTGCAAGTGGATAAATCCTGTCACTATCCTTAAAAGATCAAAAGAGGGGATAGTGCCTATTTTCTCTTTTAGAGCTGCCAAATATCCAAAAGGAAATAAATTTAAGACTTAAAAAGTTTAAAAGACAGTTTATAAAGGCAGTTTTAAATAATTTAAACAACTGTTAATGTAAAGTAATAGCTAATACATCTGTCTGAGTGGAAAACGATTTGGGTAGAAACAAATTGAAAACCCAAGTTAACTAGTAAACAATAAGTTTATGTATTTTTTCCTTTATTCTCCAATCCATATAAATTTTATTGCATTCTCAAATACATTCATAAAATCTTTATTTATGCTTATTGTTCAATGACATTTTACAATAAAAACCTTTAGCATCTAAGTATTTCAACACAGTTTAAAATTATGTATATTGTGACATATTCCAATAGTCTAGAAATCACCCATTCTATGTATTTTACAGTCTAAAATAACACAGCCAATCATTTTATTTTATCCCAAAACATAATCTTGAATTTCTTAATTTCCCTAAATTGAACCTATTTTGAGTTCTTATGAGTTGCCAAATAATTTCAAAGTTCTACTAAATATCTCCCCCCAAAAAAGAAAGCAGGACTGGTTAGAAATTATTCTTTGGATTGATATAATAAAAAATATACAGTTTGTATTTATGTAATCCTAACTGAAAAGTTAGATAAAATTATCTGTATATTCTCTTGTATAGGATTAAGAAAAACTTAAAAAGCACCAGGAGTACTATTCTGAAAAGTGCAACAAAACTTGGTTTGGTACTCATGTTTTTCTTTTCTACTTAAAAAAAAAAAACTCACAAAGATTGGTTATTGTGCTTTTCAAGTGACGAAAATTCTCCTTTGCCTTGGTCTGATGAACTGTGAACCAAAGTAGAAAATACATACACCCATTTCAAATCACTCTAAGATGAACAGCAGTTCAGAATACCCTTCTAGTTTTTGTTGGTACCAGAAGAAGCAATTTTTTCCAGGGCAACTTTGCATACAGAAACAATAGAGAGAGTATGGCGTGTTTGTGCACACACACCCAGATTTATCTTCCGATGTTTTACATTATTCTAAAACAGTGACTCATATAAAAAACTAACAAGCCAAAATGAGTCATACATCAGAGGGTCTACTAAAATCAGTTCCTATGAGATGCCAGCAAAAGAACAGGCCTGTATTAAAACTGCTTATTTTAAATTCCATAGTTCTGATAATCATTTTGCTAAGAGCTGTGAATTTTTTCACTTACCTGCATCAATAATTATTTCATATTTAAAAGTCAAACAGATTTTGCTAATTAAGGGCAAATACCATCAAGCATCAAAGCTTTATTCTCCTGTATGCTTACAAGATGCCTTTAGTAAGTAATTCAGAAGATGTCAAAAAATTTCCTTAAAACAGGTTTTTCCATATAGAGTAAATAAAGTAGGTTGCAAAAAGAAACTTACCAGTTCTTAATATTGTAATTTACATGTATGAAACACAAGAGAGTTCTGAATAATATGAAAGAATCTATTACTAAGATAACCCAACTGAAGGCAGTCAGTTTTGAAGTAAGGGCAACAGTATACTTAGAACATTTTTAAGAAATAACTTCGGTGTTTCTGCATAATTTGTAAATTTTTACAGCATTCACTTTCCATAGTCTGTAAAATCACTTATTAGTGAAAAATAACAGGAAAAAAACTATCTTATAAAAACCTAAGAATGAAAAATCAACTGCAGACGGTACAGGGGCAGAGAGGTTGTGCCAGTTTTATTCACTGTTGTTTCCCATAAAAGGCAGTTAAAGTAACTGTTGAATGAATGAAAAAAATTAAAACAGGGCCAAGTGCTTACCAGCATCACAATGACCTACAGGCTTGCTTAGTCATCATAATAGACATAAGATAGAATTTACAGTTGACCCTCTGTATTTGTGGGTTTTGCATCCATGGACTCAGCCAACCATGGATTGAAAATATTTTTTAAAAACTGCATTTGTATTGAACATGCACAGACTTTTTTGGTCATTATTTCATATGCAGTACAGTATAACAACTATTTACATAGTATTTACATTGTGTTAAGTATTATAAGTAATTTAGAGATGATGTGAAGAGTTCATGGCAGGATGTGCATAGGTTACATGCAAATACTATGCCATTTTATATCAGGTACTTGAGCATCTGTGAATTTTGGTATCCCAGGGAAGTCCTGAAACTAATCCCTCATGGATAGCAAGGGACAACTGTGTATCTATATTCAAGTCAAAGATAATGTAGTATGAACACAATTTGGTCCAACAAATTGAATAAGCTAATAGAACAGTATTTTTTTTGAAACTAAGCAGCTATTTGAAAAGTCTTAGATTAAAACAATAGCAATTGTAATAAAAGGTTATCTAAAAATACTTATTTTGCCTCAGAAAACAAGCATTCTCTAATCTTAATACTAAGAAATCAACTAATACAAGTAGATAACATCAGTCTGGCTCCCATTCGTAATAAAAATTTCCAAAGTGAAAACACGCCTGATGCCTGCATTAGTCCTTGGTATGGGGCAGGAAGGACGAGACTCTCAGTTGGGGCTGCTGGTCCCTACAGAGGGGAACAGAAAGGAGCTGGAGCAACTACTGTGAAGCAGGAGACATAGCCAAGACATGCACCTAACTCGCCTGAGTTTACAGCAGGTCCCCAAAAATGCATTTTATAACTGGATTGTGGAAAACTACACTATTTACTTTCCTAAATTAGATGTCATAGTTAACTAAAGTTAATCAAAAATAAGGATGCCCTTTTTGAATTACTGCGTTTTATATTTTTAACTCATTTTGAGCAATTCATTAAAATATAGTTCTAGGACATCTTTTTGAAATTTACCATAAAAATTAGCCTTACTGATGTTTAGAAATGTCTTATATTTAGTATACAGATAATAAAAACTAATTGAGAAGTGAGAAGTGAGGGGAAAAATGGCATAACTTTTTGTCTGTAAGAACCAACAGGAAAAAGTCAATGAATTCCAAAGTGGAATCAGAAAACCCCAATATCAGTTCTCTTATCTGTACAAGCAGGATGTTCCTTTTCAGGCCACTCATTTTCTAGAGTAGCCAGAGAGAATGAACAGATAACCCAATGAAGAAGGAGTATCAAGTAAATTTTATCTCCCAATTCAGACATATTTTCCTTGGTTGTTTATTTTATAGAGCAAAAATGCCACGTTAAGTTAAAAGTTTTTTTTCTCTTTTGAAAACTCCCTTTTCCTTTTCTTTTTTTTTTTTTTTTTGAGACAGGGTTTCACTCTGTCACCTAGGCTGGATGGAGTACAGTGGTGCAATCTCGGCTCACTGAAACCTCCAACTCCCAGGTGTAAGCGATTCTCATGCCTCAGCCTCCGCAGCAGCTGGGATTACAGGCATGTACCATCATACCCGGCTAATTTTTTGTTATCTTTAGTAGAGATGGGGGTTTTGCTATGTTGGCCAGGCTGGTCTCGAACTGCTGGCCTCAAGTGATCCACCCGTCTTGGCCTCTCAAAGTGCTGGGATTACAGGCGTGAGCCACCATGCCCAACTGAAAGCTCCCTTCTAATGATCCACAACTTAGAAGCACTTCATTTCAACTGCTATTTGGGGTGGGGGTGGGGGGTTCCCTATGATTGTGTATTTTTATCAAAATAAAAAGACTTAAAAATACAATGGGTGGTACAACACTGAGATATTTTCATTTTTTTCACATGGGGCCATTAGTATTTTCAAAGAGGAAATGAAAAAGAAATTGTGCAAAAGGGAAGCAATGATGCCTCAGAGAGCAAAGAAGGACAATTATATCTGAATGCAAAGTAAGACTGCTTAATCAATACTCTATTTTTAGATAATTTCCTGTGCTTTTTTTTTTTTCTATAAAACAGTCCCAAAATATTGGTGATCTTGGTCTGATTACAAAGTAGGTAGCCCACAGGTCAGCTCAATCTGAAAACTGTATGTATCCCAAATTGTGGTAAGTTATTGATCTTATTACCAGTAACTGATTAAGTTTCTGGGGGTACAACAAAAATGTTTGACACCAACTATAAAAATGTTCACAATGAAGGAACCTAAATATCTAGAGAACATGCCTCCATTCATGTATAGTAAATTGCCTAATGCTATTAAAATCGCAAATACAGAATAATCCAGATTTCATGTCTGAACTGTCAAGCACCCATACTGAATCTGCCTATAAATTCAAACAAAAAGGCAGACATCAGACACTTTATAAGAAAAGTGCTAAAGAAAGTTTTACTTAGCTATAAATATAAGTTGTACTTATCTATAAAAGCTCAAGCAGAAATTAGTTTTAAGCCATCTCAAAGTAAAGTGTACTTTAAAGACAGGCTTGTGCTATGGCATAAATGTTGTGTATGTGCTGATGCTTTAGTAGTACTAAAAAATGTAATGAAAACAGAATTCATGGCCTGGTTCAGGTCTGCACATACCATCCATCTGTCCTCCCTAAGTTATGCTCATGTGCATGTCCAGGATAAAATCACTTCTAGAAACAACTATTTCTATTTATTCCCACACAGTTAAGGGTAAACAGGATCAGTTCTAGGCAAAACCATCATGTCAAGGGTAGCCGCTCTCTCCTCTGCCTCCAGAGGACCCCATGTACTCTCCTGGCTGGAACAATTAGAAGAGGTTTGTTATCTATATTCCTTGACCAATTCTATTTGATCAAGAATGACCTTGAAAACCTTACCTCTCTGAACCTTTCACCCTTAATATGGACTGGAAAGCTCTTCTTGAAATGACCTGTCTGACCTGTCTCTCCCCCAGCGACAGTAAATTCATCTGCAGGGATACTATTATTCATCCTCGTATCCCTAGCACCTGGTCAGCACCCTAGCATGTAGCAGACATTTGATAGACATTTGCTGAACAGAACTGTGGTCCCTTTAAGGAAATTTCAGGAATCAAAGCTAGCAGGTAACTATGTTTCAGGTCTCCTGAAATTTCAAATTGGTTATAAAGCAAGCTCAGAAGACAAGCCCCAGAGAAATACATGGTTAGTTTGTTTTGGCAGAGAGGTAGGAACTTAGGGAAAGCACCACCGCCACCTGGGAGTCCGTACTGCTTCTGTGTCCCCAGGAGAGGCGTCACCTGCTTCGGCAGACCTCAAAAGCCAGGGAGTCTCAGGCACGTGCTACCCAGAGCCCGCCAAGCACGGATACAAACCTGGGTAGCACTCAGCCAGCCTGGACGTTTAGAACACTTCTGCTTTAAATGTCCTGTTCCATAGCTCCTTAAGCACATGGAACTACAGGTTGATCATGATTTATCATTTAGAAATAGCCAGTGAAGTTCTATGGGAAGGAAAAAGGAACAAAGTAAAATTCAAAATCTTTAAAAGAGGGTATCCTTCATGTGAAAATAAAATGTGAGGATCATGTTTAAAATATCAGAGGAAATTTTCAACTGATTACAGATATAGGAGAATAAAAAAGGAGAAAACCTGCATAAATTTAGTTTGGCTAAGTAAAACTAGTCATTTTTCCTTTTTCTAGCTACTAAAAAACAACTTCATTGAAAACAAGTTTAAAAACTACAGTAAAGTAGAAAAAGAAAAAAAAAATCCATAACCCCTAACACTAAAGATTTTTATAGCATATAGATAGCTAAAATTTTTATAGTATACAGATAGCTAAAATATTTACAGTATACTGATAGCTAAAATTTTAATGCTAACGGTGTTGATGCTTAAACCCATAGAATGTTGTTCTTATAGAAAATTTTAGCCCGATTAATTCGTGTACCTTTGATTTGATCAAGCTCTGTTGATGTATCTTGTGAAACCCTGCCCAAGGCCTCCTTTCCCCCATCTGCCATCAGTGAAGAGTTCAGGAGCCCATCCCCTGGTATCTGTCACAGCCACCATTGTTTTTTTTTCCAGTCTCCCCGTCCTAGGGCTGGGGGTCCTGGCCTCTCAACCTCTACCCTATCTTGAAGGTCGTACTGACAGACTTACCTGGTACCAAATCCACGTGTGCCTGGATTTCCAAGTATTGCTACACCTTGATTCTGTGACACTGAGCTGCGCCTACAGGCTGGGAAATCTAGATAGCTTGTGTGTGTCCTCTTCCCAACAATGCTGGCAAATTGCTATTGTTGCATTGGGTTCCTTATTCTAGCATCTGCCCCATCCCTGTGAGCAAGTCTAATCCCCCTCTCCACCTGCCCATAGGTAATAGGATCCCGCCCAGGAGACAAAAAAAAAAAAAAAAAAAAAAAAAAGATATAAGGGCAACATGGGATACTGTATCACTGTGCAAGATTTAGAGAAAGAAGAGCTTAAGAGTACATCTGTGGGCTATCTGGGGAACAGGAACAAATTAAGTTTTTACAGCAGCTATGTGTTTTGTGCAAAGAGTGAGGAAGACTGCTCCTTGCTAGTATTTCAAGCCTCCCATTCGACCATAATTATTACTGAAGTCCCCATCACAGTACATACTGATAGACCCTAAGATTGTAAGTGGCATGCTTATTATGTGGCATGCTTTTCAAAGCTTTTAATATTATATCTTATAGTATTTAGGAACTGGAATAATTAATCACTTTGAAAGTCATGCCATATAATGATAAAAGCCACCTACCTGAGGCCCTGCTCCAAACTCTAGCAAGGCAACCTTATTAATAGACCGTCACAGAATGAAGCATTCTGGGTGCCAAATACGGCCAAGGCAGCACCAAGAGGCAACCTAAAAAGAAAAGAAGAGTTAGTTTTAAATTCCAAAAGTCAGGCCAATCTGGTTAATGGCATATGAACCAAACTGCTTTTAATTCATTATCATTTATTCACATTCTTTGCACTTTATTGAAAAATGTATCTTAAATCCTGTTAAAAATGTATAGTACATGGAAAAATGAAAAGTACACAAATTAATATCCCTAGATTTATATATTTCCTCCCGAATCACAGTTATCTAGATTATTCACATTTTTGATAAATTATTTCAAGTTTACTGTCATTTCTCAAAACTGCTGCTTATTTTATTTATGTTCTAAACACACCCATTATCTTCTCTGCAACACAGTTTTCAGAAAAACCTTTTGTGGTGTCTATCTTGTCCTTAACAATTGCTATGGGAGAAATCTTGCCCCATGAGTGCTTTCCTCAGTCAGAGACCAGGCCACCTGTCCACAGAGAAGGGTGCAAGCCACTGAGCACCCTCAAGCAGAGGCAGAATAAGGAGCCAGGGACAATTTCTGAGCTCTTGAATTAGTCTTTATGATGCGATTATTGCTTGTTTTCAATTAAATTCCCAGGTCATGTCCATCCTCAACGACATACAAAGAAAATGCAAAATGTATTCTGAAGTATTCAATGTTTGCATCCGTCTGTTGGTGCAGGTTATGAAGACTGATCTCTAGGGATATTAACTAAGAGAGAAAAAGAAGCCACAAGTTCTATGCAGAAAATCACCTGCTTCATTTCCCTACAACAGAGGGTCAAGGCTCAATTATACATGGTTACCACTCTCCTAAGACGAATATCTGACACTGATGGAATAAACATTACCAACACCTATTATGTATGGTTCCAGTCTGAGTTACTGTGGGTATAGACTGACATGATCCCTGTTCCGTAGGAGCACACAGGTTAGTTGTGGCTGCAGAATATATACCTTTTGTCGTGGAGAAGCTCTTTAGTTTAATTAGATCCCATTTGTCAATTTTGGCTTTTGTTGCCATTGCTTTTGGTGTTTCAGTCATCAAGTCTTTGCCCATGCCTGTGTCCTGAATGGTATTGCCTAGGTTTTCTTCTAGGGTTTTTATGGTTTTAGGTCTTACGTTTAAGTCTTAAATCCATCTTGAGTTAATTTTTGTATAAGGTGTAAGGAAGGTGTCCAGTTTCAGTATTCTGCATATGGCTAGACAGTTTTCCCAACACCATTTATTAAATAGGGAATCCTTTCCCCATTGCTTATTTTTGTCAGGTTTATCAAAGAGTGAACAGGCAACCTATAGAACGGCAGAAAATTTCTGCAATCTATCCATCTGACAAAGGGATAATATCCAGAATCTACAAGGAACTTAAACAAATTTACAAGAAAAAACCCAGTCAAAAAGTGGGCGAAGGATATGAACAGACACTTCTCAAAAGAAGACATTTGAAACATATGAAATGTTTCAAACAAACATATGAAAAAAAGCTCATCATCACTGGTCATTAGAGAAATGCAAATCAAAACTACAATAAGATACCATCTCACGCCAGTTAGAATGGCAATCATTAAATAGTCAGGAAACAACAGATGCTGGAGAGGATGTGGAGAAATAGGAATGCTTTTACACTGTTGGTGGGAGTGTAACTTAGTTCAACCATTGTGGAAGACAGTTTGGTGATTCCTCAAGGATCTTGAACTAGAAATACCATTTGACCCAGCAATCCCATTACTGGGTATATACCCAAAGGATTATAAATCATTCTACTATAAAGACACATGCACATGTATGTTTATTGTGGCACTGTTCACAATAGCAAAGACTTGGAACCAGCCCAAATGTCCATCAATGATAGACTGGATTAAGAAAATGTGGCACATATACACCATGGAATACTATGCCGCCATAAAAAAGGATGAGTTCATGTCCTTTGCAGAGACATGGATGAAGCCGGAAACCATCATTCTCAGCAAACTACCACAAGAACGGAAAACCAAATACTACATGTTCTCACTCATAAGTGGGAGTTGAACAATAAGAACACATGGACACAGGGAGGGGAACATCACACACCGGGGCCTGTCATTGGCAGGGGGTGGGGGTGGGGGAGGGATAGCATTAGGAGAAATACCTAATATAGATGACGGGTTGATGGGTGCAACAAACCACCATAGCACGTGTATACCTATGTAACAAACCTGCACGTTCTGCACATGTATCCCAGAACTTAAAGTATGTATATAAAAAAAGAATATATACCTTTTGTCAAGTTAAGAAATATAAATGTTAAATAAGATCTGCCATAACGTGGTATCAGAGTGACAAATCAACATTTAAAAACAATATTATATGGTATAAAAAAGTACCACAGAAGGTCAGAAAAGGAAAAGAGTACTATGGATATTTGGTGATTTTTGCCTTAAAAAATGTACAATTAAGAAAGACAAAGAAAAAAGTGTGTGTGTGGTTGTAGGGGAGGGCATGACTGCCAAAAAAGAAGTCAGAGATTAGAACCACAGATGATTAGATTCTAAGATGACCTTCTGGCTACCGTGAAGTGTAATTTATACATGCTGTACGGATTCAGATGAGAAAAGTGCCCAATGGGCTGGACTGTTCACACTCTTGTACTCATTATGAGATGGATTGAAAGCACTGAGAACAGCAAATGCTTGGGGAGGTAGGACGGGAGAGGGAGGAAAGGAAGTGCTTGTTTGAATGAGACACAGAAGATATGTGTTGGAGTTATCCAAAGCGGAGATGAAAACCAGCAAAAATAAGATTTACTAGAAGAAAGTCCACTTATGTGCCTAATAGTATTAACAAAAAGAGATATGAGGAAGAAAGACAATGATAGTTGTACAGCCAACTCTTACAGAGACAGATTCAAGCCAAGTTACTGGTTAATTGCTGATAGAGCCTAAAGATCACCTCTATGAGGCAAAATCAGCTAATTTAAGGGGAGAAAGACCAGAGATAGAACTTCAAGGAGAAGGAAGAAAAATGTGGCGGAAACCACAAAGATAAAAATGCTAAGAGCTACAGAACTGGCCCATAGGTTCACCACTTAGGCATGAGGACACCAAACTTCAGCAAGAGAAGTTATTGGGTGGGGCGGGAGGGAGTGAGAGAATGGGAGGAGGGAGAATGAGAATGTGTAAATAAGGATAGCTCATTGGGTGATAAGCAAATGATATTCAACAAGAGGATGTTTTCTTTCTAGGAGCTTCGCACCTAAAGAGAAGAGAAAAACAAGGTAGGGGGAAACTCAAGATCCCAGGGGGAGAGACTAGAGAATGCTTCCATGCTGAGGACAAAGAGGCGGGGAAGAAAGTGGGGCATTCTTGGAAGAATCAGGGTAGAATGGGATCTAGAGAAGATGGAGAGGCTTTTGCCCTGGATAAGAAAAGGGGCTTCTTTATCAAACTAGACTTAGGAGGGAGGTATGTTCATCCTGCTAAGTTTTTTGGTAGCAAAGGCAAGAAATGCATGGAGTTTGCTCACCTTGGCCAGTGCTGAGTAGAAGGGTCCTATGTCTGGGAAGAATGAGAAAGGAGAATGGCACTTGGCTAGGGGAAAAATATTTGCCTTTAAGAGAAGCACAGGAGTGTCCAGGGTATCCTTGAGGGTTTTACAAAAACAAACAAACAAAACTTGCAATAAAGGATTAAATTGCTTAGTTACTGCTGATGGGAGTGTAAATTGTTGAAACCTTTCTGGAATGTATTGTGCAACTATGTAATCAAAGCCATATAAAAGTTAATATATGTTGACCTGATAATTCATTTAGAAAAATTTAAGCAAAAATAAAAAATATTTAAGTATAAAGATGTTCAAAGTATATTTTAAGATTAAAAATTGATAATGTCAGAAGAGGTGAAGTGTGATATGCATGTGACAGAACAGCTATGCAGCCATTAAAAACCATGCAGTTAAAGAATATTAAATCCTATGGGAAAGAGCAGTTAAAGAATACTAAGTTATGTGGGGAAAGTTACAATGTTAAAATTGTAAAAAGCAGGACATACAGTAAGCATTTACACTATTATTCCAATTTTTTAAAAGTATGCACTTAAAACTAGCTCTCCTTCTCCCAATACTGTTAAATGTACCTAGGTAAATTACAAACAGAAGATTAGGAAGATATAAGCTTTATACTTTTCTACATTATACAAATGTCTTTATAATCTTTACAATGTCTTTACAATCTTTACAAATGTCTTTATAATCAGAAAAAATTATTTCACCAAAAATAATGTTTTTTTAACAAATGCTGCTGGAAAAGTTTGATATCTACACATCAAGAAAATGAAATTGGAATCACATCTCACACCATATAGAAAACTTAACTCTAAATGGATCATGAACCTAAATATAAAACCTAAAACTATAAAACTTCTGGAAGAAAGCAGAAAAATTTCTGTGGCATTCATTTAGTCAAAAAGTCCTTGGTCACAACACCAAAAGCACAACCCATAAAATAAACACACTGATAAGTCGGATTTCATCAAAATGTAAAACTTCCCCTCAAAAGACAATGTTAAGAGAATAAAAAGGACAAGCCATTAGAAGATTAGAACAACATCTCTGCAAAGCAGAGATCAACTGTAAGTTGATAAACTACTTGCACCCAGAATATATAAAGAACTTCTAAAACTCAACAATAAAAAACAACTCAATTAACAAATGAGCAAAAGATCTGATCAGACATTTCACCAATGAAAATATATGAATGGTAAAGGAGCACACGAAAAGATCACTGATCATTAGGGAAATGCAAATTAATACCACAGTGAGATAATGCTATCTACCCATTAGAATGACCAAAATTAAAAACACTGGACAGTATCAAGAGCTGCTGAGAATGTGAAACAAATAGAATTCCTATCTACCATGGACAGGAAGGTAAAAATGGTACAATTGTTTTGAAAAACAGTTTGGCAATTTATTTAAAAGTTGAACATGTGTCTACCATATGACACAGCATTTCACATCTAGCTATTTACCAAGAGATCTGAAAACATAGGTCTTCACAAAGACTTGTTCATGACTATTCATAGTAGCTTTGTTTATAATAGTCAAAACTAGATGCAACCCGAAGGTCTATCCTTGTGTGAATGGATAAAATCAGGTTTTAGCCGGGCACGGTAGCTCATGTCTGTAATCCCAGCACTCTGGGAGGCCAAGGTGAGTGAGTGGCCAAGGTGAATGGATCATTTGAGGTCAGGAGTTCGAGTCCAGCCTGGGCAACATGGTGAAACCCCATCCCTACTGAAAATACAAAAATTAGCCGGTTGTGGTGGCAGGCGCCTGTAATCTCAGCTACTCCAGAGGCTGAGGCAAGAGAATCACTTGAACTTGGGAGGCTTGAACCTGGGATGCTTGAACCTGAGAGTCGGAGGTTGCAGTGAGCCAAGATCATGCCACTGCACTCCAGTCTGGGTGACAGAGTATGACTGTGTCTCAGAAAAACAAAAACAAAAACCCCAAAACAAATGAACAAGTTGTAGTATATTCCTATAATGGGCTACTAATCAGCAGCAAAAAGGAATAAGCTATTGATACATACAGTAACATGGATGAACCTCAAAATAAGCAGGCTGAATGAAAGAAGTTGGGCAAAACAAAGAGTACATACTGCACGATTCCATCTATACAAATGTCTAGGAAATGCAAGCTTATCCATAGAGGACAGGAAGCAGATCAGAGGTTGTCTAGGGACAGAAGGTAGGATAGGGAGGGATCCATCACAAAAGGCCATGAGCAAACTTTTAGAAATGACGGATATGCTCACTATGTTGACAATGGTGATGGTTTCAGGGACGTATGCATATATATGTGAAAACTGCAAGCACCCTTCACATATGGGCAGTTTATACAATATCAATTATACCCCCCAAAACTGTTAAAAAACAATAAAATGGCAGAGTTTTTGTATTATAAAAAACAAAATGATGAGAAACTCATCATCACATAAATTTACAGAAGTACGAAAATAAAACTTTCTGCAAACTGATAAACTAAAATCCTTTAAGTGCAATGACTCAAAATGACTAAAATCTCTCCTTCCCATTCAGAGGGAGGGAAAAAAGAGGAAAGGAATATTGGCTTAAATGTGAGTTGCACTCAGACCTTACTAGAAAAGGATATATATCTAGGCAGGTTTTAGAGCCACATTCTCAGCTGTCAAACTTGGAGGAAGCCAGTTCGGTTCACCTGTTGCTTTATGGGCTGGCATATCACACTACATGATTTAAAGTCTCCAAGAATACATCTAACTGGAACTGAGACCTACGGATGATAAATAGTTCTGGGATACGTTCCATTTATCAAATACCAAAGGAAGTACCCCCTGAAGTGTTTCAATTCAGCCTCTGCATAGCCTTTTAAAAAATGTTCATTAGCAGTTGCTTTAAAAGAAAGAAGTGCCATGCTAATTGATAGGCTTGCCTTTGATTAATTCAATAAAACAAATGAAGTAACACAGAAGCCAAGGTAACAAAAGAACAAGTATTAGCCAGGCATGGGCAGGTACTCCAGGTAGAGGGAGTCACAAACTGTATGGTGGGTCTAGGTAACTTCAGGGGATTCACTGTTTTTGGAGCTAAGAGCAAGAGAGGCAGACTGGAGCTCTGCAGGAGACAAGAAGGGTGAAGGAGCCATGGACGTGTCATGTCAGAAGGGGCTTAAACTTTAAAAATTATTTGTATAATTGACAAATTATCTTAAGTGTAGGTGCCTATACAACTTGCTTCCCCAACTCCTATACCCAATGCCATTTTTAGATTCTTCAGAAAGCAACCAATCTTTGTGTGCCTTTGTTGGTCTCCGAAACAATTAAGTGGTCATTCTCCTTTCAGTTTCTAATTAGGTTATTTTATTCATTTTTATTTATTTTTATTTTTTTTGAGATGGGATCTCACTCTGTCATCCAGGCTGGAGTGCAGTGGTGCAATCTTGGCTCACTGCAACCTCCGCCTCCTGGGCTCAAGTGATCCTCCTACCTCAGCCTCCTGAGTAGGTAGGACCACAGGTGCATGTCACCACGCCCAACTAATTTTTTGTATTTTTGGTAGAGACGGGGTTTTGCCATGTTGCCCAGGCTGGTCTTGAACTCCTGACCACAACTGATCTGCCAGCCTTGGCCTCTTAAAGTGTTGGGATTATAGGCGTGAGCCACCATGTCCAGCTGGTTAGCATTAAAAAAAAAAAAAAAAGTGACCTTCTTAAATTACTATTATTACATTATTTTGAGACCGAGTTTCGCTCTTGTTGCTCAGGCTGGAGTGCAATGGCGCGATCTTAGCTCATTGCAACCTCCGCCTCCCGTATTCAAGTGATTCTCCTGCCTCAGCCTCCTGAGTAGCTGGGATTACAGGCATGCTCTACCACGCCTGGCTAATTTTGTATTTTTAATAGAGATGGGGTTTCACCATGTTGGTCAGGCTGGTCTCGAACTCCTGACCTCAGGTAATCCACCTGCCTCAGCCTCCCAAAGTGTTGGGATTACAGGCATAAGCCACTGTGCCTGGCCTGACCTTCCTAAACTATAAACTCACTTAAGCCTTTGCAGTGTTTGCTGACAGTTAATTAACAAAATGGGGTTAAAACCCATCAATGCAAAGTCCCAGCCTCCTCCTTCTTGAAGCTTCAGCACCAGGATCTGGGGTGGCCCCTACACTGCATGATGATACACTCCTCAGTTTGCCCCCATTCCCCTGGTCTCCTTCCCTACTGCGATACACAGATGTGTTACAGAGAGAAGGTCTTTCCATCATCTCAGGCAGTATAGTTCTGGAAATCACCTTTGCAATGCTACTTTAAAACTCTGACTTGGAGAGGGCCCGAAAACATGAATCCTTGCCCTGATTCAGAACCTAAAGCAGTGCAGGGGAATAGCAGCAGAGAGACAAAGGCAAGAATCAGAACTAGGCTTGAATCCTGTCTGACCTTCACTATCTGTGTAACTACTTTCAATGATGTATTTAGTCTCTCTTCAGCATTTTCCTCTGTAGGATGGGAAAAACATCTACCTTGCAGTAGTGTGTGAATTAAAGTGATGTATGTAAAGTCTCTAGCATAGTTCTGAGGGCTCAAAATGCAAAGCTGTTATATTCAGAGTGTTACTCAGAAGTAAGTGCTGCCCTGGCCTGATATGGATTTAAAAAATAAGGGTTTGTTTTTTTTGGGCACAGGCTCTTATACGGAATCACAGTCAATGGAATCTTTGAAGGACAAACAATGGGAATAGTTCCTGAGAACAAGGCTCATATATAATGAGATTTGTATTAAAAGTGATATTTGGTGAAGTAGCATACTTCTGATCTTACTCATCTCTGTGGCATAGGCAGGGTGTACCTTAAATTTTATGGTGGCCATGGTCATACATAAACCCAAATCACAGCTAAAGTAAAACTGATCCACCGGAAGCCAGCAGTCAGTTTGCATGTTAAATTGAAAAGTAACTTGGGTAATATGTAATTATTGACTATCCAGCAATGGACTGACCCCTGTTTATGGCTTAACTTTGGTTGGTAAAAGATGATAATGCACCTATGAAAATATTATAATAGCTAAAAATCAGAGAAAATAGCTACATGTCAGAAAAAAATCTACTCGACTGAAGCACATAGGAGCCAAGATTCCACACTGTGAGTTCTACAACACAGGATGCCTCTTTCACATAGCCTTTCAAATTAAACCCCTTCTCTCGTCCTCCTGAAATGAAGGCAAGTTTGGCAAGAGGTTGCATGGAACTGAATCCCATCTTGCAGAGCCATTTGGTATGCGGGGAAGATGCAGGGAGGGGACAGGGATCTGATACGGGAAAAAAAATGAATACTCAACTAAGATTCATACCGCAAAGGAGGCTGCTCTAACAGATAGTAACTTCTTAGTCTTAAAACAAGCAATGTGTGATAGCTGATGCTTCTAAATTATTACGTGTATATTTTTCTTACACTCTTGTTTACCCCTTGAAGAAATGTTTCTAAACACTACATGCAACTTTAAGTAAACTTACATTAGGTCCACCTTATAAGTCACCTTTAGCACAGACACAGTGTATGTCAAATTTGTCTATAGGCACCTATCACAATGCTGGACTTGTTTGCTTTCTTTTGCTTTAAAAAACTTTACTGACAATGATCAGAAAGGAATGAATGATACCAAGACCTGAGTATGTACTTTCTCATGTATCCACCTGTGCAACATTAGACATGATTTTTTACCTTTCTTTAACTTCCATATCTTCAACTGTAAGAAGAACACAGTCGATTCTTGATTAACTGGGTAACTGGGAAGCAGGGGAGAAGGCCACCAATAATCATGGCTAAAACAAAATTAGTCACTGTGATTCGCTGACCAGTGGTGCCTTTGCTTGTTGAAATGAAACGTGTGGGGATAATATAAAACTATGGATCAATCCATGCTGGGGCAAAGGGGAAAAGATGACTCCAGAAGTAACAAAAAACAGCAAGGAAACTCTTGGTTCTGTCTGCAATATCTTCCACTGGGTCCCAGTGAAGGCCACAAAATGTAAGCTCTATCAGAACAGGATCCTGCCTTTTACTGACCAGTTCTGTATGTCTAGTACCTAGAACAGTGGATGCACACAGGGGAAACTCAAGTATGTGCTGAATGAATAAAAGGAAGATGAGAGGAAGGGCAGGAGGAGAGCTTTCCATGCTGTTGGCCAAATGAACCCACGGAAGAAAACAGTTGTCCAATCTATTTGCTCACCTCTGTGAATAACTGGGCATTGACACAATGCTTTAAATTTGAAAATTCTCTTGGATTTCCCTTGAGTCTCCTGCAATCAAGAAGACATTGTTCTCTTTCTTGACTTGGCCCACCCTCTACAGATATCAGGACGCTGCAGTCACTGTTGCCATCTTGTGGTCATGTCCAGAAAGTTCGTCTTCCCCAACAGACCAGTATAGACCCCCTATCTGCACAGAGCTCCGGGTAAGGGATATAAGAACAAACTTACAGATAAACAAATCCTTATCATTTAATTTAACTATCAAGGTATCATGGTGAACACAAAGATTAATCAGTCACCAGTTCTACCATCAAGGAGCTTGGGGTCTAGTAAGGAGGTATCCCAAAAGGATACTCATAATTTATAATTATTGATAATGCAAAACAGAAGGTAGAAGATGCCACAAGGTAAGTATAGATTAGGTACAGTGGGAATTCACAGAAAGAAAAGATCTTTCCAAGCTTTGGAGATGGGAATTTGGGACAAAAGAGCCAACTGAACTGAGATTGGGGTGAGGTAAGATGTGGGCCTGCACAGGTGAGGCTGGAGAGGTGGGGAGTGCGTCCCAGTCGGGGGAGAAGAAGAAAAGGGCAGACTAGGGTAGAAATGCTTATTCCTCCTGTGACTGGAGCTGATGGTGTCTTAAGGAAAGTGGTGGGAAGGGAGGCTGCAGAAAGGCAAGGCTGGAGTCGACTGAAGGCTGAGAGCCACTGCTTTAACAAGTGTAACTGGAGATGGAAGGGCTGCAGGACAGGTCACTCAGCCAGTGGTGTGGAAGCAATCTCACCTGGTGACAGCAAGTCAAGTGGACTAGCTCTCGGCCTTGGGTAAATGACTTATCTTTCTTCAGTTTCAGTTTCCTCAGCTATGAAGTGAGATAATGAAGCCCTACAGAGTTGTTGTGAGGAATAAATGATACTGCATGTAAGGCACATAACACAGTGAGTGGCAAAGGATTTGAAGAGCAGGGTAAGGACTAGGGGGAAGATGGCATACAGCAGAGACCATGGCACTGCAAGGTGTGGAAAGGGGCACGGAGAGGGGAAAGGAGGGACTATCTGGAGAATGGACAGAGTGGGGAAGCCAGCAACAGGTCGAAGGTATGCCACTGAGTAGCAGGGAAAGCCAGGATGCTCTAAGGTCACAGAAGCCAAGGGAAGAGAATGTTTCAGGGAGGTAGAGCCAAGGTAAGGACTAAACCCTACTTCCTCCTGGTTGTGTGACATGCAGGTTTTTAGTAAAATTGAAAAGAACTATTATACTTTGGGGAACCAGAATGGAGGCCTGGGGTGAGGAAGGAGTGCTGCATGAGGAACTGGGGGCACTAAGTCCACATTCCTCTTTGGAGAAATGCTATCAGCTGAAGGGGAAGGTACAGAGAGGACAGTGAGCTGTCACTGTTTTATTTTTTAAAAGATGGCAGAGATTTGTCATGTTTATAATGCTGACAGGAAGGATCAGGTGGAGAGGGAAAGGGAGAGAAAGGATAATGAATTAGAGGGGGCAGTACCCAGGGCATAAGAAGAGATAGAGGAGGACAGGGTGTGTGCAGATGCCAAACCAAAGACCATCAAGGCACAGGGGGAGGACACAGTAATTAATTTTGCTTCATAGAGTAGGTGACACATGAGCAGTTTTCAAGGATGAGTAGGTATTGGTCCAGTGAACTAAAGGGGTAAGAACATTCCAGCAGAGGAAATAGCACGTGCAAGGGCAGGCATGGGAAATGTGGCTTGACGTGCTGGAGGAACGTGGGAGCCCGGCGCTACGGAATTTAAAGGGAATGGGGGTATGTTCCCATGACAGGGCTGGAGAGTGACCAAGGAGGGCCAAACGACCACAGGCCCTGGACTCATGCCATCACTGCAGGCCTGCTTTACACGCGCTGCTTTTAGATCACCCAGTAATGTCACTGTCCTGAGTCATCTGGAAAAGGCAGGAGGAGAGGATTCTCCCAGGGCTGGGAGCAGGAAGATGAAGTAGAGAGCAGTGGAGAAGCAGAACATTCTAGAGCACTAGCAGGAGCCAGCGGTGGCAGCAGGGAGTATGTGAGACCTGAGCTAGAGAGAAGGAGGCCCAGAAGCATAAACTGTAGCAGCAGAGACAAAGTCAGCAGGAGCAAGGAAGGAAGTGGAGGCAGAGGACGCGAGCCTGTGGTCAGCAATGGCCATTTTAGGGTTCAAATTCACAGGGGTGGGGTGTTCCAGACAATGATGCGACTTTACAAGCATTATGCAAATGTGAGGTATTTTTAGTATGCACTGTAATTTCAGAGCACTTCGATGATGACTTTTGGAGTTCTAATACTTTAGATTCTCAATTGACATTGCTCAGATAGATAATAACTAAAGGTACCAAAAGAGGTGCCAATTTCAATCCTTTTTTTTTTAAAGGCAAATTGTTGGGTAATGTGAATAATTACTCCCTTAATTTATCTGCTTTACAAATTCCATTTAATTCAGAGTTTGGCAGGTGTGTTTTTCTCCCCACCTTAACAGAACCTGTGGTATTAACATAGGGTGATCTTTCATTTATCTGGCAACATCAATAATCTAAAACACAGGAAAAAAAAAAAAAAAACCCAGAAAGGAGGAACACAGGTTCTGAACTGCCAAAGTAGACACTACAAATCTACACATATCAAGCATTTCATATTGAGGAATGTACTATGCACCCTCACTCAGTGTCAATCTTTTAGGCAAAACGATAACAAGTTGGGGTTAACTGGGATTTTTGGTACAGGGAAGATTAGCAGCCCCAGGTATCAAAGGGAAATGCAATGACGGCAGGTGGTGATGGCTAAGAATGGAAAACACGAAGGACAAATTAAAACAAAAGAAATCAACAAGTGTAGAGAGAGGGAAGGTTGCTGTAAGTGGCTGTGGCCCATGGTGGGGAAAGTGAAGGAAATGGGCACTCCTGTGTACTACCAGCGACAGCGACTGTAAGTCTTCCCTGGAGGTCAAAGCTGCCATGCAATTGCCAAGCCAAAGAAAAGTGGGCACTTATCTTTTCGCCCACTCATTTTACACCTAAGCATTTAACTTAAGAAATAACCTGAGACACCCATAAAGATTCATGCATGAGGTCATTCATTACTGCATTATTTAAAGACTGGACTGGAAACTACCTACTCGCCAACAACTAGGGAAGGCTAAATAAACTGTGGTCATTCATTCTCAAGTGGTATAGCTTTTGAGGAATACAAAGAAGTAACATACAAGTACATGGGAAACAATCTTTATACAATGTTACATTTTTAAAAAGCAAGATACAAAACAAAGATCCCAATTCAATTTTTTAAAGTGTTACATAGTTTTATAGAAGAACATTCCAGAAGGAAATATCTGTTAGTTTTTAATGCATTTTTTAAAATGATGGGAACACTAATTCTACACCATAACACTACAGCTATGATAAATAGCTATATTCACTATATTGGTAGCAATGTTATCATGATTGCTTATGGCACTTAATTCAATATGTATTTCTTCCACATTCAATCTTTCCAGCTTTCCTTTTTAAGAGACTATAACGTGTTTGGAGGCAAAAAGCAGAACCTGAACCTTACAGAGCGTGTAAAGAATACAACAGGGATGCAATCCGCAGAACTCAGACTTGGGGGAAACACTACAGGACAGACAGACAGACACAAACACAAAAGACAAAAAACCCGTTTCTTTAACAAATGCGTTTTAAGGAAGAAAAAAAAATGAGTAACTGTGGGTCAAAAAAGACTTTAAGAAATATAACAGCTAACAGCAGGTATGGACCTTACTGGATTTGGATCATGGAAATCTTTAAAAACAAAAGATAAGTAGGCAGATTTGAAAACTCACTAGATATTAAGGAATTATTGTTCTTTTGGTGTGTGATAATTGTATTGTAATTATACCTTTAAAAAGAGTCTGTACTTTTTGGAAACACCAAGAAATATACAAATGATATGAAATAACTGCATCAAAAGAGTCTGCAGGAGAGGCAATGGGTATGGGTAGGGGACGAAGGAAACAAGACTGGCTGCTGAGGTGTGGTGACTTGAAACTGGCGATGGGTGTGAGGATTCATTCTATTGTTCTCTGTACTTCTGTATATCTTTAAAATATTCTACAATAAAAAGTTTTTTGAAAACACCTAAAGGCAGCACTACACTTCACCCTACACAGTAAACCTACATGTACATGTACCACAAGCTCTGGGTACATAAAAAAAGCTGGTTGACAATGACAAAGTCAGAAATTATTTATACAGTTTATGATGTTTACATCTTCTCCAACCTAAGGAATGCACATGATCATTTTTGTACCCTTGACCCTGCTACAAAGGCCACAGACCAATCAACTGATAATTCTACTCTACTGAGGCTAAACGGTTATTTCTAAGCATTCGAGACTGATGTACAAGTGACACAGTAACAAATGTTTAACAGTCAGATCTTTCATTAGGTAAACTTTTTTTTTTTTTTTTTTTTGAGACGGAGTCTCACTCTGTCGCCCAGGCTGGAGTGCAGTGGCACGATCCCGGCTCACTGCAAGCTCCGCCTCCCGGGTTCACGCCATTCTCCTGCCTCAGCCTCCCAAATAGCTGGCACCTGCTATTCGGTAGCAGGTACTACAGGCACCTGCTACCACACCTGGGTAATTTTTTGTATTTTTAGTAGAGATGGGGTTTCACCATGTTAGCCAGGATGGTCTCGATCTCTCGACCCCGTGATCCACTCGCCTCGGCCTTCCAAAGTGCTGGGATTACAGGCGTGAGCCACCACGCCCGGCCTTCATTAGGTAAACTATTTTTTAGAAAGAAATATTCCTGTAATCTCAGCACTTTGATAAGCTAAGACTGTTGGATCACTTTAGGCTAGCAGTTTGAGACCAGCCTGGCCAACATAGCGAAACCCCATCTCTACTAAAAAAATACAAAAAATGTGCTGGGTATGGTGGCACATGCCTGTAGTCTCAGCTACTCAGGAGGCTGAGGCAAGAGAATCACTTGAACCCAGGATGCGGAGGTTGCAGTAAGCTGAGATCATGCAACTGCACTGCAGCCTGGGTGAGAGGGCACAACTCTGTCTCAAAAAAAAAAAAAAAAAAAAGGAAAAAGAAATATTGCAGTTAGGCTATCAAGTAACTATTCAGCATATGATGACTAGTTATTTTTTAACTAATAAAGGTGGAGAATAAATGAGCGTAGCAAGATCAAGGAGCTGTGTCAGGCTGAGGTGGCAGAAAATGGTGGCTCATGCATGCAGTGGGTGCACTACAGTGGGAGAGACTTCGGTCATGGAGCAGGCAGGTGGAGGAACCGGAAGAGCATCTGCTGGACTCAGCACTGGGTGTGTGTGTGTGTGTGTGAATGTATGTGTGTTTGTGTGTGTGTGGCGTGTGTGTGTTTGTGTGTGTGTGGCATGTGTGTATGTGGGTGCAGCATGCGTGTGGGGCAGGAGGCCATCATGAAACCTTTGCCAAAGTTGCTTCGGGGGAGTGGTGAGGCAGGAGTCTGCCGGGTGTGGTTTGAGAAAGACGTGAAGGCCTGTAGGAGAAAGAGAATGGAGATGGCAGAGACAAGTGAAGACTCTGAACCGTTTTGGTCTGGAGAATCTTGAACACCTCCTCTGGCTGAAGGGAAGAAGTCAGTGGGACCAAACACAATCCCATATTCAATGGGACAGTGAAAGAGTGGATGAGCCTTGGGCAGAAGAGCAGAGCTCCTCTGCAGCCAAGAAAAGGAGGGGTTAGAAAGCAAATAAGGTGGGTGGTGAGCGAAGAAGCTGCTGAGGGTGCATATCTGACAGACTCAATTTTCTTAGTGAACTTGGGGGGTAAAGTTACCTAATGACTATCAGAGATTTCTAGTTCTATTAGAGACTATTATTATCATAATTATTAGCCAAAATTTCATGAAATAGAGTGAATAAGCTTGTTTAGAACAACCAACCAAAAACCATTTGACCACTTGAATGGAACCAGGTGTTTTGCTGAGAATTTTTTTCATGCATTATCTCATTTAATACTTAGTGACTTAAATTCTCTCTGCTCATTTTCTTCCTCTATAACTGGGAATCAAGACAATACCCATGTTAGGGAGCCATTACCAGGATAAATGGCATCACTATGTGTAGGTGCCCTGAACAGTCAGCACAGGGCAAGCACTGCAGTCAGACAGCACTATTATTCCAGATAAGGGAGTCACTTCCCAGTTCACGGGGTCTGTTACAGAGCTAGCTGGCCCACCACCTGCACTCTTCATGGAAGCTAACCAGCCTTCTTGGGCCAGCAGGGGAGAACATGCAGAGGGCAGGTGCCAGAGAGGCTGGGGTAGGGTGGTGGTGGAGCCACGACCCAGAAAGCCAGCGTCCAGGGCTGGTGAAGACTGCAGGGGGTGAGACAGATGTGAGGAGGCCCAAAGTTCATAGCCAGCAGCTGGAGAGATCACCGAGCAGGTTCCCTTGCCTGAGGCCACCTCAGCCCAAATCTAAGGAGACAGGAGGTCCTGAAGCTCAAGGCGCCTGGCTTCGTGTGGGAGAACAGGTGACGGTGCAAGCCGGGAGGGGGCCAGCGCCCAGGGAACCCTGGGTTGGTGAGAAGACAGAGCCCAAGATGGGCAACACAAGTCTCTCCTTTGAGCTGTTACAGCTCGGGGCACTTGTCTCACAAAACCTCCCAAGTGCCTGCTGTGTGCAGGTGAGCAGTGATATCAAGATGACAGACCTAGTCTCGCGGGTGTGGGAGGACACACCAAACTGCAAGGCAAGCCAGCTGCGTGCTCACTGCTATAACATGGGCACCACAGGGGAATTTGGGGAGCACAGAAGTGCCATGGAACCAGAGTTGGCCAGAAAGGTGCTGTCTAGGGAGCAGAGGAAAAGAGAACCCCTAGTAGAACGAGCTGGGGAGCCAAAGGCACATGATCATAAATATATAAATGGCATGAAATAACTTCACACCCGCAGGAAAATAAACAAGCCCGAGGGAATGGGGATGGGCATGGGTAAGGGATAGAAGAAACAAGCCTGGCTGTGGAGGCACTAACTGTTGAACCTGGTGATACACCAGCATTTACTGTATTGGTTTAACCAAGGGGTTCTTCACTCTACTGTTGTACTCTCAAGTGTGTACATCACGCTCAGAGGATAGAACCGGATATATGAGTGTGTGATGCCTCCGCTGTATACTTCCAGCATTTTAATTAGGGTAAAGGAACTTGGTGTGACCTTCTGTCTGGATATGGGTGACCTGAGGAGGATAGGAAGAGTTCAGGTACTTTCAGGGGCCAAGCGCTGACTGCCATTCAGACCTGGCTCTATGGGCACACCCAGTGGGGTGTGAGGACACGTCAGTCAGAACTGGGTGGCACCGCGAGCGTTTCCTGCCCCAAGTCTCGGGGATGGTGCAAGTACCACACGCATAGACGAGCAGCGTGTGCACATCTCTTGACCCCGCGTGTCTCCTGTCACTGCCCTTGGTGTGCTGTCCTTCACCTGGCCTGTCTTAACTCCTCTGCAAGGGTGTGGGCCTCCCTCCTGCCTCCTGCCGTGCATAATACATGTGTGTGTGTCCTCCTCTATGCATGTGTCTCTCTCTCTCCCCTCACCCCATCCAGATGCGTGGGGGTGTGCATGTGTGTGCACACATGTGCCGCCTCCCTTTGGAGTTGCTCTGTCTTGTGTTCCCACATGGGGTGCAGGCACCCTCTCCCTCCCTAGTGTGCGTGTGTGTGTGTGTGTGTGTGTGTGTGTGTGTGTGTGCTCCTCTCTCCCCTCCAGGGCTGTGTATGTTTGTGGATCTCTGGGGCCCTCCCACTCTGGCGTGTATTTCTGTCTCTCCCCCCAACTCTGGGGGTCTGTCTCTCTCTTCCTCGCTGGGGGTCTTTCTCTCCCTGCTGCAGACCAGGTGTCTGTGTCTCTCTCCCACCTCTGCATGCTTCTGTGTGTGTACCCCCATCTGAGCATGTGTGCCTCTCTCCCCAAATCCTGGTGGGACTGGTGTCCTGCCCTCACATCCGGGGCTGTGTGTCTCCCTCTGCCGTGGGAGTGAGTGCGTCTCCGCTCACATCCTGGCGTGAGTGTAACTCTTTCTCCTGCCCATCCTGGAATCTGTCTCTCCCACCTCCACCTTCTGGATGTGTCACTCTCTCCCCCAGTCCAGGTGTCCTCAGTGTCTTTTCCCAGCCTATCCTGGTGAACGTGCAGTGTCTTTCCCCACTTTGGGGTCTCCCCTCAAGCAGGGAAAAGACAGAGTCAGAGTTGCTGGTGCATCTCTTTCCCCTCTGTGGGTGTGAACTGGGTGTATTTCTCTCTTCTTTCTCTGTGTTTGTCTTTCTCCCACTGGCTTTCTCCTGAAATATAAATATAAACATAATTTACACATACCTGCACAGACAGATACAGCCTCCCACGCCCACTGTGCTTAGGTCTACGTGTTTCTCTGTCTGGGATTGTGGGTCTCCCCTGCTCTGGGTATTCTGGGGGGTGTGCATCCTTTTCCCTCATGCATCTGTGTCTGTCTTTCTTTGGAGCATGTGTAGTTGTCTCTGCCACCCCCATGGTAACAGGGCTTGCTGCAGGTGAGGGCTGGCCTTGTGGCGGTCAGGAGGTCTGTCTGTACTTGTTGCGCAGGGCTTAGCTATGGAGGGAGCAGGGAACAGGGTGGGTAGGGAGCAGCAGAGACAAACTTAACCACCTTCTCTCTCCCAACCTTGCTGTTCCACACTTCACAATTAACAAGGGGCTGGGTGACTCCAAAGAAGTGATCCCAGGCCTCCTCCTACTGACTTCTCCCTGGAACTCATGTCGTCCCAGACACCCTCTGGAATGGATGGCCCGCATCACACAGCCTCTAACCGCTGCTCAGGGCTTCCTCTAGCTTCCCTTCACCACAATCAAACCTCTGGACTGCCCCTGAAAACAGAGTACTCCTCTCCAGGAATTTACCCTGTGCCGGTTCTGAGACAGAGAAAGTGGGGTGGAGGACAGCACGTGGTCCTTGCCCTCCAAGGCTCAGCCCCGAGAGGAAGCTGCATACCCACGCATGGTATGGAGCAGTGCTCCAGGGCCGGTGAGAAGGACGTGGCTGTGCAGGCACAGAGGGGTCACCACAGCTGAGGCAGGCAGGCTGTGGGTGCCCCAGCAACACGCCTCTCAAAGGGGCAGGGGAGGAAGGAGGTGACGGGAGCACCCAGGTCCTATAGCCATGTGCAGAGGGCAGCACAGATGAGGATGAGGCTGGAAGTGACAGCCACCCTGCAAAGGACAACCCCCGCTCTGCTCCGGAGTTCTACTGCACTCAGGGCCAGCGGTCCTCATAGACGTTACAAGACAGTCCAGCAAGATGGCTTTCTGCCCGGTCCCCTATCTCGCTCCCTCTGCCTCCAGCACGTAGAGCTCCTCCTCCAGACCTCAGGGCCTCTGTCTGGAGCGTCCCTTCAGGTCACTCCTGGCCCACCCCTTCTCATCATTCAGGCCTCTATACAAAGGGCCTTTTATCAAGAGGTCTCCCCTGATCACTGTCTCTTAGGGTCCCTCTTCCCTGGCCCCCAGGACTCCTCACCTCTGAACTCCTTCTTAATTCCTTCATGCTGCCTACTGCACCCCGAGGGAGCTCTACTAACTACTGTGTCCTTTGCTCATTGTGGGTGGGGCCTGGCTTAGTACCCAGCATGGTACTTGACCTGTGTGGCAGGCACTTTGTAAAATTTGTGGAATGAATAAGATATAAAAGGAAAGGTGTCTTGCACATAGATGTGGAGATGTTAGTGTAAACAGAAAAGAGACATGGAGGCCCTAGAGAGAGGTAGAGACTAAGGCTTCATTAGCAAGAAGCTGCAAGCTAAAGGTACCGCAGGAGTGGGAACGGGTGCTCAGGAAAAGTGTACACTGAGAAGTGGACTGGGGAATGCTGCGAACCCTGGGGAATGCCAAAATGCTGGTGGTTGGGGGGACAGGTGGAAAAAAGGTGCCACCCAAACAAAGTGCAAAGGAGGTGCCAGAGAAGGAACAGCAAAGCCAGAAAAGTCAGAGATGCAGGAGTTTGCCAAACATGTGGAATCCTGCAGAAAGGCAAGTGGGGATAAAATGGAAATGATGCCACCAGCTTTGGTGCCTGGGAGGCTGTTGATGGATGTTGCCTTCAAATGCAGACTCAAAATGAAGGGGCAGGATAGCTAAAGAGTAAGGGGAGATGAAAGAAACAGCACATGGACCACTCTTCCAGAAAGTCTGGCACTGATGAGGGGAAAGGTACTTAGGGAAGGGGGATGATGAAGCCAAAGGTGTATTTTATTTTTTTGATTTGGGAAGATCTGAGCATATTTTGCAAGTGGAGAGGAAGAGATGGGAAATTCCAAGATGGGAGGGGTGAGTGACAATACAAGGACCTACGAGGGGCTGGAGTAACCGGCTGGCTCCAGAAGCCCCGGTATACAGCCCTGGGGCCCAGCCTCCCCAGCTAGACCAACCCTTCCTGGCACTAGGCAGTACGTCTCCACCACCCCCCCCGATCCTCCCCTACAGGAGGGCTGGGCATCATTACAGAGGAATCCAGAGGTAAAGAGGGCACTGACAGTCCCAGTCTTCTCTGGGAGCTAAGCTAGACATCTGGTGAGAGGGTTATAGGAGAACATTAGATGTTGAGAATCACTGGTGAGAGGAATGAGCAAAAGGAGAGAGAATGGGGATGCAGGTAAAAGAGTGGGTTTATACCATGAAAGACCCAGCTCTGAACCTCAGTGGGTACCCTCTCAACGGAATAAAACCCCTTCTGTGTGGCCTTCGGGACCTGATGCCTCCTGGCCTGTCTCCCTTTCTAGCTTTCTCCACCATCATTCTGCTCACCCCTGACACCCTGACACTCAACTGCAGAAGAATGGGGCACGTGCTGCATATGCGGGCCCAAGCATCCTTCCCTGGATTCCCCGGCCTTCCCCCGCCATTCTTGGCTCTACAGCTACCTCCTCTGTGAGTCTAATTCCCCCAAGTGGTATTAACTTCTTCTATGTGTCCATTTCGTTAATGTCTCTATAACACAAGTATTAAACCCATGACGGAAGTTCCAACTGAATATAGAAAAAGGTGGTTCCATGACTAAGGAACTAAAAAATGGTAGAGCCATTCACAGAATAGCTGAAGTCTGAATTGCTAGCAGAATGGACCTAGTGGTAAAGACCGGAGACCTCTGCGTGCAGCGGGCCCCGCTTCCAATGTGGAACATATTCACATTTCTGTAACGCTAGTCTTACATCCATGGGGTCAGTTTATTCTGGACTCTGGATCAACTTAACTTTCCTAATTCATCCTCCTCTGCTCAAAAAGCTACAATGCCTTCCGCAGCACATAGTGCACATTCCTCAGGCTGGTAATAAAGGCTTTTCACAATCAGATCTCAGCACACCTTTCTAGCGGCTCCTGAACTGTACCCTTGCAAACCATCCTCTCCAGTCAGACTGGTCTTCTCTGTCTCCTAACCTCTGCCAAAACCATTCCTCTCACCTGAACAGCCCTGCTTCTTCTTGCCAATTCCTAACTCATGCCTTTTTCAAAGCCCATCTCAAGTTCCACCTCTCCCTCCCTTGAGCACCTATAGTTTTTACTGTCTTTACCATTCATTTAGCATTTTAAAAAACAATGCTCTGGGATCTCTTTATACATTAACTCATCATCCAAAGGCATAAAAGCAGAGAAGTTTAAAAAATTTTTCTTTTTCGCCCAATTCAACATTTAGCCACATTTCCCGTGACAATCACATTTTTATTTTAAAATAAATTTAAGGAATATTTATGTGTTTATTATAGGGGAGACACAAAGGAAGAGAGAAATCCCCAAATCCCCCAAACCCATGGAGATTACATGAATAACAAAATGGAGATGTGAAACTTGGAATTCTTTAGTAATTGGGACAATACCATATACTGTATTAAATTCTTTTAACTCTCCTGGGTGGGAAGATCATCAGTGGCATTTTTAGCTTGGAAGCCTAACATCTAAAATTAACCAAGCTAAGCAATATTTTCAATTGTCATCATGTAGAATTACATTGTTTAATGAAATAAGACCATTCAAAAATTTGGGGAAAAATGTTTATTCATTATTCTGAAATCAGACAGCTTTGCAACAAATTTAAGGCCAAAATTAATAAAATTACCTATTTAAGATCCTTATTATGAGACAAAGTTTATACTTATATCTTTAGAAAAATCTCCTTTAGCTTAATAAGTTGATAAATTTCCCCAATTCCTTATGTACAGCTTAAAGATAAGTTGACATTTAGCACTTTCTAACTCGAATTACTCTGTCAACTCTATGC
This sequence comes from Homo sapiens, assembly GCF_000001405.40. Lineage (NCBI taxonomy): Eukaryota > Metazoa > Chordata > Mammalia > Primates > Hominidae > Homo > Homo sapiens. The sequence goes on from NC_000008.11 coordinate 56,201,541, forward strand.
CTGAAATCTTCATTTTGTAAGAATGTACAATTTTCTTAAATATATGAACTTCAATATGGACATAATTTAGGTTTATACTACCCAAATAACATATAATAATTAGCTGCTATAGGTCTGTCCATTCTAAAGATTTACTTACAAAAAGTAACAGAATTCCTTCTGAAATCATTATTGCTTCTTGCATACACATTATCCCTGCAATTCCTATCTCATGAGATTGCTGTGAAAACTAAATGAGATAATATAGGTAAAAGCAAAGACTGATAGGTAGCCAAAGTATTTTATGGCTGAAGCATAGCATTAATACTCAAAATATTTTGAGAGTTATAAAAGTCATGTTGCTAACGATTCAGGGAATAATTCAACCAATCAAGTTGAGTTTCTTTTTCTTTTAAACATAAACAGTTTCTTTTTGGGCTCTTTTTTTTTTTTTTTGTTTTTACTAGGAAAAACCTTTAACTAAAACTTGGCTGAAATAAAAAATTTTGTAACATCTCATCTTTAAAGGATCAGAACCTCTGCTTTCTTATTTGATCAATTTCAAGCTAGATTTAAAATACTAGTCTAATTCTACTTTATTTCAGTGAAATGATGGATGAGATAAAGTTACTTATCTTTAAAATTTTCTGAATTTTATACTTAGCAGTTGAAGACCACACTTCTGAACTGTGCAACTTGAAAAAGATCTAGATTTTAGTACAGCATTAAACACAGAACCAGAGTATACCACAATGACTTTTATATTAATTTTAATACATATGCTCATTTTCCAGAAGTGATTTTGGATGTTATTGCTTGATTTTAAAAAGCACAGAAAACTAGTCTACGTAAGGCACTGCCATACACAGGGTGGCAGCACTGAGAACCAAACACATGCAAACAGCAAGAACACTTGGAAGGGCCAATGGAAGCACACAAGTGTGCCTGAAATCTGATTAGGACAAACTTAGACATGCGGGTATTTTGGCTTCAATTAAAAAATTTCTTTTAATTCTGGAAGAGTATCATGCATTGTACAAAAGCTATTATGAGTCAGCCTCTGAATGTGATCAATTGCACTTCTCCCACAACAAACTGCTTTCTCTACTTTTCCCTGCACTGAGGGATAAAAGGTGAACTAAGAATAATTAAATTCAAGCACCACATGAGATCTAATGTTTAAGTAGAGCAACTGTATCTCTGGTATACAGCTGAAAAGATAACCCAGGCTATGATTAAAAGTGCTCCTAGATAGGAATTTAAGAATAACATGATCTTGAGAACATATTAAATAAAAGCAGTTACAGAAGTAAAGTTTTAAAATAACTGTCTGTCACCAATCTCTCAGCAGCAATATTGTGAGATAGGAAGTACAGACATTAGTTTATACTTTCCCAAAAGAAGGGCTTTTAAGAAAAACATCTGTAACTGTACTTAAAAAATTGAAATACCATTAAAAGTATTAAATGCTTGATAATTAAGAATTTAAATACAACAGACATTCAACCAAGTACTGACCTATTTGTCACTACTTTTCTTTGAAGAATAATGAAAATAATTGAATATATCACGATCTTTAAGTAATTTTGACCACATATTTGAAAAAAAACTAATAAATTTATTAACTGTTAAAGGCTAGCTGCTTAGGAACGTCTACAGAATTTTATATGTGTATTTTGTACTTTGTTTACAAATTTCTAGGCATAAAAAGTAGATTCAGATACAAAAACAACTATCTGAATTAAAATTATGTATATTTCAGCAGTAAATCAAGTTATTCAGTTTAATATTTAAAGCTTTCATTCTATGTCTAATTAAGCCTGTTACTTGATAGTTTACTTTCATTTTGATTTGGGTAAGCAAATATGACAATATATTTTAATACAGCATCTTTCAAAACGTAATATATGCCAAATTATTGCTGAAAAAATGTCTTACACCTTTTTCTTAAAAATAAACTGAGCAAATTACATTAAAAGCTAGACCTGATAGATGTGCTTAACATACAGCATAGTTAAATCAGTTATTTGTTTGTATGACAGTAGCCCTGAGAATGCTCACGTTTTATGAAGCAAGATAAAGAAAAACATAAAATGTCACTAACTCCTGTTTGGTGTGCCTGATCATCACAGAAACTTTCCTTCTTGGAAACATTTTAAAAATCTTCCAAATAACTAGTAGGGCTGCTTCCACCACTCTTGGTGTAATTAACCTATTTTATTATACATCTATTTCTATTCTAATGCTAAAATCCTATGAAATTGAATAGTAAACATCAAGTAAAATGCTACCAACATTAGAAGAGAAAAATCTAGATTGAAATTTATACAATTAAATTACCTCAGTCTATGACAAATTAGCAAAACATATGAAGAACATTTTCTCAGATTTATTTAGAAACAATTTTAAAGGTGCAAGGAAAACAAATTCATGTTTGAGGTGTAGCTTATTTATAATAGGATATGCTGGTTATATTAATATTTGTTTTTAGGCTTATAATAGGTTATAAGGTCATAACAATCCAAATATATAAAGTGACAACTGTTCCATAAGTTGCAGTTGTGTAACACAGAATAATGGAGCTAATTTCTCTTCAATGGAATGCAGTGCTTAAATGAATTATGTTTAGGAAATACAGAAGATAGCTTAAGAAAAGGAAAGTGCTCATATATAATAAAACAGCATTTTCCCTTCATTGTCCAAAGTTGATAAAAATAAAACCTACTTATTGTAACTCTCTCAGGGTATGAAGAAAAGTGACGTGAGCTCTATGTAACTCCAGCATTAAGACAATACAAGAAAAAATCAAGTTACCGAGAAAATCTGGTAGACTAAAATCCAACCGGTGTTATTTTGAAACTGTACACTTGAACTATCTTAAGTTTCCAGGTTTAATTTCTTAAAATTCTCATGATCAAGAACAATTCAATAAATATTTACTAATGTATCTTCAAAGGAATAAAATTGATTATGACACCTTCCAATTTTGCCTTTGAGCCAAAGGGGCTAAATTCCTTATTTGCTAATTGATTTCTAGTTTAACAGTCTCCAAAAATGTATTTTAAAGTTAAAGGGCTCTAATGTCTAACCACTGGTTAAAGAGAGATAATTTTTTAAAAACTGATATGGCAGCCTTTAACATATAGCACTTATTCTGAGAATATTATCACATTCAGAAACAAAAAGATAGGAAATCACAATCAATATATATATGTGCAATTCCAATATTGGTCTGCAATAATAATTCAAATATTTAATGAGTGAAAGGCTAAAAGGGGGCTCTCATTCTCAAAAAAGAAGAGTTCAAGACTCTCTAATGGCACATCCTTCACAATCTGTAAAGGATTCTGTTGCCTTTTAAGAAAAGATGCCCCCTCCTCTCTCAAAATATTTTCTAATAGTAAAGGCAACTTCTATCCCAGAAGATTATACCAAAAGTTTAGATACTCTTTCAGAAAAGCACTTGCTAATTAATAAACGGGAAAGAAAAAATTCCTTTAATCGGCAGCATAGACCTAAAAACATACCAGAAATTAGGAGCTTTGTTGGTGAAATGTTATCATTATCTTGTGAAAGGCTTTTTAAATGTGACTAAGTCTGTAACAAATTATTTAAATTGCTCTAAAAAAGTCCATGAAGCAAACTATTCTTAGACTGAGGTTTTAAAATTTATTTCATTAACTTAAAGTTTTAAACTTTCTGATGAACAATGAAGAAAATGATTTTCAATAATTTCTAACTTTCTCAGGACACTTCACGAAGACACACATTCAAAACAATCTTCAAAATATTTTATAAAAATAGCAAAAAGTAATTTTTCTTATTTAAAAAAAATTCTGAATAACCATTACAAATTATTCTTAGAATTTAATTTAGTTTAATTCAAATCTAAGAAGAGAAGGAAGGCAGGCTTTGGGGATCTATTTTAAAAAGGTCATTATGAAACCAGCAATTGGTATTAAAAATATTCTTTGGTAGATCTCCCCAATTATCTAATTTTTAAGGCAAAATTACAACTTTTGCCTTGTAGTTGGTTATTATTTATTCACATAAGATGAATTTTTAATTTACCACAATTGTTATTTTACTCTGAAATTCTTATCTACCAAATTCTTTACCATGAATTTTGGACATTTTAGTCCATACTTATTGTTACATACTTTCATTGTTTAAAATTCTTATTTTTAAAAGGCACCAAAAAAAATTTTTGCTTCCTAACACCTTCACATTGCTAGGTTTTCTATGTTTTTAGATTAAGAAGATTCCACTTTTAAATGTAAGGAAATATTTTAAGCAAATTTCTTGTCCTATTAACCTAGGACATACTGCATAAGTTCATTCATTCTACACATGCACACACATTTTTTAGGTAGTCATCTCAAATTCCCAGCACACACTGTGGTTAGTTTTAATACCATGATCCTGTAGTAACTCTGTTTATAAGACATCCAGGGACTTTTAAATACTAACAATTTTAATGCAGCATAACACTACCTTTTTAAAAAAATAAGATATTTCTGTTTTATAAAATTTTTAAATGTTCTGATAAGCATTTTTTTTTAAGAGCAAAATTCTTAACAACAAACACCAATACATACACAAAATCAGAAAACAAAAATACCCAAGTGCCCTTGGAGGTTCCACACCACCATATCCTTGTCAGTACCACCCTGTAAAGAGGAGGCAGGGATAGCTATAAACAGTGAGTATAATGCAAACCTCTGGACAGCAGACTAATCGATTTAAAAGTAAAAATCAAATTATGTCCCTGTAATAATTTCTACTAGGCTTTCATACACATACATTTCTTACAACTTCAAATGTTAATAGCTCAATACTTTTATAAAATGTTATAATCTAAAAATCTTAATTTAATTTCTCAAATTTTACAATGAAATTTGCAAATAAGATATAAAAGTTAATCTAACATAAATGAAAAGTAGTAACAGTGGATTTTAGGTTTGAGCATTTCAAAAAATTTAGGCAATAAAATACAAAAAGCAAAAATTAGTTACCTCCAAAGTAGTCTTACGGTAAAATAGAAAAGAATTCCCATGCATGAATTCTAAAATCAGGTTAACTTTACAGCTAATCAATCTGATTTACCCTGCATTCATATTTTACTTACTTGTAAATACTTTTCCATGACTACCTAAACACTTACTAATTGGTTAAATATGCTACCTATATTAATTCCTGGTAGAACTAAAGAAACTAAAGGTCTACCTTTGTTTTTCAGAAGTGACTGATATAGTTTCAAAGTATTCAATGTTTCAGAAAAGGTGTTTATCAGGTTCTTAAGACATTTAAAAATGGCTCAAGGGATGATTTATAGCCCTTTTACCTTGATCATATTCACTACCTTGGATTTTGTTGAACAGATTCAGTTTCCTCCTTTTGAAACTCTTCCCTTACTCAAATAATTAAAGAATCTAAGATGTTATCAATATAAAGAGAAAAAATTAATATTTATTTCTTATACACTTGCAAACACACCAAAAAGAATATGTATTCCAAGCAATGTAAGTAAGTTTCTTCAGTAAAACTTTTTTTTCCTTGGGGATGTGTGTAACTGGTAATTTTTTATATATCTTAATTTTCCAAAGAACAGGATTCTAAAGAAAAAATATTAAAACATTCTTAGATAAAATTATTTTGACTACACAGCTCAAGAGGCAAATGATTACTGAAACAAAACTTCAAAGATAGCTATAGATATATGTTTTAGTTATCTGGCTTTCCAAATCTCACTTAAGACAGGAGCATCACATTTAATTTAGGAAACAACAAATTTAATCCTTAGAAAGGAAAATTTGCAGAATATCAAACCAAAATGTACATAGTGACAATCAGGATTACATTAAAAATGAAGGAATAACCCCCACCTGTGCATGTTATTAAAACACAAACAGCACCCTTCAAATTTTAAAACTATACTGATAAAGCAAATTCACTAATTTATTTTGCTATAAATATCTATTTACTATTTACTAAAATATTTTGGTAATAATATACAGATATAGAATGTGTCAATATTAGCCCACACTTATAAATCTTCCACAGCAGATAAATTCTTTATAGAATTTCAAGTAGCAAAAGTAGGCATATAAATTTCAAATAAGACTATCAATATATGAGGTTTCTCCGATTCCAACTGAAATAAAGATTTTGACTACACAATATCATGACATTATTTCTGTATACTGGTATAATTTAATAGCTTCAGAAAAGGATGTTCAACAGGTAGTATTTCTAAGGCATCACAAAAGCTCAGTACAATCACTTCAAATTAAATATTGTGCTGTGCCCCATCTAAATAAGACTCTCTAAGCGATTACAGATTTTAGATTGGTGCACTCTGAGTGCGTTTTCTGAACAGACAAGTAGCTAGTTGCATAAAATACAAACATGAAGAAAGTTTTACACCACCCTATATGAGAGGAAGAAAAAAAATCACAATACCAGCACTTTTATTTAGATTGACAATAAACCAGTCATAGTGTCCAAACAACCTGAATAACACGATAATCTAATATAACTTGAATTCCTTCATTTTTTTATAGAGATTGAATTTATTGATATTAGTATCTGGTTTGTCAAAGTGGCAATTATTCAAGATCTAAGTCTCATTTATTTTAAATGCACAGCATAATTCTGACTACTTATAGTCAATGTAACTGTCTTGAGCCAAAATACAATGAAAACGTAAGATAAAATGAAAAGGCTTTGTAAGTCTTAATGGCATTCTGAAACCTCTGGACAGAAGATCATTGGGCATGGAGGAGTTTCCCTTCTCTATTGATAGCTTAATCCTTTTCCAATCAATTTTGATTTAACTGTGGGTGATGAGATTAATCTTTTAATGAGTTCTTAGAAAGTTGTAATTGCTTCCAAAATCAGAAACCACAAGATGATGTACTCAAACACGTTACTGATGTGATGTTGTATAGAGGTATTTACAGAAAGTTGGAAGAACTCAGTTGTAAACACAAGTTAACATACAATAGACTACAAAAATAATAACTTGTTTATACAGTAGGGCAAGAAAAAACATTCTATATAAGAAGTCTAAAAATTCAGCTCTAATTTTAATCCATGTCTATAAATAATAAAAACAAGAGGAAATAAGGATTTATTTCAGAAACTCCATATACCTGTGGAAAATGGAACACAAGTAATTTCTACTGAAGATTAACCTTAATCCCCATTATAGTACAGCTAACAATTTACACATTTTAAATTTTGAAAATATCGTGGAAATCTAAAACATAAGAGCCGATAGTAGTTTATGGTCAGTAAACACTTTCTGTTAAATAACACAAATAAATTCAACTTAGAAAATGAAAACTCACAGGGCTCAGGATTTTAAAAATCTTTTCATTTCAAAGGCGCAAAGTTACAACCCATGCATAGGATGGACTTTAAAAATGGATGTGTAAACTTTTCCATGGTGTTGGTGTGTGTGCTTTCCTTCCCCCTAAAGAAATGCCTACTGCTTACAATTTTAAAGAATCTTCACCACTCTGTAATTTTCAACCAGAAGTCCTCAATGTACCTTAAGCCAAATTGAATATTAAGGTATTTTACAGTTTTTACAAAATGGCTGTAAAATCACATTATGGGCATACACAGCTCTTTGATCTCACTGCACAGAATTCATAACTGTTCAATAATGCTATACCATTACACCACACACCTTAAACTATTTCCATTTTTCCACAATTCCTTCCAAAATCAGCTTCCAAAGCAAAGCAATGTAACATGAAAAGTTCCTGGGAGGGCTTGTTACACAAAGGAACAGTTTGGATACAAACTATACACATATCCATCTTCGGTTGAGGCTGTTTATCCCTCCTGTCCCTCCATCACTCCTATGGGTGGGTGCACTGGAGTAACAGAAAGGGAAGGCTCTTCCATCACCACACCCTCCCAGCACCTCTGCTTTTGGTCCTCAGACAGTGATTCTGTGTAGGTGATGAAAACCATAAGAAAAGAGAAGCTGTCCCTTTAAAATGCCCTGCTCTGTCCCATATCCCACGTGGAACCAACATCAGCAGCACTTTCCCATTAACATCAATGTGATGCAAGAGACATCATCCTTTTATACACATAAAACCAGAAAACCTCAGCTTAACATTCTTTAGGAAGGATGAACAGGTGAAGCAAACATGTCAGGAAGGGGGAAACCAAGCAACTCCACATCCCTCCCCAAAAGGTACTCCAGCCTTGCACTCCAGCCTCTCTGAGCACCATCACCTCTCTATCCCTCCTCTGCAGAGCCCAGTTTAAAGAAAGGAGGGAGCCACTAACAAAACCTGAAGCATAAATGCGACGAAAATGCAATCTAAAGCCGGAAAGGTTCATTCTTCCAATCACACATATTAACTCTATTAAGAAAATGGCATCACTTTTTTTTCCACCCAAAAAAACCCCGCAAAGATCATTAAAAGAGAGTTATAAAATAGCAAATATAGTGTTTATCTTATCTGAGATCAGTCCACATTACCAATAAGTTTAGCAGTTTCTGCACTACCACCTCCCCCCTCGCTCCCCCTGCTTCTCTTGCATCGGATTTTCACGTTTTCTCATTGTCGGTTGAGTTATAAAAGGCTTTTGCCCTTCGAAAGTTTTAAAAAATAAATAAATATTAACTCCTTGGTCCCTGCAAAGTCAAAATGGACTTCAGGGGAAAGGCGGTACATACTTTTACCTTTAGCGAGAAAAGGGGGAGCATCCCGGATTTTTAGGGATTTTTTGCGATTTTTTAAAAATTTTTATTTGGTTATATGCCTGAGTTCTCCCTCCATTTTGGTTGTTTATGATACTGACAACAAGCTGTCCCTGCTCTGTGCCGATCTCCTGCTTTCATTTAGCACCCCCTCCCCCTACCCCCCCTCGCAGCCACACACCCCGGGCTCACACCTCCCTGCAGACCCCGCACCCCGACCCCGGCTTGCCCACCTGAGGAAAGGGCAAAAACAAATTCATTTCTCCAGAAAAGAAAAACCTCTTTTGAAAAAGGGGCAAAGTTACCCCAAGTCACTCAAAGTGCCCCCCAAATATTGCCGACTGCGGGTTTCCGCCAGGCCCTTTGGGAAGCGACCTTCCCCCGGGATGTTTTGGTGGAAAATGCGGAGAGTTTACTCTCAAAACTGAATTTATATTAATTTTTCCCTTATTTTTCGGGTCTCTAATGTCTTCCGCTCTCGCTGCTGCCGCTGCCGCTGTCACAATATTCACAGCACCAGAGAGGAGGAGGAGGAGGAGGAGGAGGAAAACTTTTCAAACTTTCCAGACCCTGAATAAAGGTTTTTTTTTTTTTCCCACCGACCTCACCTTCGGGTCCCCAGCCGCATCGCCCCCTGCCCTGTCAGAAGCGACTTCGGGAGTCCTCGCAGCCCCGCGTAATTATTTTATTTTATTTTTTATTATTATTTTTCTCTCTGGGGTCCTGAGCAGGGGCTGAGAGTAGCACAAACTTTTCCTCCTCCTGCCGCCGCCGCTGCTCCTCTGCCCCCTCGGCTAGTCCCATAATTTAAATAACCCTGATATTTCTCCCGCTAAACGCCTCGCCGCCGCCCCGGACCCCCGGAGAACTCACCGCGGGGCTTTAACATCCTCCCTCCGGCCCGTCCGCCGCCTCTACACCGCCCGCGGAATTTCTAATAATTTTTTTCTCATATTTCGGGCTGGACGCGGCGGGCCTGGAAATTGTTTCCTTACGCCTCTTTCCAGCAGCCATTGTAGTGTATGCGCTGCCCCTGCAGCCCAACTTGCAGCTGCCGCCGCCGCCGCCGCCGCCGCCGCCGACGTCGCGCCCACCGCTGCCTCCCCCTGCCTGTTCGGCCACCGCCCCCGCCTCCCGTCGGCCCGCCCCCAAACCCCGCCCGCCGCTGCGCCCGCCCCCCGCGCGCGCTCCGCCCGAGAGCTGGCCACTCGGAGCCGCCGCTGGCGGGAGTTGGCCCGCCCATTGGGCCGCGACGCCGCCCGTCAAGCCGAAGTGTTAAGAGACGGGCCGCGGCTGGGGGGCGCGGTGGGGCGGGGGAAGAGGGGGCGGGGTCGCGCTCACCGCCCCGCCCACTCCTCCCGCCTCGGCCCTCCTTTCGCCAGGCGGGGGCGGGGCGAGGCCCGACCGCCCCTGCGGCCCAGGGCCCCGCGCGGCTGTCAGTCTGGCGGCGGCGCGCGCCGATTGGGCGGGCTGCCGCCGGGGAGCGGGGGCAGCAAGTTGGGATGCGCGCTACTTAAGGTCCTGCTGCGTGAGCCATTGACGTGTTTGGAGCTGGAGACGGCCTGGGTGCTGGCGAAGCGGAGGCCGGAGGTGAGTGGTTCCCCCGCCCTACCTCCGAAGCGGCCGCAGAAAAGCGGGGAGAGAGGGGTGCCCTTGGGCCGTAGCGGGGCCCGAATGCACTTCTGCGGCGCGGAGGCGCTCCCGCCAGGCTTCGCCGCAGCGCGGACCTCTTCCCGTTGCTCTTCCTCCCGCCACACGGGTCTGTTCGCTCCGGGGGCGAGGAAGATGACCTCTGCCTAGTCCGGGCAACCCCAGCTCTTCTTCCACTCTCCTGTGTAGCCTCTGAAGCGCAGTTACCGGCCCCACCCCCAGTTCCCTGCGTTTTCCTCGCCCCTTGTCTCTCTCGGCATGGTCTCGGCACAGCAAGGTGTGTTCACCTGTGCGCGCCGTCCAGGATCAGATGCTGACGGGCTACACCGCGGAAGGCGGCGAGGCCTCGGGTTCGCCCTTCGTTTCTCCTTGCCCTGCGCGCCCACCTCCGGCAGGCCACCCTTGACTTCTTGCCCCCTTCCACTTTGCACCTGGCAGTGGGTTAACGGCACGGCGTGTGCAGCTTCCGGGTTTAGCAGAGCCGCGGACCCTGCCTGGGCTCCGACCACGGGGCGTGTGGGCATGAACGTGTTCAGAAACGTTTCCTTCCCCCTGCCCTTTCAAAGCTACTTAGAGAGGGGGGACGTGAACCACTGGATGGGAAATCAGGAACTGCTTTATTAAGCAGTTTGCCCTTTGGAGTGGATTTTAGAGTTATCCCCTGAATGTGCTATGGTTTTGTGGCCCCTCCTTCATATCTTTGCTTGGTTTTTCTTTCTGGTTATGCTCTGCAAGTAGTAGAGCCTTGTAACATTTATTTAGTACATTCAAAAAGTAATAGACAAGGCCCCTTTAGCGGAGCACTCGATGTTGTAATTCAGCCCCGCTCCTCACTGTAAATTGACATTTCCTCTTCAATTCCAGTTAATACACGAGGAACTCATGCAAAGGAGGGGACTTTCGGAAATCCAAACTTAGAGTGCCTTGTATTTAGAATCCGGAAGGAAAAGGAAATGAAATGTGAAGAAACTCATGCACCAAACTCGAACTGGGTATATGTGATGTTACCTAGGTATTATTTTTGAAGAATTTCTGACTGACAATAAAATATAGAGTAGGATACTTTCATGTAAGGCACGAAACTTAAATTTAATGCAAGGTTGTCTGATCCTTGTTGAGATTATTAAATCTAAGGTGTATGAAGAGTTCTGTGTTCTCACATCATAGGATAGGTGTAAAAAAGAAAGCTGTGAATTTATTTACTATCATCATCTCTCTTAGGAAGAAGGGAAGTGTGGAAAAAAATTGTCTTCAGGAGAGGAAGAAGCTTGTAGATATAATTGAACAGCATCTTGATTTCTTTTTTGCCAAGATGTTACTGTTGGCTGGTTATTTTCTTGTATTGTTCAATGAAAATCATAAAATTATTATTCAGTGATTACTTAATGGACACCAGAATAACCAAACCCTTTTCCATTCTTTTTTTTGCAAAGGCTGGTCTCCTTTGGCCTGGACGTCCTGATCTTTCCCATAGTAGAACTGGGCTGGGTGTCTCTTTTTTTTTTTTTTGAGACGGCGTCTTCCACTGCTGTCGCTTGGGCTGGAGTGCAGTGGCGCGATCTCGGCTCACTGCAACCTCTGCTTCCCAAGTTCAGGCGATTCTCTTGCCTCAGCCTCCTGAGTAGTTGGGATTACAGGCGCGTGCCACCACGCTCAGCTAATTTTTGTATTTTTAGTAGACAGGGGGTTTCACCATGTTGGCCAGGCTGGTCTTGAACTCCTGACCTCGTGATCCGCCCGACTCGGCCTCCTAAACTTTTGCAAAGCTGTATCTCTAGGAATTGAATTGGAAGATTACTGAAGCACAGTAGCATTCCCTGACTTCCTGCAACGCAGGGAAATAGTTAAAAAGAAGATGCCACTGGAAGTAAAATTTCAACTCTTTTGTTTTTGAAACAGTATAGCTTTTCATAATGTCAACTAAGCAATAACTTGGCTTTTTGGTGTGTTGGCTACCCTACTATTGGCCATAAAATAGGCACTCTGGTACTTCAGTTGATGAATGTTTTTGCTAAAGTTGGACTGTACCGAATTTCATTCTTATTTTGTACGCTAATTGGTGTAAAATAAGGAAGTAATTGTTGGAATGCATACTGTATTCTTAGGTTTTATTAGTACATTTGGTTGCTTAAACTTAAGAATAAGAGTAAACAACAACTGAATTATAATTGAACTATCTTTCTTTTTCGTTTTTTTGAGACAGGGTCTCTCTCTGTCACCCAGGCTGGAGTGCACTGGTGCAATCACAGCTCTCTGCAGCCTTGACTTCCTGGGCTATCCCACCTTACTTAGCCTTCCAAGTAGCTGGGACCACAGGCACACGGCACGACACCAGGCTAATTTTTGTATTTTTGGTAGAAATGGGGTTTCTCTGTGTCGCCTAGGTTGATCTCGAACTGCTGAGCTTAAGCAGCCCTCTCGCTCCAGCCTCCCAAAGTGCTGGGATTACAGGCGTGAGACACCGCACCCAGCCAGTAGATGCATTTCAATCCAATATATGGCCTTTGTGTTGAGGCATGGCAATACAAAGGAAAAACACGTTCAAGTTTTTATTCACAAAGTACAGAGAATACATGAAGTTCCTCACTAAGTGATCATTATGCCAAAATCAAAATTTCAGGTACTTTTAGTGCTATTGAGATGTATTGATTTATTTTCTGTCAACTACTGTATAATTATTTTTTTTCTGTCTACCCTCAGTAAGAAGACTGTTAGAATGCCCTCGGTAACACAGAGGCTGAGAGATCCTGACATAAATCCTTGTTTGTCGGTAGGATGGTTTGCTTTAATTTTCATGAGTGTTAAGTTGGAAAAACAGGCTGCTCTAGTTTTGTGGGCCTTTGTTTTCTGCAGTTGTTGAATAAAGTTATTTCTCTAGAAAAAATATTGTTGGCCAGCATATCCTATTTAACTAGAGCATTTTTAGATGTTTATAATTTCTCTAACAAACATTCATCTTTTCTTTAGTTTTCCTTATTTGTATAATATGCAAGCATTTGGTTGTCACTGTAAAACTAGACAGGAAAATGTAACACTGAGAATATTTAGTCCAAACATGGAAAACTGGAAGGTATGATATTTTTAAACTGTCACTGACATTTATTGTTTCACTAGCAATAATATCACCATGTCCTTGACAACCTGGCTGAGAGTAATGGGCTGATAATATAATTAGCCTATTTAAAGCTTAAAGGTTTTCACAAAGGTATCTGATAAACAAAATGTTTTAAGAGTAAGCTTTTATTGGCATTTATTTGGTATGATTTGCGATACTTACTTGTGGCTTTGCTACGTTTGAATAATGTAGTTATCATACTGGTCCCATGAAAATTATACTCTTTAGTTATATGCATTTTCCAAATATATACATTCATTAAATATTTGGCACAGAAATTCAGCTTTGTTCTGTTTACGTAGAACATGTTTCTTAGATATGTGTTGCAAACTGTCTACCCATATAGCTAAAGCTTTCCTTTAGATCTGTGTTCCCCAACCTTTTGGGCACCAAGGACCGGTTTTGTGGAAGACAATTTTTCCACGGATGGGGAAGGGGGCGGGCGTCAAAAGGCATTAGATTCTCCTAAGGAGCTTGCAGCCTAGATCCCTCACATGCACGCAGTTCACAATAGGGTTCGTGATATTAGATCCCACAATAGGGATCTAATAGCATTAGATGAGAATCTAATGCTGCCACTGATGTGACAGGAAGGGGAGCTCAGGCGGTAAGGCTCACTTGCCCATTGCTCATCTCCTGCTATCTGGCCGGGTTCCTAACAGACCGAAGACCAGTACCACTTTGTGGCCTGGGGGTTGGGGACCCCTGCTTTAGGTGACCTCACAGAATCATACCTTTCACTTTTAAGTTTGTTATTCAATCTACTTCCAGTTCACACAGCTTAAATTTAATCCCCATGTGGCACCTACTTTCCTTTGAATTTATAGCTTGTGTTGTTGACTTCGGTTTTGAAGTAATATCTATTAAAATTGCTTATATAATAGTGTATTTGTATAATGGAGTAAATGGTAGCCAAAAATGCATTGAGATGAATGGTGTTAATTTAGGTTGTCTTGTTGTAGACCAGTTATTAGTGATTTACTTGGAATCTTGAAACCAATATTATGATCAAACATTGAAGCCAAAGTGAAAATCTGGAAAAACAGGAGAGATGTACTGTGAGTCAGGAGATGGATTCTGATTCTAGTTGTGCAGTAGTCATTTAACACATTGCACCTTGCCTCAGTTTCTTACTAAAATGGTTACTGGATTAATTGATCACAGTTATTTGGCTCAAATTCCTGTGATCACATATTCAGAAAACTGGCCCACATTATAAAAAGGAAGATGTTAGCCTGAGCAGAGTGCATACTGGGATAGCTGGCGAGATTGTCCAGTTTTTATTAGTCTACCCATCAAAATGAACACAAATGAACTATTTCACATTATTTGCTTCTGGGGAAGCAGCTTTTGTTTGTTTGTTTGTTTGCTTTTAGATCCTGTTCTACCTTTTAAATGATGCCTCTCTTATATCTGTAAGGAATCTGATGCTTCCACCAGATGTCTGGATGAAAATAACTATGACAGGGAAAGGTGTTCCACTTACTTCTTGAGGTACAAAAACTGCCGGAGATTCTGGGTAAGCCTAGATTGGTTAGCTTTGTGTTAAAACCCATCTCCTAGGGTTGAAACTGAAGCCTAAAATTAGTCAGTACCCACAATCCTTTCCCACTGATGGCTGTAGGGAAACTTAACTTTTCAACTTTATCCTCTGTGTGCTACTTTAGCCGTGAAAGATCCTTGAGAGCTCTTGTTAGCTGCCTCGTCGTCCTCTAAGCTATAAGAATGCAGTTTTAATATAGGTGGGTCTTCTTAGACATTTAAGTATCTGCAGCCCTAAAACAATGTCTTTGTTATAAATTTAGTTTTCCTGGAGATGAACAGAATGTTTAACTTCCCTTGTCATAACACATCATGTTAGGCTTCAATTTCTGCCTTTTTCTCTCTCACTGCCATCCGTGGAAGTTAAAATGGTCCATTTTTCTGAAAACATTGGTATATAATTTCTGTTTCCTTGAACCACGGGATCCAGCTATTTCCTTTCGCTTTGCTAAATGCACTGTTGGTTTTATTTCACGATTATTCAGTAGCTCTTCTTGACAGACTGTATATACTTTTGTACTTTGTACTTTGTATATTCTCATCCCAATTGCTGTTAATGTATTCCTGTGGGAATGAGTACTTCTATTTAATTGTTACTAATTTAAATACGTTTATCTGGAGTCCTATAATTAGGTTTTGGGATTTTTTTTTTAAAAAAAACTTGGTTTTTAGAATTTCCTTTTTGAGGAAGCAATAGCAAATTACTGGCAAATGATTAGCATTTAATACATGACTGATTTTGGTTTCTTCTTTTTTATTTTAATGCCTGTACACAGAATTCTATCGTGATGCAGAGAAGAAAGAACGGAGTGAAGCCATTTATGCCTACGGCAGCAGAAAGAGATGAAATCTTGAGAGCAGTGGGAAATATGCCCTATTGAATGTTTGCATTAAAAGTGTTTATATAACTTAGAAGCAGATGAATATTTCTAATAAATGATTGCTGTAATATTTAAGACTGTACACCCCTCACCCAGACAGACCTTAAGTTCTTCAAGTGGAGACAGTGAAGTCACCCCGTGTCCTTTTTGCTTGCTCTCAGTGCCATGCCGATGGTATGTTGCTGTTGGCTGTGTTGTGGCATGAGTTTGCATGACTTTCTGGAGGCATGGAGTTAGGTAAGGCTACATGAGAAATTGAGCTTTTCCACTGGGTTTTGAAAGAAGAGTATGATGTGAACAAGTAAAGACTGAATGGGGCTGAGATGAAGGCAATGTTTCCAAGGAAAGGAAATGTTATGAGCAAGAGTGTGAGGCAAGAGAAGCTGGAACCACATTCAGAGAGTATCCTGTAGATTGCTCCACCTAGAATCTCAGGTGGGTGGAGCAGTGGTGGGAGAAGACTGGAAAGGTAAGTTGAAGGTAAGGAATGTGTGGTGGGCCTCAGATCCCAGGCTCATTCCTCAAATCACTTCTTACTTCCCTCACTTATCTTTGTTTAAATAAGGTTAGTACATTCACTAGGGGCAAATGGGTTTTTCTAAATAAATGACATAAAAAAGAACTGGTTGTCTTTCTTTAAAGAAAGTCTTAGTTACAGGATTCTGTGATTAAAATCCTTAAATATTGGGTTGCCTTCTGCAGCTGTAGTATCAGTTTTTGAACCACAGTAATGGGAAGAAAGACAAATGGATTCCCTTAGAAGTAAGATTTCTATTTGCAGGATGAGTTGGGCAGGGAAAAGGGTCAGGGTTCATCAGGTGAACTCAACACTGGGATGAGACTAGAACTTCACTTTATGATATAAACACAATACGATTATTCAATGTGGTGACTGGGGTAGACTGTGAAGCAGCCCTCCTTATGCCCACTGCCTTTTAGAATCGTTTGTTTTATTCATGGTAGTTTTATGAAGACATACTATTATTGAATGAAATTTAATGTGTACTTGAAAACATTGCTTTTGTCCCTTCTCTTCATCTGGTCTTGGGTCAAGAACATTGTTTTAATGGCTGCCGACAATGAACTGTCTGTCTGAGTCTAAAACCAAGCTCAGGTTTCTAAGCCACATGACCTTGATTGTTAAATGTAGTTATATTTGAATAAAAAATGAATCATTTCCAAAATTCTTTTGATTTGTATTGACTGCTATAAAAATGATGGATTAAAATAGGACCAGAAAAGAATGAATGCCTACCTGTGTAAGAAGTATTTTTGTATTTTTAAGCACACTTGTTAAAGGGCTTGGAATTTTAATGTCACTCCTTTGAAGGTACATACCAATATCAACATTCATCTTGTAACTAGTTGTCCTGATGCCACTCTTGTTGAGTCTTTATTTTCAGTACCTTTGCCTTATTGCTGAGCACTTCAGGTAAAGACTTGGACACCTGCCTTCCCACCAGGCCCTCGTGCCCGCTGGGCCTCTGGGTTGAGGTTGATGTAGTTCAAGAACTGCAGTTGGCTGCCGGGCGCGGTGGCTTACGCCTGTAATCCCAGCACTTTGGGAGGCCGAGGCAGGCGGATCACGAGGTCAGAAGATCAAGACCATCCTGGCTAACATGGTGAAACCCTGTCTCTACTAAAAATACAAAAAAAAATTAGCTGGGCGTGGTGGTGGGTGCCTGTAGTCCAAGCTACTTGGGAGGCTGAGGCAGGAGAATGGCGTGAACCTGGGAGGCGGAGCTTGCAGTGAGCCATGATGGCGCCACTGTACTCCAGCCTGGACGACAGAGCGAGACTCCATCATAGAAAGAAAAAAAAAGAACTGCAGTTGGCTTACCAGTGGCACTCTGTAGGGAGCTATAGTTCTGGAGATTGCGGAAGAAACTTTTTTTTTGAGATGAGTGTCGCTCTGTTGCCTAGGCTGGAGTGCAGCGGTATTATCTTGGCTTACTGGAACCTCTGCCTGCCAGGTTGAAGTGATTCTCGTGCCTCAGCCTCCCAAGTAGCTGGGACTACAGGCACCCATCACCATGCCCAGCTAATTTTTGTATTTTTAGTAGAGATGGGGTTTCACCATGTTGCCAGGCTGGTCTCAAACTCCTGGCCTCAAGTGATCCACCTGCCTCAGCCTCCTAAAGTGCCAGAATTACAGGCATGAGTCACTGCAACTGGCCCAGGGGAGAAACGTTTAAATGCTCAGGACCAAGGGATAGCTCAGTCCAAACCTGGATGTGGGGGCAGAACTAGAGCTGCAGGGTTCGAGTGATCACCAGAGCCTCCCTCCTAGGACTGTGGCACATGGAGTCCACACAAAGACATGCCTCTTACTTGACTTCCTGAAAGACTTTAAAAAGATAACAGCCTTATTGAGATATGTCATGTATATCAACTCTTAAAAGTATGCAATTCAGTGATCTTGTATATTCATGAAGTTGTGCAGCTATCACCACAATCAATTTTAGAAAGTAATCATTTCATTACCCCAAACTGAAACCCTGTACCTGTTAGCACTCACTCCCCTTTTCATTTTACTTTTTATTTATTTATTTTTTTGAGAGAGACTTGCTCTATCGCCCAGGCTGCAGTGCAGTGGCACAATCTCAACTCACTGCAACCTCTGCCTGCCAGGGTCAAGTGATTCTTGTGCCTCAGAGTCCCAAGTACCTGGGATTACAGGCATAAGCCACCACGCCTGGCTAAATTTTGTATTTTCAGTAGTGACGGGGTTTCACCATGTTGGCCAGGCTGTCTCAAACTGCTGACCTCAGGTAATCCACCCTCCTCAGCCTCCCAGAGTTCTGGGATTACAGGCGTGAGCCACCGTGCCTGGCTCATTTTATTTTTTAGAGATGAGATCTCACTCTGTTGCCCAGGCTTCAGTGCATTGGCGTCATGATGGCTCACTGCAGGCTTCAGCTCCTGGCCTCAAAGCATCCTTCCGCCTCAGCATCCTGAGTACCTGGAGTTGTATCTGCGTGCCTGGCTCCCATTTTCTTCTAATGCCAACCTCCAACACTTAGGCAACTGGTAATCTACTTTCTGTTTATCTTATTGCCTATTTATGGACATTTATATAAACGGAATCATATAATATGTGGTCTTTTGTGACTGGCCTCTTTGACAGCCTAATGTTTTCAAGGTTCATTTATGTTGTTGCATGTATCAGTACTTAAGCATTCTGTTGTATGGCTATACCACATTTTATTTATCCATGAATCAGCTGATGGGCATTTGGATTTCCACTTCTTGCCTATTATGAGTCATGCTGTTTTTTGAACATTTTGTACAAGTTTTTATGTGGACATTAATTTCTCCTTAAGATATATACCTAGGAGTTGAATTGCTGGGTCACGTGGTAACTGTTTAACCTTTTGAGGCACAAACAGTTTTTCAAAGTGGCTGCACTGTTTTACAATCCCATCAGCAGTGTATGAGAGTTCCAAATTTCTCAACTTCCTCATTAACACTTGTTATCTGCTCTGGATTACAGCCATCCTAGTGGGTGTGAACTGGTATCTCCTTATGGCTTTGATTTGCATTTCCTTGATGGCTAATGATGTCGACCAAATTTTAATGTGTCTATTGGCAGTTTGTATCTCTTCTTTGGAGAAATGTTTATTTGGATCCTTTGCCCATTTTTAAATTGAGTTGTCTTAATTACTGAGTTTTAAGGGTTCTATATATACCAGTACAAATTCCTTATCAGATACGTGGTTTGCAATTTTTTTCTCCCATTCCGTGAGCTGTATTTTCACTTTATGGTGTACTTTGAAGCATAAAAGTTTTTGATTTTGATGAACTCCAATTTCTTATTTTCTTTCGTTGCTTTTGGTATCATATCTAAGAAAGCATTGCCTAATCCAAGGTCACAAAGATTTCCACCTTTTTTCATAGAGTGTTAATGGTTTTAGCTCTTACATTTGGGTCTTTGTATATTTTGACTTAATTTTTGTACATTATGAGGTAGGAGTTAGGCTTCATTCTTTTGCATATGGCTATTCAGTGTTCCCAGCACCGTTTATTGATGAAGACTATTCTTCATTGAATTGTCTTGGCACCCTTGTTGCAAATTTGCTGACTGTACATGTGAGAGTTTATTTCTGGCCTGAAATTCTATTCCATTGATCTGTATAGGTCTATCCTTATGCCAGCACCACACTGTCTTGATTACTGTAGCTTTGTAGTAATGGCACAGCTCTTTGATGATTGGTTTCTATAAGTGTGTTTTTTATAAAGTACTTTCAATGACAAACTAATTGTTTTGGGATTTTTAATCAGCAAATCCTTAACATATATGTAATGACTCTGTCCAGGCAAAACTTGTTCAGTTTAAAATTTGTCTTCAGTAATTCCCTAATTCCTAGTTTACCTCTTTACACCTACCCTGAAAACTTCAGTATACTCTTCTTATAACCTGGTTGTTCAAGATCTCATGGCACCACTTTTGAGTGGCAGTCTTGGGAGTTTTTCTCATCACCACTGTTAAATTTGCCTCTGTTGTATTTATTTCCCTTTCCAAGATTCTACTTTGGGAGAGGTGAAGCTAATTAATTTGATAAATTGTGTCAGTGGGCGCCATGAGAAATTTTGGCGTCGGCAAGCCTTTGATATCAATTATCAACTGACAAAATATAGAGAAGGCATTTTGCTGTGTTCATGTGCATCTCTGTCCTGCAGGAACCATCTTATTACAGATTCTCAGTGGGTTGGGGGAGGATGGTGCACTGTGTCTGTAGCACGGAAAAGCATCTTTTTTTTTTTTCCTTTTTGAGAATCGGATCTAGTATTTGTAAGCTCCTGGAGGACATAATATCATTCACGGTTATAGCCATAATGCCTGGTCTGCTTCTATTATATAGTAAATGGTCAACAAATGTGTGTGTTTGAGGAGGTGGTGGCTTTTAAAATTGACCACACTGAAAAACATGCAGGTTCAAACAATGCAAAAGGGTATACAGTGTACAATAAATCTGCCCCAGAAGCAGCCGGTGTCAAGTTTTCAAGATTTTCCATGCATATAAAAGCTTATCTATTACATAAAAAGAACATCATAGTACGTGAGCTGTAGGATACCTTGCTTTTTTCACTTAATGATATTAAGTGATATTAAGTTTGGAATGATTTTCTATCTGTGATTATAGATTTACTTTATTTCTTTCAGTGGCTTCAGTTTCTGTTTTATGATATACCATTATTGAAGCAATCTCCTGTTGATGAGTGTGCTATAAACAAGGTTGCAACATCTTTGTTCTTGGGTCTTTGTGCGTGTTTTTATCTGTAAAATTGCTAAGAGTGGAATTTCTAGGTTAAAGCTTTTTGCGTTTAAAAATGTGTAGATACTGCAAATCAATTGCCCTCCAAAAAGGACCACACCAATTTATACGCTTATAAACAAAGCCTGTGAGTGTTTCTTACCTGACACCCTCAGTCCCACTGGATACTTTAAAACTCTTTCATCCTTACCAATCTAATCAGTGAAAAATGGAACTGCAGGTTATTGGTTTTCCCTTGCTCATTTAAAAAATGTTGGTGTGAATGATTTGGGGACCCTTGGTCTATCAAAGAAATTACCTTTTTGTCGTATGTATTCTATGTGTATTCCCTAGTTTGTCTTTTAACTTTAATTTCTGCTTGTAAAGATATTTCTGTACAGTGTTTTACATTTCAATGTAATTAAGTGGATCAGTTTTTTTATTTATGATTTCTGGAGCTCAATAAATATTAAGTGAATCCAAGTACCAGTACTGCTGTTACCGTTAAATTCTGCTCAACAGATATTTGCCAGGCGTCGATAATGAGCAAAATGCTAGGCTAACGTTGTGGAGGAGCATGGATGAATAACACTGTCCTGGCCCTCAAAGAATTCCACTCTGCTGTAAGGGAAAATGAAATGATCACCATAATAGGAATAAGAGCAAACTTCTAAGAGGGGAGCCTCAATAAATACAAAGGGGCAATAAACACATAGCATGTTAGAGGAGAAGTTCTCACGGGAGCCAGGGTGTGTGAAGGGAGGTAGCAAGAGAAAAAGTCTAGAAAGGTAAAATGGGTGTAGATTATGAAGGGTCTTGAATGCCATGCTTGGTATTTTAGACCTTATTCTGTATGCAAGAGAAAGCTATGAAGGATTTTGAGATGGAGAGGATCAAATCTAGTTTGTGTTTAGAAAAATCTAGAGGCATTGAGGCAGACAGGTTATTGCAGTGATTCTGAATCACACTGCAGCTGTCTTAACTTTTCTCCCATCGAATCTTACCCCCGACCTCCCACCGCCATTCCTTCTGTATACTATGGCCAGGCAAATCTTTCTAAAACACAAATGAAATAATTCCTCTGCTTGGGAAAAAATTCCCAAGACCTGCTCACCACCTCAGGCGCACGTTCACATTTCTTCCCTTGGTTTACAAAATCCTCTGAGAGCTGGCACGTTTATAAAGGGAGCAGCTTGAGGAAGTTAGAAAGGGATTTGGTTTTGGACACATAAGACCCAACCCATGTCCTTAATGACCTTAGGTTTTAGTTAGATAGACAGACATAAAAATATCTAAGTGCAGGCTGAGCATCCCTTATCTGAAATACTTAGGACCGGAAAAGTTTTTTATTTTGATTTTTTAAAAAATTTTGGAATACTTGCATTATACTTATCAGTTGAGCATCCCAAATCTGAAAATCTGAAGTTGGTGTGCTCTAGTAAGCGTTTTCTATGAGCGTCAAATTTGGGATTTCAGCACTTTAGATTTCAGATTTTCAAATTTGGGATGCTCAACCTGTGCATTCCTTCCATGCACACTCACCATTCCCGATGTATCCTATTTTCTGAACTTGAACGGCCATCTCTTGACTGCTCCAGTTAAAATTTCACCTGTCTGTTAAGGCTTAGCTCATACGAAATCTCTCTAAGGCCTTCCTCATATGCCTGGTCAGAATTCTTCTCCCCTCCTAATTCCCCCTCATCTCTACTGTAATATTCACTTTGTGTACTCTGGGTAGCTGGGTACATTACTGAACATGGTAAAATCAGGCAAATCAAGTCGCCTAAATGCACTCTAATTATTTCACCTTCAGTTTTTATTTTGCAGAGGAAAAATAAAAGAATAAAATGTAGTTTAAGCATCAGTTGCTTTATTCCAAAAAGGAGACTAGAAGAGGCAGATTTGTTCTGCTTTTCAGTTATAAACACAAGAACAATTTTCACTCATAATCTTCCATGTTATGAGTGGTGTCTGTCATTGCTTGTGTCCGTCAGGACATGACAGCCCTGCAAGTGTCAAGTGTGGTGTTGGTGAGGTCTTAAGCCAGGCCTCCTGCCCCGTTCAGAGCCCGCGGTTTCTCTCAGGGCTGCTGGGCTTTTCCTCTGACAACTGGATGGTGCTATTATGCAACGAAATGCAAAGTCTGTTTCAGAACACATGCGTTTTTTCCAGGAAAACTCTTAAATGACGTTTAAAAAACTGTTCACCTACAAAAACTTTAGGTGACTGTACACTCTATTTTCTGCTTCTTTTGTCATTGATTAGTGACCACAAATGAATAGGCTTGAGATAGACTCAGATTCCTCCCACGAGTCCTGGTAAGAAACTAAAGGAAACTAAAGGAAAATCAGGTTCATTGCAAAGCCTCGTACTTCAGTATTGGTGGGCTGAAGGAAACAGGGCCAGTTATAAGGAAGTTTAAGCAGGAAGAGAGGAAGTGATAGAGACTGATGAGGCCGTAGCAAGAAGAAGAGAATGGTTCACTGAGTGCAGGATGGGGGCTGTGGATTGCAGTAGGTCCTGAGGATAAAAGATCATCTACCATAAACATGAAGATCCTCATGCCAGAATCTCAACCACAAATCCTGCTGCACACACAGAAGTAAAACACAGCAGGGTGTGGAAAGAATGTTGCATTCAGAGTCCAAATATCTGGGTGTGAGTTCTGGCCTTGCCTCTTATCACCTGGATGGTCTTGAGTAGATTGCTTCATCTGCAGCACCTTTCCTTCTGTGAAATATATATTTAAAAAATCTATAGGTCGTTGTGAAACCCAAAGAAGGTTCTCATGTGTTGTGCAAGTAGACATTATTAATATTTGAAATGCATCTACATAGATACTCGATGTATTTGTAATAAGTAAAAGCCTCAGCTAATTGTTGATTGACTCTGGTAAAGCCGTAATATCAAGTACTACTTCTTACTTACTTTACTCTTCTTACTCAGCCACCTCTTAAACCTCTCTCCCACCCACCCCTCAAAAATCCAAAATGACAATTTAAAAAACTTCTCCACCTCTCCTATGAAAAGTTACAAGAAGCCAAATTGTTTGTTCTTTTATTTCACTCCTTTACTTTTAGTTTTATTATATGACTTGGTCCAGAATGTTCTCTCTCGATAATTTTCTTCTCCTTCACATCCTACCATGATCATAGTTCCTTAATATATACCTGGAATCTCCAATAAGCAAGGAGTACAAAAACATTTTACTGGGGGGAGGTGGGGAGATTGTAAAAGGAATTGGACCTATATACCAAATCATTGAGAAGAAACTTAATATCATCCATCAACATTTAGAGCACGACATATATAGGTAAAGCTGTCAGCTAGATTGTCCCACTAACCATAACCAGAAGTCCTCTCCTTTCTCTTCCTTCCAAAGCTGTGTTTCATTTCCTTCAAGAACTGCTCTAGTCTCTTCTCACTTCCACTGAAATCTGTGTGCTAATTCTGCCTCTCCTAGTCCTGTTCCTCAAGCACCTCTTCAACCTCACTGCAGCTTCCTCGCTTTCCACCTTCCCTGTGCTGTAGAGCTGAGTACAGCTCTAGGTGGCTCTGTACATGATTATATGTTGGTGTCTATCATTTTATCCCACATTGTACACATAGGTTTTATCTGTCACGTCCTGCATGAAAATGCAGAAGCAGAGACCACTGGGGTACTTCATATTTGCACAGCCCTTTGCAGTTTATAAGATATTGTCAGAAACATGATCACCTTTAAGATGGAATACAACCCAATGAAGTCAGTATTTGTCCTACTTTGTAGGTGCAAGATGGAAACTCACAAAGTTTAAGTGACCTGCCTACTGAACAGGGTTCTATGTTGCCCCCACTCCCCAGTTTCTCCTGTGGTGAACTCCACCTGCTCAGTGTCCTTCATTTCCTTTACAGCTCTTGACTGTGACTATTATTCAAATTACTATTCATTTCACCATTTCATACTTACTGAGTGATACACACACACAAAAAATGCTTCTGTAGAACATGTAAAAGTGAATGAGGATGTTTATACTGTAGGAGAAAATTACAAATTAACAAATACCATTGATTGGATAACTGATTATCTACTAAACCTTCTTATGAACTCTAAGAAATCTTTCAAAATGTTGGATTCTGTATACCCTGACAACCTCATCACATCCTCATCCCATCCACTGTTATCCTCTGATAACAGTGAGAGATGACATTGGTGAGAGATGATAACATGCCCTTTGTCATAAAGTCAAAAGGAAGAATAAGGCAAAAAGACTTGATCATCTGCAAAGTAGACTTCTCCCCCGCTGGATAAGTAGGCTGGTTTTGTCATTTTCTTGTGCTGGTGTTTCCTGACACATATGTGGACTCCTTAAAGACTTGGGAGTTGTGGACTGGCATGGGGTGTTTTGAATTTATGGTACACACCCTGGGCAACCAGAGTGTCATCTCCCTGTTTCTTTCACTTCATATATACATATATGTCATCTTGTAGAACAGAATTCCAAACCCTTGACAGCTTCTGTATATAATTCCTACTTTTGAAGAATGTCTTTCATAACTTTAATAGATTGCATTTGTCTCCCTCTCTGGAAAACAAAACCAAAGGACCACCACTGCAACATAAAACCCAGACTGGTGAATACTCCTGCAATCCTGCTAAGCTGAGGCTGTACATCTCCAGCCTTCTCAGCGTTATGACTTCCCATGCCTAGTACAAGGGTGTTAGACTAGTGTTTGGGTCAGTTTCCTATGTTTCCTTTTTAAATCTCATTACTTATTTGCTTATTTATTTTTAATTGTTGTATGGGGATGGAAGAGAAGATATGAAAAGCTGAGGAAAGAGGGTATACAATGGGAGGTGTGTCACTGGTGATTAGAGGCATGGTCTCTTCACTGGCTGGATTTATAATTCTCCTTACTTATTTTTAACTGGGAGCTTTGGATACATTCTTAGATTTAAAAGTCTCAAGTTCTGTAACTGTAAAATGCCAGCCTCAAAGAGTGACCTGTGGATATTGAGTAAGACAATGTCTGTAAAAAACTTAGCACCGTGACTGGTTCATAGGAAGCACCAATAAATATTGGCTACTTTTATTATTCTCTATTGCTACCTTTTGAAGAGAAAGGAAAATAAAAAGACACTTATGAAATCTCTGTTGAAACAATGGGGTTATATTTTGGTTTTTATCTGCTGAAATAATAGATCAATATTCCCTAACCGCCATGCTGTTGAGCTCCTGATGTTCTCAAAATTGCATCCTAGTCTTGAGTAAGAATTCGTTATTGCTGAATGATTACAAAACTAATTATAGTTATTTTAGTATCTGGATATCTCTAAGGGAGAGGGCAAGCTCGATAAAATTGCATGGTGTTGCAAGTCATTAATCTTCAAGAAGACAGTAACATATTTCCAAAGATAGCCAGAGCATATTATAGCAATTAATTGGAATAGAGACCTTCCTTCTAAACTATAAAATAAATGATGGGATGGGTTTTCTTAGAAGGGGTGAGCAACCAAAAGAGGGACTGCATTGCATAATGAAACATTGGGCACTCTGAAGAATATAGGCTAGGGTGGGACAAGGAAAGGATAAGTTTAGATTAAATAAAAGTTCTGGGCAATGTGGAATGTGGGAAGAAGGTAACAAAAGAGAGAAGAGGCCAGGCACGGTGGCTCACACTTGTAATCCCAGCACTTTGGGAGGCCGAGGCAGGTGGATCACAAGGTCGGGAGTTCGAGACCATTCTGACCAACATGGTGAAACCCTGTCTGTACTAAAAATACAAAAATTAGCTGGGCGTGGTGGCGGGTGCCTGTAATCCCAGCTACTCAGGAGGTTGAGGCAGGAGAATCGCTTGAACCTGGGAGGCAGAGGTTGCAGTGAGCCGAGATCATGCTCTTACACCCTAGCCTGGGTGACAGAGCAAGACTCTGTCTCAAAAAAAAAGAAAAAAAAAAGAGAGACAGAGAGAAGAATGACATGGACAAAGTTTAATTTGAAATTTTGCCAAGGCTTTGCACCTAGAAATGAGGAAAGCAAGCAAGGAAAAGATTTAGAGATGAGCAGGGTACACATAATGACTGGAGTATTAGAGACATAGCTATCTTTCAGCATTCGTTCATTTGTACAATAAATATTGAGTACTTGCCATGTGTCACACTGTCCTTGGAACTGGAGGTTCATGACTGAACAAAATAGGCAAGATCCCTACCCTCATGGAACCTATATGATAGTGGAGAGAGATGGACAATTTGCAATAAGCGCAATAAATGAACTAGATACAATATCAGGAAGTTATAAATGCTGTGAACGAAAGGTTCTATAAGGCAAGATAAGAGGGGCTGGAGGTGTGTGCCTAGAGCGTTAGGGGTGGGGAATAAAGGGATGCTGGGGAGGAGGGAGTGTGACTGTACTGAACATGACAAGGGGCAGGGGCAGCAAAGCTTGTTCCTTCCTGGCTACCACCCAAATGGGTGACTTAGCTTCTTGCTATCCTATCTGACTGTTTATCTGTTGAACCTCTCCTGGGTTTTAGAATGTGCAAATAAAAGAGGTCATATGAGTGTCCCTATGAGAGCAGGAGTGGGCATTTAAGGAACTTGGAAATAATGTTTATTGAGGTAATGAAAATGCAGCCGTGAATAGTAGTGTCAAAGCTTTCTAGGGTTCAGGCAGAAAAGGACTCTAGGGATGCCAGGACAAAGACAGTGCAATGAACTTTGAATCCACAGACAGCAGGGAGTGAGTTTGTGTATTGTCGTACAAAAAATAAATGAAGGCTGTTCATGAAGTTCAAAAATACTTTCAATTTTGAATGTATAGAATGCCAAACATCTTTGGCAGACAGCTCCTTCTCTGCTATGCTGTCTGTTGCATCCTTGCAAGGTTAAAAAAAAATATGCCAAACATCTTTGAAGAAAAATCCCTTAGCAGAGGGGATTCTAAGGTCCTAGGTGGAAAATTCAGTTAGTCCTTTGCTATTATAATGCCAAGCTCCTAGATGATTGCGTCAATTTCTTACTTCTCCAGGACATTGCACTGTGTACTCAGGGTCAAGCCTGGAGCTGGGATCAGGGGGCTGGTATAAGATACCTGTGTGAGATTGGAGCAGTGCAATCTTAGGTAGAAGGAAGAAACATTTTCCCCTCTTTTAGAAAACCTTCCGTTTGTTGTCCTGGCTGCCGGAGGCCATGCTATCCTAACCACATTGTTTAGTGGTGGACCTTTATTTCTGACAGAGGCAAGCACAGTGAGTCCATGTTTCAAAATGTGGAGGGCCCCTCTAAGCCACAGGGAGAATTTGCCAACCTCTACTCTGTTATAAATTGATGCCACAGTGGGAGTACTGTTTTCCAATTCCCACCTCTTGACTAGAGAACCAATTTAGGAGAAATAGAGGAGCAAGGGCCTTTGTGCCAAGTTCTCAGACCTTCCCAGGGCTACCCCCAGGGTGAGCTCAGCCTTTCGTCTAAACACCACACAGATTGGAAGACATGATATGGGGTGAGCGTTTGCTGAACCACCTATCTAGTTAAACAGGGTTTTTAGCCTCTGATGTTCCAAGTTGGGGCTTGAATGCTTCCAAAATAATAAAACAATATATCACTTCTCAGGATATGCTGGGGGCAGTGATGTCTGAGTGAATGGAATGAATGAGACAAAATCACCTCCACACTACAGAACACTGGAGTTCACTCTGGGTAGCGCAGCCACACAAGACGCTGCTTACATCAAAATATTTCACAATATTCCACCCAAATTAAAACAATGGAGACAACTAGACAGTGATATAGCAACTATACATCAACAAAGGACGAGAAAGTTTCTTAACACTGACAGGCAAATACAGAATAAATAAGTGAAAAATAGGCACTTGAATGTTTTTGCAATTTTTTTTTCAAGCTTAGGGGATTCTTTTGCAGCAGATTTTCTGGGCACCAGAAAGGGATTACAGGAGATGTAAGAAACAAGTGAAAGACAGAAAGAAGCAGACAGAGCTGGAGGCATAGAAAGCATATTTAATTTTAATTCGAATCTAAACATTTTTATGGAGACTTCAGGGTTTCTGGCTTGGCTGAGTAAGTCGGCTACGAGTTGCAATTGTTTCATATTGTAGAAAGAAGGAAGCGTTTCATGGAATTGGATTTTCCCCTTTGTTTTTCCTTGCTTCATTGCAAAACGTTAAAATGAAAAAGTTTACTCTGTGGTTTATTCTAAACAAATTCAATTCAGCATCCAGGTATTACTGCTCTACCAGCCAACTGAAGTACTTATTTCGAAAAGTGTATTTCTGACTTTAAACACTTAAATCCATTGTGGTTTATCATCATGTCAATGTATATTTTGGAGCGCGCACAGCTCTGCGAAAGCCTGTGGAAATTCCTTAAAGGAGTCTGTGAAAGGACTCAGCTACAGAGGCGCGGCCCCGTTTGCAGAGAGCGTGGATCTACATCGCAGACACCTCATGGCATATTCTGAAACTGTCCCTCCTAAAAGGGAGCTGAATTCAGGCCCCAGTGGCGTAAATGTGTCAACCAACCAAATAAGTTGTTTTTCAGTTAGTACAAACAAAATTCAAGAACCAGCATCTGTATGGGTGAGTGAGCTCACATTCTGAAATAAGAAAAACTTAAATTTGTACAATGACTTCAATTACAACTTAATCCAAGTTTTTCTCAGCTGATATCCAATAACAACTTTGTAAAACAAGCCAGATTCTAAAGTCTCTATTTTCACAGTTGAGGAAAGTTAAGATTAAATATTAATCAGCGATGTCCAGGACCACAATATTCTTCCTAATACAGTAGATGAAGGATCATTTAAATATGCCTGTTTGGTTTTGTTTTAACTTCAAATCCAGTGCACATCCATTATATAATATAAAGCCTCTCGAAAGTAAATTCACGGCCAGGCATGGTGGGTCACGCCTGTAATCCCAGCACTTTGGGAGGCCGAGGCGGGCAGATCACGAGGTCAAGAGTTTGAGACCAGCCTGGCCAACATTGTGAAACTCCCGACTCTACTAAGAATACAAAAATTAGCCGGGCGTGGTGGCAGGCGCCTGTAATCCCAGCTACTTGGGAAGCTGAGGCAAGAGAATCTCTTGAACCCGGGAGGCAGAGGTTGCAGTGAGTCAAGATCACGCCACTGCACTCCAGTATGGGCAACAGAGCAAGACTCTGTCTCAGAAAAAAGAACAAAAAATTAGCCAGGTGTTGTGGCGGGCGCCTGTAGTCCCAGCTACTCAGGAGGCTGAGGCAGGAGAATCGGTTGAACCTGGGAGGCAGAGGTTGCAGTGAGTCAAGATCACGCCACTGCACTCCAGCCACCGCAAGAGAGTGAGACTCCATCTCAAAAAAAAAAGAAAGTAAGTTCACTTCAAGTAAAATAACGTTCATAATGTTAGGCCATTTAAAGTTTTTATGTTAGAAATATTGGCAGGAATTTTTGTTTTGTTGTTTTTAATTATGCTGATTGTCAGTTAAAATTGCACAAGAAAGATTTAAATGAATTAAATGGAACCTCAAGGGGGAAAAATTTTTTCCCCATCTAGAATGTTCCCCATCTAGAATGTTCCTGGATGCTGAGCACTTTTAGTTTACTCAGAACACTTTTTCAAAAGTCCTTGCGCTATTCAGAGAAGATGGGTATTTATAATGAGCTCCAGTCAGGAATGGGAACATAACTTCTGCCAAAAACATTTTTCAAAGATATTCCACAGTTAATAATTATAAGTTGCCTCCCAAATAGAGCAATATTGCTACCATGACTGTTGCTGCTGCTACTACATTAATATTAATGACAACAATTACCTATATATATATATATTTTGAGATGGAGTTTCGCTCTTGTTGCTCAGACTGGAGAGCAATGGTGCGATCTCGGCTCACTGCAACTTCTGCCTCCCAGGTTCAAGTGATTCTCCTGCCTCAGCCTCCCAAGGAGCTCGGATTACAGGTGTGTACCACCACACCTGGCTAATTTTGTATTTTTAGTAGAGATGGGATTTCACCACGTTGGTCAGGTTGGCCTCAAGTGATCCACCGGCTCTGCCTCCCAAAGTGCTGCGATTACAGGTGTGAGCCACTGCGCCCGGCTAACAATTACCAATATTTTAAAAATGCTTAGTATGCACCAGGCACCATGCCATGCACTTTCTGTGGGTACATTGCTTTTCCTTCTCATTTATTCTTCATGACAACTCTCATTCTCATATTACAGGAGAAAAACCTGTGACTTGAGGTTAAATAATTTGCCCATAGTCACATAAGTAGTATGGGATGGATCCAGGATTTGAACTCAAACAATATAATTCCAGAACCCATGAGTATAAATGTAATGTGACATTACCTTCCCAGCAGAATTTATAATAAAAGTTGAATTGTATTAATTGTTTATTGTCAAACTGGTTATCAAACTTGTTTTCACAAATAAACTAAAGGAGATTTGAAGAGGTGAAGTGACTTGCTCAAGTTCACATGGCTAGTAAGTTAGAAAATAGGGATCCATTTAGAATACTTTATCCACAATTCAGTTTTAATAATTGTTATATGATATCTTAACTCTATACTTTATTTAAAAAAATTTAGATTTGGGAGTATGTGTGTATGTTTGTTACATAAGTATATTGCAAAAGTGGCTTCTAGTGTACCCATTACTCAAAAAGGGAACATTGTACCCAATAGGTAATTTTTCAACCCTCAACTTCCTCTCATCCTCCCCACTTTTGGAGTCCCCAGTGTCTATTATTTCCATCTTTATGCCCATGCCCATTGTTTAGACCCCACTTACAAGTGAAAACATACAGTATTTGACTATTTCTGAGTTACTTCATTTGGGATAATGGCCTCCAGCTCCATCCATGTTGCTGTAAAGGACATTATTTCATTCTTTTTTATGGCTGCATAGTATTCCATGATATGTATATACCATATTTTTCTTTATCCAGCCAACTTTGATAGACACTAAGTAAGGTTGGTTCCATGACTTTGTTATTGTGAATAGTGCTGTGATGAACATATGAGTACAGATGTCTTTTGTACAGTGATTTCTTTTCTTTTGGGTAGATACCTGGTAGTGGGATTGCTGGGTTGAATGGTAGTTCTATTTTTAGTTATTTGAAAAATCTCCATACTGTTTTCCATAAAGGTTGAACTAATTTACATTTCCACCAACAATGTATAAGTATTTCCTTTTCTCTGCATCCATGCCAACATCTGTTGTGTTTTGACTTTTTAATAATAGCCATTCTGACTGGTGTAAGATGGTATTTCATTGTGGTTTTAATCTGCATTTCTCTGATGATATTGAGCATTTTTTCATATGATTGTTGGCTGCATGAATTTCTTCTCATGAGAAATGTCTGTTCATGTCCTTTGCCTAGCTTTTAATGGAGTCGTTTTTTTCTTGTTGAGTTGTTTAAGTTCCTTGTAGAATCTGGATATTAGTCCTTTGTCAGAGGCATAATTTGCAAATATTTTCTTTTTTTTTTTTTGAGATGGAGTCTCACTATGCCACCCAGGCTGGAGGTCAGTGGTGTGATGTCGGCTCACTGCAACCTCCTCCTCCCAAGTTCAAGCGATTCTCCTGCCTCAGCCCCCGGAGTAGCTGGGATTATAGGTGCATGCCACCAGGCCCAGCTAATTTTTGTATTTTTAGTAAATATGGGGTTTCACCATGTTGGCCAGGTTGGTCTCAACCTCCTGACCTCAAGCGATCCACCTGTCTTGGCCTCCCAAAGTTCTGGGATTTCAGACATGAGCTATCGCACCCAACCTGCAAATATTTTCTCTCATTCTGTAGGTTGTCTGTTTACTCTGTTGATTATTTCTTATGCCGTGCAGAGTCCTTAATTACGTCCCATTTCTCTATTTTTGTCTTTGTTGCATTTGCTTTTGGGGTCTTCATTATACCTTCTTTGCTTGGGCTAACGTCCAGAAAGATTTTCCTAGGTTTTCTTCTAGGATTTTATGATTTCAGGTCTTATGTTTAAGTTTTTAATTAATCTTGTTAACTCTATATTTTAATAAGACATTAATATCTACTTTTTAAAAACAAAATGAATGTACTTAAACATGATAATTTCTTCTATCTTTCATATTTCTAAGGAATTTTAATTATAATTTTATTTAGTTATAATATAATTTTTAGAAATTATCTTCATTTTTACCTATACAAAATTATCCTTTTTTGGGGTCCTCCTCTTTATAAGCTGCTTATTCTGGATAAATCATTCTAGGTTGAGGGTCTTTTTGTTTTTGTTATTGTTTTGGTACTGTGAAGTTGTTATACAATAGTTTCATAATTTTTCTCTTCTTGTTTAGGAGAAATCTGTCTGTCTAGCTGTTATTCCTTTATAGGTAGCCTGTATTATTTCTTGGGATATATTTAGACTCTTTTTTTTTGTATTTTGTGTTTTTAGTTTCTTGTTGATTTGTCTAGGTATGTATTTCTTTAGGCTTCTTGAATTTAAAAATTTGTATCTTACATTAATTTTTAAAAATTAAACTTCATCGTTATCCTTTAACATATTGTGCATCCCTTATTCAGTCTTTATTTTGCTTCTAGAAATGTAGAAAGTTCTCTATCCTCAAGTGTTTTAACTTCTCATATTTCCCTATTCCTTATGTCTCTGAGATGTAGTCTTGGTATTTCTTCAACAGATGCAGTCTTGGTATTTCTTCAACTCTACCTTCCAATTTGCTTTTTTCCTCATCTGTGGCTAATCTGCTTTTTAAATTGTCCATTTAATTATTACTTGTAATTATTCCACATTTTAACTACTAGAAGTTTTCTTTGATTCTTTGCTTGATATTCTTGCTTATTTCATAATCTCCCATTCTTTATTCATATGTTTAATCCTGTAGATCAGGGGTCCTCAATCCCTGTGCCACGAACTGGTACCGGTCCGTGGCTTGCTGGAAACTGGGCCACACAGCAGGATGTGAGCAGAGGGCGAGTGAGCAAAGCTTCATCTATATTTACAGCTGCTCTCCATCACTTGCATTACTGCCTGAGCTCCATCTCCTGTCAGATCAGAGGTGGCATTAGAGTCTCATAGGAGTGCTGTGTATGTGAGGGATCTAGGTTGCATGCTCCTTATAAAAATCTAATGGCTGATGATCTGTCACTGTCTCCCATCACCCCCAGATGAGACCGTCTGGTTGCAGGTAAACAAGGTCAGGGCTCCCACTGATTCTACATAATGGTGAGTTGTATAATTATTTCATTATATATTATAATGTAATAATAATATAAATAAAGTTCACAATAAATATAATGTGCTTGGATCATCCTAAAACCATCCCCTACCCTGGTCCATGGAAAAATTTTCTTTCATGAAACCGATTCCTGTGCCAAAAAGGTTGGGGATCACTGCTGTAGGTAGAACATCATGTAGATCTTTAATTTAAATCTATTAATCACACATATATATGTGATTCCATGTATGAAGTTCCCAGTTTTTAATATTTCTGCAGATCTTATTCTCTTGCCTATTGTTTCATGTGGTTTGCATGCAGTGGTGTCCTGTTCTAGTTTGTGTTTGGTGGTTTTTGATTATGAATATGTTCTTTAGAACTTTATCTGTAAGACTTCTTTGTAAATACATTTCTCTCGAGAGGATATGCTTTTTAATAATTTGGGAACATTTAATATGAATTATTGGCTATTAATTTTTAGGGAAACATTGATAGTGGGAACTTGAGAAACACACCTATAAGTGGGCCTATTGCTAATTTTGCATTTTTTGGAAATTCTTTTTCTTCTCCATCCACCAGAAAGATGAAGAAAAGAACATTTTCTTTATGTGAATAAAACCAACAACAATGAATAGGGATACAGATTCATACAGTCTGATTCCCAAAAAAGGGGAGTGGAACCCCACGATTTGATCACTTCCCCTTCCTTGAATGATCTCACAAATTAAGTTACAGGTCTCAATTCTCTAGAAAAAGGGACTTAGATATTATATCCTCCCAAATCCAAATTTCCTGCTCAGGAATGCTCAAACTTTTGAATTGACAAGGAATCACTTTCGTTTCATGGGACTGTTATGAATGACAGAAGAGCTTGAGAGACCTGGAAAGGCTGGAGCCACATGTATGGAAGCTTCCCAATGATTATGAAAGGCTTACTGATGGTGCAGAAGCCTGAGACCACGAGATTCAGAAAATCACATTCTTTTTGTCCTAAGGATGCTTTGGACCTGATTTAAAAAAACCTCATATGGTTTTTGTGAGAAAATACTGCAAGGGGCTCTGTGACTGATTCTTTTGCTGTCTCTCTGGATCCCAAGGCTTTGAAGAGAGGAGTCTTTACACAGAGCGGGGGGACCTGCAAAACCTTAGTTCTCATCTAGCTTTGGCAGGGTAAAGGGATTAGCCAGGTGCTGAAGGTGGCTTACTGCAAGGCTGGCACAGGCCTGATCATGTGCTCATTCTTCTCCACCACATGGTAAAGTGGAAACTACTATCACCATGTCAGATAGCAAAGGTGATCTTTATTCTTGCCAATAGTTACAATGAAGAAAATTATCTTCCATCATGAGAGTACCTCTTAATTCCATCTTGTCTATCTGGGCAAATCTAGAAAAGAGGCATGCTGAATGTCTATAGAAAAGAACTGGCTTTTTAATTTAACATATTAGTTTGAATTCAAAACATGTACAAGGTGCTGTGATGCAATGGCTTTCTAACTGTCCAAATTTCCAGAATGCACTCTGGTGGAAATATAGCCCCCAGAAGAATAAATATGTAGCCTTGTTCTCCTACTACCATTGCAAAAACAGTTGAATGGAATGCTTGTGCCTGAAGAGTTGTCTGAGATTGTATTCACCAGGCAGTTTAGAGAAGGACGCACATCAGGGAGGCAGGGGATATCCATCTTGGCCCCCATTTCAGCGTGGTGCAATGACTCCAGGACTGCAAAGAATCTCATTGTACAAGACCTACCTAAGCTTACAGGCAGTCCCAGAGATGTGAACAAGGATGAAGTGTGTGAATCAATGTCAGAAGTGAAATATGCCCATGACTTCAATAACAGCACCAGATACCAGCTCATGAATGACTGGTTAGAAGTGTTTTATGGATGAGATGCATGGTGGTGATATACCCAATCAGACATTCAGGAAGTGAGTCTGTTGTGTCATTTTGTGTGACCTTTGACAAGCCACTTAACTAGTCTGGCCTTTACTTTTCTCAAGTGGGACTTGTTCATCAACCCTTCCTGTCTCACTCTGAAGTGCTCTGATCTCTATTCTAATCCGTCAAATAGATTCGTAGACCATGCTTTGAGAACCATTGATATAGTAATCTAAAAAACTGACTGTACTTAATTTCCCAAGCCTTTGAAAGTATAAAGGAAGAAAAGCTTACTCACTGCCAGAATTTGGTTACAGAGGAATTTAATTATAGCATTTGGGCATGTGTCATTTAACCATAGCTGTTAAGAGTCGTGGTCAACTGTTTTATTAAGTCATTTATCGTCTTCAGCAACTACCAGTCTGTAATTACCTTAATTCTATTCCACCAGTTTGTGTGAAGGGAGTCCTGTTCTTTTGTCCTCTGCATCCAAACCCTAAAATAAATCATGATCATCATACTTACATTCTGTTGAGTTTAAAAAATTTTCCACTCCTGATTTTCTGTTATCTGATTTCTACTTTTCCTAGCGTTAGAATAATAGAATCATAATGTTTCAGAACTAAAGGTGATTTTAAAAATTATTTAATCTCACCTCCCTTTTACTCTATTGAAAATTGAGAACAGGAAAGATTTAAAAATTTAGAAAGGCCTACAGCTGGTTAGTGATGGAGTCATGCTTACTATCAGGTGCCCAACCCTGCAGGTTATGGAAATGCCTGCAGATTTCCATTTCAGTGAGGCCCACAATTTCAGTGAGGCCCAGGAGGCTCTAGTTCAACCAGAAGGCAGAACCCAATCTAATCTGATTTGAGAGATTTGGATATAGCCACCTGATTTATAATGCCCAGGCAGAGAAACACAGTGTACAGTAGAATGTGGGCAGCCAGCTGAAGATGGTGTGGAAAAGGGGGCATAAAGATAAAGTCAGGGGCACTTGTTAGTTACTCTAGGGATGAGCTACAGTAGAAGTAGTTTAACTGAGATTAAACATTTGGATGTTTTGCAAATGCTAAAATATTCAGGCAGGCACTTTAGAATGCATTTTGCCCAAATCTCTACTTCTGTTTTTTTAAAAAAATGTGAATGTGTACAACATCATTTCAATTTGCTTTACCCAAAAAAGCAAATGACAGAATGTTTTTACTGTGATTCATTCACTCATTAATTCAACGAATGTTTGTTGAGCCCCTACCAAGTGCCAAGCACGAGGGGCACACATCTGCCGAGATCAGATGGAAAGGGGACAAGAAAAACTGGAGAACCCAAGTCTCCAGTCAAGAGATGATGGAGGCCTGGAGCAGAGGGTGCAAGAGACACGTGACTTAGAGACAGGGGAAGAAACCTGTAGACAGGTGATACCTGGAGAACAGGGAGGAGGATTATGGGTGATTTCATTTTTTTTTAAAAATTTTCTAGTTTTTTGTGCACAGTGGTGCTTTGTTAATAAAGTAATAACAGGATTTTGGCCTGGAATGATGATGTTGCTACGATTTTTAAAATGGATTATTTTTTGTTTTGAAAGAATTTAAAATTTATAGAAGTGTTGCAAGAATAATGCAAAGGACTTTCAAATACGCTCTGCTCTGATCCACCAGTTGTTAACATTTTGCTACATTTGCACATTCTTTTTCTTTTTTTCCTCTCCTCCTACACATATAATTATATATTTTTTCTGGACCACTTGAGAGTACATCGCCCTTTACTCCTAAATACTTGAAGTGTATATTTCCTAGGAACAAGGACACTTGGCTTATGTAACTATGTACAATGATCAAAATCAGGAAGTTTTATGTTGATATATTAGTATTGTCTAATATATAGTCTTTATGAGAATTTTGCCAACTGTCTCAGTAATGTCCTGTATAGCAATTTATTTTTCTGGTCAAAGAGCCAGTCCAGGATCACATATTGCATTTAGTTTTCATGTCTTTTTCATTTCCTTTATTCTGGATCAAGTGATCCATTTTTTTTTTTTTTTTTTTTTTTGCCTTTCATGTTTGGCAATTTTGCAGAGTACAGGTCATTTATTTGTAGAATTTCTGTTAATTTGAGTTTATCTGTGATTTCCTCATCATTGGATCTAGGTTTAAATAACCTGGAGTTTTTTAGCCATAGTACTATCTAAATGCTGTTGTGTCCTTCCCAGTGCACTGTATCTAGAGGCACATGATGTGGTATGTTAATATCACTGATAAAGTTAATTACTGGTGGTACTAATTTTAAGGTAAGACTACATATTTTAAATGGTAGATTCTTTTGTTTTCTTTGGCTCAAAGTAGTGTCACTGTTAAACAGTGTTTTAAAATTATCTATTTAAATTAATATGGGCTCACATTTACCCCACAGTAAGTTACACATATCTCCAGAGAAAAGGGGTGTGCACATAATTGCTATGTCAGGCTAGG
Organism: Homo sapiens; assembly: GCF_000001405.40. NCBI lineage: Eukaryota > Metazoa > Chordata > Mammalia > Primates > Hominidae > Homo > Homo sapiens. The sequence goes on from NC_000008.11 coordinate 56,240,220, forward strand.
TTATTACAATACAAAAGCAGGTTAAGTATAAGTCAATCCTGACATAAGCAGGGATAACTTGTTTTCAGATTCTGGATGTGCTTATTTTCTAGGGAGTTATTTGGATGTTTTTCTCATCTGTTGACTAAATCTATGAGCCAAATGTAAGTTGTAGCATTTGGGGATATTATGTACACTTTCGACCTTCTCTTTATCAAAAAGACCAAAAATAATTGCAAACTTTGGCAAGGATGCAAAGAAGAGGGAACTCTTATCCACTGTTGGCGGGAATGCAAACTAGTACAGCCACTATGAAGAACAATATGAAGGTCCCTAAAAAAACTACAAATGGGACTACCATATGATCCAGCCATCTCACTATTGGAAACTTATCCAAAGGAAAGGAAATCAGTATATTGAAGAAACATCTGCACCTCTATGTTTATTGCAGCACTATTCACAATAGCCAAGATATGGAATCAACCTAGGTGTCCTACAACAGGTAAATGGATAAAGAAAATATGAATATATATGCCATGGAATACTATTCAGCCATACAAAGAATGAAATCCTGTCTTTTGCAGCAACAAAGATGAGCCTGGATAACATTATGTTAAGTGAAATAAGCCAAGAATGGAAAGCTGAACGCCACATCTTCTCATTTATATGTGGAAACTAGAAAATGGTTGATGTCACGGAAGTAAAAAGTAGAACAGAGGATACTAGAGGCTGGGTAGAGTAGAGAAAAGGGAGGGATAAGGAGAGAATTGTTAAAGGTTATAAAATTACAGCTAGATAGGAGGAATAAATTCTAGTGTTCTGTACCACTGTAGGATGACTGTTGTAAACAATAATGTATTAATTAGATAGTTTCAAGAGCTAGAAAGAGGATATTGAGTGTTTTTAACACAAAGAAAGGATGAATCTTTGAGGTGATGGATATGCAAAATCCCCTGATCCTCATGAGCACCATACATTATTTGTCTCAAAACATCATTAGGTACTCCAGAATATATACAATTATTATTTATCAATTTAAAATATTAAATTAAAAATTAAAAAAGAATATATTCAAAAGTAGAACAGAGGATAACTAGAGGCTGGGAGGGGTAGAAGGTAGGGAGGGATAGGGAGAGATGTGTTAAAGGTTATAAAATTACAGCTAGATAGGAGGAATAAATCCTAGTGTTCTGTACCACTGTAGGATGACTGTTGTAAACAATAATGTATACTTTAATCTATGATGGATCACTTCATAGTCATTCCTATTGGTAGCTATGAAGGAAAATGACCCATTTCTTTGGATCCGTGCTAAAATTTTATAAAATCTTTTGAGTTTTTGGAAGAAATATACTTTATTTGTATGAATCCATTTATAAGCTTCTCAGTATCTGAAAATTTTTCTTCAAAGATGTTGATAGACTAATGCTTGACTTTTCTACAAAAAAGCCATTGGATCTCTCTGGCATCTTTGCTTTTGAACTAATCATGCCAAAATATGATTTGCCTATAAGCATGTGAGCTGTTTTGTTTTAATAATATTTTAGCCGTGGCTGAGCCACTGTGGATTTGAAAGAAACAGGCCAAATACTTGCTGCAGAATGGGCCTTGCAATTCTTTCCTTTGGGTGTGAAATGGTTCTCTTTTAAAAGAATTTGCAGTAAATCAGATTTGCTAGTCATTTTACATTCCCAAGAACAACAAGATTGAGTGAGGGAAAGTGGATAGAAATAGCATTTCAGGAACACCAATGTTCAGGGCTTAGATGGTGCAAGGAGGGGAGTTTGGCTGGGACATTTGCTATTTCCATTGCTGTGAATCAATTCTTTGGAACCTTGTGGAGTTCAGCATGATGAAGCCGCAATGCTGCCGAAGGCTGAAAACAGCAGTGGCTCCATGCTGCTATCTGGTGGTATACTGCTGCATTGCCTCCCCCAGTAAGTCCTAATCTCCAGCTCATGGGCTCTTGGCTGGCCCCTGTGGACCAAAGAGAAAAACTGGGAAGTTTGGGTTGTTTGTTCATTATGTGCCACAGAAGTTTCCCCCTTCTTTTGGTGTCCTTTTCTCTCCTCCTCTGTGGAATATGTATCCACTTCCCTTCAGATAACTTGGTGCCTTTTGTATCGTCTTTCCTTTCCCAAACAACCACAGCAAACAACAACAACAAAAATAAAAAACAAACAGAAAAACAAGAAAATGACTAATATTTATTGAATCCTCCTAGCTGCCAGACTCACTGAGTGCTTTCTAAATATTATTTTCTTCAATCCTGGACACAGACACATGGGGGAAGAGAGAATTATTTTTCCATTTTATGTAGTTAACAATAATTGAGCCAATGTTGATCACTGGCTGGTCTGTCTAGAGCTTGAATTCCCAATCACTACATTGCCTTTGGACCTCCGTGTGACACTGAAGAATATATGGTCGATCCCGTGGAAATTTTGTTTGGTCTCACTTCTAATTGTGGAATGAAAATTTATCTCTTATGTCAAGCTTTAGTGAGCAGGTTGCAAAAATATTTTGGGATATCTGGGGCCCTCAACCAGTGACCCTTAAAATCTGCCTATAAAGGCAGTCACTTTTCTGAGGTGGCTGATAAATCTAGAAAAATTGGAGTGACTTAGTAATTGTAAAAGTCAAATGAGAATGCACATGAATGAGATTTGGATGTTCTGCACCAAAATTAATTATTACTATGCAATAATTTTGCTATATTCCTAGTTAATGTTCACACATGACCAATTTAACATATCCAGTGGAGGGGTAAGTATTGTTTTCATGATGCATTTGAGTTGGGTACAACTTCTCTGATTTGAAAAATTTAGAACTCTGTATCAGTGATTTTAAAGTGAGGCTATTTCTAGAACATGCAATAAAAATTACATATTTTATTTCTTAGCATATAATCTAACTAAAAGTAATAGCCAACCAGCAAACCAATATCTAACCAATCAAATACGAATTCTTATGAAACTTATGAATATAGTGTTGTACTAGTCACTGTATTTCCAAGACTTTTTTTCTGATCTTTTTTATAAATAGACAACACATTTATAATTAAAATGTAGACTTTAAGCTTATGGCAAGTGGTAGGTGTTCCATCAGTACTCCCTTCTGTGGCCCCACCTAAGCCCTGAGCACTGGCATTCCTGAAACTCCATTTCCTTCCACTTTCTTTCATTCCCCCTTTTAGATTTGTGAAGATTCCAGAGTCAGATCCCAAGCTGCATGCACTCTATAGACGCAGCCATGTCTGGAGAGATATAGAAGACCTCCCAAAGATGAACTAACATGAAATGCTAGAGAGGGCATGGGAAGTAATTTTCTTTAAGATGCCTGACATACCTACAAACTTTATTTCAATGACCAGCTTCAGAATAAGATGGGAGATCATGGCAAAGTTGGTCTGGTAAGGTGGCATTGCTCCAAATATGCCATAGCATGCTATGTCCCATGTCTAGCTCTGGGATGAACTGAGGCTGTGACACACATGAGGCCACAGCCTCCACATCTCAGTGAGCCACTGAACACAGCGAACAGGGTTGGGTGGCGTCCATATCCAAGTAGGGCACCAACAAGGGTTGGGGGCAGTGTCTTCACTTGGCCAAATAACAGTGAGGGCACGATGGAGAACACAGCCAACAGGGTTGGGTGGGGTCCATATCCAAGTAGGGCACCAACAAGGGTTGGGGGCACTGTCTTCACTTGGCCAAACAACGGTAAGGGCACGATGGAGAACACAGCCAAGGCTCTGAGTCACATACTGGAGTCTGGCTACTCCAAAAGCCATTTCCAATTTCCTTTCCCGCCCTCTACTCGGGGGCTGGAAAGCTCACACACTAACTTTTCCAGATGCTCTTACAAACAGAGGTTGCCAGGTGAGCTAGTTCTGGACAACAAGATAGAAGTGGAAGCCATTAGATTGGGCTACCAGTGAAGTTTTTGAAAAAAGGCAACTTTGGCTGGAATGCTTCCTTCAGCACTTTGCCCTTCCTTCTTTTTCCTTCCTTCTCAGAATCAGCCCTGGACACCTATGACTAGACTTCTTTTTGAATGGATAAACAAACACCTATTTTGTTTAAGCCTCTTTAGTATGAATTTCTGCTACTTGCCACTGAATGCATTTCTAACTCATGAAAGCTCTGAGAAACCTAAGTGTTTGCTGATGAGCACTGGGGTGGTGTTGGTACTAGCTGGACCAACACTTTGGGGAATGGGAGCCAGAGATTCAGGAGGAAACACTGGGAGTCGCAGGGGGAAGAACTGAAGGAGGCCAAGTGGTAGTCACCAGAAGCGCCATAATTAGAAACTTTAGTAGGTTTAGGAGGGATGGAATTCCTAATTTCTGCAAGTGGAGTGGGAGGCTGAACCAGAGATTTACACGCTGGGTTTTTGTTGTTGTTGGGATTCCTTTGTACTCATCAGCTGGTATAGCCTGAGGGAACTTGGGTTGCAAATTTTTTGATGTTCACATTTATGAACTTTAATGTATCAATTAGGTTTTTTTTTTTTTTGTTGTTGTTGTTTTTTAATGGAGTCTCACTCTGTCACCCAGGCTGTAGTGCAGTGGCACGATCCCAGCTCACTGCAACCTCTGCCTCCCAGGTTCAAGCGATTCTCCTGCCTCAGCCTCCCAAGCAGCTGGGACTATAGGCATGTGCCACCACGCCTGGCTAATTTGTATTTTTAGTAGAGAAGGGGTTTCACCATGTTGGCCAGGTTGGTCTCAAACTCCTGACCTCAGGTGATCTGCACGCCTCAGCCTCCCAAAGTGCTGGGATTGTGGTTGTGAGCCACCGCATCCAGCCAGCTCATTTCTTTCCAAGAATCCACTATGTGCTTAACAGTTCACTAGATCAGGGTTTGGCAAACTTTTTCTATAAAAGTCTAGATAGTAAATATTTTGGGCTCTGCTGGCCATTCAGTCTCTGCCTCAACCACTCCATGCTGTCATTGTTGCATGAAAGCAACCACAGACAATAGCTACAGAAAGAAGGATGGCTGTATTCCAATAAAAGGTTACAAAAACAGCCCACATCCTGGATTTGGTGTGAGAACTATTTGCCAATCCTTTGCTCCAGATCTTATAGTGGCACCACCACCAACAACAAAAAAGTTAGGGTTGGGTGTGGTGGCTCACACCTGTAATCCCAGCACTTTAGGAAGCTGAGGTAGGAAGATCGCTTGAGACTAGAAGTTTGAAACCAGCCTGGGTAACATAGTGAGACCTCATCTCTAGAAAGTAAAAATAAAACATTAGCTGGATGTGGTGGTGCCCACCTATAGTCCCAGCTACTTGAGAGGCTGACAAAGGATTCGAGGCAGCAGTGAACTATGATCACACCACTGCATTTCAGTCTGGGTAACAGAGTGAGACTCTGTCTCAAAAAAAAAGTTAGGTTTTTGTTTTAAGTTAGATATACAGTTGACTCTTGAATCACATGGGTTTTAACCACAAGGACCTACTTATATATGGATTTTTTTTCAATAAATAAAGTTGGCCCTCCTTATCAGTGAGTTGCGCATCCACAACCAAACATTGTGGATGGAAAATACAGTATTTCTGGGATCTGAAACCTGCATATAGATACTTTATGTACTTAAGTCCCACCTTGGGACTTGAGTATGTGCATATTTTGGTATCTTTGGGCAGTTCTGGAACCAATCCCTTATGAATACTAAGGGATGGCTGTGTATATCCCTTTAAATCATGTTTACATTGTTCCTTTCACAGCAAAATTCCTTTGTCACCACACAGTTTTTCTTAGGATTTTCCCAGTAGGAGTTGGATGATATGGTGCAGTTGGCTTTCTGATGCATGATCCTCCCACAGCAGTGTTTCCAGAAGTATGTTCTATAGAACACTAGTTCCATGGGATATCTCATGGGGGGGGGGGGAAGGGTATGGGATATCTCATGGGGGGTGGGGGGGAAGGGTAAACACATTTGGAAAACAATGGGTTTAAAATGTCAAATTAGGCTAGGGGCAGTGGCTTATGCCTGTAATCCCAGCACTTTGGGAGGCCAAGGCGGGCAGATCACGAGGTCAAAAGTTCAAGAACAGCATGTCCAACATGGTGAAACCCCGTCTCTACTAATAATACAAAAATTAGCCAAGTGTGGTGGTTCACGCCTGTAATCCCAGCTACTTGGGAGGCTGAGACAGGAGAATCGTTTGAACGTAGGAGAAGGAGGTTGCAGTGAGCTGAGATTGCGCCACTGCACTCCAGCCTGGGCAACAGAGCAAGACTCCATCTAAAAAAAAAAAAAAAAGTTAAACCAATTTCTCTATCTCATATGTTACAACATTTATTCAGTTGCCCAATCTAGCAATTTGTGAGTTTATTTATTTTTCTCTTATGTCTGATCCATCTCCAAGTGCTATTGATTCCATCTCTTAAGCATTTCTTCATTTGTCCCTTTCTCTCCATCCCTATTCCCCTAAATATCCCTATTTCAGGTTCTGGCTTCCCTTCACATTCAATCTTTTCTATCCTCAAACCCAAGCTGCCAGAATCCTATGTCGAACATGAAAATCTAGGCTGGGCATGATAGTGTGCACCTGTGGTGGCAGCTACTTGGGTGGCTGAGGTGAGAGGATTGCTTGAGCCCGGGAATTTGAGGCTGCAGTGAGCTATGGTTGTCCACTGCACTCCAGCTTGGGTGACAGAGCAAGACCCTGTGTCTTAAAAAAATACGCAGATCTAACCTTAGCACTCCCTTACTTTCAACCCATCAATGACTCCTTTCTGGCCAGGGCAGCATTTTCTACCCGGTGATCACTGGGATGTTAGATGTACCACAGGAAAATTCTGCATGAAACTTTGGATAAACACATTTAGACAGAGTTCTTTACCTTTTGGACTTCTTAACACATGAATGTACATTTTGGCTGCTTTTTTTTTTTCTGCTCCTCATGGAGCAGAGCTACCCCACAGGCAGTGTGCCCAGAGTAGCCCCATTTTGGCTCTTTAAGAGAGGATACCAGATGCAGCATTTCTCAAACCCAACTGAACATGCAGAATTCCTTTTTCATGGGGCACTGTGAGGAATTAGCATTTCAATGGAAACTCTTTGAGAAACATTACCTTGTGTATATTGCAAAGAGTTCCAATTAATGGGGATTCACTCAACTCTATCTCCCCAATGTAAGAATTAGAGTGTCTACTTTGATGTTGCCTACTGTACTTTTCTTGGCTAGATTGTCTACTTTTTCCTTATTAAGCAGCCTGGACAAGTGCAAAACAATATTAGAGGTTTAAGAATCAAAGAGGTTAGCCTTGGAATTTCAACCATTTACTAAATGTAAGAACTTGGGTAAGTTTCTTCAGTTTCTTTGAGTCTCTTACTTTATCATTAAATTCAGTGTAAAACCTGCCTCATATGGTTACTTGAGTAAATGATACACCATATAGAAAGTGAAAAGCTGAGTGACTGGCATATAGAAAGTGCTCAATAAATGTCATTTCTGCTATGTTTGGACTTTCAGGGGAGATCAGCTTGAATGCCACGGAGCCAAAGTCTGTGTGTTTGGCTCAGCCCCTAGGTGAATAATAACTGAGTCTCTGTGTACAAGGAAGGATCTTGACAAAATATCTCATGCAACTTAAAGAGAGTATTGTCCATGCTGTGCCCTTAGGAACTAAAGTGTGTTTTAAGTGGCATTCTTTATTTGTCTGTTCAGACTGACAACTCATTTGTCTGATCTGGTGATTTCATCTGCTTTCCTGTGTCTACGGCAGTGCCAATCATGCCTTTTTGCCAAAGCCGCCTCCTCGGCATTTGTTAATAATTGCACCTTGTTTGCATTTTGCATTAAATAATGTGAACACACCTTGTCCTCACTTTGTGTGAAAATGTTTTCCTCGCATTAACAAAACTTTTCCTGAATTTATTAACAAAACAAGTGGTAGTTTTGTTTGTTAATAAATAATAGTCTGTACTTTGGAGATGTAGTATTCACTAGCTTTTATTTTTAAATTTTTAATTACAGATATTTAGACAAAGCACCTTACAAATTTTAAGAAAGATATGAACAAAGTGTGATGTATTTGCAAAGGGCATGAAATATTTATTGAAGAGACCTAAGGTTTTCTTAAACATTAATGCTTTAAAATAATCTGAAAAAAATACTTAATAAAATATGTGGTGGACAGAGCTAGAAATTAGATAGGGCAACTCCTAGAAACAATTTAAAAATGGGAAATTTCAGCTTTCACTGCTCTGTTATGCTCCATTTTCTCAGTAGATGGCACCCTTCCCCTACCTTCAGAGCTTTTATTTACACTAAGGTGTAAAGGGCTGATAATCCATTACAACAGTTACTAAATCCTCTTTGGGAATTAGCTAATTAATTGTAGCCCTATACAGCACCTACAGTACCTTGCACAAACAATGAAATGCATGGGTAAGTCAATATTTCAACTACAGTAAAGAGGTTTACTCCTGCATTTTACTTTAGTGTTTGCAAAATTTGATTCTTCTATCCCTTGATGACTTGCAGCCACATTCCTAAATATTCTCTTCTTTCCAACATGCTGACTTACTAGATCTCTTACTCTAGGCAGATGACCCATCTACTATTTTATCAAGAAGATCAAGCCTTCACTTTTTCATTCATTCATTCATTAGGTTGGTGCAAAAGCAATTGCTGTTTTGCTATTAAAAGTAATGGCAGAATAATAATAATAATCAGTCAACAATCATTCAATCAGTACCTACTGTGTGCTAGGCTTTGTTAAGCTCAAAGGATGTAAAGATGCATGAGTTATGGTCTTTGCCTTTAAAGAGCCTGAACTTGTTTGGAGGAAACAGAAACATAACTAGTAGACTATTAAGAAGATACCATTCTCGGCCGGGCATGGTGGCTAATGCCTGTAATCCCAGCACTTTGGGAGGCCGAGGCAGGTGGATTACAAGGTCAGGAGTTCAAGACCAGCCTGACCAACATGGTGAAACCCCGTCTCTACTAAAAATACAAAAAATTAGCCGGGTGTGGTGGTGCATGCCTGTAATCCCAGCACTCAGGAGGCTGAGGCAGGAGAATCACTTGAACCCGGGAGGTGGAGGTTACAGTGAATCGAGGTAGGGCCACTGCACTCCAGCCTGTTTGACAGAGCAAAACTTCATCTCAAAAAAAAAAAAAAAAAAAAAAGAAGATACCGTTCTGTCCATAGTCCATAGTTTGCTGAGTTTCTTTGATATTTTATTGTAATTAGATACTTTTTCTGCATATATTGAGACAACCATACATCCTTTAAATTTGCTTTCCTAGAAACTTTAAGTTAGTCTTGATTGATTCCTCTTCCTCTTCCCTTTCCCCTTCCCCTTCCCCTTCCCCTTCCCCTTCCCCTTTCCCTTCCCCTTCCCCTTCCTCCTCCTCCTCCTCCTCCTCTTCTTCCTCTTCCTCTTCCTCTTCCTCTTCTTCTTCTTCTTCTTCTTCTTCTTCTTCTTCTTCTTCTTCTTCTTCTTCTTCTTCTTTGTATTGCTGGATGCAGTTTGCCATCATTTTATTTAGGATTTTTGCATCTATGCTAATCAGCAATAATGGCCTATAATTTTCCTTTTTCAGAATGTACTTGTCAGTTTTGTTATAAAAGTTATGTTAACCTCAAGAAATGAGTTGTGGAATCTTCTTTTCTTTTATATTTCTTAAATGATTAGTCAAACTCACCTGTAAAACCATGTGTGCCTAATGTTTGCTTTATGGGAAAATTTTTAGCTAGTTTATTTTCCTTAAGGGTTATAGGTACATTTAAGGTTTCCATTTCATCTTGAAGTACTGTTTGGCAGGTTATATTTTCCTAATCGTTTGGCTGTCTCATCTAAGTTTTCAAGTTTATTGACATAAGGTTGCTCAAAATATTCTCTGAGTAATTTTTAAGTCTTTGCAGGATCTGGCAGTTACATTCCACTTTTTATTAGACTTTCTGAATAACCAACTCCTGATATTTTTTATCATCTCAATTTTAGGTTTTCTATTTCTTGAATTTCTGCTCTTATCCTTATAATTTTCTTCCTTTTGCTGTTTTTATGTTTATTCTATAAATTATTTTCTAACTTGGTAAGTTAGATAATTATCTTATCAATTTTTATTTAATCTCTTTTCTATTATAATTACTGATGTCTATGCATTTCCATCCAGGACTTTCTTTGGATACATATATAGGTTGCAATCTTTATATTTTAATTAATGTTCCGGTATAGGTAGTTTCCTATTCCTATTATAATTGTCTTTGACCAGCATATTATTTATAAATATGTTTTGTAATTTTCAAACAAAGTTTACCTTGCAATCTTTTTGTTATTATCTCTAACTTAATTACCCTTGGTTTGAGCATATGATTTGTATAAGACCCAGTCTTTTGAAATACATTGAATCTTAAATTTATGGTCTAGCTAGTGGAACATTTTCAGAAATGTTTCATGATACTCAAAATTAATCTATGTTCCCCAGCCTCTAAGGTAAGTCCCAATAATCCCCAACTCTTGTATTCATACCTTTGTGTAATCCCTTCCCCTTAAGTGTGAGCTGGACTTAGTGACTTACTTCTATGAGTATGAATATGGCAATATGGCAAAACAGCACCTCATTTCAATATTAGCTCATGAATAGACGAAGGACTTCTGCTTCTGGCAAGACAACGTGAGGAGCTCTGTAGAGCAACTTCCCAGTGAAATGAATGGAAATTATAATAAAAACTCTAACTAAAGTCTCTAAAAATGATCCTAAGGATATACTACAACTGAAGAAACATTTATCCAATAAAAATCACTAAAACTTGCTGAGAACAGTGAGAGTCTGTAGCATGTGAAGCATGACCCCTCCCACCCCCCGGCATCTGCCCCCCTGCATCTGCCACCTCAGCTCAGCGGATCTCTCTCCAGCCTATAGAGGAGATAAAATAGAGAATGGAAAATAGAGACAAACAATGAGACCAAAAATTGGATCTTTGAAACTATCAACAAAATTGACAAACTGTTAGCTGAATTAACCAGGAAGAAAAGAGAGAAACCTCAAATAATAAAATCAGAGAGGAAACAGGGGACATTACTACCAACTTTATAGAAATTGAAAGATTTATAAAGAAATGCTATAAACAATTGTATGCCCATAAAGTAGACAGCTTCATTGAAATGAATATATTCCTAGAAAGACACAAACTACTGAAACTGAATCAAGAAGAAACAGTGAATAGACTTTTAATAAAACTGAATTAGTAATCAAGAACTCCCATGAAAAAAAGCCCAGGCCCAGATGGCTTTACTGGTGGATTCTAACAAACACTTAAATAAGAATTAATATCAATTATTCACACATTCTTCCAAAAAATAGAGGGGAAGAAAGTACTTCCCAATTCATTTTATGGGACCAATATTTCTTGATACCCAAACCAAAAATATCGTAAGAAAAGAAAACTATAAACCAGTATCTCTTATGAATACAAATGCAAAAGTACTTAGTAAAATACTAGCAAACTAAATACAGAAACATATAAAAAGAATTACGCACCATGACCAAGTGGAGTTTATGCCAGAAATGCGTGATTGTTTAAACATGAATATCAGCAAGTGTTGTCCCCTATCAATAGAATAAAAAACAAAAAACCCATATGAGCATTTCAATAGAATACTGAAAAGCATGTTACAATATTACAGTATATGACAGCTTTATGTGTGTGCATATGCTCAAATAAAATTTAATGACACAAATCATTTTTGCTAAATCCAGTCCTTCTCTTTCTCCCCTAGGGCTATCCAGTCTCATCATAGAAGGTAGAATAAGATGGAACCACAGGGCCAGAGTGAGCCTCAACAACACATACTTCACATACATGTTCACTTATTGCACCAGGTTTTTCTCAACCCAAAATACTGCTTTAGGTATTAGGCTGCCAAGGGAAGTGAAGGTTTGAGTCTGAACAGGTTCCAAAATGGATTGTGCAAAACCTCAGGCCTCCCTCCTTCCTCTGGAAGTTCCAACTGTGGAAGAAATGAAGATGGAACTTCTCAAGAATCAACAGCTTCTAGCATGAATTCCCTACATATCCCCCAAGTATCCCTTCCCCTTTGGTCATGATTATAACTGGGATAATGATCATGACAGATCCCCTAGGTGTCTGTCAGAGGTATAGAGTAAGGTAGGTGGACTCGGGATGAGGATAGCTGCAGCTGTGTGGGGCTGAGGTTCTGTGGCATTGAGGTACTGGGGAAGTGGGGCTCTGTTTTCATTCTGACCTAGAGTCAATAAAGTGCTCTTGGAGGAAGCCAGAGCCCTGACTCTGTACTATAGAGAAAGGGCCAAGTCATTGAGTGCACCACTACTTGACCCAGAGGTAGAAAGAATTTACTCTGGAGAGATTTGGTAGAGCTCCAAGAACAAGCAAGTTACATGTGGACAAAAGGAGGAAGAGATATCAAAATAATGAATAAATTCAAACAAAGCTGGAGGATAAGACCCCAGGACTGAATACGCTCTGAGAAAGGCCTGAGCAGAGGCCCCGAAGGAAGCACGTCAGGGAAGATACACTCATTATAGCCTAGGAAATTTTCAGTAGTTGGGAAACGAGGGGAGGAAGGCCTGGCTGTATCCCTAATTTCACAGGGTGGGAAAGAGGAAGATGACTAGGATACTGCACAAAGGACCCGGCACTGAACTGTGGGAGCTAGAGGTTGCTTGGGGCAAAGTGAAAAGGCTTCTGACTCTTTCAAAAGGTGGCTGGCCAAGAGCATGATTTGGGACTCCAGTCACGGACATACTAGAGGTCCTTGGGTGCCTTGAGCCCTGAATGGGTCAGCAGCTCTCCATCCTAAAGAGCAAAGGCAGACATCACTGGACTCTGGAAATCTGTAGCATGTGGACCACAAAGACCCGGCTCCCATGCACCAGAATTGGCACCTCCCGGTAGCATGTGCCACTGGAGACCACAGTGTCCGCCAGCACCACTGCCCACTCCCAGAAGCGCTCCATATCCAGGGCCACCTTAGTGGGCTCCAGTCCCGTCAAGCCACATTTGACACCTGTATCACTTCTGAAGCATGCCAGGGTGCTGTGGGCAACTTTTCCTTCCAGTTTGAAAAGATGCCTCTCCAGGCCTCTGTGGTGGCACCCCAGCCTCCTCAACTTCCTTTGGCTCCACAGCAACAGCACAAAGAACTGTGTGAAGGACAGTGTTGCCTTGTGGCATAGATGAACCTACAACATTTTATGATAAAATACTCAATAAACTCCAAAAAGACGGAAATTTTCTTAACCTGATAGAGGGCATCTACAAACATCTCACTGTTAACATTGTACTTAATGGCAAAAGAATAGATAGTTTCCTCTGAGATTAGGAACAAGACAAGGATGCCCACTCTTACTGCTTCTATTAAATATTGTACTAAAAGTTCTATCAAGGACAATTAGGCAAGAAAATGGAATAAAAGTCACTAAAAAACCTATCAGAACTAATTTATAAATGAGTTCAGCAAGGTTGCAGTATAGAAGCTCAGCATATAAAAATCGGTTTATTTCTATACACTAGCAATGAACAATCTCAAAATGAATTTAAGAAAAAATTTGCAATAGCATAAAAATAAATATTTAGGAACAAAGTTAACAAAAGAGTGCAACACTTGTACTAGGAAAGCTGCAAAATATTGTAGAAAAGAATTAAACTTCTTTATTTTCTTATAGTTTCTCTATCTCATGTTAACAGGTCAAAAAACTTAATATAGTTAAGATGGAAATACCTCTCAAGTTGAATTATAGATTCAATGCAATCCCTGTCAGAAACCCACTTGCATCTTTTTTTTTTTTTTTTGTAGAGACGGAGGTCTTGCTATGTTGCCCAGGCTAGTCTTGAACTCCTGGCCTCAAGTGATCCTCTCACCTCAGTCCCCCGAGTAGCTAGGATTACAGTAGTCCACCACCAATTCTGGCTCTTTACTTGCATTCTTTGTGGAAATTGACAAGCTGATACTAAAATCCATATGAAAACTCAAGGGATCCAGAATTGCCAAAACACTTCTAAAAGGTGGAACAAATTTGGAAGATGCACAATTTCCAATTTCAAAATATACTAAAAAGCTAATCAAGATGATGTGGTAATAATATAAGGATAGACATATCTATTATTGAAATAATTGGGAATCCAGAAATAAACCCGTGTATTTGTGGTCAATTAATTTTGGACAAGGATGCTAAGACCATACAATGGGGGAAAGAATAGTCATTTCAATAAATGTTGTGACAACTGAATATCCAAATGCAAAAAAATGAAGTTGGACCCTTATCTCATACCAAATACAAAAACTAACTCAAAATGGATGAAAGACTTAAATGTAAGAGCTACTTAAAAGAAAACATAGGAGTAAATCTTTGTGTCCTTGGAGTAGGCAAAGTATTTTTATATATGACATCAAAAACATAAACAACAAAAGAAAAAATAATTAAACTTCACCAAAATTTAAAAGCTTTTGCATTTCAAAGGACATTATTAATAACGTGAGAAGACAACTCACAAAATGGGAGAACGTATCTGCAAATCATATATCTGATAAGGAACTTCCATTTAGATTATATAGAGAACTTCTTCCTCTTATGGACTAGCTCTGAAGAAAAACTCTTATAATTCAATAATAACAAGAAAAATAATAATCCGATTAAAACATGGTAAAGGATCTGAAAAATGTCTATTTTTCCAAAGAAGACTACACAAATGGCCATAGGCATGTGAAAACATGTTCAACAGCATTAGTCATCATAAAAATGCAAATAAAAACCACAATGAAATACCACTTCACACCCACTAGGGTAGCTATAATAAAAAAGTCAGATAATAAGTGTTGGTTAGGATGTGGAGAAATTGAAACACTAATACATTGTTGATGGAAATGTAAGATGCTACAGCTGCTTTGAAAAACAGTCTGGCATTTCCTCAAATGATTAAACATAGAGTTACAATTCAACACAGAAATTCTATTATAGCCATATACCCAGATAGAGAAACAATAACGTATGTTCACATAAAAACTTGTACCTGAATGTTCATAGCAGCAGTATTCATAATAGCTAAAAAGTGGAAACAATTGAAAGTCCATCAGCTGATGAATGGATAAGCAAAATGTGGAATATTGTGTAGCCTTAAAAAGAAGTGAAGTGTTGATACATACTACAACATATATGAACCTTAAAAACATTATACTAAGGGAAAGAAGCCAGTCACAAATGACCGTGCATTATATGATTCCATTTATATGAAAATGTGCAGAATAGGAAAATCTACAGAGACAGAAAGTAGATTGGTTATTATCTAGGAATGGGGAAGAGGGATGGGCTAACGGGATGGCAATGAAAAGGTATGTGGGGGATACCTTTCTGGGGTAATGAAAATGTTCTGACATTGATTGTGGTAATTATTGCACAACTCTATGAATAGTGAATATACTAAAAACCATTAAATGGTACACTTAAATGGGTGACTGGAATGGTATGTGAATTATATATCACTAAAGCTATTACCAAGAAAAGAAAAAAAAGTCTGTGGCTTCCATCTTCGATGCTCTCACTTGTTCTCACCCACTCCCTGCCTTTTTTAGACTGCTTGGTCTGGGGGAAGCAAGCTGCTAGGCTATGAGAGGCCCACATGGTGAGAAAACGAAGTCTCTGGCCTACCAACGTTCTAACAACCCTGTGAATGAGCAGATCCTCCCCAGTTGAGCCTTCAGATGAAATTACCCAAAAAGTTAAGTTGCTTCTGGATTCTTGAGCCATAGAAACTGTGAGATAAGAAATGTCTGTTATTTTAAGCTGCTAAATTTGGGGATAATTTGTTACACGGCAATACATAATTAATGTACCACTTGTTGGTTGCAATGCTTTAGAAACAACCAGTAGATTAAGCTTATTTATTTTTTCTTCAGGACTACTGATTACTACTCATTAATTTTTTTTCCTTAAGGAATTAATTATTGAATGGGGTGTGTTAAATCTCTTATGATTATAAATTTGTATATTGCTCCTTTTAGTTCTGTTACTTATAACTTTGTTTATTACTATATTATTAGCTTTACCTATTTTGAGAATACATTATTAAGTAAATACAAGGATTAGCCTATCAATTTCTCCATTTACTCTATGGTTTCCCAGTGGTATAGTTCATGTTGAAAATGCAGGAGAAACTATTGATTCTTTCTCTTTCTGAACTAGTTTTCAAGATAATAATTTCTTCTATATCATTCCTCTAAGGAAAACACATTTGTTCAAAACAGTGTTATCATGAACTCATGGATTTAAACTATTGATGAATTATTAATTGATAAATTATTGATGAATTTGAGCTTTTTAAAGCTTAATCTGGCCAGTGGGAGCCTCTTCAAGTTGTCTCCCAAGTCCTTTGACACAACTCTAGCAGTCTTTAATAAATAGCTTCCCTGCTATCTGGTATGATAACTTTTCCAGGCACATCTTGTGTATTTCATATTCCAGTCTTGCAATCAGCTCCAAGAAACCCTTGTTTCCTTTAGTAACTAGGTGAATGGTATTTTAAGACCACATAAGACCACCTTCTGGGGACTTGGGATATTCATTGCTACTGGGCTACTTTTTCTAGGCCTCACACACACATTCAAATAGGACTAGAAAATATTTCTAGAAATTTCTTCTTATATCTGCATGTCCTTTCTTCACACTCAGAATCCTGGTTCTAACGGACACAGAAGTTTATAGAATTGAAATGATAATTACTCATACTTTTCAAATCACACATCACACACACAAGTTTTAGAATAATAATAATATTACCAATCTCAATATATCTACTGACAAGAGTGAATATTTTTGGTATATGCTGTTCCCATTTCCCCTTATTTTTATAATTATACAATATCTAAATTGAGCAAACAGACATTACAAACCAGACTTTTTCCCTTTTAACTCCTATTTAATCTTACTTCTAATAGTAATTATATTTCTAATGCTTACCACCAATCCTTTTTTTTTTTCTTGAGACAGAGTCTCGCTCTGTCACCCAGGCTGGAGTGCAGTGGCACCATCTTGTATCTCAGCCTCCCAAGTAGCTGGGACCACAGATGTGCACCACTGTGCCTGGCTAATTTTTGTATTTTCAGTAGAGACGGGATCTCACAATGTTGACCAGGCTGGTCTTGGACTCCTAGCCTCGAGTGATCCTCCCACCTCGGCCTCCCAAAGTGCTAGGATTACAGGAGTGAGTCACTGTGCCTGGCCTGACAAATCCTTTTGTTGTGGTCTGCAAAGGCTTGGCCAGCTATAATTGTTAGAGGGTACATGGTTCACACAAGACCGCCCTCACTTCTGACACCAACTGCAAATGTAGAAGAGTTTCCCAAAGCATACTCATGTTCAATGATTTGGTATAAGGGCCCATAAAACTCACTAAAACTATTATACTTACAATTATCATTTATTATAGGGAAAGAATATGGATTAAAGTCATTCAAGAGAAGAAGTACATGGGGTGGAATCTGTGGAAGTAACAAAAATGGAGCTCCCATTGGCCTCTCTTCATGGTGTCAGGATGTGTTACTTTTCTGGCATTGATGTGTGACAAGATGCAGTTTTGTCAGCCAGGGAGGCTAACCCAACCTTGGTGTTCAGAGTACTTATCAGTGCTCCACCACGAGGGTATCACTGATTGATTGCCCATGTGATTGATCTCCAGTTCAACTGATATCAGATGACTCAAAGCCCTTACCTTAAATCACATTGTTGTTCTTTCTGGAGTGGCCAGCTCCTACCCTAAGTTTAGGGCCAACCTACCTTCTAAGTCATATTGCTAGACAATCCAGTGTGACCCCATCCTCCCAGGCAAACAGAGATACTATCATCAGGCATGATAGCCAAGGGCCTAGAGATTGCTTCCCAGAATGTGAGGGCAAGGACCAGAACTCTTTTTGGGCAAGACTAAATTCTTTACTACACAGTTTTTAATAGCCTTTTTTTGCTTGTCTGAAGCTTGTGTTCTTTTTTTTTTTTTCAAGACCGAGTCTTGCTGTATTGCCCAGGCTGGAGTGCAGTGGTGCGATCTAGCTCACTGCAAGCTCTGCCTCCTGGGTTCAAGTGATTCCAGTGCCTCAGCCTCCCGAGTAGCTAGGACTACAGGTGCATGCCGCCACAACTAAGTTTGGATTTTTAGTAGAGACAGGGTTTCTCCACATTGGCCAGGCTGGTCTTGAACTTCTGACTTCAAGTGATCTGCCTGCCTCGGCCTCCCAAAGTGCTGGGATTACAGGCGTGAGCCCACCACGCCTGGACTGAAGCTTGTGCTCTAGTAGATTCCACAAGAAGGATTCATAGGAACAGTATTCCCTGAGAGTGTTGATTGCATATTTATCTGTGCTTTATATACTTAATATTCTTCTCAATATAAAAATCCTTGGCTAACACTTTCTTTCCCTCAGTATCTTGAATATGTTACATAATTACTTCCTGCATAAATGTTGCTGTAGAAAAGTCTAGAGATAATTCATTTTTGTTTCTGTATAAGTTTCTTGATATTTTTGTCTAGATATTCAAATAATTTTTTAGTTTTCTTAAAGCCCAGCAATTTTTTTTCTAGAATAAGTATTGGTGTCAAGTCTTCTGGATAAATATGATCAGGTATATGGCATGCTATTTCAATATACATTTTCAAATCTATTTTATATTTTAGGAAAGTTTTCTAGAATTTTAGTTTAAATATTCTGCTCCCTTGTTTTGGTTTTCTTCACAGTCTCCTTTCATGTAATATGTTGAATCTTCTTAGCCTATCTTCAATATTAGTCTCAATTTCTCTCAAATCCCTTTTTTCATTTATTTACTTTTAAAATTGATATATAACTTTTATATAATATAACTAACCCACTTAAAGTGGACAGGTCAATGGTTTTTAGTATATTCAGAGTTGTGCTACCATCACCACAATCAATTTTAGAACATTTTAACAGCCCCCTACCATAGGTATCCATACCCATAAGTAATCATACCCCATTTCCTCCCAACTCTCTTAGTCCCCAGCAATTAGTAACTTTTCTCTCTACGAGTTTGCCTAGTCTGACCATTTAATATAAGTGCAATAATACAATATGTGGGCATTTGTGACTGGCTTCTTGCACCTAGTATGTTTTCAAGTTACATTCATATCGTGGCATGCACTTATTTATTTTTATTGCTGAATAATGTTTCATTGGGTATGCTATTTTTTATTTATCCATCCATCAGTTGCTAGACGTTTGTGGTGTTTCCACTTTTTGGTTATGATGAATATGCTGTTATAAATACTCATGTAAAATTTTTCATTTAGCTTGGATTTTTATCATTTCCCCCTTTTAACTATCTCTTTTAAGGTATTACCTGTTGTCCTTATTCACTCTTGTGTTACTTCTAGCTTAATCTTCACTTCTGAAATCAGTTTTCCTTTTATTTTGGATTCTTTCCTTAGTTATGTCAACTTATGTCTCACTTTTTCTATTTCTAGTTTCTGGGTCATGTTCCTTCTTCATTATTATTACTTTCTTCATTTTTTTTTTTTTTGAGATAAGAGTCTCATGCTGTCACCCAGGCTAGAGTACAGTGGCATGATGTCAGTTCACTGCAACCTCTGCCTCCCAGGTTCAAGTGATTCTCCTGCCTTAGCCTCCTGAGTAGCTGGGACTATAGGCATGCACCACCATACCCGGCTAATTTTTGTATTTTTAGTAAAGCAGGGTTTCGCCGCGTTGGTCAGGCTGGTCTCAAACTCCTGACCTCAGGTTATCCACCTGCCTCAGCCTCCCAAAGTGCTAGGATTACAGGCATGAGCCACCATGCCTGGTTGTTTTTGACTAATTTTAAAATAGAAAGTTACAGTTTGACCTGTTCTATGGGCAATTCTTTTGCCATGCTTCTTTTTATTGTGTTAAAGGTGTTGTTTTGTTCCTTTTTTTTCTTAAAATAACTTTGCATGAGATTTAACTTTGAGAGTTTTCTCCTGTATTTTTTTATGAGAAAGTATATTTCTTGCATATTAGAAGGTGGTGATATTCAGGGTAGCCCTTCTAAATTCCAAACTCTCCTTTTCATGTTTGTTTTTTTTTTTTTTTTTTTGGAGTGTTTAAAAATTAGTAGCTTTCTTTCTGAGATTTCCTGACTTGTTCTTCCTCTCATCTCTTTCACCTGGACCTTTTTCATCTCTTATTTTCTACTGTTTTTCTCCCATAAAATTTTTTTTTTAATTATTATACTTTAAGTTTTAGGGTACATGTGCACAACGTGCAGGTTTGTTACATATGTATACATGTGCCATGTTGGTGTGCTGCACCCATTAACTGGTCATTTAGCATTAGGTATATCTCCTAATGCTATCCCTCCCCCCCTACCCCCACCCGACAACAGGCCCCTGTGTGTGATGTTCCCCTTCCTGTGTCCATGTGTTCTCATTGTTCAATTCCCACCTATGAGCGAGAACATGCGGTATCTGGTTTTTTGGCCTTGCAACAGTTTGCTGAGAATGATGGTTTCCAGCTTCATCCATGTCCCTACAAAGGACATGAACTCATCCTTTTTTATGGCTGCATAGTATTCCACGATTTATATGTGCCACATTTTCTTAATCCAGTCTATCATTGTTGGACATTTGGGTTGGTTCCAAGTCTTTGCTATTGTGAATAGTGCCACAATAAACATACATGTGCATGTGTCTTTATAGCAGCATGATTTGTAATCCTTTGGGTATATACCCATGAATGGGATGGCTGGGTCAAATGGTATTTCTAGTTCTAGATCCCTGAGGAATCGCCACACCGAGTTCTACAATGGTTGAACTAGTTTACAGTCCCACCAACAGTGAAAAATTGTTCCTATTTCTCCACATCCTCTCCAGCACCTATTGTTTCCTGACTTTTTAATGATCACCATTCTGACTGGTGTGAGATGGTATCTCATTGTGGTTTTGATTTGCATTTCTCTGATGGCCAGTGATGATGAGCATTTTTTCATATGTTTTTTGGCTGCATGAATGTTTTTTTTGAGAAATGTCTGTTCATATCCTTTGCCCACTTTTTGATGGGGTTGTTTGTTTTTTTCTTGTAAATGTGTTTGAGTTCATTGTAGACTCTGGATATTAGCCCTTTGTCAGATGAGTAGGTTGCAAAAATTTTCTCCCATTCTGTAGGTTGCCTGTTCACTCTGATGGTGGTTTCTTTTGCTGTGCAGAAGCTCTTTAGTTTAATTAGATCCCATTTGTCAATTTTGGCTTTTGTTGCCATTGCTTTTGATGTTTTAGACATGAAGTCCTTGCCCATGCCTATGTCCTGAATGGTATTGACTAGGTTTTCTTCTAGAGTTTTTATGGTTTTAGGTCTAACATTTAAGTCTTTAATCCATCTTGAATTAATTTTTGTATAAGGTGTAAGGAAGGGATCCAGTTTCAGCTTTCTACATATGGTTAGCCAGTTTTCCCAGCACCATTTATTAAATAGGGAATCCTTTCCCCATTGCTTGTTTTTGTCAGGTTTGTCAAAGATCAGATAGTTGTAGATATGTGACATTATTTCTGAGGGCTCTGTTCTGTTCCATTGGTCTATATCTCTGTTTTGGTACAAGTACCATGCTGTTTTGGTTACTGTAGCCTTATAGTATAGTTTGAAGTCAGGTAGCGTGATGCCTCTGGCTTTGTTCTTTTGGCTTAGGATTGACTTGGCAATGCGGGCTCTTTTTGGTTCCATATGAACTTTAAAGTAGTTTTTTCCAATTCTGTGAAGAAAGTCATTGGTAGCTGGATGGGGATGGCATTGAATCTACAAATTACCTTGGGCAGTATGGCCATTTTCACGACATTGATTCTTCCTACCCATGAGCATGGAATGTTCTTTCCATTGTTTGTATCCTCTTTTATTTCATTGAGCAGTGGTTTGTAGTTTTCCTTGAAGAGGTCCTTCACATCCCTTGTAAGTTGGATTCCTAGGCATTTTATTCTCTTTGAAGCAATTGTGAATGGGAGTTTATTCATGATTTGGCTCTCTGTTTGTCTGTTATTGGTGTATAAGAAAGCTTGTGATTTTTGCACATCGATTTTGTATCCTGAGACTTTGCTGAAGTTGCTTATCAGCTTAATGAGATTTTGGGCTGAGACAATGGGGTTTTCTAAATATACAATCATGTCATCTGCAAACAGGGACAATTTGACTTCCTCTTTTCCTAATTGAATGCCCTTTATTCCCCTCTCCTGCCTGATTGCTGTGGCCAGAGCTTCCAACACTATGTTGAATAGGAGTGGGGAGAGAGGGCATCCCTGTCTTGTGCCAGTTTTTGTCCATTCAGTATGATATTGGCTGTGGGTTTGTCATAGATAGCTCTTATTATTTTGAGATACATCCCATCAATACCTAGTTTATTGAGAGTTTTTAGCGTGAAGTGTTGTTGAATTTTGTCAAAGGCCTTTTCTGCATCTATTGAGATAATCATGTGGTTTTTGTCTTTGGTTCTGTTTATATGCTGGATTACATTTACTGATTTTCGTGTGTTGAACCAGCCTTGCATCCCAGGGATGAAGCCCACTTGATCATGGTGGATAAGCTTTTTGATGTGTTGCTGGATTCGGTTTGCCAGTATTTTATTGAGGATTTTTGCATCAATGTTCATCAAGGATATTGGTCTAAAATTCTCTTTTTTGTTGTGTCTCTACCAGGCTTTGGTATCAGGATGATGCTGGCCTCATAAAATGAGTTAGGGAGGATTCTGTCTTTTTCTATTGATCGGAATAGTTTCAGAAGGAATGGTACCAGCTCCTCCTTGTACCTCTGGTAGAATTTGGCTGTGAATCCATCTGGTCCTGGACTTTTTTTGGTTGGTAAGCTATTAATTATTGCCTCAATTTCAGAGCCTGTTATTGATCTATTCAGAGATTCAACTTCTTCCTGGTTTAGTCTTGGGAGAGTGTATGTGTCGAGGAATTTATCCATTTCTTCTAGATTTTCTAGTTTATTTGCATAGATGTGTCTATAGTATTCTCTGATGGTAGTTTGTATTTCTGTGGGATCAGTGGTGATATCCCCTTTGTCATTTTTTATTGCGTCTATTTGATTCATCTCTCTTTTCTTCTTTATGAGTCTTGCTAGCGGTCTATCAATTTTGTTAATCTTTTCAAAAAACCAGCTCCTGGATTCATTGATTTTTTGAAGGGTTTTTTGTGTCTCTATTTCCTTCAGTTCTGCTCTGATCTTTGTTATTTCTTGCCTTCTGCTAGCTTTTGAATGTGTTTGCTCTTGCTTCTCTAGTTCTTTTAATTGTGATGTTAGGGTGTCAATTTTAGATCTTTCCTCCTTTCTCTTATGCGCATTTAGTGCTATGAATTTCCCTCCACACACTGCTTTGAATGTGTCCCAGAGATTCTGGTATGTTGTGTTTTTGTTCTCATTGGTTTCAAAGAACATCTTTATTTCTGCCTTCATTTCCTTATGAACCCAGTAGTCATTCAGGAGCAGGTTGTTCAATTTCCATGCAGTTGAGCAGTTTTGAGTGAGTTTCTTAATCCTGAGTTCTAGTTTGATTGCACTGTGGTCTGAGAGACAGTTTGTTATAATTTCTGTTCTTTTACATTTGCTGAGGAGTGCTTTACTTCCAATTATGTGGTCAATTTTGGAATAGGTGTCGTGTGGTGCTGAAAAGAATGTATGTTCTGTTGATTTGGGGTGGAGAGTTCTGTAGATGTCTATTAGGTCCGCTTGGTGCAGAGCTGAGTTCAATTCCTGGATATCTTTGTTAACTTTCTGTCTCGTTGGTCTGTCTAATGTTGACAGTGGTGTGTTAAAGTCTCCCATTATTATTGTGTGGGAGTCTAAGTCTCTTTTTATGTCACTAAGGACTTGCTTTATGAATCTGGGTGCTCCTGTATTGGGTGCATATATATTTAGGATAGTTAGTTCTTCTTGTTGAATTGATCCTTTTACCATTATGTAACGGCCTTCTTTGTCTCTTTTGATCTTTGTTAGTTTAAAGTCTGTTTTTTCCGAGACTAGCATTGCAACTCCTGCCTTTTTTTGTTTTCCATTTGCTTGGTAGATCTTCCTCCATCCCTTTATTTTGAGCCTATGTGTGTCTCTGCATGTGAGATGGGTTTCCTGAATACAGCACACTGATGGGTCTTGACTCTTTATCCAATTTTCCAGTGTGTGTGTTTTAATTGGAGCATTTAGCCCATTTACATTTAAGGTTAGTATTGTTATGTGTGAATTTGATCCCATCGTTATGATGTTAGCTGGTTATTTTGCTCGTTAGTTGATGCAGTTTCTTCCTAGCCTTGATGGTCTTTACAATTTGGCATGTTTTTGCTGTGGCTGATACCAGTTGTTCCTTTCCATGTTTAGTGCTTCCTTCCTGAGCTCTTGCAGGGCAGTCCTGTTGGTGACAAAATGTCTCAGCATTTGCTTGTCTGTAAAGTATTTTATTTCTCCTTCACTTATGAAGCTTAGTTTGGCTGGATATGAAATTCTGGGTTGAAAATTCTTTTCTTTTAGAATGTTGAGTATTGGCCCCCACTATCTTCTGGCTTGTAGAGTTTCTGCCGAGAGATCCACTGTTAGTCTGATGGACTTCCCTTTGTGGGTAACCCAACCTTTCTCTCTGGCTGCCCTTAACATTTTTTCCTTCATTTCAACTTTGTTGTATATGACAATTATGTGTCTTGGAGTTGCTCTTCTCAGGGAGTATCTTTGTGGCGTTCTCTGTATTTTCTGAATTTGAATGTTGGCCTGCCTTGCTAGATTGGGGAAATTCTCCTGGAATATATCCACATAGTCCCATATTTCTTGGAGGCTTTGTTCATTTCTTTTTATTCTTTTTTCTCTAAACTTCTCTTCATGCTTCATTTCATTCATTTCACGTTCCATCGCTGATACCCTTTCTTCCAGTTGATCACGTCAGTTACTGAGGCTTGTGCATTCGTCATGTAGTTCTCGTGCCATGGTTTTCAGCTCTATCAGGTCCTTTAAGGACTTCTCTGCATTGATTATTCTAGTTATCCATTCATCTAATTTTTTTTCAAAGTTTTTAACTTCTTTGCCATTGGTTCAAACTTCCTCCTTTAGCTCGGAGTAGTTTGATCTTCTGAAGCCTTCCTCTCTCAACTCGTCAAAGTCATTCTCCGTCCAGCTTTGTTACATTGCTGGTGAGGAGCTGCATTCCTTTGGAGGAGAAGCGGTGCTCTGATTTTTAGAGTTTCTGGTTTTTCTGCTCTGTTTTTTCCCCATCTTTGTGGTTTTATCTACCTTTGGTCTTTGATGATGGTGATGTACAGATGGGATTTTGGTGTGGATGTCCTTTCTGTTTGTTAGTTTTCCTTCTAACAGTCAGGACCCTCAGATGCAGGTCTGTTGGAGTTTACTGGAGGTCCACTTCAGACCCTGTTTTCCTGGGTATCAGCAGCGGTGGCTGCAGAACAGCAGATATTGGTGAACCGCAAATGCTGCTGCCTGATCTTTCCTCTGGAAGTTTTGTCTCAGAAGAGTACCCAGCCGTGTGAGGTGTCAGTCCACCCCTACTGGGGGGTGCCTCCCACTTAGGCTACTTGGGGGTCAGGGAACCACTTGAGGAGGCAGTCTGCCTGTTCTCAGATCTCAAGCTGCATGCTGGGAGAACCACTACTCTCTTCCAAGCTGTCAGACAGGGACATTTAAGTCTGCAGAGGTTATTGCTGTCTTTTGTTTGTCTGTGCCCTGCCCCCAGAGGTGGATCCTACAGAGGCAGGCAGGCCTCCTTGAGCTGTGGTGGGCTCCACCCAGTTCGAGCTTCCTGGCTGCTTTGTTTACCTTCTCAAGCCTGAGCAATGACGGGTGCCCCTCCCCCAGCCTCGCTGCCACCTTGCAGTTTGATCTCAGACTGCTATGCTAGCAATGAGCGAGGCTCCGTGGGCATAGGACCCTCCGAGCCAGGTGCGGAATATAATCTCCTGGCATGCCGTTTGTGAAGCCCATTGGGAAAGCACAGTATTAGCGTGGGAGTGACCCAATTTTCCAGGTGCCATCTGTCACCCCTTTCTTTGACTAGAAAAGGGAATTCCCTGACCCCTTGTGCTTCCCGGGTGAGGCGATGCCTCGCCCTGCTTCAGCTCATGCATGGTGTGCTGCACTCACTTTCCTGCACCCACTGTCCAGCACTCCCCTGTGAGATGAACCTGGTACCTCAGTTGGAAATGCAGAAATCACCCATCTTCTGCATCGCTCATGCTGGGAGCTGTAGACTGGAGCTGTTCCTATTTGGCCATCTTGGCTCCACCCCCAAAACTTTAATTACTCTGTTAGAAATGTCTCCTTATTGCTGGGCCCTCTCTTGGATGGGAGCCTGGGTGGGTGGGTGTGTGGACTTGCTAGGGATTAGGCTGCGGTAGCACAGTCAGTTCCTACCATGGATACACTGTACTCACCTTCTGTAGGAGTGGGTCAACCCCTTCTATTTCTGCTGCTGTTCTCATATTGGCCCAACACACTTTAGGGTGCTACTTGTTGGCTGTTTTGGGTTCCCTTGTCCTTGATCTGTCAGCCATCTGTTGCTTCCCTCCTCTCCCTCTATGGAAGCTGGATACCATGAAGGTCTTGCTGGTTGGTTCTCACTTGTCACCTAATTTTGTTGGAATGTTATCTGTGGGTTCTTGTCTTTGCTATGGAGGCTTTGTCTGGTTTTTTAAATCTCTTGTGGGGATTTGGATATACTGGAATGCCAGGGCTCAACCTCTGCATCTCCCCACGATGCCCTGGTTCTGCCTTTTCTGTGGTTCTTTTTCTCTCTCTCCTGTGACTTCTATTCCTTCTTTTGAAAGGATAGAATATGCTTGATCATTTCTTAGTTTTGTTTATAAGTTATGTACTGCATTTCTACTTTCTTTAAATAACCCTAGCAATGTTAGCATATACAATTATTTATTATTTTAAAATCTACAATCTCCTCTCAAGCAGTACAAGAACCTCAGACCAATTCAAATTTGATCATCTCTACCTGTGATCGTTTTGGATGTGACAATCTTATCTTAACCCTTTAAAACAACACATTTATTATTGTTGTATGTAGCTAGTGTTTGTTTAGATTTATTATTCACATTTTACGACTTTCTTTGCTCATCATTCTTTCTGGGACCTTTTTGCTTATAAGGTTTGCTGGTGGCAATGTTCTCAGTTTCTACTTGACTGAAACTTTTTTTTTAAATTTTCATTTCTGAAAGATACTGTGTTTAAAGGACATTCTTAATAAGATAAAAAGACATTTTGGCTCATTTTATTTCTAAAAAATCTTCTAAAAGATTTTTCTAAGGGAGCTTTAGAAAAGATACTTCTAAGAGGAATTTTTGTTTCCTACAAAGATATTTTGTATAGTTTTATATTGACAGTTAATTTTTCTCATGTTGAAGATCCTATTTCACTCTTTCAGACTACAGTTTTTGCTTTTGAGCGTTCAATTGTCCAGACTAATTGTCATTTCTGTTTAGGTATCTTTTTTCAAGTTATCATGCAGATTACTTTTGTCATTAGTTTTCAGTACATTTACCATGACATGTCTAAGTGTGGATTTATTTTATTTATTGTGCTTGAGATTATTCAAATCTGAATCTGAGGACTGGTGTTCTTTAACCAGTTCATCAATTCTCAAAGATTCTCAGTCATTATCTGCTCAAATATTACATTTCTTCCATTTTCTCCCTTTTCTTCTGCTGAAATTCTCACAGGACATTTATATTGGAACGTGACACTCTGAACTCCATTCCCCTCATTTCTCTTTTGCTTTTCTTTGTGCTACATTAGGAAACACTTCTCTAGTTCTGTTCTGTAATTCATTAAATCTGGATTCTACTAAATTCATTTATTGATATTTCAATTTTTATTATGTTTTAAAAATGTCTAGAAGTTATATTTAGTTATTTCTTAAATAAGCTTGCTTTAAAAAATTACGTTTTAGGAACAGTTCATGTAAGGAACAATTCTTCTTGTTCCTTACAAGAATATTTTCAACCCATTCTTATTTTATATTTTGTATCTGAAAATTCTAAAAGTCACATGTATTTGTGGGTCTCTTTCTTCTGTTTATCTCATTCATAGTGTTTTGTTCCCTCGTGTTTTCATAATTTCTAATTGTGAAGTCCAGCTCCTTGGAAGTTTATCTGTGGGACTTATATGGTGGACTTCTCAGCACTTGAAACTTCGGGTATTTTCAGCTAAATTCTTGGCTTAATATATTTTAAGCTTTCTCATGCTGGATGTATTTGGACAACAAAATCATGTGAAGGTTAGTTTGTAATTTTTCCTTCTTTTCCATAAACCAAGCTTCATAATAGGAAAATATCCTTTCTGTTCTCTGGTGGGGCCAAGGGTGGAAAGAAGGAGCAAGAGTTACTTAAAGGTCACCTTTATCCCGAGAGTGTGTCTTTAAGAGGAGTGTCTCTTATTTGACTCCCCAACTTGGGAAAACCCTAAAGACTTTATACTTGAAAACCCAAACTCTAGTTCTTTGAGTTCAGCAAATGCTGTTGGGGAAAATGCCAACTTATCTCTTCAAATTCCTCTTTCCACTTAGTTTTTGGCCAATTAGGAATCCTCCTTCTTGGTCAGTTTACCTATACATTTTAAAAGATATTTTGAAACAAACTTTGAGCACTTCTAGTGGTTGTTATTGGTTGGCCAAGGCAGGGAAACCAATTTGCCAAGAAAAAAAAAACAAAGTCTCTCATTTTTAAAAAATTCGCTTATATTAAAAATATTAAATAATACAAATGCAGAAAAAGAAAACCTTTTTCTCCAGTCCCCCAAATCCCTCTGTTACTAGTTTGTGCATGTGTGAAGATTTCCAGAGTTAGTCTGTGTGTATAAAAGCATACCTATTCACACCCACCCGCTCTTCCACGAGACAGCCTTTTGTAGGAGAAGTGGTAGCATCCTGTGTGCACCTGTTTTTTTTCATTAATAATACATCTTGAGAATTGCCCATATCAGTGCATACAGACACAAGTCATTATTTTTAAAAAGTGCATATGGTTTCATTTTATGTATGTACTATAATTTCTTTAACTTGCCCTTATTAAAGGTTACTTGTTTATTACCTTTATTTACAATAAATAATCCTATAATAAATTATCTTCTACAATAATTGCTTGAGTATGTAAATATGTCTGTGGGCTAAATTTTTTCTCTAAGGAAATTTTTGGGTCAAATGACTATCACAAATTATTATAACAATTGTTTCTGCCAAATTGTCTCCAATGATATTGAACCAAGTTACACTCCACTAAAAATGTACAGCAGTGCCTTTTCCCTTAGACTTTCATTAACATAGAATAATATAAAATGTTTATATCTCCACTTATCTGATAGGTGAAAGTAGAATCTTATTCAAATTTTGCTTTGCATTTTTCTTATAATGGAGAAAGTTGACCTCTGCCTTATTCTTATAACTCTTTCCTTTGTTGCTTTCAATATATTTTACTACTTCAGTCCTTCCTTTAGGTCTAACTGTTTTTTAATAAACTTTCTCACTAAATTCCTTTCTTCTACTCAGTGTAGAAGTTTAGGCATTTTTCAAAGTTCTGTTCTCTAACCTTGTTCTTTTTCTGTATTTTAAAATTTCTATGATTTTAACAATTGCATCCACCCAGAAAACCCTCAAGTTTATATATTTAATTTCAAATTTCCTACTGATTGTTAAGTAGCCATGCATGGATGTTGTAATAGTAAACACCTCAACTTTGTATTTCTAAAAAACCACTTCTAATATAAATAGTTCTTCTTTTTGATTCTTCTGTTTTCATCAATGGCTCCATCTCTGAGTCACAGAATACCTTGTTTCCCATTCCTATTTAAAAGCTTAAATTGCCAAGGATTATAGGAATTGTGGGCCTGGAACTGGGAACAAAGACCAAATATTATTTATTATTATTTATTATACCACAGTTGCTAAGTGTAATTCTGGGCATTGATTATATACATAATCAATTATATATATAATCAAGTGTCCAATTACCTCAGCCTTCTCTCAACTGTCATGTGCTTGCTATAGACAGCAGCAACATTTGCTCAAGTCATCTTTCCGTTTGGGAAATAGTTGATTGGAAACTGCCTGCATCTCCCTGTGGCTGATTTTATTTATTTTGCATTTGTCTTATTTGGGCCCAAACTTCCTTTCCTAATTCTTTCACAACTAGTGTCAGTTACAGATAAACTTTGGACATGTTATTTGTGTTAAGGGTAGAATATGGCTGCAGGATATTTGAAGATAGGAATTGTGTGGTGTGAACTAGAAAATGACTGTAGATTCTCTATAAGGTACAGAACAAGGGCAAAGTCATTTTTTAGGGTTTCCAGGTGTGATGTACATGGCACATTGATAAAATCGATAAAATTGATAAAATCAAGCTAAGCCAATGGTAATCTATGGAGCCTTCAGTTTCATAAGATTCAGTGTAATCTATATAATTCCAGGCTTACAAAACAGGTCATTCTCTAGGTGAATAATCTCATCCAAGTCTTTTCAAGGTGGAGCTCCACATCTTCTGGTTTGACAGCTCAGCTACTTTCAGGTGAATGGTCTTTACCTAGAATCATACTTAGACAATGTAAATAATATTTGTAATTGCCAGCTATTGCCCAATAACGTTGCACAAGGAACCACCCCAAAGCTCTAGGGATTACAAAGATAAGCATTTGTTTATGTATTCATTTTTTTGCTTACAGGAGAGGCTTTGCTTTAGGGTGTGAGTCAGCCTATTGCCATGCCTCTTAAGACATCTGCTTACATCATTTTCACTGAAGCTCCTCTGTCCAAAGCAAAAGCAAGACACCTTACCTAACCAAGTCCAAGGTCAATGAAGCATGGAATTATACTCTGCCTGAACCTTGAAGAAGAAGGGAATGAATATTTGCTGAATAGGAGTTTAATCCTTCACAGTGCTGAAGCTCAGAGTGGAGAACATTTTCAACAGCACAACTCAGAAGAGTTGTCTTTTATCTGAAACTTGTTCTAACTATAATGAAGATGCCTGAGAAATCCCAAATTGTTTTTTTTTTTTCATTGCTCTTCCCAAAATATCCTTCTTTAATTTTTAATGAGATCAAAAAGCGTTTTGCATTATTAACCAATAAAATCCAAGAGTGTTTTTAAGGTACTGTTTTTCACCTTTAGCTCTCATTGTTTTTTGTTTCTATTTTTGTATGTTTTAGAATGTGTCTTCTTTTTTTTTTTATTGATCATTCTTGGGTGTTTCTCGCAGAGGGGGATTTGGCAGGGTCACAGGACAATAGTGGAGGGAAGGTCAGCAGATAAACAAGTGAACAAAGGTCTCTGGTTTTCCTAGGCAGAGGACCCTGTGGCCTTCTGCAGTGTTTGTGTCCCTGGGTACTTGAGATTAGGGAGTGGTGATGACTCTTAACGAGCATGCTGCCTTCAAGCATCTGTTTAACAAAGCACATCTTGCACCGCCCTTAATCCATTCAACCCTGAGTGGACACAGCACATGTTTCAGAGAGCACAGGGTTGGGGGTAAGGTCACCGATCAACAGGATCCCAAGGCAGAAGAATTTTTCTTAGTACAGAACAAAATGAAAAGTCTCCCATGTCTACTTCTCTCTACACAGACACGGCAACCATCCGATTTCTCAATCTTTTCCCCACCTTTCCCCCCATTCTATTCCACAAAACCGCCATTGTCATCATGGCCCGTTCTCAATGAGCTGTTGGGTACACCTCCCAGACGGGGTGGTGGCCGGGCAGAGGGGCTCCTCACTTCCCAGTAGGTGCGGCCGGGCAGAGGCGCCCCTAACCTCCCGGATGGGGCGTCTGGCTGGACGGGGGGCTGACCCCCCCCACCTCCCTCCTGGACGGGGCAGCTGGCCGGGCAGAGGGGCTCCTCACTTCCCAGTAGGGGCGGCAGCCAGGCAGAGGCGCCCCTCACTTCCCAGATGGGTCGGCTGGCCGGGCGGGGGGCTGACCCCCCCACCTCCCTCCCGGACAGGGCAGCTGGCTGGGTGGGGGGCTGACCCCCCCACCTCCCTCCTGGACAGGGCGGCTGGCCGGGCAGGGGGGCTCCTCACTTCCCAGTAGGGGCGGCCAGGCAGAGGCGCCCCTCACCTCCTGGACGGGGCGGCTGGCTGGGCGGGGGGCTGATCCCCCCACCTCCCTCCCGGACGAGGTGGCTGCCGGGCGGAGACGCTCCTCACTTCCCAGACGGGGTGGCTGCTGGGCGGAGGGGCTCCTCACATCCCAGATGGGGCGGCAGGGCAGAGGTGCTCCCCACATCTCAGACGATGGGCGGCCGGGCAGAGACGCTCCTCACTTCCCAGATGTGATGGCGGCTGGGAAGAGGCGCTCCTCACTTCCTAGATGGGATGGCGGCCGGGCGGAGACGCTCCTCACTTCCCAGACGGGGTGGCGGCCGGGCAGAGGCTGCAATCTTGGCACTTTGGGAGGCCAAGGCAGGCTGCTGGGAGGTGGAGGTTGTAGCGAGCCGAGATCACGCCACTGCACTCCAGCCTGGGCACCATTGAGCACCGAGTGAACGAGACTCCATCTGCAATCCCGGCACCTCGGGAGGCCGAGGCTGGCGGATCACTCGCGGTTAGGAGCTGGAGACCAGCCCGGCCAACACAGCAAAACCCCGTCTCCACCAAAAAAATACGAAAACCAGTCAGGCGTGGCGGCGCGCGCCTGCAATCGCAGGCACTCGGCAAGCTGAGGCAGGAGAATCAGGCAGGGAGGTTGCAGTGAGCCGAGATGGCAGCAGTACCGTCCAGCTTCGGCTCGGCATCAGAGGGAGACCGTGGAAAGAGAGGGAGAGGGAGACCGTGGGGAGAGGGAGAGGGAGAGGGAGAGCCCAAATTGTTACCTTTGAAAAAGTGAATATAGTATTCCTTGCTTTTCACATTTAATATATGACATGATTTTATTGGTTTGAGAAGGGGTCTTGCTATGTTGTGAGGCTGGACTCAAACTCCTGGGCTTAAGTGTGATCCTTCCACCTCAGGCTCCCAAGTAGCTGAGATTACAGGCTCACACCATTGTACCCAGATCACGTTTAATACATTCTTGAATTGCTGGGAAAGATGGCAGAATAGGCACAGCTCCAGCCTGTAGCTCCCAGCAAGACCAATGCAGAAGGCAGGTGATTTCTATATTTCCAACTGAGGTACCCTCTTCATCTCATTGGGACTGGTTAGGCAGTGGATGCAGCCCATGGAGGGCGAGCAGAAGCAGGGTGGGGTGTCACCTTGCCCAGGAAGTGCAAGGAGCGGGGTAGGGGGGTCTCCTTTTCCCAGCCAAGGGAGGCTGTGAGGGACTGTGCTATATAGCCCAGATACTACACTTTCCCCATGGCTTTTGCAGTCCACAGACCAGGAGATTCTCTCATGTGTTTACACCACCAGGGCCCTGGTTTCAAGCATAAAACTGGGCAGCTGTTCAGGCAGACACTGAGCTAGCACAGGAGTTTCCAGTGGTGCCTGGAACCCCAGTGAGACAGAGCTGTTGACTCCCCTGGAAAGGGTGCTGAAGCCAGTGAGCCAAGTGGTCTTTCTCAGCGGGTCCCACTCCCATGGAGTCGACCAAACTAAGAACCACTGGCTTGAAATTCTCACTGTCAGCACAGAAGTCTAAAGTTGACCTGGTACAATTAAGCTTGGTGGGGGAGGGGGACATCCACCATTACTGAGGCTTGAGTAGGCAGTTTTTCCCTGACAACACTAAGGAGGCCTGGAAGTTTGGACTGGGCAGAACTCAACACAGCACAGCAAAGTGGCTGTGGCCAGACTGCCTCTCTAGATTCCTCCTCAATGGGCAGGGCATCTCCAAAAGAAAGCAGCAGCCCCCGTCAGGGGCTTAAAGATAAAACTCACATCTCCCTGGGACAGAGCACCTGGGGGAAGGCGCAGCTTCAGTGGACTTAAACATCCCTGCCTTCCTGCTCTGAAGAGATCAGCAGATCCTAACAAGGAGGGTTCTCCCAGCACAGTGCTCGAGCACTGCTAAGGAACAGACTGCCTCCTCAAGTGGGTCCCTGACCCCAGTGCCTCCTGACTGGGAGAGACCTCCCAACAGGAGTCGACAGACACATCACAGAGGAGAGCTCTGGCTGGCATCATGTCAGTGCCCCTCTGGGATGAAGCTTCCAGAGGAAGAAGCAGGCAGCAATCTTTGCTGTTCTGCAGCCTCTGCTGGTGATACCTAGGCAAATAGGGTCTGGAGTGGACCTCCAGCAAACTGCAGAAGAGAGGCCTGACTGCTACAATATAAACTAACAAACAGAAAGCAATAACGTCAACATCAGCAAAAAGGACCCCGACACAGAAACCCCATCCAAAGATCATCAGCCTCAAAAATCAAAGGTAGATGAATCCAGGAAGATGAGGAAAAACTAGTGCAAAAAGGCTGAAAATTCCTAAAATCAAAACGTCTCTTCTTCAAATGATCGCAACTCTTCTCCAGCAAGGGCATAAAACTGGACAGAGAATGAGTTTGACAAATTGACAGAAATAGGCTGCAGAAGATGGGTAATAACAAACTCCTCTGTGTTGCAGGAAGTCAGGGACCCCGAATAGAGGGACCGGCTGGAGCTGAGGCAGAAGAACATAAATTGTAAAGATTTCATGGACTTTTATCCATTCCCAAAATTAATACTTTTATAATTTCTTACACCTGTCTTTACTGCAATCTCTGAACACAAATTGTGAAGATTTCATGGACATTTATCACTTCCCCAATCAATACTCTTATAATTTCTTATGCCTGTCTTTACTTTAATCTCTTAATCCTGTTATCTTCGTAAGCTGAGAACATATGTTGCCTCAGGACCACTATTGACAAACTGATTGTAGAACATGTGTTTGAACAATATGAAATCTAATTGTAAAAAATATGTGTTTGCACAATATGAAATCAGTACACCCTGAAAAAGAACAGAATAACAGCAATTTTCAGGGAACAAGGGAAGATAACCATAAGGTCTGACTGCCTGTGGGGTTGGGCAGAATAGAGCCATATTTTTTGTCTTGCAGGGAGCCTATAAATGGAAGTGCAAGTAGGAGAAATATCGCTGAATTCTTTTCCCAGCAAGGAATGTTAATAATTGAGACCCCAGGGAAGGAATGCATTCCTGGGGGTAGGTCTGTAGACAGCCGCTCTGGGAGTGTCTGTCTTATGCAGTTGAGATTAGGACTGAAATATGCCCTGGTCTCCTGCAGTACCCTCAGGCTTACTAGGATTGGGAAATTCCAGCCTGGTAAATTCTAGTCAGATGGGTTGTCTGCTCTCAAGTCAGACCAGTTGTCTGCTCTCAAACCCTGTTTCCTGTTAAGATGTTTATCAAGACAATGCATGCACAGCGGGACATGGACCCTCATCAGTAATTCTAATTTTGCCTTTGCCTTGTGATCTTTACAGCCTTTTGAAGCATGTGATCCTTGTGACCTACTCCCTGTTTGTACACCTCCTCCCCTTTCAAAATCCCTAATAAAAACTTGCTGGTTTTACAGCTCGAGGTCACCATCACAGTCCTACCAATATGTGATGACACCTCAGAAGGCCCAGCTGTAAAATTTCTCTCTTTGTACTCTTTATTTCTCAGACTGGCCGACACTTAGGGAAAAATAGAAAGAACCTATATTGAAATATTGGGGGCTGGTTCCCTGATACCTCTAAGCTAAAGGAGCATGTTCTAACCCATCGCAGGGAAGCTAAGAACCTTGACAAAAGGTTACAGGAACTGCTAACTAGAATAAGCTGTTTAGAGAAGAACATAAATGATCTGATGGAGCTGAAAAACACAGCACAAGAACTTGGTGAAGCATACAAAGTATCAATAGATGAATTGATCAAACAGAAGAAAGGATATCAGAGTTTGAAGACCAACTTACTGAAATAAAGTGTGAAGACAAGACTAGAGAAAAAAGAATGAAAAGGAATGAACAAAGCCTCCAAGAAATATGGGACTATGTGAAAAGACCAAACCTACAATTGATTGGGGTCCCCGAAAGTGACAGGGAGAATGGAACCAAGTTGGAAAACACACATCAGGATATTATCCAGAAAAACTTCTCCAACCTAGCAAGACAGGCCAACATTCAAATTCAGGAAATACAGAGAACACCAAGATACTCCTCGAGAAGAGCAACCCCAAGACACATAATCATCAGGTTCTCCAAGGTTAAAACAGAGGAAAAAATGTTAAGGGCAGCCAGAGAGAAAGATCAGGTTACCCATAAAGGGAAGCCCATCAGACTAGCAGTGGATCTCTCTGCAGAAACCATACAAGCCAGAAGAGAGTGGGGGCCAATATTCAACATTCTTAAAGAAAAGAATTTTCAAACCAGAATTTCATATCCAGCCAAACTAAGCTTCATAAGCGAAGGAGAAATAAAAGCCTTTACATACAAGCAAATGCTGAGGGATTTTGTCACCACCAGGCCTGCCTTACAAGAACTCCTGAAGGAAGCACTAAATATGGAAAGGAAAAACTGGTACCAGCCACTGCAAAAACACACCAAAATATAATGACTATCGACACTATGAAGAAACTGCATCAATGAATGTGCAAAATAACCAGCTAGTGTCATGATGACAGGATCAAATTCACACATAACAATATTAACCTTAAATGTAAATGGGCTAAATGCCCCAATTAAAAGGCACAGATTGGCAAATTGGATAAAGAATCAAGACCCATTGCTGTGCTGTATTCATCAGACTCATCTCATGTGCAAAGACACACATAGGCTCAAAATAAAGGAATGGAGGAATATTTACCAAGCAAATGGAAAGCAAGAAATGCAGGAGTTGCAATCCTAGTCTATGATAAAACATATTTTAAACCAACAAAGGTCAAAAAAGACAAAGAAGGGCATTACATAATGGTAAAGGGATCAATGCAACAAGAAGAGCTAACTATCCTAAATATATATGCACCCAGTACAGGAGCACCCAGATGCATAAAACAAGTTCTTAGAGACCTACAAAGAGACTTAGACTCCCACACAATAATAGTGAGAGAATTTAACATCCCACTGTCAATATTAGACAGATCAATGAGACAGAAAATTAACAAGGATATTCAGGACTTGAACTCAGCTTTGGACCAAGCAGACCTAATAGATATCTACAGAACTCTCCACCCCAAATCAACAGAATATACGTTCTTCTCAGCACCACATTGCACTTATTCTAAAATCGACCACAAAATTGGAAGTAAAACACTCCTCAGCAAATGCAAAAGAGTGGAAATCCTAACAAACAGTCTCTCAGACCACAGTGCAATAAAATTAGAACTCAGGATTAGGAAACTCACTCAAAACTGTACAACTACATGGAAACTGAACCACCTGCTCCTGGATGACTACTGGGTAAATAATGAAATTAAGGCAGAAATAATGAAGTTCTTTGAAACCAATGAGAACAAAGAAACAACTTACTGTAATCTCTGGGACAGAGCTAAAGCAGTGTTTAGAGGGAAATTTATAGCACTAAATGCCCACATCAGAAAGTGGGAAAGCTCTAATATCGACATCCTAAAATCACAATTAAAAGAACTAGAGAAGGAAGAGCAAACAAATAAAAGCTAGCAGAAGACAAGAAATAACTAAGATCAGAGCAGAACTGAAGAAGATAGAGATACGAAAAACCCTTTAAAAAATCAATGAATCCAGGAGCTGGTTTTTTGAAGAGATTAACAAAATAGATAGACCACTAGCTGGACTAATAAAAGAGATAAGAGAGAAAAATCAAATAAACACAATAAAAAATGATAAAGGAGATATCACCACTGATTCCAAAGAAATACAATCTACCATCAGAGAATACTATAAACACCTCTATGCAAATAAACTAGAAAATTGGCCAGACACAGTGGCTCACACCTGTAATCCCAGCACTTTGGGAAGCCAAGGTGGGCAAATCACGTGGGGTTGGGAGTTCAAGACCAGCCTGACCAACATGGAGAAACCTTGTCTCTACTAAAAAATAGAAAATTAGCAAGGCATGGTGGCGCATGTCTGTAATCCCAGCTACTCGGGAAGCTGAGGCAGGAGAATCACTTGAACCCGGGAGTCGGAGGTTGCGGTGAGCCGAGATTGTGCCATTGCACTCCAGCCTGTGCAACAAGAGGGAAACTCTGTCCTCCCCCCTCCCCCCCCACAAAAAAAAAGAAAATCTAGAAGAAATGGATAAATTCCTGGACACATACACACTCCCATGACTAAACCAGGAAGAAGTCGAATCCCTGAATAGACCAATAACAAGTTCTGAAATTGAGACAGTAATTAATAGCCTACCAACCAAAAAAAGCCCAGGACTAGACAGATTCACAGCTGAATTCTACCAGAGGTACAAAGAGGAGATTGTACCATTCCTTCTGAAATGAATCCAAACAATAGCAAAAGAGGGACTCCTCCCTAACTCATTTTATGAGGCCAGTATCATCCTGATTTCAAAACCTGGCAGACACACATCAAAAAAAGAAAATTTCAGGCCAACATCTCTGATAAACATCGATGCAAAAATCCTCAGTAAAACAC
The DNA here is from genome assembly GCF_000001405.40 of Homo sapiens. Lineage (NCBI taxonomy): Eukaryota > Metazoa > Chordata > Mammalia > Primates > Hominidae > Homo > Homo sapiens. The sequence continues at coordinate 56,278,710 of NC_000008.11, forward strand.
GGGCAAACTGAATCCAGCAGCACATCAAAAGCCAAGACAAAGTTGGCTTCCTCCCTGGGATGCAAGGCTGGTCCAACATATGTAAATCAATAAATGTAATCCATCACATAAACAGAACCAATGACAAAAACCACATGATTATCTCAATAGATGCAGAAAAGGCCTTTGACAAAATTCAACACCGCTTCATGCTAAAAACTCTCAATGAACTATGTATTGATGGCACATATCTCAAAATAATAAGAGCTATTTATGACAAACCCATAGCCAATATCATACTGAATGAGCAAAAGCTGGAAGCAATCCCTTTGAAAACCAGCACAAGGCAAGGATGACCTCTCTCACCACTCCTATTCAACATAGTATTGGAAGTTCTGGCCAGGGCAATCAGGCCAGAGAAAGAAACAAAGGGTATTCAAATAGGAAGAGAGGAAGTCAAATTGTCCTGTTTGCAGATGACATGATTGCATATTTAGAAAACCCCACCATCTCAGCCCCAAAACTTCTTAAGCGGATAAACAACTTCAGCAAAGTCTCAGGATACAAAATTAATGTGCAAAAATCATGAGCATTCCTATACAACAATAATAGACAAGCTGAGAGCCAAATCATGAGTGAACTCCCATTCACAATTGCTACTAAGAGAATAAAATACCTAGGAATCCAACCTACAAGGGACGTGAAGGACCTCTTCAAGGAAAACTACAAACCACTGCTCAAGGAAATAAGAGAGGACACAAACAAATGGAAAAAAATTCCGTGCTCATGGATAGGAAGAATCAATATCACGAAAAAGTAATTTTTAGGTTCAATGCTATTCCCATCAAGCTACCATTGACTTTCTTCACAGAACTAAAAAAACTACTTTAAATTTCATATGGAACCAAAAAAGAGCCCATATGGCTAAAACAATCCTAAGCAAAAAGAACAAAGCGGGAGGCATCACGCTACCTGACTTCAAACTATACTACAACCAAAACAGCATGGTACTGGTACCAAAACAGATATATAGACCAATGGAACAGAACAGAGGCCTCAGAAATAACACCACACATCTACAACCATCTGATCTTCGACAAACCTGACAAAAATAAGCAATGGGGAAAGGATTCCCTATTTAATAAGTGGTGCTGGGAAAACTGGGTAGCCATATGCAGAAAACAGGAACTGGACTCCTTCCTTACGCCTTACACAAAAATTAGCTCAGGATGGATTAAAGACTTAAATGTAAAACCTAAAACCATAAAAACCCTAGAAGAAAACCTAGGCAATACCATTCAGGACGTAGGCATGGGCAAAGACTTCTTGACTAAAATACCAAAAGCAATGGCAACAAAAGCCAAAACTGACAAATGGGATCTAATTAACAGCCACATGTGGAGTTCTTATGGTAAGAATTTACTTCCTGCAGTAAGCAGTCCTTTGTCATCTGCCATGATCCACCTAATATGGGTAAGGATCAGACTAATGAGCTAAGTGCATATTAGAGGAGCACCACATCTCTGCCTCCTGTTAGTTTCTGAGGGTGGCACTACACTCTGCCATTTCCCCTAGGAAGTGACTTTGGTATTGATTTACTATCTTGACTGGGTCAGTGGTGTGGACAGTGAGTGGTTTGCGCTTTGCTATTACAGCAGCTCTTACTGCACAGATCAAGAAATCTATGTGGGGGTTCTGCCAATTACTAAGTATGTTCATTTCAGTCTTACATTCTGGAAGCAAGGTAAACACTCCTGGGTGGACTTGTGGATCCAGTGGACCCACGTGAAATGGACCTGAGTCCACGCTTTGTTTATTCCTTGGTCCCCGTAAGTCCTTACTCAAAGGGAGGACAATGATGGCATTTTGAGTCTCCAGATATCAGTACCAACTCAAACTTGCTCTGACAGCCTTCAAAAAGTCTGGGCATTCTCTTTCCCCAGAATACAGTTACGCAAGTGACTGCAGATTTTCATAGGTTTTTTTGAGGGAAGCCTAGGAAGGGGGCTGTCATTGTTTATACACCTTTGTTGCAGAATTCCAGGCCCGTCCTCAGAGGACTTGGTCTCTGAGAACTAGCTCTAGTCTGAAAATTAGACAAAGGATTTCCACTGGAGCAGCTGACCCCAGCTTTCTGCTTATCTGTTCTTGCTATCTTTTGATTATATATACATATAATTATATAATCTGTATATAAATTATATGTATATTACATACTATATATATTTGATTATTATATATAATAGCAGTATCTTTATGGGCTACCTATCTGTTTTGCTCTAGAAGTACTAAACTCTTTTTAAAAAAATATTTTCAACTTTCATTTTAGATTCAGGGGGTGCACATGCAGGTTTGTTACATGAATATATTTTGTGATGCTGAGGTTTGGGATGCCAATGATCCCATCAGCCAGGTAGTGCGCATAGTACCCAACAGTTAGCTTTTCAGCCCTTGCTCCTCTCTCTCCCTCCCCTCTCTAGTAGTCTCTAGTGTCTATTGTTACCATTTTTATGTCCATGAATACCCATTTACAAGTGAGAACATGTGATTTTTGGTTTTCTGTTCCTGTGTTAATTTGCTTAGGGTAATGGCCTCCAGCTGCATCCATATTGCTGTAAAGGACATGATTTTCTTCTTGTTTTATGGCTGCATAGTATTCCATGGTGTATTGGTCCATTCTCACATTGCTATAAATAAATACCTGAGACTGGGTAATTTATAAAGAAAAGAGGTTTAATTGGCTCTCGGTTCTGCAGGCTGTACAGGAAGCATAGGGGCATCTGCTTCTAGGGAGGCCTCAGGAAGCTTCCAATCATGGCAGAAGGCAAAAGGGGAGTGAGGAGTGTCACATGACAGGGGCAGGGGCAAGAGAGAGTGAGTAGGGAGGTGCCACACACTTTTAAATGATCAAATCCTGTGAGAACTAACTCACTACTGTGAGTACAGTACCAAGGCAGAGATGGTGCTAAACTATTCATGAGAAATTGCCTTCATGATCCAGTCACCGCCCACCAGGCCCCACCTCCAACATTGGGAATTACAATTTGACATGAGATTTGGTGGGGACATAGATCCAAGCCATATCACATGGTATATAGATACCACATTTTCTTTATCCAGTCCACTGTTGATTGGCACCTAGGTGTATTCTATTTCTTTGCTATTGTGAATAGTGTTGTGATGAACATATATGTGCATGTGTCTTTTTGGTAGAACAATTTATTTTGGATATATACCCCGTAGCAGGATTTGAAGTACTGAATTCTAAGAGCCATCCCCAGAGAGCCCAGTGGCTCAGGTCTCTGGCTGCCAGTGCTGAAATTCCTCCCATTTGCTTCTGCTATTTGGGGGCTTCTAGCATCTTTATTCTACTAGGTTGCTCAGTAACAATATCTCTAACCTTCAGCTCCAGCTAGTAGACGGCAGACACTACTGAGATCCTCAGTGATGCTTCTGGCCAGTAAATTTGTTACCATCTCAGTGAGCCACGTCTCACTTGGTCCGTCCCCAAGGATATTGCCAACCAATGGCTCTTATTTCCCCAGCAGGCCCACTTCTCTGCATCTTTTGATCCCTTCCTCCAAAGTCTGTCATGGGGTATTTGAGCATTTCTCCTTCATTTAATATGGCTACCTTAGCACTATGTAAGAACCTGGAAATGTTTCCTTGGGCCCTTGATAGGGTGTCAGCTCTTGTGTCATGGGAGAGTTCTTCCTAACTGGTGGGCTCTGCTTATCCAGCTGTGTCTTTCTTTCTTTCTTTCTTTCTTTCTTTCTTTCTTTCTTTCTTTCTTTCTTTCTTTTCTTTCTTTCTTTCTTTCTTTCCTTCTTTCTCTTTCTTTCTTTCTTTCTTTCTTTCTTTCTTTCTTTCTTTCTTTCTTTCTTTCTTTCTTTCTTTCTTTCTTTCTTTCTTTTTTTCTTTCTTTCTTTCCTTTTTTTTTTGAGACAGAATTTTGCTCTTGTTGCCGAGGCTGGAGTGCAATGGTGCAATCTTGGCTCACTGCAGCCTCCGCCTCCTGGGTTCAAGTGATTCTCCTGCCTCAGCCTCCCGAGTAGCTGGAATTATAGGTGCCTGCCACCACGTCTGGCTAATTGTTTGTATTTTAGTAGAGATGGGGTTTCACCATGTTGGCTAGGCTGGTCTGGAACTCCTGGCCTCAGGTGATCTGCCTGCCTCGCCCTCCCAAAGTGCTGCAATTACAGGCATGAGCCACCGTGCCTGGTCACAGCTGTGTCTTTCTGTCTCTCATCTCAATCCAGTCCCTAAGACGTCGCTCCCGATTCTGCTCTCCTGATACTGGCCAGCCACTTGGGCCAGGCACTGTAACACTGCTGCCTCATAATTTCTGTTCTTCCTCAGCAGTCCCATAACTTTCTTGGTAGGACCATGCTGAGATTTGATGCTAGTTATTGGCATGGTGGCTGGGAGAAGGGAGCATATCTTGAGGAAGGCAAGGGTAAAGTTGAAGGACCTCCTTTGAGGCTTAGTATGGTCTTCAAGTATGGGGAGGAGCCACTATTCCAGAAAGGAGGGCTTTCTTCCCTAACAAAGGAGAGTGGCCCAAGACAAGCTGGAGGATCAAGAGTCTCAACTGTACCAACCTGGGTTCTCTGCCCTAGTTCCCGGGTCCCACCGCTTCCTTACCAGGGTCTTTAGAGCTCAAGATAAAAAGTAAAAAAACTAAGTTGTTTTAATTACTGAAATAAATAACTGGAGAAACAAGCAGATTAGGAAGGAGGTTTTCCCTAGGTCTTTACTGGAATAGTGAAGTTAGTTTCTCACTTTTAAGGTTGAAATGCACATCAGAAATACCCCATCTGTTTTTCTTTGTATCTGACACCTTGTGCCAAATTGGCATGCAATAGTGGATTACTTTTCTTTTTTTTGAGACAGAGTCTCTCACTGTCTGCAGTTCTGAGATTCTTTGAATTAAGCTCTGTGCTTCTCTTCAGCTCTGTCTGTCCTACATCTACAGGTGATGAGGGTCTTTTCAAATAGCACCAAGGCTGCCCTTTGACCTTCACAATTTGCTTTATATGGGGATTAACCAAACTGAGCCAGTCATTTTCTTCCTCTAATGCATCAAGGGTATCCAGAAACAGCCACCCAATTCCACAGTTTTTATAATTACCATTTCTCCTGTATATGTCATATGCAGGGATGTTGTACCAATCAGCGCATCCCATCCCAGCTCATCACAGGGGGATGTTTGAACAACTCCATTGATATAACATGCCAAACTTTTTTGCTAGGAGGGTCCTCCTTGATAGCAGTTGATTCAATTCCAGACTTCCTTCCTTAGAACCTGCCTTGTAGGCCCATTCCTAGTGTCAACAACTGTCTTAGATCAGATTCCCCAGCAGCAGAGCCTGAGATGAGATCTAAGTGTATGAGATCTATTAATATTGGGTTTGCCTGATCTTATGACTTACTTGGTAATCTGAGAGTCCTCATCTCATATGGGAAGTTCGGTTGTGTATTTACTTGATGTCCCATAGTCAGATGCTCCAGGGCCTGGTGAGATGTTAGGAGGTGATTTTCTATTGTGGATAGCAGAATCTTGCTCCGGAGATCTAGAAGCATGCCTGCATCTGTTGTACATCTACTATCGTGGGAACTTCTGGGTCCTATGGTCCAAGTAGTGGAGCTTGGCTGTGCTTCAGAGCCCCTTCTTATTCTGGGCCACTTAAAACTAGCAGCCTAAACACTAGCAGTTATATGGACATCACTCCATAAAAAATGGGTTGATTGTTAAAAACCTGTAAGGCAGAGAGAGGGAAGCTTTAGGGAAGGGGTAAGAGCTAAGCAAGGGTTTGGCTAAGTAAAGTCTCACTTTGACATGATGGGGGAGGAGGGGTCATTTTAGAGCTGAAATTGTATCACAGAGTTGTCCCCCTTGTATCCTGAGTCAAATAGACATTGGCCACCAGGGCGGTTATCACTGGCTCTAGTAAGGCAAGCAGAAGTCTTTGGAGAAGACCACAGGGGTAAACCGTTAGCAATCACTTGCAGTAGCTGGGGACAAGGTATCAGTAGGTAGAGGTCTGGGCAGGGCATCAACAGTATCTATGCATCCTCATTTTCATTGAAGACACAGGAAACAGAAAAATTTTAAAAAGTCACCCATATCCGTGCCACTGCACTCTAGCCTGGGAGACAGAGCGAGAATCCATCTCAAAAAAACCAAAAAAACAAAAAAACAAAAAAATATACAGTCACCCATAGTCGGCCAGGTGTGGTGGCTCACGCCTGTAATCCCAGCAATTTGGGAGGCTGAGGTGGGTGGATCGCCTGAGGTCAGGAGTTTGAGACCAACCTGGCCAACATGGTAAAACCCTGTCTCTACTAATAATACAAAAAAAAATTAGCTGGGTGTGGTGGTGCACACTTGTAATCCTAGCTACTCGGGAGGCTGAGGCCAGAGAATCACTTGAACCTGGGAGCTGGAGGTTGCAATGAGCCAGGATTGTGCCACTGCACTGCAGCCTAGGAAACAAGAACAAAATTCCGTCTGCAAAAAAAAAAAAAAAAAAAAAAAAAAATCACCCATAGTCATGCTACCCATTGAAGCAGCATCTAAGCCATAAAGTTTTCCCCAAATGAGTTTGAATTGTTTTAACTCATATTTGATATAGTTGTGATTATACACAATTTATTAACCTATTTCTTATATCGTCACTAGCACTTCTCATTCACCATAAGATTTTTAGAAACATATTTTTAATGCAATATAAATATTTAAACACTTATCATCATAATGAAAAGTTAAATTTAAGAACAAGAAGCAACCTCTAATTTCATATGACATTTTCAAAAATAAGGGTGTGGCTAGGGCTTTCCTGGGGATACCAAGTCCATACCATCCCTGGTCAGCCTGTAAACTGGAGGAGATGGAGGGTCTGTGCATGTACATTCCTGGATAATGGGTCGATGAGGACTGTTAAGGGCCAATATTATACTAGGGTCCAAAACTTTGAATGTCAGCATGGGAAGGCAGGTAACACAAACAGGTGCGATGTCATACCAACAGAAAGGAAAGATGCCCCAAAAGGATAGTTGCTGAAGCAAATACTGCCATGCAGTGCCTTCTGATGACTTGAGTAAGAATTGTGTGTGTGATGTGTATGAAACCTCTTGAGTTTTAAGGATTGGCCCATTTTCTTCAGACAGGGTTCAGGTCACATTCAGCAGTGAGTGGCAGCCTCAGTTCAGATGTGTGCACTGAACTCTGTGCTGTTTGGGAGCAGTCACAGAATGCTGTCCTCACACTCAGAGGCCTCATATGCTGCATGCAGGTGACAGATTAAGAAATCAGGTTGTACAATCACAGCATCTGGGTCTCTAATCTTTTAATCTCAGTACTTTCTGAATTTTGGCCCTATCGAATCATTCTTGCAGCAGCCTCAGCCCTTACCTCAGCTTCAAATTAAGTCTCAGGACCTGGCTACGCTACTTGCCTTGGGAGGGTCAACAGTGAACATCCCTGTTGAAAAGGCAGCCTCTTTAACAAGGCCAAGCTTTATTTTTTTTTTCTAGAAAAAAATTATGTACATGTTAAAATAAATATGGGAACGTCAACTTCTAATAACGGCAATATGGTGTAGAAGAAAGAGCTGCATTAGCCATCATTTTCAATACAGAAGAAGGGGAAACAATTACAGAAAAAAAAGAGATTTAAAATTAATAAAAGAGTATTATAAATAGCTATATGATAACTGAAAACTGGAATGAAATTACTACATTCCTAGAAAAATATACAGTTTAAAAATTAATGCAAGACAACAAAAGAAACTATCAACAGAGTAAACAGACAACCTACAGAATGAGAGAAAATATTTGAAAGCCCTGTGTCCAACAAAGAACTAATATCCAGAATCTATAAAGAACTTAAACAAATCAACAGGAAAAAAACAAATAACCTCACTAAAAGTGAGCAAAAGATGAAAACACGCTTCTCAAAAGAAGACATACAAGTGGCCAACAAACATATGAAAAAATACTCAACGTCACTAATCATCAGAGAGATGCAAATCAAAATCACAATGAGATACTATCTCATACCAGTCAGAATGGCTATTATTAGTCAGCAAAAAACAGATATTGGTGAGATTGCAGAGAAAGGGGACACCTATACACAGTTGGTGGGAATGCAGATTCAGCCATTGTGGAAAGAAGTTCTGAGATTTCTCAAGAACTAAAAATAGAACTGCCATTTGACCCAGTAATCCCATTACTGAGTATATACTCAAAGGAAAATAAATCATTCTATCAAAAAGACACATGCACTTATATGTTTATAGCAGCACTATTCACAATAGCAAATACATACAATCAACCCAGGTGTCCATTAACAGTGGATTGGATAAAGAAACTGTGGTACCTATACACCATGCAATACTACGCAGCCATAAAAAAGAGCAAAATCACGTACTTTGCAGCTGGACGCCATTATTTTAAGCAAATTAATGTAGAAACAGAAAACCAAATACTTCATGTTCTCACTTATAAGTGGGAGCTAAACATAAGGTACATATGGACACAAAAATGGGAATAATAAACACTGGGGATTCCAAAAAGGGGGAGGCAGAGAAGGGGTAAGGGTTGAAAAACTATCAGGTACTATGTTCGCTATTTTGCAACAGAATCATTTAGAAGCCCAAACTTCAGTATCAGGCAATATACCTACATAAAAAACATGCACATGTAACCCCTGAGTCTAAAATTAAAAAATAAAATTTATGCAAGGGAAAATAGAGAACTTGAATCAACCAATGTGAATTAAATGAGTGAAAATAATGATCAAAGTACCTCCCTCTCAAAAGCCTACAAGCCCATGCAGTAAAGTTTGCCAAACTTTTTATGTACAAATTTGGTAAATTTGTACCAATTCCAGTTTTATACAAGTTATATCACAAAGTTGAAAAATCATATTTATAAGTTTAGAAACCCTTGGAAAATTTGGACTGCAAGGAAACTTTCTTCATTTGATAAAGTTTATGTAGCAAAAGACCTATAATAAACTTTAAACTTAATTAAGAAGCTTTATGCACATTTCTTTTAAAAACAAGAACAAGATATATATGCTCACTATTACCACTAGTGAAGATCCTAACCAATATTGAAAGGAAAGTGAAATAAGAGATGTAAAGATTGGGCCAGGCACAGTGGCTCATGCCTGGAATCCCAGCACTTTGGGAGGCCGAGGCCGGCGGATCACCTGAGGTCGGGAGTTTGAGACTAGCCTGGCCAACATGGAGAAACCCCATCTCTACTAAAAATACAAAATTTGCCGGGCATGGTGGTGCATGCCTGTAATCTCAGCTACTCGGGAGGCTGAGGCAGGAGAATCGCTTGAACCCAGGAGGCGGAGGTTGCCGTGAGCCGAGATCACGCCGTTGCACTCCAGCCTGGGCAACAAGTGTGAAACTCCGTCTCAAAACAAACAAAACAAAACAAAAAGAGAGATGTAAAGATTGGAGGTGATGCAGTGGATAAGATCACCTACCTAGAAAACCTGACATATTCAACAGATAAACTATCAGAACTAATGAAAAATCAGCAACTTTCTCAGATATGAGAATAGCCTATAAAAATCAAAAGCATTTCTCTAATAAGTAATAATCAACTTGAAAAAATTTGTTAATAAGATTGTACTCACAAACAGCAGCAAAAACTGTAATGATATCTAGGAATTAACCAAGAATGCACAAGACCTCTATGGAGAAAAAATTTAAAACTATTAAAAGACATTAAAAATCATTCAAATAAATTATCACTCTATTCTTTTGCATAGGATGAGGGGGTGATTTAATATCATAAAGATGTCAAATCTTCTTGAAAGAACCCATAAATGTGTTCAATACCCCTAAAACCCAGATTTTTAAGTGAACTTTTATACATGTAAAAATTATATGATGGAATTAAAGTCTAAAGTCCATTTAACTCAATCTTAAAAACAATGCCTTTTCTACTAGACATTAATAAAACTACAAAGCTCTACTTAGAAAAACCATTAGTACTGGTGCATGGACAGACAAGACCAATGGAACAAAATAGTGAGTCCAGAGACTCACGTAGATATAACAACTTAAAATATGATGAAGGAGGAATAATAAGGAACAAACAGATAGGCTCAACATGCGGAGAATATCAAAAATAGATTAGTACTCAATGCCACATATGAAGGTAGAGTCTAGATGGATTAAAAGCCTACATGAAATATAAATTAAAAGCAGAAAAATATATTATTATAACCTATGGGCAGGGAGGAACTTCTTTTTTTTGAGATGGAGTTTCACTCTCGTTGCCCAGGTTGGAGTGCAATGGCATGATCTTGGCTCACTGCAACCTCTGCCTCCCGGGTTCAAGCGATTCTCCTGCCTCAGCATCCTGAGTAGCTGGGATTACAGGCATGCGCCACCATGCCCGGCTAATTTTGTATTTTTAGTAGAGTTGGAGTTTCTCCATGTTGGTCAGGCTTGTCTTGAACTCCCGACTTCAGGTGATCTGCCTGCCTCGGCCTCCCAAAGAGGGAGGAACTTCTTAATCAAAACTTAAAAAACAAACTAGTGGCTTGATTCCATCAAAACGAGAGAATTAAGAAGATGGTAAGCTGGGAGAAGATATTTGCTGTATGTAATATCAGATGAGATAGGGCGCATTCAGGGTGGTATGGTCGTAGGTGGCTGTATGTAATATCAATAAGCAGTTAGTGCCTGGCATAGAGAAGAAACTGCAAATGAACAATCCCAGCAGACAAAAAGGGAAAGAATATGAACTGGCAATTTACAGAAGAGGAATCACCAAGGGCTAATAAGCATATCAGAGATGCTAAAAAATTAGAGAAATGTTAATTTATTTAAACAATGATATGACTTGACCATTATTAGACAGAGTAATACTGAAAACCAGGATAATGGCAAGTGTGGGGTTTCAGGTCCCCTCCCACACCCCAGACCCAGCATGTACTGTTCATCCTCATTATTCATGAATTTCATATTTGTGAATTTGCCTACTTGCTAAAATTTATCTATAACTCCCAAATCAGCACTTATGGTGCTTTCATGGTCATTTGTGGACATGCAAAAAGCAATGAAAAATTTGAGTCTTCCAACATGCATGTTTTTAGCTGAGGTTGAACAAGATTGAACACTATGCTTTCTTGTTTGTGCTCCCATACTGTAAACAACTGTCCTTTTAACAATCTATTTAGTATCACATTTTTTGCATTTTTGGAATGTTTGGTGATTTTGGTGTTTAAAATGGCCTCCAGGTGAAGTGCTGTCTAGTGTTGCTAAGCCAAGAGACTGTGACGTGTCTTGCGGAGAAAATATGTGTGTTACATAAGCTTCCTTCAGGAATGAGTTACAGTGTTGTTGGAGTGGGTTCAATGTTAATGAATCAACTATACATATATATGTGTGCACGTGTGTGTTTATGTGTATACATATATACATATATAATATAAAATAAGGTATCTTTAAACAGAAACACACATAAAACAAGGTTGAGTACTGATGGGTTGACAAAAGTATCACCAGAGGCTTTTAGGAACCTAAACTTGTATATCCTGTTGGGAGCAATGGTTCAGTATTCACAAATTCAGGGTTTGTACAATTTTCTAGAACTTAACTACTGTGAATAATGAGAATCAACTATGTGATAGCTATAGCCCTTGTTTTTCAGATGTCCAATTCCCTCTACTATTCTTTAAGCAATGATTGGTAACCTGATTATTCAGTGGCTCCACTCAGTGGGACAGGTCAGCAGACAGCTGCCTTTTCTTCTCACTCCTGTGTTCTGCCAGAGCTCCCTTTCCCACCTTTTAATAGCATAATTAGCAGATCTCATGGTTTTCAGTCATTTTTAAGCTCATTTTTGGAGATTTTAAAGTCGAATCCACTCTAAATCAAAGCCTCTTTAAGATCTGTCCTGGAGATGGTGGGTGGGGCGGTACGATCTACTTTTTCTCTTCTTATATCTTGTTCTGTTGATGCTTTCCATGCACGCGTCAGTGGTGAGGAGGAAACAAACGGGCAGGAATAAAGTCATAAGAACGGTGGGATGGCTGCTGATGTGATGCAGTTGTCAATGTCTGCAATAACAGGTGTCCAAATGCTCTCTCTCTTAGGGGCTTGATTTTGGCAGTCTTGGGAAGCCCTGCCCCTTTATGCCACCATTCTCCAATGAGGTAAGATTTCTCACTGAGCTGCATGCACATCCCAGCTCCTGTACACCAGTAGTAAATGTTTACAAATTCTTTCTGCAGGGATCTCTTTTCCCTGGCTGGCAACCCTCTTTGCTTCAAGGAGGCTTAAACATCCATTTGTGCTTCTTGACCCACCACATTACATTTCTGCTTGACCAACTGCTGAATCGCTTCCCAGGATCCTGCCATACTGAGCAGCTCTAGTCAGTCTCCTGGAGTTAGAATTCTTCAACCAAGAGGCAAGAACCTTTTTCATGTAGGCCTGAAACCCCTGTGGACACATGTCAAGTTCTCTCAATAGCGTTTCTACCCGAATGCTGCCTATGATCCTGGCAGCTTAGCAAGCCTCCAGCTGGACCATGAAATTGTAAATTCCCTATCTTCATGGACATCTCCTAGTTTGCCACCAATAACCTGTTTGGAGAATATGCGTCAGACGTGGTGGTGGGGAAGGACAGTGCAGGGAGTGGTGGGGAGGAGAAATGTAAAGTGCTCTCTGATCTGAGGGACTCACACTTCAAAGTGCCTCTTCATTTAAGCTCCTTTTAAAACTCCAGTTCTCTTTTGTGGTTGTTGAGAAGAGTAGTTGCTGAACTGGCTTTGCTATCTTTGATTATCCTTTTAATTTTCACAGGATCAGTAGTGATGACTCCTTTTTCATTTCTGACATTGGTAATTTGTGTCTTCCTTTTTTTCCCTTAATCTGGCTAGCGGACAATCAATTTTGTTGATTAGTTTTTCTGCCTTCTCCGGTTTTAATTGAGCATTTTATATGATACAATTTTATCACTTAGCATTTCATTGATTTTAAAAAATTGTTTTCCTGTTTTGAATTTTATTGATTTCTGTTATAATTTTTATTTTTATTTTTCTGTTTGCTTTAGGCTTAAATGGTTCTCTTTGTATGGTTTCTTAAGGTGGAGGCTTAGGTTATTGGTTTGTGAGCTTTTTCTTTTCTATTCAATACATTTAACGAGATAAATTTCCTTTTAAGCACCGCTTTTCTTGGATTTCACACATTTTGGTAAGTTGTATTTCCATTTTTATTTAGTTTGAAATATTTTTAAGTTTCTTTTGAGAGGTCTTTGATCCATGGGTTATTTTGAAGTGTGAGGCTAACTTCCAAATATTTAGGGTCTTTCCAGCTATTTTTCTGTTATTTGTTTCTAGTCCAATTCTACTGTAGTAAGGATTTGGTGTATGCCATTAATTTTGGAAAGTTCTCAGCTATAATTACTTTAAGTATTTCTTCTGCTTCCTCCTGCCTTACTTTATCTTTTGATATTCTAATTACACATCTGACATGTATGTTTTTCTCTTGTGTTTCACTCTGGGAAATTTCTATTGACCTGTCTTCACTCTCACTGAGTTTAAAATTTTTCCTCAGCTGTATCTAGTCTATTGATGAGAATACCATCAAAGGTATTCTTCATTTTTGTTATGGCATTTTCAATTTCTAGGATTTTCTTTAGATATCTTTCTTAGCATTGCCATTGCCCTGTTTTCATTATCCATATGCTTGTGCGTATTATTTACTTTTTCCATTACAGTCCTTAAAATACAAATCATAGTTATTTTAAATTCCCTGTCTGACAAATCAAACATTTGTGTCATGTCTGAGTTTGGTTCTGACAATTTATCTCTTGAGGCTGTACTATTTCTTGGTTTTGGTATGCTTTGTAACTTTTTCTTGAAAGCTGAACATGTTTTATTGGGTTATGGGAACTGAGGTAAATAGGCCCTTGGCGTGGGGATTTATGTTAATCTGGCTAGGAGTTGGGCGATATTTAATGTTTGCTGTAGCTTTAAATGCCAGAGGCTTCAAATTCCTCTTGGGTGCTTGTTTGTGTCTCCTGTATTGTCTTTGGGTTTCCATAAGTGTTTCTTTTCAGAGAGAGCCTATGTCTTGTAGCTTTTGCAGCTGCGATCCACTGTTATACTGGAGCTCTGTTGGTGCAGAGGCAAGGTGCAGGGGGAGGAATAATATTGTATTATCTTTTGTTTAAACCTTAGCCTTGGAGGCCCTGCTTCTGAGAGCTGACATTCACAAGTGTTTGTCCAGGTGTATAGCTTTTCCCATCTCCTCTTCCTTCCCTGAAGCCCTGGCCCATTTTGAATCTTGTTTCCCCTTAGGTGAGACAGCAGGGCTGGAGAGAGTGAGCAGGGAGGAATACCCTTCCTGCAGCTGGGCTAAGGCTGGCAGACTCCTTTTTCCTGGAGGGTAAACCTTTGCATGGGGAAGGTTCTGGCCTTATTTCACAGTGATTACTCTGCTCCAGAGCCAGGAGGGGATCTTTCTTAGAGCTTCCCTGTGAGAACCTGCTGGGATTCCTGGATGTGAAGCCCACATTTTTGTGGAGGTCCTACTAAGACTTTGATCCCCAAGAGCTTCTCACTCTTATGCTAATTCACACTCCTCCAGCAATTTGTTGAAATCTTCATGTCAAGGCTCCCACCAGTCAAGAGCTCCAGGCAGCTTCTGCTCCAGATGAGCAAATCTTGGCTGTGTGTTTCTAAATATGCCTGTTTCCCCAGATTTTTTTGGTTGGCAGTTTGTCCTGTGGCCTCTATTCTCTGATGGGTCCAAGAAAAGTGATTTATTTTCCATTTATCCAGCTTTTTATTATTGTAAGGAAAGGAGTGGGACTTTCAAGTCCTTTACATGTTGGAAATGAAATCTGAAGTCTGGTTTTGATATGTTTTTCACAAGCTCTACAAAGATAAGTAACCCAAAAAGTGACTGAAGCAAACCTCAATTGATTTAGAAATTTATTCTGCCCAGGTTGATAATGCAACCAGGAAAAAGAAACACACACAGCAGGATCTGTGTCCTGGGGTTTTTCCAAAGAGAGTTTTGAGGACTTCAATATTTAAAGGGGGAAGAGTGAGCATGAGGGGAAGGAGGAAAGGAAAAAAGAGGTGAGTAGGCAATGACGCCAATGATTGCATTCTTGTGAGGCTCTGATTAGCACTCAATGGACCTACAGTTTACATGTGAAAAGAACGGAGTTGGGGGGTGTGAATTACACATTCATCTTGCACTCAGTAGATCTGTATTTTAGGTTAGATAAAGCAAGCATGTGAAATCACAGCTGTTTGGGAACAAAAGGAAGGCGGTTTTTGCATGACTCAGTTATCAAGCTTTACTTTCCTTTTGGCAGAGTTTGGGGTCCTCAGATTTTTATTGTCCTTTCACAGATATGTCTAGGACCTTTTTTTTTTTTTTTTTTTTTTGAGACAGAGTTTTTGCTCTGTCGCCCAGGCTGGAGTGCAGTGGCGTGATTTTGGCTCATTGCAACCTCCATCTCCTGGGTTCAAGTGATTCTCCTGCCTCAGCCTCCCGAGTAGCCGGGATTACAGGTACGTGCCACCACGCCCGGCTAATTTTTGTATTTTTAGTAGAGACGGGGTTTCACCACGTTGATCAGGCTGGTCTCGAACTCCTGACCTCATGATCCATCTGCCTCGGCCTCCCAAAGTGCTGGGATTACAGGCATGAGCCATCGTGCCCGGCCAGGACCTTTTTTTAAGAACATAAAGTACTTACCACCCATATTCTTTCTCAGCTTTGTGGCTTCAGCCAAAATTTCAAGACATCAAAAAAGTTCCATTTGACATCCTGTAACCTATATTTATATACCTATTATGTAACACGTGGTAAAGGGACTGAAACATAACAGGCACTCACTACATATTTTTGAATGGAAAAATAAGGAGAGGAAAAGAGACAGGGCAGTGAGAAGGGAGCAGGTAAGGAAGAAATGGAGATAAAATAGGAAGCATAAGGGCAAAGAGGGCCAAGATTCAAAATTTATCAAAAATTATATCAACGTAAATGGCATACATAGAGTATGTTGAATAGCAGCATAAGCAGAAGTTCAAAGTGAGGCATTATATTTTCTCTTTTTTAAATAAACATACTAAAAAAAGAGTGAGGCAAACAATTTTCTATTAAAAAGAATTAAAATCCATAGCTTTAAGCAATTCTACTTCCCACAGTGAAATATCAAAATATTCTTAACATATAGAGGGAAAAAGTGAGTAGATATATAAATGTTAATATAAAGAGATTTCAAATGATACCAGAAGTTCAAGGTCAGAGTTTAGATAGGGGACACAGTAGATACTGATGTCTGTTGAGCATTAGCATGTGTCAAACCCTGCATTTGGCATTTTACAACTGTCAACTCATTTAATCCTTGGGACAGTCATATGAAGAACTGCAGCCATTTACAGATATGGGAAAAGGGTCTCAGAAAGTTCAAATCACTTGATTTCAATCAGTTTAGTTGCATAGCTAAACTGATTGATTTGAATCCACATCTGTGACTTGAGAGAGCCCATGGCCAAGATTACTGATGCCTGCTTTCCTACTCTTAGAAATCTTCACAGTCATTCGACAGAATCATGGCTACTGTCCTAGAAACTACAATCACCTGTCTCCCTTGCATCCTTGCATCTCAACTAATAGTATTTGAGGGGAGTGTTGTGTGAGCTTCTAGAAATAGTCTTTTTATTATGTTTTTTTAATGTGGGTCTGCTTTCTAGGGAATAGAAATATTCTTAAAAGGCAAATCGGTGCCTTGATTGCTTTCGTCTTTATCCCTTCCTAGGTCTGCTGCTCTCTTGACCCTAATGATGATGGTCACATTCTTGGGATGGCAGAGCGAGGAGCTGTCAGTAGCCTGGGTTCCTTCTTGTTATAGCAGAACCAACATAGAAGACATGGTTTGTCTTCCTCTGGACTTTCACCTGACAAGAGCAGACTTTCATAGCTCTTACATGGCTGTTTACTTGGGGCCACAGTTATAGTGAATATAGAACTTAGTACCATACAGGAAGTGCTGCCCATAACGGAAATGGAAATATGTGGTATAATGAAGGTCGTGTCGTAGGTGAGAGGTGGTAAGTGTTCAGAATCTTCCAGATTCTGCAGAAATCTGGGCATACTTGTTTGGCAGTGGAAACATTTGGTTCAAATGGATCCTACTCTACCTTGGAAAATGTATTACCTGCTGAGTATGACTGTAGCATGAAGGGAAAAGGTAAGACAAATTCAGAATTTTTCTGTGGCTTGGGTGCTCTGCAGCTTTGAGCAGAAACTCACAGAAGGGAGCTCAGTCTGGAAAGCATAGCATGCAAGCAGAGGAGGGAGGGAACCCAGCCCTCTCTACCTGCAAGCCAAGTTGACTGAGAGCATGGCAATTTGGAGCCTTGGAGGGTTGAAACAGCCAACACCCTCTGTGCCTGATGGGAGGCCCTCAGAAGTGTAGATCCCAGACAATGGCCTTAGGGGAAGAAACATTGTGGTCCTAAGTTTTTCCCCAGCACCTTCCGTTAAGGGTTGACTGCCAGACCTGGGATCCAGTCAGCAATAAACATCACACCATGGGTATGGCCTTTCCCCTAAACCTTTCCCACCACATCTACCAGAGACAGAGGCAGGCATGGGCAGAGCACAGGTGCCAGTTACAGAGCAGCTTTCAGTCTTAAAGCTTCGTCCAAGCAAGATCTGTGGCAGTGGTTTAAACGGCCAATGAGGAGGATGAAATAAATACACAAGAAGCCAATTGAGTTATTGGAGCCAATTGTATTGCAAAAGTGAAGACAGCCTTGACACAGGCTATAATTCTTCTTCCCTCTAGTTTGAGACTATACAATCTGTGTAGCCTTGAGAGAGAATATAGTCTGCAAAGCTCACCTCAGCTGCGGGGAAAATGTTAAACAACAAAGAACCCTCTAGGTTCATGGAGGACAATGGACAAGATGGCATATCACAGAGTAGAAGCAAGCAGGGCTGCCTGAGAAAGGAAGCACTTGTGATTCCTGCCCAGCAAAATCCCATCACTGTGGACCATCACTGTGTTTCTTCTGTCCCCTTCCTGGTTTTGAATGGAAAGTCTCCTGGCCTCCCCTCATTCTGCTCCCCTCCCTCTTCCCCTTCTCTTCTCCCCTTCCCTCGAATCCCCTCCTCTCTTCTCGTCTTTTCCTTCCCCTCCCCTTCTCTTTTCTTTTTTTTACCCCTCTCCTCCCCTTCCTTCCCCTCCCTTTCTTTCTCCTCCTGTCTCCTTTCCTTCTCATTTCTGACTCTAATCATGGCTATTCTGCTTCTCTGCACCACTGTATGTAGAGTGAGATGGGGGTGAATCACTCACCTTGTCTCTTCTTGGTCATTCGGCCATGAAGAGTCATATTAGGATCTGATGGAGGGTGCTGCCTAGCGCCATAGGTTCTGGACTTCTAGTGACCTGCAGTGACTGGGCAGATCTTTACAGTGGAGAGGGTCTGTGCGTTCTGTCTGATTAGAAGAGAATACATAAATGTATGGGGAAGACTGTGGCAGAAACTTTTAAGTTAACATCCAACATCTGGATCTTATCTTTTCCCACAGTAATAGGATCCCTGGTGTTTAGGTGGCTCAGGGTGGTGCAAAATAAAGACCATATTTCTCAGCATCATTTGAGGGCTGCTTTAGTCATGTGATGAAATCTGACCAATAGGATGTGGTGTTTTGGGGTGTGCAATGCCCACAGATTGTACTGAAAGAGTGCAGGGGTGCCTTATGCCCTCTGGGGTCTTGCGGCCTGGAATGTGAGCATAATGGCTGAGGTTTCAGTGGTCACTGTAGATCACACTTATCACTGATGTTCAGGACGTGAGCCTGCATAGCCGAGCAAATGCACAGAAGGAGCTTGGGTCCCTGACTCTGTGGAGCACCCTACCAACCCTTAATGGCTACCCCAAGGCTTTTAAACATAACGGAGAAACACACTTCTACTTTCTTCAAGCCCTTATTACACTGGAGTTTTCAGTTACCCCAGCTGAATGAAATCCTCGCTGACAGAGCAAGCAAGCCTTGATGCAGAAAGAGTGGCCAGGAAACTATTGCCCCGGCAGGGAACTGACAATGAGAGTCTGAACTAAGGCAATAGCAGTTGGGATGGTGAGGACAACATGCTAATGAGGTCGAGAGGTAGCACAGACTGGATTTAATTACTGATTGGACAAGGAGATGACAGATAAAGTAAAAGTAGAGCATTATACCTGGGTTTCTAGCTTGGATGGTGTGGAGGAGCAATGGGCATGGTTAAGAGTCCTCAGAAGGAATCTACAAAGTCAAAGAAATCCAAAGATAGAAACTTGAAGAACACAAACAATTTAAGGAGTGAACAGCAGAAGAGACCAGTAGGTAGAAGTGTCACCAGGACCACCTGCTTGAGAGATTAATAATGTCAGTCATGAGAAATAAAATCTCATGAGGAATGAAATCCCTGGGGATCTTTCCATAAAAATCACCATGACATGGTAGACATGAAAGCTGGGGGGCTTAGAAGCCAATGTGAATCAAAGAGATGGACAAATTACCTGAGGCTGCATTTTACTTATTTTTTATTTAATATTTTAGAGACAAAGTCTCACTCTGTCACCCAGGTTGGGGTACAGTGGTGTGATCATAGCTCACTGCTGCCTTGAACTCCTGGGCTCCAGCAATCCTCCTACCTTAGCCTCCTGAGTAGCTGGGACTACAAGTGTGCACCACCACATCGGGCTAATATTTAAATTTTTTGTAGAAACAGGGTCTTGCTGTGTTGCCCAGGCTGGTCTTGAATTCCTGGCCTCAAGCTATCCTCCTGCCTTGGCCTCCCAAAGAGCTGGAATTACATATGTGAGCCCTGCTCCCGGTCCAACATGGTTCATGAGCCTGGAATGTTGAGGGTGCCTAGCACCAGACATGTTCGTCCCAGAGCTGCTCTGCATGGGACGTCTGGCTTCACAACAGTTTTTGTCTGGTGGCCCAGATTTTCAGTCATATTTTTCTCAAGTGCTGACTCTGGCAGGTTGGAATTAATTTCTTTCAGGCATTCTCAATTCACTCTGCCTCCAAGATTCAGAATTATTTCATCTGATGAACTGTGACCATCTCAGCATGAGGACTCTAAGGAGTGTAAATGTCATTTGTGGTCTGGTTTTTTTCTATCTTGGCATCTGTTATGGACTGCATGTCTGTGTTACCCCAAAATTCATATGGGATGATGTGGGACTTTGGGAGGTAATTAGGGTTAGATGAGGTCAAGAAAGTAGAGCCCTTATGATGGAACTGGTGTCCTTAGAAGAAGAAATATGTCTTTCTCTCTCTCTCTCCACACACACACACCAAGGAAAGACTCTGTGAAGACACAGCAAGAAGTTCTCCACAAGCCAGCAAGAGAGCCCTCACCAGAAAATGAACCAGCTGGCACCTTGATCTTGAACTCCTAGCTTCCAGAATTCTGAGAATTAAATTTCTGTTGTTTAAAGTACTCAATTTGTGGCATTTTGTTATGGTGGCCCTAATGGACTAAGACAGCATCACAATGTAAAACCACACACACACACACACACACACACACACACACACACGGCATGACACACATTTTTACCCAGCAAAACTCCATCTTACACCAAGAATTCTTCTCTGCTTTGGAGCAGCTCAGTGAGTACAAGATGCTGGAAGATGCGCCCTGCAGGGCAGAATGCCCAGGCATGGGGCACAGCCCTGGCCCTGTGTCCTTCTGTTTCCTCAGCCTGGCTTAGGTGTTGGGCTCTTGGTCATGGCTTCATTAGGACTAAATTTTGATGGAAACGGGCATGACACACATGCCAAGAGCACTCCTTGCTCCCCAGGGCATTAAATCACCTTGTTATTTAGTGCCCTCTAGAATCCACTAATTTACATGTGGTCTCTTCTCATAGAAGCATCTCAAGTAAATCTGAATTTGTTTAGACAATTTTATGGGTATTTTAAAACCACAATTGAATTTCAGGCCTTTGTCGCAGTCCAGCCAAGATGCACTCCAATTAGAAATAATTGCTATTAATGCTGTTATGATGTGGAGGATGCCTGCAGTGCTCCTGGACCTTTGTTGTACTGAATCCCCGAAGAGTCTGAGCTTTATTCTTTAACTAAATAGACAGGACCCTAGAAGATACGCTTCTGGAATTGTAATATTACAGCAATATTGTGCTTCTCTCTTAATTAACCTTGTTAACCAAGGATTTGGAACATCAGTGGGTGACTCTGAGAGGGCCTTTGATCCTCTCAGTATACATCTACAGTGGAATAAGATGTCACTGTGAAATAAAACGCCTTTATTCTTTGGCATACACCAAATACCTTCATCATTCTTTGAGTAATGATTGACAGTCTCGTTTAATGAAATAATGTTTGTCAAATACTTAATTTGCTGCCGGGCACAGTAAATGTTAGTTATGATTGTTATAATATTATCATAAAACAAGTTTTTTTTTTTTAAGGTTTTCTGAATGGAAAGGAAATACAGATCAGGGCTGTCATGTTCGTGCAGGCCACTCAAGGTAAACCATAGTGGATTCCAGAGTTTACACCCCCTGAGACTGCTGCCCCTATGACAGCATTTTACCCCCAAGATAGTCAAATTCTCAATTCTTTAGACTTTTACCGGGTCTCCCAAGGTACCGCTCATCCCCTCCTTGCTCCCCACAAGAGGGAAGAGACAAAGGCTGCTGTTTCTCTTGCAAGGCTGCCCCCACCAGCCTGAGAAGGAGTTCCAGGGATATGGTAATTAACATATTTTTCTTAATCTTGCTTTTATAGTTAATCTCCAAAGCATGAAAGCACTTTGCCAGTTGATTAAACTGTAAGAATACAATAGATCCAAAGTGAGGGCAGCACTGATGAATATAAATGCATAAAATTGCCCATTCTGCAGGAAAATGCCTCAACCTGAATCCCAACTTGAAATACTAAGTTGAACACTTAACTTTAATTGCACGAATATATTTTTTGGATCAATAGATAGCAAAAAACCTAACTTGGTATAATTTCATCTTCAAAGTAAGAAGCAACCACTCTTTGATCTCTTCTAGGAAACAAAAGTGATTCTATTTAAGAGTTTGGTCTAGGATCACTGCCTATGAGGGGGCTTCAGGGAATGCCCGGTAAGGCTCTTGGGCACAATAGTGCTGGATGGGCCTTTAGCCAGACTGCCACTCGGTCTGCGTATCCAGGGCATTCAGAAGCATTTGTGTAGCTGTTTTGGAAAGAAGGGCACTGGAGGCGGGCCTTTTCTACATTAGGTGGTACAGGTTCAAAATGGCCAGAGAGGATAGCAAGGGGGTAGAAATCCAGAGCTGTGTGTCCTCTGGAGAGAGGGCATTCTGGCTGGATATCCACATGTCCTCTTCGCCCCTCAGCCCTGCTCCCCAAGGCAGGTCAACCACAGCCGCTGGCTCCATTTGAGCCACCTCCCCAACGACCAAAGCTCAGGGCAGCTCATGGCCATGGCTTATCACTTTCTTACATCTGTGGTAATGGAAATGACAAAAATGGGCTGTCTTTATTTTTGGAAAAAAAAAGAAAAAGAAAAAACCAAAACTCAACCAAATAGGTGATAGCAACATTATTTTCAAACACATTGATTGAAAATTCTAGTCCAGATAACAGAATAGGAGTGGTACTTGTGGTCTCCAGATATATTCCACTGTCAGACAAAAATACTTTTCTTCATTGAAGTACGCATTATGTAACACTGTGTATCAGATGACCTTAGCCATAGAGTTGGTCTTTAGAGCTTCTTCTTTTGGTCAACAAAGCCATCCATTGCATGAAGGATGCCCAAATAGTCAGCTATAAGCAGTCCTGTCTTGAGGGGCAAAAAGCTAAAGAGAACACAAGAATAAACTTTCTTTATTATCATTCATGAAAGCCTCTTTACCACCTCTACTGAAAAGCAGTGTCACCTCTTGTGGCAGATGAAGTCACTCACTCATGCACACACTATGCAGCCTGAGTGCTACCCGCCTCAGGGTCACTGGGCCTTGTTCACTATATCCGGGGACACTCGCCCAGGGCCTTGACAGGTCTTCTGGCTTAAGTTATTCAATTCACTTCTCATTTCGGTTTCCAAAGCATCACTCCACTGTACAATGACACAGAGGAAGCAGTGAAGTCTTGTCCTGTAGGCATGCGCTTTGGGGGCAGATGAGCCTGGCTGGAATCCTAGCTCTGTCATTTGCAGTGCCGCCTTAGGCAATCGACTCAGCTCATAGACCTCAGTTTCCTCAACTGTAAAATGAGGTCATCAGTCTGCCTTTCTGGCGCTACTGTGAGGATGAGATGCAATAGCTCCTCAAACCTTGGGCAAGACCCAACTAACACTGTCCATCTTCTCCATCCACACCTGCCCCTCTGCAAAGCCATATACATGCATGATCATCATCCCAACAGAGCACTCTGCTCCACTGGCCTTTGCATTCAATACTGCAGAGCAAGGAAACAAAGCAGGCACGGGAAACCTGAGACTCATCCTAAGGTGGGGGTAAAGGAAAGGACCCCATGCTCCTTGTTCCCCTGTTTGGGCACCCCAAGATCTCCAGGTGGTTCATCCCTCCCACAGCTTCAAGTCTCTGGTCAAGTACTACCTTCTTTATGAGACTCCCTCCACCCACCAAACACCATTCTTAAAATTAATTCTCACCGGCCGGGCGCAGTGGCTCACGCCTGTAATCCCAGCACTTTAGGAGGCTGAGGTGGGCAGATCACAAGGTCAGGAGTTTGAGACCAGCCTGGCCAACATGGTGAAACCCCATCTCTACTAAAAATACAAAAATTAGCCAGGTGTGGTGGTGCACGCCTGTAATCCTAGCTACTCAGGAGGCTGAGGCAGGAGAATCACTTGAACCCGGGAGGTGGGGGTTGCAGTGAGGCATGATTGCACCACTGCACTCCAGCCTAGGCAACAGAGCAAGAGTCCATCTCAAAAAAAAAAAAAAAAATTAAATCTCACTTAGATGTGGTGGCTCATGCTTGTAATCCCAGTGCTTTGGGAGGCTGAGGTGGGAGGATTGCTTGAAGCCAGGAATTTGAGACCAGCCTGGGCAACATAGCAAGACCCCATCTCTAAAAAAATAAAAATAAATTAGCTGTGCATAATGGTGCACAACTATAGTCCCAGCTATTTGGGAGGCTGAGGTGGGAGGATGGCTTGAGCCTGGGAGTTTGAGGCTGCTGTGGGCTATGATCAAGCCACTGCACTCTAGCCTGGGTGACAGAACAAGACCTTGTCTCCAAAAAAAATTAAAGAGTAAAATTAAAAAAAAAACAACAACGTAAATCTTGGCCGGGTGCAGTGGCCCATGCTTGTAATCCCAGCACTTTGGGAGGCTGAGGTGGGTGGATGACCTGAGGTCGAGAGTTCAAGACCAGCCTGGCCAATGTGGTGAAACCCCATCTCTACTAAAAATACAAAAATTAGCCAGGCATGGTGATGGGCACCTGTAATCCCAGCTACTCGAGAGGCTGAGACAGGAGAATCACTTGAACCAGGGAAGGCGGGGGTTGCAGTGAGCCAAGATTGCGCCATTGCACTCCAGCCCGGGTGATGAGCGAAACTCCATCTTTAAAAAAAAAAAAAAAGAAAAAAAAAAGTAAAACTCAACTTGCACCCATCTACCTCCCACTGTGGGGTTTCCTTTTTTCCCTTTCCTGCTTTATATTTCTTCAGAGCACTTATGGTCTTTTCTTTTACCTTACTTTTTTGTTTGTTTCTTTTCTGCCCCCTCACCCCACAGGAAGTGATTTCCACATGGGCAGGGACCACTGTTTGTCTTGTTCTTTGTTGTAACCCTAAGCGCAGATCCTTGGATGGTGGGTGATTCATGACACACAAAGCACTCTCTGAATATTTGCTGAATGAATGTTTGGTGGAGTGTTTGATGTGATTGCCTTTACTGATCTTCTTCACCTTGCCTTTAGCTTACTCAGCAGCTATCTAGCCCTCTCTCAAAACATGTCCCATAACTAGTATTGCATAAAACTAAACATAATCTCCACAGTTATTCAAAGTAGAAAAATTAAGTTCCGTGTTCTTACCATTGGCATTACTATACTATAATCTGCCATCTATTAAGCAAAAAGAACTTAGTGTGTTGTGAATGCACACCCTGCCCAATAAACAGTGCATTACACGAATCTACAAGCTACGACAAACATTGTCTCTACAATGTAAATGAAGAAGCCAAGACCTGGAGAATAAAGGGCACGCTCAGAGTCACAGACTTAGTGAATAGTGGGATCGTAAGCCTGAATTTCGAATTGCTTGTCCAGGATCCTTTGCTCTGTCCCACATAGCCTCAGTCAGGCATTCTGACCCATCCTGTGCCAGATGAAGCCTGGAAAAATGATAGTATGCAAGAATGACATTTGGTTCATTGCACAAAGTAGATATAATTAGCTAATGAGAAAAGAAATTTCTGTACACAGGATGGACAATGGCTGCTGGCCATGTAGTGGAAGTGAGGTATAATATCTATCTTCAAATAACTAGGAATTGTCATTGGCAAGACTGATGGAATTGCACATGGAGCTGGGGGAGAAGCACAAACCAATGAGGGGAAGTTCAAATGAGGCAGATTTCAACTCAAGGTGCTTCCTCACACAGCAGAAAGCCCAGTGAGGAAAGATTTAATTAGATGACCTGTTACAGTCTAGAAAATGAATTGAGATAACAGGAATCAGCAGCTCACCACTATCCTTGTAAGTGGGTCAAATGTTCATTCAGTGCCTATGAATTTCAGCACTGAAACTCCATGGAGAGCAGGGAAGGGTGCACAAGAATGTTTTTTGCACTTTTTTTTTTTTTGAGACGGAGTTTTTGCTCTTATTGCCCAAGTTGGAGGGCAATCGCGCGATCTCAGCTCACTGCAAACTCTGCCTCCCTGTTTCAAGCGATTCTCCTGCCTCAGCCTCCTGGGTAGCTGGGATTACAGGTGTGCACCACCATGTACGTTTTTTATTTTTTAAGAGACAGGGTCTCACTCTGTTGCCAAGATGGAGTGCAGTGGTCTGATCATGGCTCACTGCAGCCTCAAACCCCTGGGTTCAAGCAATCCTCCTGCCTCAGCCTCCTGACTAGCTGGGACTATAGGTGTATACCAGCCTCAAACTCCTGGGCTCAACCAATCCTCCTGCCTCAGACTCCTAAGTAGCTGGGACTACAGGGGTGCACCACCATGCCTGGCTTATTTATTCATTATTTTTGGAGAGATGGGGTCTTCCTTTGTTTCCCAAGCTAGTCTTGAACTCCTGGCCTCAAGCAATCCTCTCACCTTGGACTCCCAAAGTGCTGGGATTACAAACGTGAGCTGCTGCTCCCAGCCTGTTCTTTTGCTTTTAAGAGGTGGTTTTAAGTTTTTTCCCTCAAATTCTTTAACCATCCTAAGAGCTCAAATTTATTATGTATTGCTAATTGTACCCATACCACAAATTTCTATAGCACTTGGCTTACTGTCTGGCCTTGACTTTGGGACCCTGTACTTGAGGAGGCATGGATACAATATCTATTCCAACAGGATTATTTTATCATGAGCGCAAGAAAATCTCTCCTAAAAAAATCATTTCGATCTTTCCATCTATCAGTACATCCACTTCTTTTTCAGAATAATTCGATACTAAGGTGGCAGGAAGGATTAGACCCCATTTTCTTGACTCATGGCGGGCACTGCAACTGTGTAAATTTGGTATTGTGTCAGCAATGGGCACAATGATAGGACTAACAGGACTTAATAGAATTAAATTAATGAATTTTAATTTATCAGGTATTTTTAAAGTGGCTTCTCCTGGTGGGATTTGGAGTAAACTGTAGACTGGCATGTTAGGGAAGTAATAGAAGCTGATGTAATTACCTTTTAAGAAACATCATGAAGTATAACAACTTTGGCATATACAAGTACATTTTTTCTTGTAGAATAGCTTCTACTATTTTTTCAACTGCATATTTTGGTTCCAGAATTGGCAACAGAGAAGGACAGCTAGGATATAAAATGACAACAATTAAAAAAAACCCTGAAGGCCAAATTCATAAATAAAGATAATTTTTCAAATTAGGGATAAAAGGTTTTAAGACGTTATCACTTATTTCTTTGCTTTTCAATTTCATTTATTTTTATATTTACTCCTTTATTATCAATGTGTCAATGCAGTAAGTAGTAACATAACTAAAATATGAAATGAAAAATGATTATTAATACACTGATATTACAATATACATATACGTGAAACCATATTAAACAAATATTCCAAATATTTGTAAGGCAAGTTGTTGAAAACACATTGCCTGTAGTCTCCATGAGATACAGAATTGGGCATCTGTGACTGCTACGGACTGGGTATTTGTGTCCCCCCAAAAATTCACATGTTGAAGCCTAAACTCCCAATGTGACGGCATTTGGAGGTGGGGCTTTTGAGGTGTAGCTAGGTCACCAGTGTGGAGCCCTCATGAATGGGATTAGTGCCTGTCTGAGAAGAGCCTATCAGCACTTTGATCTTGGACTTCTAGCCTCCAGAACTGTGAGAAAGGCATTTTTCTTGTTTAAGCCACCTAGTGTATGATACTTCATTATAGCAGCTCCTTCTATATGACCAAGACAATGTCTCTCCAGTTATTTCTAGTCCTCCTGGAATCAGAGAGGGAGCAGAATGGGATTGGATGGCAGGAAGGGGATGTGGCCCTGAGAGTCTGGGAAATGGAGGAGCAGATCCAGGGCCTGGGGGAGCTGAGAGACACTGCCTTGATAAACCATTCCCATTCAACTTGGTATCCTTCACACAAACACATACTAAGAAAGACAGAATTCTAAAACCATTTATAAATCATACTGAATCCCAGAACAATATATTTTAAACAACTTAAAAAAAAGAACAAAATAAAATAGCAAAACATTTTTAAGAGTGTAGATTCTTTGAAATTAAAGGACATACTTACCCTGTAGTACAACCTTCAAACATTCCAGTTTTTATAAAAAAGGGGCACACAATCGTGGTTTTGATCCCCTTTTGTTTTTGGACAAATGTTTCTACAAATACAGATTCAGCAAACCCAAAGGCTGCAAATTTACTTGCACAGTAATCTGAAAAAGACAAAGCATGATAACGTATATTCCAAAGTTTTAAAATGGCATTACATTAAGGTTTACCCATAACGCTAACAGCGACAGAAAATAAGACAATTTCAGAGTTCTCCTTTTGTGTAATCTTGGTCTACTCCCACTGGAAGAAGTGAGCAGGGAGTGGGAAGGGACATGGTTAACTGAAGATCAGGGTCAGTTGACAATGACCAAGTAGAGCCCAGCACAAGAAGGGCTGCAGAGATCCTGTCTCAGGTCACACTGCTGGACTTTACTTACAAGTAAATGCATTGTGAGCCCCTGTGCTAGTTCTTACATGGTGCCTTGTCTCAAAAAATTGCAATCCCATTGGGGCATGAAGACATTCAAAAGAAGAAATAAAACACTAAGTGATATAGGAATCTAGGCAAGAGAGGCCAGCATGGGTTGTGATTCTCAGATGAAGTTTTCTTCCAACTATAACTCTTTCCTTCACTTCCAGAAAAAAAAAAAGGGCTTGGTAGCTTCAACCTCCACCTCTTAAATACCTTGAAAATGTAGGGTGGGGGCAGAGGAAGGAGTGGAAAGTGGCATTTGTGTCCATTTTCAGCTTTTTGTCTTTAATCATACCTGTTTTAACAAAACATCTGACTATTCAGTTGACTAAGTGAAGAAGTTTGGAGAAGAAATGGCATTGAGGTACATTAACACTTTCCTTTGCTCCACACATTCAGAGGAGGCATATTTAAACTTGCTATGTTACGGTGCAGCTACTGCAACTGGCAAGAGCCAGTTTATAAGCGCCAGGCGTGGGGTTGTCCAGCCCTAGTGCTGTCCAGACAGTGGGTCAGAGGCTAGAGACTGGGAAGGGGGACGAGGAGTCCAGAGCAGCTTCTAGGGTCATTGGAGTCATCAGGTATAAATGCAGCTGAGTCCCTTGACCCCTGAGATTCTGATGAGCAGATATGGCCCATGACCCAAGGAATCTGCATGCTAAACTGGCACCCCGGTGGTTCTGATGCAGGGGAGTAAAGACTCACACGGTGGGAAATACAAAAGGCTTATACTTGTTTCTAAGATGAGCTGCAGGTGCGAGAGTCCTGTATCTCAAGACAGGAATGTTCTGTCTGAAAAGGATTGATAAGGAGCTGTAAATATACCTGAATGATTTCAAAGGCCCGTGACAACAGATATATAAGAGGGAGGTAAGAATAATACCTGATAAGTTCTAAGAAGGAGAGAGGAAGGGAAGTCCTGGGTCATAAGGAGGATAGACTGGTGATATTTGGGGTGACTGGTGGTCCTGAAAAACCTATTCATGTAATAGATATACTGAGCTAAGACTGGTTTTGTGAATCTTGAACTACGCCACTTTGCTTCAAAAGCATTAGGAACCACCCAACTGGCAAACTGGCTTATCTGTTATCCGAATGTTGCTGCTACAGTTCTGTTGGATGAGTTTTAGCAATGTTTGTAAGCCAGGACTTGGGACATTTCCTCTAGGGGATGCTGTGGTAGGTTAGGTCAAGATTTCTATTCCTTCTAGAGCCAGCTCCCAAGTTGGGCCTCCTTGGTTGAGGGTCTTGAAGGATCTCTTTGCCCTCTCCCCACTGCTACTGTCAAGTCAGTTGGTTGTTGCAAGGGAGATGAAAATGCCCACCACTTCCTGCAGGTCTTCAACCAGTGGAAAAACAAAGCAGTTAACTTTAGGTATCTTGAGGTGTAGAAACTTTATCCAAACTCACAGCAGTGGGGAGACCACTTAAAGGAAACTTCAGGAGAAGACAGGGTCATCCTCCTTACCATCTGTGACAGTGTCAGTGTGAACTTTGGTGGACAGTTGTTTTGTTGATCACTTGTGCAAAAAATTTATCAGTGAGGCCTCTCTCTCTTTTAAACACAGGGTACTGCATAAGACCTAATGATTCCAAAGGGCATAGTCCAATTTCATGTAAGTCTATCTGATGGGCAGTTTTGCTACACGATGAAGTTATCAACCACTTATTGACTATACTTTTTAGTTTATTATCCTTTATCTTAGGGCATCAAGTCAGTGCTAATTATTCAGAGCTATTGTGTAAGTTAAAGTTATAGGGAATTTTGCAATTGTAAATTGCTATGTTTTTCTTACCTGCCAGCCCATTTACTCCACTTAATCCAGCTGAACTTGAAATGCAAACCAAATGTCCATGGTCATTAGCAATCATAGCAGGTAGAAAGGCTTTATAAGTCTAAGAATACAAAGGAAAACTTTTAATGTTTAATGCCACATTGTATAATTTTCTCAGATATTTATATACTCATTGTGATTAAAAAATCTTTTTTTTTCAGCCTGTAAAATATCTGAAGGTATGGGGATATAAAAACTTAAACATCTGGAAAGTAATCATTTTAACTTATTTAACCTGTTAAATCAGTTTTTTATGGCAATTCCAGTATTATTAAAATAATTTATTCAGACTTATGTTTTTGCTCATATTTGACTTTTAACGACACAATATTAAAACAAGAATTGAAGGAGTAAATCTTTGTTGTGGCAGCCACAACCCCAAACCTCACAAACATGATGCTTTAGATTTAGATTGCCTTCTCTCTGCTTAGCTTGATTTTGAGTTTCAAATTTTCCCTGAACATTGTTCACAGGACATCTGGCTGTTGACTTCAATTTTAAAAGAGCACTTTGTTTTAAACTCATCTCTTATTTTTGTTCCATTTCGTAAAACAGAATATCTATTAGAAAGAGGACACATCTGTATTCTGTCCAACACCTTCACCCTTGATTGGGGGCCTGGAGAAAGAAGGTAAAAGAGACAGAAATGAGCTTTTAAGGAAGACATCTTCTGCATCAAAGGAGTAACTAATCACACCAAAGACAAGGAGGTGAGAAAAGGGATCTCTTACAAAGGCCAAACCTCACTTGTTTGCCTGCATTGCAATAAGTCTCAGAGAGAAACTAACAGGTAGAGAGAGGTGGGAAATCAAAACAAAGCAAAAGGAAGCAGTGCAGCAAACACTCTGGGGTCTGCCATGAGTTGGGACACTTCTCAGTAGGGACACTGCCTTTGAGAGCCCAGCCTTCAGGTAGCTCTTGGACGCTCTAGCAGTTAAGTCACTGTCTTTGTGCCTGGCAATGTGCAGATGCTCAAAGAATGTACATGAACTTGCCCAGAAGAAGTAAAGGGAGTGAGATGACATGAGGAGTGGTAGGAGCCAGGGAAACACCAGCACTGAAGGAAGAGGAGGAAGAGGAAGAGGAGGTAGAGGAGGAGTTGGAGTTGGAGGAAGAAGAAGAAGGAGGAAGAGGAGGAAGGAGGAGGAGAAGGAAGGAGGAGGAGGAGGGAGGAGGAGGAGGAGGAAGGAGGAGGAGGAGGGAGGAGGAGGAGGAGGAAGGAGGAGGAGGAAGGAGGAGGAGGAGGAAGGAGGAGGAGGAGGAAGGAGGAGGAGGAGGAAGGAGGAGGAGGAGGAAGGAGGAGGAGGAGGAAGGAGGAGGAGGAGGAAGGAGGAGGAGGAGGAAGGAGGAGGAGGAAGGAGGAGGAGGAGGAAGGAGGAAGAGGAAGAAGAAGAAAAGAAGAAAAGAGAGAGACAGACACCATGAAGGCACCTGGGGAAAAACAGAGAGGTAGGAAAAGAACACAAAGCCAGGCCAAGCGCAGTGGCTCACACCTGTAATCCAAGCACTTTGGGAGGCTGAGGCGGGCGGATCACAAGGTCAAGAGATGGAGACCAGCCTGGCCAACATGGCAAAACCCTGTCTCTACTAAAAGTACAAAAATTAGCTGGGTGTGGTGGCGTGCGCCCATAGTCCCAGATACCTGGGAGGCTGAGGTAGGAGAATTGCTTGAACCCGGGAGGTGGAGGTTGCAGTGAGCCGAGATCGCGCCACTGCACTCCAGCCTGGCGGCAAAGTGATACTCTATCTCAAAAAAAAAAAAAAGAAAAAGAACACAAAGCCATGGGAGTGGAGACTTCCAGGGACCATGGTCTTTATCTTCATTCTGACTATATATGAGTATAAGCAAGCACCAAGGAGAGGGACATTTGGGACAAGATAAATCATTTGCAGTAGTTCTTGTAGGAACATGGTAGCCACTAAATTCTGAATCTTTCCATTTTTCTCCTGAAAACTTTACAAAACACCAAGAATAGCACCAGCACCATTACATTTTTGGTGGAAATAGGGGACAGAAAATCTACAAATTCCAAATTACATTTGAAGGCTGCTAAAGAAGACTTGGGTGGAAAGGTGTGAGGAGAATGGAGGAGGAGCTCAGAAATCTCCAGCAAAGACTCCCAAGAGAGAGCCTTGCCCAGGAATGACGAGCTACGAGCAGGGCTGGAACCAAACAGGTCAAAAGTCCTGTGATCCCAGCACTGTGGGAGGCCAAGGCAGGCGGAACACTTGAGGCCAGGAGTTCAAGACCAGCTTGGCCAATGTGGTGAAACCCTGTCTCTACTAAAAACACAAAAAATTAGTTGGGTGTGGTGGCGCGCACCTGTAATCCCAGCTACTCAGGTGGCTGAGGCACGAGAATCGCTTGAATCCGGGAGGTTGGAGGTTGCAGTGAGCTGAGATCACACCACTGAACTCCAGCCTGGGAGACAGAATGAGACTCTGTCTCAAAAAATTAAAATAAAATGATAAAGTAAAATAAAAATACAACTTTTAATAAAAGCTGGGAGAGGCAGCAAGAGGGTGCATGCATAGTGTGGGGAGGCCTGAGATGGCTGGTCTCAGCAAAGGCCAGAAACATGCAACTTCTGGAATTGAGTGGGTGGCTTTAGAAGTCAGGACTGTGCTTTTAGCGCTGGTAGCAGGTGGTAACCTGGGTTACCAGTGGAACCTCTAATTTCTCTGGTTGGGTACTAACTAAGGTGACTATAGGTTTTGGTTTGCCCATAACAGACCTGATTAACACTTGCTCATTAATAATGCTGAATTTCACTTCCAAAAGTGTCCCAGCTTAGGCAAATTACAAAGCTACCCTGGTCCTGTCTAAGTGCAGTTGCTCGCTATGTAGCCTGGAGCAAATCTTTTAAGTTCTATGATCCCTTATCTCACCGAGCTGTTTTAAGGAAAATATGTGAGCCACCTGGAGTATTTCCTAACATTTGCAGCTAATCAATACATGGTAGCAGGACCATGAGGACAGTTCTGTCCTTGTAGAATTCCCTAAGCAGAGGTCCTGGGGGCTGTAGATTAAGTGGCATCAGAAAAGGACAACTGTGTAGAACAGGACAAGTCCAAAACTGAGAAGTCTCTGCTTTACTTAGAGGCTAATAATATTGTAAAAGAGCAAGAGGAAAATACTTCCAAATGCCAGAATAATTTTACATTTATGATGAGAAGAAACAATTATTACCCATAAATGTGCTTTGAAATTCACATCAAATGACTTTTCCATAAGCTCATCTGGACAGTCAAGGAACTTTTTGCCTGTTACGATTCCGGCATTGTTGATTAGGATGGAAACATCGCCGACTTCTTTTTTAACCTGAATTGAATAAGAGCAACACCACCAATGTAGTAATTCCTTACATGGGCTAGGTTTTATTTTCCCAGAGTTTTATGTTTTTTTTATCCTGGTTAATTCATACTGAGTTTATGCACTCTAAAAATACAGCTTGGGGCCAGGCGCAGTGGCTCACACCTGTAATCCCAGCACTCTGGCAGGCCGAGGCAGGGGGGTGACTTGAGGACAGGAGTTTGAGACCAGCCTGGCCAACATGGCAAAATCCTGTCTCTATTAAAATTACAAAAATTAGCCAGGCATGGTGATGCGTGCCTCTAGCCCCAGCTACTCGGGAGGCTGAGGCAGGAGAATTGCTTAAACCAGGGAGGTGGAGGTTGTAGTGAGCCAAGATCACACCACTGCACTCCAGCCTGGGTGACAGAGTGAGACTGCATCTAAAAAAATAAATAAAGAAATAAATACAGGTTGGTTTATTTCCATTGCTGAGTCTACAATGCACCACACACCAAGTTTTTTTTTTTTTTTTTGAGATGGAGTCTTGCTCTGTCGACCAGGCTGGAGTGCAGTGGCACGATCTTGGCTCACTGCAAGCTCCGCCTCCTGGGTTCCCACCATTCTCCCGCCTCAGCCTCCCAAGTAGCTAGGACTACAGGTGCCCACCACCACACCCGGCTAATTTTTTGTATTTTTAGTAGAGACAGGTTTTCACCGTGTTAGCCAGGATGGTCTCGATCTCCTGACCTCATGATCCACCCGTCTTGGCCTCCCAAAGTGTTGGGATTACAGGCATGAGCCACTGCGCCTGACCTCCAGAGATCAAGTTTTGATGTGCTTTTCCCATTTTTCTCTTCTTAAAATGAGTCCATGTTCAAAATGCTACTTTCTGTTTACAGTTAGAGCTGTTCTTCTACTCAGTGGTTAGTAACTTTGTTCTGTGCTCTGTATGTGGCATTTCATTTTAATCAATATGATGGGACATAAGAATAGCTTCATTATAGCCAAATGTGACATAGATCAAGACCTCACACACGGAGAAGGGGCTGGATTAGGGAATAAATAGAGGAAAAGAGAAAGTACAGTCATAAATCACTTAACAATGGAGATACATTCTGAGAAGTGCATTGTTAGGTGACTTGGTTGCTATGTGAAGATCACAGAGTGTACTTAATAAACCTAGATGTGTGGCTACTACACATCTTAGGCCATATGGTAGAGCCTATTGCTCCTAGGCTACCCACCTGTACAGTGTGTTACTATACTGAACACTGTAGGCAACTGTTAACACATTGGTTAAGTATTTGTGTATCTAATCATAGAACATTGGGACAGTAAAAATACTGTAATAATCTGTCCCATAATGTGGGACCACCATTTTGTATATGGTCCATCACTGACCAAAATGTCATTATATGGTGCACGACTGTATATATTTTAAACACACAGCACAGATTAGAATCTGCCTGTCCTGTTTTCATCAACTGGCTGGTTTTCTTCTTTCCAAGGATGGACTTCCTGAACTCAAGGCTAAGCTATGGCCTAGGGATACAAGCTTTCAAAGTTATTGGAGACTCAGCAGAGACAAAACGCTGTCATATCACTCTGAAAGCTTTCTCTTTGATTGCTCGTCTAAGGGCTACTTCTTAAAAACTCTCTGGTATTGGCCGGGCGCGGTAGCTCACACCTGTAATCCCAGCACTTTGGGAGGCCGAGGCGGGTGGATAATGATGTCAAGAGATGGAGACCATCCTGGCCAACATGGTGAAACCCCGTCTCTACTAAAAATACAAAAATTAGCTGGGCGTGGTAGCGTGCACCTGTAGTCCCAGCTACTTGGGAGGCTGAGGCAGGAGTACCGCTTGAACCCGGGAGGTGGAGTTTGCAGTGAGCCAAGATCATGCCACTGCACTCCAGCCTGGCGACAGAGCAAGACTCTGTCTCAAAAAAAAAAATTATCTGGTACTTTCCTTTCTATCCAGAATAAAAAGTGGAAATGGTGGGTTTATAAGGATGGGGAGTAATTTCCTTCCCCTGAATTCAGAGGAGCACATAAGTAATTCCCTCAAGACCCCACAGTGATAAAACCTGAATAATAAGCTAGTAATATGACATGTTTGGCTGTTTCTGAAGTCAAGCACCTGGGGCAGAACTAAATCACAGTTACAGGGAAAAGGGAAGTAATTATTTATAGAGTGCTTCATACTAGTTTATCCCATAGCTAACAATCTTCATCGTTTGAACATCAACCGGTTATTGCTTAAGGCTGGCCAGATAAATTGTAGTCAGTGTAAGTCAACATGCCAGGTGATCAGTGCTTAACTTCTAAGTAGCTGAATTTGTGAGATCAGCTGTGCTTGGAAGAGTGGGCCCAGCGTAGGCCCGAGCAAATTTGTCAGGTGTGGATCTCCAGCCTGTACTGGGCAGCCTGTGTTTGGAGATGGTGGTGGCAGAGAGGTAAAATGTAAAGACAAACTTGAAAGTCATAAACTTATCTGCCAGGGACCTGCAAACCTTAGCAAGGAAATCCTGATTGAGCCTAGAAGCTAAGGAGCAACTTTACAATGTAGTCAGGCTGCTCACGGCAGGCTTGGTTGGTTCTTCCCTTCTCAATAAGTTGGGCAATTCTGGGAGGCACAAAGTGTCCCAGGAGAGTGATGAGTGAAGTACTCAAGCCAATATGAGGACACAAAAATCCTTAGGACGGGCACAGTGGCTCATGCCTGTAATCCCAGCACTTTGGGAGGCCAAAGTGGGTGGATCACCTGAGGTCGGGAGTTCGACCAGCCTGACCAACATGGAGAAACCCCGTCTCTACTAAAAATACAAAACAATTAGCCAGGCATGGTGGCACAGGCCTGTAATCCCAGCTACTCGGGGGGCTGAGGCAAGAGAATCGCTCGAACCCAGGAGACAGAGGTTGTGGTGAGCCGAGATGGTGCCATTGCACTCCAGTCTGGGCAACAAGAGTGAAACTCCATCTCAAAAAAAAAAAAAAAATTCCTTGTGAGGGACGGGCACGTGCCTCTATGATGGTAAGAAAATCCCTACCATCTTCATGTCAGAGCTTTGGTTTCCTGAAAGCTTTATGTGTGTATCTGTATAAACCCCAAAGAAGAAAATATAGCTGAGTCTTTAGGATTAATAAAAGATTCTGATTGTCTTATGACTACTTAAGAGCAATACACATTCGAACGTAGGGTACTGTGGTGGAGTGGACACAGCCTAAATTTAAAATCAGACAGAATATGGATTCAAATCCTGCTTCCATCACACACCAGGTCTGTGACCGCTGGACAGGTTATTTAATGTCTCTGTATCTCGAGTCCTTATTCTTAAAGAAGGATGCCTCTATCCCTCCATTAACTTACACTGTAATAGGGGCCGGTATGGTCCGTGCAGTGTAATGTTAGAAGCAGGTACTCAGGTGTCAATAGATGCAAGTGGCAGCTATAGTCTTGCTGTTTACTAACTGTGTTTCTTAGGGCAGCTACATACCTGCCCTAAGCCTTAGTCTCCTTACTTGTGAAATAGGGATAATAATGGGTTTTACTTTATAAGGTTATAATACATACATGGTAGTTAGTACAGTGTCTTTGCATACAATAAGAATTCAAAAATCCCAATTCCCATTCTCCCATAATCTTGTTTACATTAAAGGGACACTGGAGACAGGCTAATAGGCACTGAGAAAGGCAAGTGAAAAAGAGTGTGATGTGTATCAAATTATAATAGTAAACACACAAGAGTTACCTGGTCGGCTACTCTATACACTCCTTCCTTTTGGCTGCAATCGCAGGTATAGGCGTGCACTCTTGTGGCTCCAGCTTCCCGAGCCATCTTACATGTTTCCTCATTCCCCTCCTTATTGATATCCCAGAGAACAAGAACAGATCCCAGCCGGGCAAACTGCAAGGCTAAGAGCCTTCCGAGTCCACTTCCAGCACCTGTGATGAGGACTATTTCACCAGCAACGTTCTTCCGTGGCTTTGGGAGTAAGGCAAAAATCATAGCCTCCAGAAGACTAAACAGTGATTTTCCTAAGAAAATGAACAGTTTCTTTGATGATTGCAGGTTGAAAGACATGTTCTGGCTGACACCTGTGAAGAAAGACAGATTCACATGAAGACTTATTTGTCCATTTCCTCTGAGTTGTTTACTCCACGGAGCTCCTATTTTCTGAAACAGTGAAAGTAACTGAGATATGTGATTTAAACAGCTCTCCTGGTAGCAGACTCTGTATTCAGAAAGTGGGAGGAGGAAGCCACAGGGACTATACTTATTCGGCTTTCTTACTTGGCCCCAGGCTCAGCATGTTATTTGCATGCCTGCTATGTGCAGTACACAACAGAAATGTTTGTTAACCAGGAACTGTAACCACCACACCCAAATTTAACACAAAAGAATAAGTTCATTATTGCTCATAGTTAGCCTTTCTTCATAATAATAATGAATCCTGTTGGCTGATTTTATGTTCAAAGTCTTGACCACATCACAATGTTTATAACATCATTACTACCTCTCTGGCTTTATGTTTCTCTCCTTTGATGTTTGTGCTTTCTCATTTGCATTCTCGTTAATTTTGCATTACTATTTAAAATCTGAGATTTGAGAGGAAAATGTAAAGTCCTATTTGTAGAAAGCATTTGACAGGAAGTAACCAGATGTTCTAGACCTTTTCCGACAGATTTGCAATCAGCACCAGATAGCCCTTCCCTAGGCTCTGAGGTCCCCGCACCAACAGCTCTATATCACTTACCACTCTGTGTGATTAAAGGTCACAGGCGAGGCAGACCTGGACTCCTGCCCTGCACTGCCTCTGCCTACCTGTGAACCCCATGGCGGGGGTTCTCTTGGCCTTACACTGGGCCTTGGTCTCTTCATCTATATTGGTCCCGTGGCATAGGGTGTTTTTGCAGATGAAATGAGAATGTTCCACGTATGACCACAATGCCTGGCTTATAGTCAGTGCTTTACAGATGTTATCACATTTCTCAGATTCATAGTGCTGCCCACCAAGAAGGCATCCACTAGGTCTGCTGAATGAATAAAAGGCCTCCCCTTGACAAACTCATACAGAGCTTAGTGCTTACATCCTGCTACCAGTTACTCACACTTTAGTGTGAATGAATATATAAGGTGTGCTTTACTAACCACTAGCTGAGAAAGAAGGGAAGGTCTTATTTCCTTCAGGATGGGAACAGAAGACATATTTAGCAGACAGCATACTGTGCTGGGGGTGGGAGCCTTCTCTGAATGGGGTGTTTAATTGAGAGGCTCAGACAAAGGCACAGGTGTGAGGAGACAGGAGGGGAGTAATGAAAAAAGAGCAGGTCTTCACAGTTTGGCTGAAGTCAGCCTAGTTGCGGTTAATGAGTAAGGGTGGATAGATTCATCTACAGGAGGACTTGGTATGTGGTCACACCCTTAGGAAATGTCGAGAGTCGATGCAACCCAGGCTGTTGTTCCTGGCTTATTGTACAGATGAGACTGAGGATCGAAGAGAAGATGTATGTGACTTGTTCAGGGTCCCTGTGCTGGTTAGCTGGTGAGGGCCAGATTGGTTCATGTGTTATGTTTATTGAGTATCCACCCTGTGCTGGTTCTATCTGGGCACTGGGGCTGAGGGGATGGGCAGCCTCTCATAATCTCTGTGCAGGTGAGCCAAGTAATCTAGTTGAAGAGACGTATTCAACAAATAAACAGATCGTTATAAGCCATAGTGTTATAAAGAAAAGTGCAGTGTGCTATGGAGAGGATGATCGGAGAGCTGATTCAGATTGGGCTTGGGAGAGGAAGCAACAGATGTCTGCTGGAAAGTGACCCTTTGAGTGGATATCCAAATGATGATGGTGGGAGGTAGGGATATTGAGCAGTAGCTTTCCTGGCAGAGGGACAAAATAGTTTGTTTTAAGGCAGGTTTGACCTGTGTGTCCAGGGCTGTCCAGAGAATAAGAATGTTTGCTCTAAGGAACATGGATGCTCTGGTCAAATGAAGAACGTTTTCATCCATGCTTTGATGAAATAGACCTCAAACTCTCTGTGATCTTTGCTCTGATTTACATTCACAGAGTAACTTTTGAATGATTGATCAGGCCTCTCAGGCACTGCAGAACTTGAAAAGGTGTCCTGAAAGAGGACTCTCATATCAAATACATGGAGCCTGTACCTGTGGATCTGCAAGGATGAGGGTCAGACTGTGCACACAGTAATGGGAAACCCTAGGCGCCCTTCTCAGACAGCAGCCTGGGCGTCGCCAACTTTGGAAAATCCACACCAGGAGTAGTTGGTCAGACCACCACATTCCCTTTTATATCACTATGTGAATTCACATAGAGGGACAGAGGTCTACTTCTCCCATCACAGGGCTCCAGCACCTCAGCAGTGGCCAGAAGTCTCAACATTGACCTGGGTGACATGAACGCTCTTAATGTCAGGACATTCTAGATTTCAGTGTTCCACTGTCTCAATGTTGGCTTGATGCAAGACCTAAAATATGTCCATCTTTTAACCCTGTCTTGGCAGATGCTTACTAGATTTCTAAGAGCTTGTCAGCCTGAGTTACCTCCCTTCCCCAGTTGAAGTTTAGGGTGCCTGCTGGGTACCCACACAGGCAATGAGGTCTAGAGATTAAAGTTTGGGTTGGAATTCCAGATATATCACTGATTTTCCCTGCAACTTTGGTAGAAATGATTTAATCTCTTGTGCCTCAGTTTCCTCCTCTAAAAAGGGAGTTTCTAATAGTGCATAGGAATACTTACCACACAGAGGAGCTGTGAGAATTAAACCAGTTTATATAGGTAAAGTTTTAAGGAGCATTATGTGGTCACTACTAGCTTGTGTGAAACCTTCGAACAAATTAGAAAAAAAAAAAAAAAAAGGCATTGCCCTGCACAAAGTCCTCTGCGGGGTGCAAGGGGTTGGGGAGGGGGTGCAAGAGGAGCTGTTTGGATTTCAACACCTGCCAGCTTACATGTCTCCCCCTCTGCTCCTCAATCCCCATAATAATGTGGCACAGCCATAAAACATGGAGGCCTTTCTAGAACAGTGCCAGGCACAGAATGACAGCAAAATAATTAATGGCTAGAACTTCCACTGGTCCTGTTAAGCATATGAATTAATAATCCCTGGCTATATCAATTAAATATGGTTATAGTATACTTACAAACAAGAGTGAATGTACGGTTCCATTTTACTGCAAAGACTTTCCTAGAATGTTACGGAGCGTATACAATTTAATCTGGCAGAAGTCTTCTAGGTGTCCCTATCTCGCGGCCTACCCAATCCAAACAGGCGCCCTCGGCTTCCCATACCAGTGCGCGGCAGCAAGTCGGCTCTGGTGAGGGCACCCGGACGAAACGGGAGGGCAGACAGACTGACAATCACAGCTTGGGTTGAAAGGGGTGATATGGGGGTTGATATCCACCCGGAAGGTGGATGCACTGAGCAGCAGAGAGCAGGGAACCTGGGCAGAACGGACCGAAGAAGAGGGTCCGGGGAGGCATCCTGCCCTCTGCTCCGGGTGGGGAGGGAGGCTGGCAGCTCACCCCCGGGGGCGAGGGGTCTGCGTTAGCCGTAGCCACGGGAGCCCGGGCTTCTGGGACGCTCAGCCGTGCGCTACCCGGTGCAGCTGCTTTCTCACCAGCTCGCGGGTGGGTCCTGCCGCGGCTCGGCGACCCGCGCCCCCTTGCGAGCGACCCAGCGTGAAACCAGCCCAAAGGGCGGCCTCGCCCGACCCCCGCCAGCGCGACCTCCTCCGGGAGCCAGCACCCAGGACCGACGACCTCGGCAACTTACCCAGGACACTCTCCCTAGCTGTCCGCGGAGAAGCCGGCCTCGTCTGCCCCAGGCACCCGAGTCCCTGGCTCGGAGCTCAGTCAGGTTCAGGTGTTTATCCAGGCGCCGCCCAAGTCCAAGGGCGGGACTGCCGCGGCAGCGCCAGGGGTGGGGCCGGCCGTAGCCCCAGTGCGCGACGTGGGCAGCACTCCCATCTTCTTTTTCTGGACCTGCAGATTTAAGAAGCTGGAAATTCGGTGGTGGAAACTGGATGCGTGCGCCGGATTTCTCTTAGGCTTAACGTTTCAATGCCTAGGCTGTACCCTAGATTATTAGATGGGAATTTCTGGGTTGGTAGGGGCCTAGGCATTAGCTAGAAAAGTTTCCCAGGTATTTGCAAGGCACAACCCCGAGGTTGGGAACCCTGGAATTAGAGAACAGAGCAGTATAGGCGTCCACGGGGGAGGGGCCAGGTCGTGTGTCTGGAGCCTGCAGTGCGGGGAGTTCTCCAGCAGCATCTGACTGCTCCACATGGGATCTTAAGTCAACAGCTTCCTTGCCCCTTGGAGGTAAAGGATGTGGGCGTGGGCTCGGAAGTCCCCGGGAAGTGGGTGGGGTGCAGGCAGGGGCAGGAGTGGGTGCGGCGCTGGCAGGCGGCCTAGGAGAAGAGGGCGAGGAAATTTGTTCTAACAAGATGAAGCCGAGAAATGAGGCTAGCGTAAGAGTCACCAGGCACTCTGACCCAATCAAGATATATTAAGCATCTGGGTGTACAGCGATCCAGAAGATAACAGCGATGATATATCTGTCAAGAAAAAAAAAAAGGAAAAACATTCATTAATAAATCAATAAAAGAGTTAATATAAGCACAAGACACCACTGAGATGCTAATAATAGAGGGTGAACTTTTCTGGGGGCAATGAGGGGCAGAAATGACAATAAATTATGGGATGTTGAAAGAAAAACAGGGGAGTCATGATGAGATTGGGTTTGAAATTTATCCCGGGGCTGAGTAGGACAGGAAAAGTGGTGAGGGGTCGAAGAGCAGCCTTAGCCAGCCCATATCTGGGACAGGTCTGGAGTAGAGGAACTGCACATTTGTTCTTTATTTGGGTGACAGAAGAAACAGGCAGGTCGTATAAGCTTGGAAAAGTAGGTGCAGGGGAAACCCTCGACTGTCTTTTCAGTACTTAAGAGGTTACTTGTGTGCTTTAGGCAGCAGCAGCGAGCTGTGGCAAGCTATGCGAGGCGTGTGGGAAGGTGAGTGGGTAAATGTGCGTGCATTGGTTTCAAGTCAGCCGTCACCACACAGCGACACTGCTGTGTGGGGCTCTGGGGAGTTGCAGGGCTTCTGAGGGAGAAGGGAGACACATTCATAAACAGTGCGGGTGATAGACATGCACCCCAGGTGCTTCCAGAGTCCACAACCAGCCTGCAGGAGGAGAGGCAGTTGGACTCAAAGGGCCTTCCAGAATGGGCTAAGGTGTGGAGGTGAGCAGCACCTGGGAGTGAGAGTGGACTGAGGCAGAGAGACGTCGGGTAATGGGCCCTTGATGGTGCAGCCTGCCTGCAAGAGTTCAGATGAGTGGACACTGGGAAACACCAGCCTCCTATTATCTTCATGGCTTCTCTGAGCAGAATCCTAGGCTGTCACTCTTCTTTCTGGTCAGAAGCCCTGGGTGGACCTCAAGAAAGAAATTTGGAGCATTATTAGAAATCTCATCAGTACAAAAGATGAGAGTGAGTAGTGGGGGATGCACCGGTGACGCAGTGAA
Organism: Homo sapiens; assembly: GCF_000001405.40. Classification (NCBI taxonomy): domain Eukaryota; kingdom Metazoa; phylum Chordata; class Mammalia; order Primates; family Hominidae; genus Homo; species Homo sapiens. The sequence goes on from NC_000008.11 coordinate 56,321,813, forward strand.
AGAAGCCAGAGGCCCTGCTGGTTGGAAAGGGTCCTGCTTTGACTTGATGTGGGGGAAACTCAGAGGACTGACCATAATCCTGAAAGCTGGGAAAGGATTTCTAAAGGGTCTCTTTTGGCAAAGGCTAGGAATGGACAGTTTATGATAGAACATGTGTCATGGGCTAATAAACATGAAAAAGTGGTTTAATCTTATTCTCAATTTCTTTGATCTTAGGGCCAAAGAGATGCATATGAAAACATTTCTTACCTTACAAATTGAAAGTTTTTTTTTTTTTTTAAAAGAATGCCTTCATATGGGGGTATAAATTATACATTTCTGGAAAACAAATATGTTTCAGGAATTAGAAAGGGATATATCCTCTGACCCAATTCCACCTTTATCTTTACCAAATACCCAGGTATTGTCTGTGGCCTTTCAGGAAGGGAAACTGGGTCACTGAGAGTCAGGGATGGGAAAGAGACTTTCCACTCCACTGAATCATGTGAAGTAGTACCTTTTTAGGAAACAAGTATATTAATCAAAATAAATTGATCTTTAATTCCTAAGAAGTATGTGCCGATGGAGTACTCTACAGCCATCTTTATAAAATCATGTTTTTCAAGGGTATGAAGTACACTTCACAGAATATGAGTTTAAAAAACACAGTACAAGACTAAATATATTTGCTATGATTCTAATTTCTATGAAAATTTTATGTACATGCATTAGAAACACTGGAAGAGAGTTCATCAACATCTTAACACTTTTTGTAATATAGTAGTGGAATGTTGGTTGAATTTATTTCTTTGTATCTTTTTGTATTTTCCAAATTTTCCATTATGTGTATATCTTTATCTCATAATAAAAATGTTTCTGTGGCCACACATACACAGATGCTTCCATTCCAGATAGCACAGTGAGCATACGCATTCATATCCTATTTTCTTCCAAAATTCCATTGAAATAAAAGAGAAAATATAAAAATGCAAATAAACACATTAGTGCTAGAAAAAAGAAAGGAGCTACCAGTGAGGGTTGACTTCATTAAGCAGATGGATCCTATTTCCAGAAACCAGAGCAAAAGATACTTTAAGCTATGACACACGGAAGGTACTGCAAAAATGAGTCATTCTTCCCAACAGAAAGCCTGAGTAACCACAATTCAGTAAACAAACGCAGAGTGTAAATAGGACACGGGACACTCAGATGGAATAAGAGTGTTAATATAAAAAACAACACTCTGAAGGTATTGAAATACAATATTGAAAAATTGTTTTGAAATTTGGGACTAGGCAAGGAAATATCATAAGCAAAGTAAGATGATAAACAACAGACTAGGAGAAAATAGTTTTGCATAAAGAGTTGACCATTGATAATTTGTCATAATATATAGCATTTCTATAAACTGATTGAAATAAGACAGTGGGAAAAATTGATAAAGAAATTTATAGGCAAATAAATATAAATTACTGAAAATGCCTAAAAAGATGCGAAATTTCACTCATATTCAGGAAAAGGAAATTGGAAAAGGAATAACCTTTTTTTCATTCATTAATATCCACATATTAAAAAGTCAGATAAGAATTTAGGATTGGGGCTGTGCATGGTGGCTCATGCCTGTAATCCCAACACTTTGGGAGGCCAAGGCAGGTGGATCACCTGAAGTCAGGAGTTCAAGACCAGCCTGGCTAACATGGTGAAAACCCGTCTCTACTAAAAAATACCAAAATTAGCCAGGGGTGGTGGTGGGCGCTTGTAATCCCAGCTACTCACTAGTCTGAGGCAGGGAGAATTGCTTGAACCCGGGAGGTGGAGGTTGCAGTGAGCAGAGATCGCGCCATTGTACTCTAGCCTGGGTAACAGAGCAAGACTCCATCTTGGGAAAAAAGAAAAAAAAAAAGAATTCAGGATTGGCAAGGGTGTGGGAACACAGACATTCTCAAACAATGTGGGGATATTTGTCTTTGAGTCTTTTATGGACAGTAATTGGGCAGTAGCTATCATAACTTTTGACTGCTATTTCACATTTAGGAATCTATCACATAAGAATATTGACACTTCCAGCACTCTGGGAGGCCGAAGTGGGTGGATAATGAGGTCAGGAGATCGAGACCATCCTGGCTAACATGGTGAAACTCCATCTCTACTAAAAATACAAAAAATTAGCTGGGTGTGGTGGCACGCACCTGTAGTCTCAGCTACTCAAGAGGCTGAGGCAGGAGAATCGCTTGAACCTGGTAGGCAGAGGTTGCATTGAGCCGAGATCACGCACTCCAGCCTGGGTGACAGAGTGAGACTCTGTCTCAAAAAAAAAAAAAAAAAAAAAAATTGACCCATGTTTATTGAAGATTGTGATAGTAAAAAATGAGAAGCTACTTGAATGCACAGCTATTCCATTAATCACGATATAGTCATGTAATAGAATTCTCTGAAGCTGAAAAAAAGGATGAAGTTAGAAATATATTTAGTGGCAGGGAGAAATCTCCAGGCTGTGGTCAGTGAAAAAAAAGTACAGAATTATTCCACTGAAATTAAATTGATGATTACTGTGCATTGTGCATGCACATGTGTGTTCACATGTGTGTAAAACAGATGGAAATGCACAGAAGAATGGATCTGGAAGGCTACACACCAAACCGTTGGCAGTAGTTACCTCGGGAGGGGCACAGAATTGAGTAAGGGGCAAGGAGAGTCGCCTCCATTATGATATATATTTCTGTATTGTTTGACTTTTTATAAATGGCGTGCAATATTTTGTTATATTAAAAACAGAAAAAGATGAAAAAAATGCCTACTTTTAAAAGACTCGTTTAAAGAACATGTTGTCTTTGGGGATTACTTGGTAAAACAGTAGAGTAAGTACAGTCAGCAGATGATACTTTCACAAATATATATGTTTAACCAAAATGCATTATTTGGCAGAAGGAGATTGTGAAATCCTCAGAGAAGTACATGATTAGTGTAAAGGTAGACTTATTTGTTCAATGACAGGAAGAGAGCAGTGTTAGGCTGGAACAGAAGTAGTAAACGAACATGTGAAAGAGTAGGATGAATAATACATACTGATAATAAATCCAAGAGTTGAAGGAGAAAGGGGACACGTGCCCTGTCACTTTGTTGGGGAAAGTAACTATATACCAAAGAAATGCAAAAGTTTCAGAAAGCCAAGACTCAAGGAAGACAGTGATAGGACTGGGCACATGACTGGATTTCCCTGTTTACTACATTTTTCAGAAAAACTGGGCATGAAGCCCGACACTCCTCATTTCATCTCTTGCCGAAAAGACAAAAGGATGTGTTGTTTTATGTTTGTTCTAGCTCTTCTATTTATCCCATGGTCATTATCACCTCTAACAAATTTTTTTTCCCCTGAATAATCATAGAATGAGCTACCGCTCATTTATGTAGATTTGACCTGGCTTGTTGTGCCAAGGTTACTTACAGCCAGAGACTTATGGGCCCAGATACATTTTCTCCTATTTTCATTTTCATTCTGCTTTTCTCATCAGGAATTTCTCTTCCTTTCTGACTCTCTCTGTGATCAGTGGAAATACTATTTGTGAAGGGCATTTTTTGCTTATACAGTTATAGAAAAAAAACTTTTGATGGATATATGATTAGGATGAGGAGTATGACAGGCATGCTCTCTCCCTTACTCTGTTTTACTGAAGTATAATTTATATGCTATAATGTACCCATTTTAAGTGTATAGTCTGTGTTGTAGTAAATTTACAGGGTTGTGCAGTTGTGCATTACTTCATTCCAGTTTCAGAATGCTTCCATCACACCTGGGAATATTTTAAACAAAATATTTGACTTAGATTTATTGGAGAGTGAAAGTAGCCCCACTCATGGGCCCCATGGCCCCAACCCATGTGGTAACAAACTTGTGGTTAGGTGTTCTCCAAGGATTCCCACCTCTCATTTTTATTTTTTTATTTAGATCTAAAGACGATAAGTAAGTTTCTCCATTGTTTTCTCTAGAACCCTCCTTCCTGCCCTCACTCACCACCATTTTTCAGGTCAAGCCTCTGACAGTACAACCTTTCTGGGATTCTGGAGTCATGTGGTTTTCCAGTCCATCCTCTTGGTTTCATGTTTTTGTCTGTTCTCCCCATCACATGAGCATCTGGGATAATGAATATACCCCCTGTCACTACCTCCTGACAATGAGGAGGTGTGTCCTATATGGATGGCAATCTGGCATTAGCTGATAATGCCTTAACTTTCGGGATTATTAGTTTCTTATTATCTAGGGTACATATCTTACTTCTTTCCCCAACAGTTCATTGATTACTTTAGAGGATTAAACAAAAATTTTTATGCATAATTTTTAGATCTATACTGAAACACTTTCTCTGAACATCTAGTAATTCCTACAGCCAGAAATGGCTGTCATCATAGTCATCTTTGTAAACATTTTCTTTGAGTTTTTGTTTTATTTTTTATAGAGACAGTTCTTATTCTGCAAAACTTTTTCACCTAGCTGGAAACTATGAAAAAAAATTAGCAGAGGGCCTATCCAGTTACCAAATACAATAAAGCTATGGTTAGAAATTAGTTCTGAGTTGAAAGAGGCTTTAGTAGTTTAGGGTACACTTCATTTGAATGACTTGTACAAAGTGCTAATTTTGGCATTATTTGTAATGGCCCAAAACTGGACTGAATACCCAAATAACTTGTTGTATATTTCCACAATGGAATACTATACAGCAATGAAAAGGGATGGACTACTACTACATACAATTTGTAGATGACTCTCACAAACATAATACTGAGCAAAAAAAAAAAAATGACACACCTAAGTACATACTATGTGATTGTACTTACATAAAGTTCAAAAACAGCAATACTAATCCATGTGATAAAGTCAGAACAATGGTTACCTTTGAGGAGTCGTGACCAAGAGAGGGTAAATGGGAAGTTTCTGAGGTGGCATCCATGTTCTACATCTTGACCTGGGCAGTGGTTACACAGTTATGTTCACTATCTAAAAACGTATCTAGCTGTATACACTTCTATGCATTTTTTTTAATGTATGTTCTATTTCAATAAAAGTTCCTGTATTCCAAGTCCTTCCACCCTCCTGACTGTGAACTAAAGAAAAAATTAGGCTTTCAAACAGTTAAAGTTCATTTTGTTCAGTCTTACTGAGGATTGCAACCTGGGAGTGTTTTACAGAGGGTTTCTACGTGGCTCCAAACCAGTGTTTCAGTCCACAGCTTGTATATCAGGTGGTGGAGATTCTGCGTGTGCTATTAACTTACATTACAGCAAAATTTCATCAAAGTTTGGGTTCAAGAGTAGATCTGGTTATAGATTTCAGAGGTGTAACCATCAATCCTGTCAGATATTATGTACAGAAAGAGTCAAAGGCTAGGACCATTGAACTTATCTTTTTTTTTTTTCCTTGAGCTAATATATTCATTTTCTTTCTTTTTTTTCCCTTAAGTTATCGGGGTACAGGTGGTATTTGGTTGCTTGAGTGTTTTTTAGTGGTGATTTGTGAGATTTTGGTGCACCCATTACCTGAGCATTATACACTCGACCATATTTGTAGTCTTTTATCCCTCACCCCTGTCCCACTCTTCCTCCCAAGTCCCCAAAGTCTATTGTATCATTCTAATGCCTTTGCGTCCTCATAGCTTGGGTCCCACATATCAGTGAGAACATACAATATTTGGTTTTCCATTCCTGAGTTACTTCACTTAGAATAATAGTCTCGAATCTCATTGAGGTCACTGGAAATGCTGTTAATTCATTCCTTTTTATGGCTGTGTAGAATTCCATTATATATGTAAATATAAATATATAAAAATATATAAAATATAAATATATAAATATATACATATATAAATATATAAATATATATAAATATATATAAATATATAAATATATATAAATATATAAAAATATATAAATATATATAAATATATAATATATATATAAATATATATATAAATATATATAAATATATATATAAATATATATATAAATATATATATAAATATATATATAAATATATATATAAATATATATATAAATATATATATAAATATATATATATCACAGTTTCTTTATCCACTCATTGATTGATGGCCATTTGGGTTGGTTCCACAATTTTGCAATTGTGAATTGTGCTGCTATAAACATGCACGTAAAAGTATCTTTTTCGAATAATGAGTTCTTTTTCTCTGGGCAGATACCCAGTAGTGGGATTTCTGGATCAAATGGTAGTTCTACTTTTAGTTCTTTAAGGAATCTTGACACTCTTTTCCATAGTGATTGTACTAGTTTACATTGTACTAGTTTACATTCCCATCAGCAGTGCAGAAGTGTTCCATGTTCACTGCATCCACGCCAACATCTACTGTTTTTTGATTTTTTGATTACGGCCATTCTTGCAGGAATGTGGTGGTATCACATTGTGGTTTTGATTTGCATTTCTCTGATCATTAGTGATGTTGGCCATTTTTTTCATATGTTTGTTGGCCATTTGTACGTCTTCTTTTGAAAATTGTCTATTCATGCCCTTAGCCTACTTTTTGATGGAATTGTTTGTTTTTTTTCTTACTCATTTGTTTGAGTTCATTGTAGATTCTGGATATTAGTCCTTTGTCAAGTGTATAGGTTGTGAAGATTTTCTCCCATTCTGTGGGTTGTCTGTTTACTCTGCTGACTGTTCCTTTTGCAGTGCAAAAGCTCTTTAGTTTTATTAGGTCCCAGTTATTTACCTTTGTTTTTACTGCATTTGCTTTTGGGTTCTTGGTCATGAAATCCTTGCCTAAGCCAATGTCTAGAAAGGGTTTTCCAATGTTATCTTCTAGAATTTTTATAGTTTCAGGTCTTAGGTTTAAGTTCTTAATCCATCTTGAGTTGATTTTTATGTAAGCTGAGAGATAAGGATCCAGTTTCACTCTTCTACATGTGGCTAGCCAATTATCCCAGCATCATTTGTTGAAAAGGGTGTCCTTTCCCCACTTTATGTTTTTGTTTGCTTTGTCAAAGACCAGTTGGCTGTTAAGTATTTGGGTTTATTTCTGGGATCTCTATTCTGTTCCATTGGTCTATGTGCCTATTTTTATATCAGTACCATGCTGTTTTGGTGACTATAGCCTTATAGTATAGTTTGAAATCAGGTAGAGTGATGCCTCCAGATTTGTTCTTTTCACTTAGTGTTGCTTTGTTTATTCAGGCTCTTTTTTGGTTCCATATGAATTTTAGACTTGTTTTTTCTAATTCTGTGAAAAATGATGGTAGTATTTTGATGGGGATTGCATTGAATTTGTAGATGGCTTTTGGCAGTATGGTCATTTTCACAATATTGATTCTACTCATCCATGAGCATGGGATGTTTTTCCATTTCTTTGTGTCATCTATGATTTCTTTCAGCAGTGTTTTGTAGTTTTCCTTGTAGAGGTCTTTTGTCTCCTTGGTTAGGTATATTCCTAAGTATTTATTTATTTATTTATTTATTTATTTATTTATTTATTTTGCAGCTATTGTAAAATGTGTTGAGTTCTTGATCTGATTCTCCACTTGGTTGCTGTTGGTGTATAGAAGAGCTACTGATTTGTGTGTATTAATCTTGTATCCAGAAACTTTGCTGAATTCTTTTATCAGTTCTAGGAGCTTTCTGGAGGAATCCTTAGGGTTTTTCAAGGTAAACGATCATGTCGTCAGCGATTCTTTTTATGTGGTGTATCACATTCATTGACTTGCTTATGTTAAACCATTGCTGCATCCCTGGTATGAGACCAGTTGATCATGGTGGATTATCTTTTTGATATGTCATTGGATTAAGTTAGCTAGTATTTTGTTAAGGACTTTAGTATCTATGTTTATCAAGGATATCGGTCTGTAGTTTTATTTTTTGGTTGTGTCCTTTCCTGGTTTTGGTATTAGGGTGATGCTGGCTTCATAGAATGAATTAGGGAGGTTCCTTCCTTCTCTGTCTTGTGGAATAGTGTCAAAAGGGTTCGTCCCAATTCTTCTTTGAATGCCTAGTAGAGTTGTGCTGTGAATCCGTCTGGTCCAGAACTATTTTTTGTTGGTAATTTCTTAATTACCATTTCAATTTTGCTGCTTGTTATTGGTCTGTTCTGGGTATCTAATTCTTCCTGATTTAAGCTAGGATGGTTGTAATTTTCCAAGAATTTATCCATCTCTTCTAGGTTTTCTAGTTTATGTGCATAAAGATGTTCATAATAACCTTGACTGATCTTTTGTATTTCAGTGGTGTCAGTTGTAATATCTCCTGTTTCATTTGTTAGTGAGGTTATTTGGATTTTCTCTCTTTTTTCTTGGTTAATCTTGGTAATGGTCTATCAATTTTATTTATCTTTTCAAAGAACCAGCTTTTTGATTCATATATCTTTTGTATTTTTTTTCTGTTTCAATTTACGTTAGTTCTGCTCTGATCTTGGTTATTTCCTTTCTTCTGCTGGGCTTGGGTTTGGCTTGTTCTTGTTTCTCTAGTTCCTTGAGGTGTGACCTTAGATTGTCTGTTCATGCTCTTTCAGACTGTTTGATGTAGGTGTTTAGGGCTATGAGCTTTCCTCTTAGAACTGCCTTTGCTGTATTCCAGAGGTTTTGATAGATTGTGTCATTATTGTCATTCAGTTCAAAGAATTTTTCAGTTTCCATCTTGATTTTGTTTTTGACAATGACCCAATGCTCATTCACAAGCAGGTTATTTAATTTCCATGTTTTTACATGGTTTTGAAGGTTACTTTTAGAGTTGATTTCCAGTTTTATTCCACTGTGGTCTGAGAGAGTGCTTGATATAATTTCAATTTTCTTAAATTTATTGAGGCTAATTTAATGGCCTATCATATGGTCTATTTTGGAGAGAAAGTTCCACGCACTGTTGAATAGAATGTGTATTCTGTGGTTGTTGGGGAAAATGTTCTGTATGTATCTATTAAGTCAATTTGTTCCAAGGTTGGTTTAAATTCATTGTTTCTTTGCTGACTTTCTGTCTTGATGTCCTGTCTAGTGCTGTCAATGGAGTATTGAAGTCCACCACTGTTCCCGTGTTGCTGTGTATCTCATTTCTTAGGTCTATTAGTAATTATTTTACACATTTGGGAGCTCCAGTGTTAAGTGCATATATGTTTAGGATTGTGATATTTTACCCTTTACCATTATATAATGTGCCTCTTTGTCTCTTTTAACTGCTGTTGCATTAAAGTTTGTTTTGTCTGTTATAAGAATAGCTACCCCTGCTCGATTTTGGTGTCCATTTACATGAAATGCCTTTTTCTACCTCTTTACTTTAAGTTTATATGAGTCCTTATGTGTTAGGTGAGTTTCCTGAAGGCAGCAGATAGTTGGTTGATGACTTCTTATTCATTCTATGGTTCTGTATCTTTTAAGTGGAGCATTTAGGTCATTTACATTCAATGTTAGTGTTGAAATGTGAGGTACTATTGCATTCATCGTGCTACTTGTTGCCTGTGTACTTAGACTATTTTTTTTGTTTTTCTTTTTTTGCTTTTTAACTTGTATTTTGTTTTATAGGTCCTGTGTGATTTATGCTTTAAAGAGGTTCTGTTTTGATGTGTTTCCAGGATTTGTTTCAAGATTTAGAGCTCCTTTTAGCAGTTCTTGTAGTGGTGGCTTGTCTGAAAACAACAATGTCTTTCCTTCATATTTGATGCTTAGTTTCACTGGATACAAAATCCTTGGGTGATAATTGTTTTGTTTGAGGAAACTGAAGATAGGTCCCCAATCCCTTCTAGCTTGTAGGGTTTCTGCTGAGAAGTCTGCTGTTCATCTGATAGATTTTCCTTTATAGGTTACCTGGTGCTTCTGTCTCATAGCTTTTAAGATTCTTTCCTTTGTCTTAACTTTGGATAACCTGATTATAATGTGCCTAGGTGAAGATCTTTTTGCAATGAATTTCCCATGTGTTCTTTGTGCTTCTTGTATTTGCATGTCTAGGTCTCTCTGGCAAGGCTGGGGAAGTTTTCCTCGATTATTCCCCCAAATATGTTTTCCAAGCTTTCAGAATTCTCTTCTTCCTCAGGAACACCAATTATTCTTAGGTTTGGTCATTTAACATAATCCCAGACTTCTTGGAAGCTTTGTTCACATTTTCTTATTCTGTTTTCTTTGTCTTTGTTGGATTGGGTTAATTCAAAGACTTTGTCTTTGAGCTCTGAATTTCTTTCTTCTACTTGTTCAATTCTGTTGCTGAGACTTTCCAGAGCATTTCGCATTTCTAAAAGTGTGTCCAAAGTTTCCTGAATTTTTGACTGTTTTTTCTTTTTTTGTTTTTTAGACACAGTCTTGCTCTGTCACCCAGGCTGGAGTGCAGTGGCACAATCTTGGCTCACTGCAACCTCTGCCTCCTGAATTCAAGGGATTCTCCTGCCTCAGTCTCCTGAATAGCTGGGACTACAGGTGCCCGCCACCACGCCTGGCTAATTTTTTTGTATATTTAGTAGAGACGGGGTTTCACCACGTTGGCCAGGCTGGTCTTGAACTCCTGACCTCAGGCGATCCACCCGCCTCAGTCTCCCAAAGTGCTGGGATTACAGGAGTGAGCCACTGCATCTGGCCAGCTGTTTTTTCTTTAAGCTATCTATTTCCTTGTATATTTTTCCCTTCACTTCCTGTATCATTTTTTGAATTTCCTTGCACTTGGCTTCGCCTTTCTCTGGTCCCTCCCTGGTTAGCTTAATAACTAACCTCCTGAATTCTTTTTCAGGTAAATCAAGGATTTCATCTTGGTTTGGATCCATTGCTGGTGAACTAGTGTGATTTTTTGGGGGGGGTGTTTAAGAGTCTTGTTTTGTCATATTACCAGGGTTGGTTTTCTGGTTCCTTCTCATATGGGTAGGGTTTGTCAGAGGGAAGATCTAGGGCTGAAGGCTGTTGCTCAGATTCTTTTGTCCCACGGGGTGTTCCCTTGATGTAGTACTCTCCCCCTTTTCCTATGGAAGTGGCTTCCTGTGAGCTGAACTGCAGTGCTTGTTGTCTCTCTTCTGGGTCTAGCCACTCAGCGAATCTACCCTTCTCCAGGCTGGTACTGGAGGTTGTCTGCCAGAGTCCTGTGGTGTGAACCATCTATGGATCTTTCAGCTGTGGATACCAGCACCTGTTCTGGTGGTGGTGGGGGAAGGTGCAATGGACTCTGTGAGGGTCCTTAGCTTTGGTGTTTAATGCTCTATTTATTTATTTATTTGTTTTTGAGACTGAGCCTCGCTCTGTCACCCAGGTTTGAGTGCAGTGGCGTGATCTTGGCTCACTGCAACCTCCGCCTCCAGGGTTCACACCATTCTCCTGCCTCAGCCTCCTGAGTAGCTGGGACTACAGGCGCCTGCCACCACACACAGCTAATTTTTTGTATTTTTAGTACAGGTGGGGTTTCACCGTGTTAGCCAAGATGGTCTCGATCTCTTGACCTGGTGATCCACCCGCCTTGGCCTCCCAAGTGCTGGGATTACAAGCGTGAGCCACCGTGCCCAGCCCTAATGCTCTATTTTTGTGCTGGTTGGCCTACTGCCAGAAGGTAGCATTTTCCAGAAAGCATCCTCTGCAGTAGTATGGAAAGGGACTGAGATTATATGCCCTTTGTCTTCTGATACCAGGGTGGATAGAGAAGGACCATCAGGTGGGGGCGGGGCTAGGCATGTCTGAACTCAGGCTCTCCTTGGGTGGGTCTTGCTGTGGCTGCTGTGGGGGATGGGGGGAGTTGTGTACCTAGGAGGATTATGGCTGCCCCTGGAGTCATGCAGGTTGTCAGGGAAGTGGGGGAAAGCTGGCAGTCACAGGCCTCACCCAGTTCCCATGCAAACCAAAGGACCCGACTCACTCCCACAGTGCCCCCACCAACGTCCCCAAGTCTGTTTCCAGGCAGAGGGGGAGACCACTTTGAAAACTTGCTGGAGGTATCTGCCTCCCAGCTGTGAAAGAAGAGCTTTAGTTCTTCCCCCCTCCTGTGAAGTCTGCACCCTGGAGTTCTGGCTAGGAGGCTTCCCACCCCATTTTTGTTGCCATTACTTTTGGTGTTTTAGTCATGAAGTCCTTGCCTATGCCTATGTCCTGAAAGGTATTGCCTAGGTTTTCTTCTAGGGTTTTTATGGTTTTAGGTCTAATATTTAACTCTTTAATCCATCCTGAATTAATTTCTGTATAAGGTGGAAGGAAGGGATTCAATTTCAACTTTCTACATATGGCTAGCCAGTTTTCCCAGCACCATTTATTAAATAGGGAATCCTTTCCCCATTGCTTGTTTTTGTCAGGTTTGTCAAAGATCTGATGGTTGTAGATGTGTGGTATTATTTCTGATGGCTCTGATCTGTTCCATTGGTCTATATCTCTGTTTTGGTACCAGTACCATGCTGTTTTGGTTACTGTAGCCTTGTAGTATAGTTTGAAGTCAGGTAGCGTGATGCCTCCAGCTTTGTTCTTTTGGCTTAGGATTGTCTTGGCAATGCAGTCTCTTTTTTGGTTCCATATGAACTTTAAAGTAGTTTTTTCCAATTCTGTGAAGAAAGTCCTTGGTAGCTTGATGGGGATGGCATTGAATCTATAAATTACCTTGGGCAGTATGGCCATTTTCACGATACTGATTCTTCCTATCCATGAGCATGGAATATTCTTCCATTTGTTTGTGTCCTCTGTTATTTCATTGAGCAGTGGTCTGTAGTTCTCCTTGAAGAGATCCTTCACATCCCTTGTAAGTTGGATTCTGAGGTATTTTATTCTCTTTGAAGGAATTGTGAATGGGAGTTCACTCATGATTTGGCTCTCTGTTTGTCTGTTATTGGTGTATAAGAATGCTTGTGATTTTTGCACATTGATTTTGTATCCTGAGACTTTGCTGAAGTTGCTAATCAGCTTGAGGAGATTTTGGGCTGAGATGAGGGGGTTTTCTAAATATATAATTATGTCATCTGCAAACAGGGACAATTTGACTTCCTCTTTTCCTAATTGAATACCCTTTATTTCTTTCTCCTGCCTGATTGCTCTGGCCAGATCTTCCAACACTGTGTTGAATAGAAGTGATGAGAGAGGGCATCCCTGTCTTGTGCCAGTTTTCAAAGGGAATGCTTCCAGTGTTTGCCCATTCAGTATGATATTGGCTGTTGGTTTGTCATAAATAGCTCTTATTATTTTGAGATAAGTCCCATCAATACCTAGTTTATTGAGAGTTTTTAGCATGAAGGTTGTTGAATTTTGCTGAAGGCCTTTTCTGCATCTATTGAGATAATCATGTGGTTTTTGTCTTTGGTTCTGTTTATATGCTGGGTTACATTTATTGATTTGCTTATGTTGAACCAGCCTTGTATCCCAAGGATGAAGCTCACTTGATCATGGTGGCTAAGCTTTTTGATGTGCTGCTGGATTCGGTTTGCCAGTATTTTATTGAGGATTTTTGCATCAATGTTCATCAAGGATATTGGTCTAAAATTCTCTTTTTTTGTTGTGTCTCTGCCAGGCTTTGGTATCAAGATGATTGTGGCCTCATAAAATGAGTTAGGGAGGATTCCCTCTTTTTCTATTGATTGGAATAGTTTCTGAAGGAATGGTACCAGCTCCTGTTTGTACCTCTGGTGGAATTTTGTTGTGAATCCTTCTGGTCCTGGGCTTTTTTTTGGTTGGTAGGCTATTAATTATTGCCTCAATTTCAAAGCCTGTTATTGGTTTATTCAGAGATTCGACCTCTTCCTAGTTTAGTCTTGGAAGGGCGTATGTGTCCAGAAATTTATCCATTTCTTCCAGATTTTCTAGTTTATTTGTGTAGAGGTGTTTATAGTATTTTCTGATGGTAGTTTGTATTTCTGTGGGATCAGTGGTGGTATCCCCTTTATCATTTTTTATTGCGTCTATTTGATTCTTCTCTCTTTTCTTCTTTATTAGTCTTGCTAGTGGTCTATCAATTTTGTTGATCTTTTCAAAAAACCAGCTCCTGGATTCACTGATTTTTTGAAGAGTTTTTTCTGTCTCTATTTCCTTCATTTCTGCTCTGATCTTTGTTATTTCTTGCCTTCTGCTGGCTTTTGAATGTGTTTGCTCTTGCTTCTCTAGTTCTTTTAATTGTGATGTTAGGGTGTCAATTTTAGATCTTTCCTGCTTTCTCTTGTGGGCATTTAGTGCTATAAATTTCCCTCTACACACTGCTTTGAATGTGTCCCAGAGATTCTGGTATGTTGTGTCTTTGTTCTCATTGGTTTCAAAGAACATCTTTATTTCTGCCTTCATTTCGTTATGTACCCAGTAGTCATTCAGGAGAAGGTTGTTCAGTTTCCATATAGTTGAGCAGTTTTGAGTGAGTTTCTTAATCCTGATTTCTAGTTTGATTGCACTGTGGTCTGAGAGACAGTTTGTTATAATTTCTGTTCTTTTTCATTTGCTGAGGAGTGCTTTACTTCCACCTATGTGGTCAATTTTGGAATAAGTGTGATGTGGTGCTGAGAAGAATGTATATTCTGTTGATTTAGGGTGGAGAGTTCTGTAGATGTCTATTAGGTCCACGTGGTGCAGAGCTGAGTTCAATTCCTGGATATCCTTGTTAACTTTCTGTCTCGTTGATCTGCCTAATGTTGACAGTGGGGTGTTAACGTCTCCCATTATTATTGTGTGGAAGACTAAGTCTCTTTGTATGTCTCTAAGGACTTGCTTTATGAATCTTGGTGCTCCTGTATTGGGTGCATATATATTTAGGATAGTTAGCTCTTCTTGTTGAATTGATCCCTTTACCATTATGTAATGGCCTTCTTTGTCTCTTTTGATCTTCGTTGGTTTAGTCTGTTTTATCAGAGATGAGGATTGCAACCCCTGCTTTTTTTGTTTTCCATTTGCTTGGTAGATCTTCCTCCATCCCTTTATTTTGAGCCTATGTGTGTCTCTGCATGTGAGATGGGTCTCCTGAATACAGCACACTGATGGGTCTTGACCCTTTATCCAATTTGCCCGTCTGCATCTTTTAATTGGAGCATTTAACCCATTTGCATTTAAGGTTAATATTGTTGTGTGTGAATTTGTTCTTGTCATTATGATGTTAGCTGGTTATTTTGCTCATTAGTTGATGCAGTTTCTTCCTATCACTGATGGTCTTTACAATTTGGCATGTTTTTGCAGTGGCTGGTACCTGTTTTTCCTTTCCATGTTTAGTGCTTCCTTCAGGAGCTCTTGTAAGGCAGGCCTGGTGGTGACAAAATCTCTCAGCATATGCTTGTCTGTAAAGGATTTTATTTCTCCTTCACTTATGAAGCTTAGTTTGGCTGGATATGAAATTCTGGGTTGAAAATTCTTTGCTTTAAGAATGTTGAATATTGGCCCCCACTCTCTTCTGGCTTGTAGAGTTTCTGCTGAGAGACCTGCTGTTAGTCTGATGGGCTTCCCTTTGTGGGTAACCCAACCTTTCTCTCTGGCTGCCCTTAACACTTTTTCCTTCATTTCAACTTTGGTGAATCTGACAATTATGTGTCTTGGAGTTGCTCTTGTCAAGGAGTATCTTTGTGGTGTTCTCTGTATTTCCTGAATTTGAATGTTGGCCTGCCTCGCTAGGTTGAGGATGTTCTCCTGAATAATATCCTGCAGAGTGTTTTCCAACTTGGTTCCATTCTCCCTGTCACTTTTAGGTACATCAATCAGATGTAGATTTGGTCTTTTCACATAGTCCCATATTTCTTGGAGGCTTTGTTCATTTCTTTTTACTGTTTTTTCTCTAAACTTCTCTTCTCTCTTTATTTCATTCATTTGATCTTCAGTCACTGATACACTTTCTTCCACTTGATCGAATCAGCTACTGAAGCTTGTACATGCATCACATAGTTTTTGTGCCATGGTTTTCAGCTCCATCAGGTCATTTAACGTCTTCTCTAGGCTGTTTATTCTGTTTAGCCATTCATCTAATCTTTTTTCAAGGTTTTTAGCCTCTTTGCTATGGGTTCGAATATCCTACTTTAGCTTGGAGAAGTTTGTTGTTACCAATCATCTGAAGCTTTCTTCTCTCAACTCGTCAAAGTCATTCTCCATCCAGCTTTGTTCCATTGCTGGTGAGGAGCTGTGTTCCTTTGAAGGAGAAGAGGTGCTCTGATTTTGAGAATTTTCAGCTTTTCTGCTCTGGTTTCTCCCCATCTTTGTGGTGTTATCTACCTTTGGTCTTTGATGATGGTGATGTACAGATGGAATTTTGGTGTGGATGTCTTTTCTGTTTGTTAGTTTTCCTTCTAACAGTCAGGACCCTCAGCTGCAGGTCTTTTGGAGTTTGCTAGAGGTCCATTCCAGACCCTGTTTGCCTGGGTATCACCAGCAGAGGCTGCAGAACAGCAAATATTGCAGAACAGCAAATGTTGCTGCCTGTTCCTTCCTCTGGAAGCTTTGTCTCATAGGGGCACCTGGCCATATGTCAGTCAGCCCCTACTGGGAGGTGCCTCCCAGTTAGGCTATTCGGGTGTCAGGGACCCACTTGAGGAGGCAGTCTGTCTGTTCTCAGATCTCAAGCTGTGTGCTGGGAGAACCACTACTCTCCTCAAAGGTGTCAGGGATGTTTAAGTCTGCAGATGTTTCTACTGCCTTTTGTTCAGCTATGCCCCACCCCCAGAGGTAGAGTCTACAGAGGCAGGCAGGCCTCCTTGAGCTGTGGTGGGCTCCACCCAGTTCAAACTTCCTGGCCGCTTTGTTTACCTACTCAAGCGTCAGCAATGGCAGACACCCCTCCCCAGGCTCACTGCTGCCTTGCAGTTCAATCTCAGGCTGTTGTGCTAGCAGTGAGCAAGGCTCCATGGGCGTGGGACCCTCCAAGCCAGGAGTGGGATATAGTCTCCTGGAGTGTCATTTGCTAAGACTGTTGGAAAAGTGCAGTATTAGGGTGGGAGTGTCCCAATTTTCCAGGTACCATCTGTCACTGCTTCCCTTGGCTAGGAAAGGGAATTTCCCGACCCCTTGTGCTTCCCTGGTGAGGCGATGCCCCACCTTGTTTTGGCTCATGCTCCATGGGCTGCACACACTGTGCGACAAGCCGCAGTGAGATGAACCCAGTACCTCAGTTGGAAATGCAGAAATCACCCATCTTCTGCATCAGTCACGCTGGGATCTGTAGACTGGAGCTGTTCCTATTTGGCCATCTTGGAACCTGGCATTGTGAGGAATAAATTATGACAAAAAAATATTCTTAGCTAACACTTACTGAGTACTTGTAAGGCATCAGAAAATTTCTAAGTTCTTTACACGTATTAATCAATTAGTTTTATTGCAGATGAGGCACCTGAAGCCCAGAGAAGTTAACCTGCCCAGACTTACCATTAGCAATTAGCACCAGGATTGTATTCTAAACAAGGCCACAATTTCAATCATGAGGATCTCCTGCCTGTTTTCATGGGTAATAACATATTGAGCCCTACAATTTATTGAGCACTTACTATGCTTGAGTCACTGTGCTAAGAGATTTACATGGATTGTTGTAAAGTCATTTCTACAGCAATTGAGTTGTGGCATGTTATTATTTGCATTTTACAGATAAGAAAGCTAGGGCTTAGCAACCTCAGTAATAGTTATCTAGTTGGTAAATTGGGATTCTGAATTTGAATAAGGGAGTTTGACTCCACCATATGGCCTTTCTTATGGAAGTTCCAGCACAGTATGTGACACATAGGGATAGGGCCAGCTTCAGGGACCTCCAGGGCCACACCCGGTCTTGTGCTCAGCAGGACCTTATGCTTGGTTTAATGTTTTGCCTTTACTGTATTAACATTACACATAATTTATCTATGAACTTGTGTTTTGTAAGAGAAATGCGATGGGATAATGGAGGCTGGGCATGAGCACAGAGGATGTGCCTGGTGGCAGTGTGCACACAGGGTTGGTCCAGGAACAGACCACACATGAGTGGGCTCAGGCTCCAGGCAGAGCAAGCAGTGCACACATAGTAGTTGGTTCTATATGCAGATGCATGCCTTGGGGGAGTCTAGAGTGCTGCAGAGCCCCAAGGAGAGGGTTAAACCTGTAAGTGGGCCCAGATTGGTGCTGCTATGGTGGTAGCAGCAGCAGAATCGGCCATGACAGTGGCTGTACCCACAGGAGAGAGAACAGTTCCACATGGGGACAGCACCAAGACCCGCAGTGAAAGGCTGGCTTGCCTGTCATCTCCAGAGTCTCTCCCTGAGGTATCTGCACAAGCATTAACTCTCCCATCTGAGCACCAGAATAGGAACGGCCAGTGTTTAGGCAGTAAGCTTTGTGGTAAGTCATTACAAAATAAGATTGTAAGCGTGGACATTTCAATAAAGCATATCAAAGATTTATTAGAATATTTAGAATTTCTGTTTTTGAGAACTGCCACATTACAAAGCAAATATTCACAGGCTTAGAAATAGAAATTATATCTTAAGATCATTGTGTTGGATGGAAAAAACACTATTTTCATTTGAAGCTTCACATGAACCAGTAATTAGTAAGGAAGACAATTTTAAAATTAGTCTTTTCCTTGTCACTGAAGGTAAGTGACAGAATTCATAAACAGGTATTTTGAATTATGTAAAAATCATCAAGCCACTTTGGGTTCCTTGCATGGCATTCACGAATCAGAGGAAACATTAAAATGCCATTGTATGAATTTGTGTGTTTATTTATTTATTTAGAGAGGAGTCTCACTCATGCCCAGGCTGGAGTGCAGTGGCGTGACCTCGGCTCACTGCAACCTCTGCCTCCTTGGTTCAAGTGATTCTCCTGCCTCAGCCTCCTGAATAGCTGGGATTACAGGCACCTGCCACCACCCCCAACTAATTTTTGTATTTGTAGTAG
The DNA here is from genome assembly GCF_000001405.40 of Homo sapiens. Classification (NCBI taxonomy): domain Eukaryota; kingdom Metazoa; phylum Chordata; class Mammalia; order Primates; family Hominidae; genus Homo; species Homo sapiens. The sequence continues at coordinate 56,340,554 of NC_000008.11, forward strand.
AGATTCGGTTTCACCATGTCAGCCAGGCTGGTCTGGAACTCCTGACCTCAAACGATCCACCCACCTCAGCCTCCCAAAGTGCTGGGATTACAGGCATGAGCCACAGCGCCTGGTCTGAATTTGTGTTTAATATCATAGTTACATATAATTGATGTGTATGAGGAGTTATATCTTAGAAAAATTATTCCATGAGATTGATCAGCTGTAGATGTACTAAAATTTATGTTTTGAAATAATTTGTCAGAAATACATCTCAATATTATTAGAGTCTATAAGATACTCTTGACAGTCACGTTGGCAGAAAGTTTCTTCTCAAAATTAAAAATTATTAAAAATTTTCATCAATCTTTTATTTGCCTAGAGTGACAAATGTTTCTTTCAATTATATCGATTGAAAATGAAGTGACAAAAGATACAGATTTTGATGATCTAACAAATGAAGTTGCAAAAAAAGAGTGAGAATAATCTCATGACTAATCAAGTTATCATATTGATAAATTATTACTTATTGCATTATATAAAATTATTAAAGCAAAAAATTTTTTTGGGTAATTTTTAAGTTTCTGTTGGTACCCATATATGAAAATTATCACTAGCATGTTATATTAATAATATAATATTTTTTAAAAGAGAAAGCTTTATATTTTAGGACATTTTATGGCACTTTTTTCATGCTTTTTGAACAAAAGGCTCCACATTTTAATTTTGCAATGGCCCTGCTCTTCCTGTTCCAGCTTTGCACAGCTATTCTCTCAACTCTTAGGTCCTTTGTCACTGAATGACTTGAAGCTGACTGTGACCAGAGCCCCCTGAGAAACCCCGTCTCCTGCTTCAGACCCTGGGGTGCTTGCTAGAGGCATCTTTTCTTCATTTTGAGAAGAATTGTGTATAGTCTATGATTTACTTTCCTCATCATTTTCTTTGATTTGCCTCCAGTGTGTGTGTATATATATATGTGTGTGTGTGTATATATAGTATATATGTATATCTATATATATGTGTATATATGTGTGTGTGTGTATATATATGTACACACACACACACACACACACACATATATTTTTTTTGCTTCTATGTGATCCAAGTATGGGGGGCTTTTATGGGCCAAACTACTTTTATCCTGGCTGCACTTGAAGGCCATACTTAGCACTTTATATCAATAGCATCACTCAAAACAGATTTATCTCCACAGGGCACTAACTGAAAAATTTTGAGAATATATGAGAAAGATAATCCATATCCCATAACACACAACAGAAACACAATGAAATTCCCGTGTTAGGGTTTGTCCTTCCCCTGAAAGTTTATCTTTTATCTAGCTAGTGTATCACTATCTTTTTAATCCACACAGTCTCTCAAGAACCCTTCTAATGTCCTAAACAATTCATATTTATCCTTAAGGTTGTACACTTGAGTAAATCAAAGGGCAAAAGCGAGCCAAGTATTGCCTGCTGTTCTCATTCCTGCTTCTTGGATCAGAGAGGGCTCATTCTCTTTTCTGAGAAGTTTCTCAAATTCCTCCTAGAAAAAGAATGTTTCGCCCTAGGTACAATTCTTGTAAGAGAAGATATTCTTTACAATGAAAACATTTCATGAAAGATGAAAATTGAAACACAACATACTAAAACATATGGGAGTCTGGGCGCAGTGGCTCACACCTCTAATCCTAGCACTTTGGGAGGCTGAGGTGTGCAGATCACCTGAGGTCAGGGGTTTGAGACCAGCCTGGTGAACATGGTGAAAACCCATCTCTAATAAAAATACAAAAATTAGCCGGGCATGTTGGCATGCACCTGCAGTCCCAGCTACTCAGGAGGCTGAAGCAGGAGAATCGCTTGAACCTGGGAGGTGGAGGTTGAAGTAAGCCAAGATTGCACCATTGCACTCCAGCCTAGGCAACAAGAGAGAAACTATGTCTAAAAAACAACAACAACAACAACAACAAAAAACCAGCAGCAACAACAACAACAACAAGAAAAACACCAAATATATGGGATACAGCAAAAGCAGTACTAAGAGGTTAATTTATAGCAATAAATGCCCACATCAAAAAGGTAGAAAAATTTTAAATAAATGACCCAATGAATCACCTCAAGGGACTAGAAAAGAGAAAATAAACCAAACTCCAAATTAGTGGAAGGAAAGAAACAATAAAGATCAGAACGTAAACAAAATAGAGACCAAAAAGACAATAAAAGAGATCAACAAAACAAAATTGGTTTTTTGAAAAGATAAAATTAACAATCCATTAATAGTCTAATAGCAAGGCTGACTAAGAAAAAAAAGAAGGCACAAATAAATCAGAAACAAAAAAGGAGGCATGAAGCTGATGCCACAGATATACAAAGGATCATGAGAGAATATTGTTAACAACTATTCACCAACAAATTGATAAATTGAGAGGAAAGACATAAATTCCTTGAGGTTCACAACCTACCAAGAGTCAACCAAAAATAAATAGAAAACTTGGAGACCAATAATGAGTAATGATAATGAATCAGTGGTAACATTTCTCCTAACAAAGAAAAGCTCAGGACCTCAAGGTTTTACTACTGAATGCTACCAAACTTATAAAGAAGGACTAATACCAATTCTCAAACTATGCTAGAAAATTGAAGGGAAGGGAATTCTTCCTAATTCATTCTATAAGGCAGCATTACCTTGACACCAGAACCAGTGTCTGGTTCAGTGTTTTTTTTAATCTATCTATAATCTATCTATCTATCTGTATATATATGTATATATGACATTATAGATATAAGTATAGAGGTATATATAGTATATATATTTTATAAATATATAAAATGTTATTTATAAATATTTTCTTTATAGTAGTAGTATTCTATATATAGTGGTATAGTAGTATTCCATGCTGAAAAGAAAAATATATATATATATATATATATATATATATATAAACATTTTCTTTATCCAGTCCTTTATTGATGGATACTTAGGTTGATTCCATATCTTTGCTATTGTGAATAGTGCTGTGAAAAACATAGCAATGCAAATATCTTTTTGGTATAATGATTTCTTTCCTTTGGATATATGCCCAGTAATGAGATTGGTGGATCAAACAATAGTTTTATTTTTCAGTTCTATGAGAAATCCCCATATTATTTTCAACAAATATTGTACCAATTTACTTTCCCACCAACAGTGTGTGTTTCCTTTTCTCCACATCTTCACCAACATCTTGTATTTTTTTTTGACTTTTTTAGTTATTTTATTTTTATTTTTTTATTTTTTCCTTTTTTAAAATTATACTTTAAGTTTTAGGGTACATGTGCACAATATGCAGGTTTGTTACATATGTATACATGTGCCATATTGGTGTGCTGCACCCATTAACTCATCATTTAACATTAGGCATATCTCTGAATGCTATCCCTCCCCACTCCCCCGACCCCACAACAGGCCCCTGTGTGTGATGTTCCCCTTCCTGTGTCCATGTGTTCTCATTGTTCAATTCCCACTTATGAGCGAGAACATGTGGGGTTTGGTTTTTTGTCCTTGCGATAGTTTGCTGAGAATGATGGTTTCCAGTTTCATCCATGTCCCTACAAAGGACATGAACTCATCCTTTTTTATGGCTGCATAGTATTCCATGATGTATATGTGCCACATTTTCTTAATCCAGTCTATCATTGTTGGACATTTGGGTTGGTTCCAAGTCTTTGCTATTGTGAATAATGCCGCAATAAACATACGTGTGCATGTGTCTTTATAGCAGCATGATTTATAGTCCTTTGGGTATATACCCAGTAATGGGATGGCTGGGTCAAATGGTATTTCTAGTTCTAGATCCCTGAGGAATCACCACACCGACTTCCACAATGGTTGAACTAGTTTACAGTCCCACCAACAGTGTAAAAGTGTTCCTATTTCTCCACATCCTCTCCAGCACCTGTTGTTTCCTGACTTTTTAATGATCGCCATTCTAATTGGTGTGAGATGGTATCTCATTGTGGTTTTGATTTGCATTTCTCTGATGGCCAGTGATGATGAGCATTTTTTCATATGTCTTTTGGCTGCATAAATGTCTTCTTTTGAGAAGTGTCTGTTCATATCCTTTGCCCACTTGTTGATTGTTTGTTTTTTTCTTGTAAATTTGTTTGAGTTCATTGTAGATTCTGGATATTAGCCCTTTGTCAGATGAGTAGACAGCAAAAATTTTCTCCCATTTTGTAGGTTGCCTGTTCACTCTGATGGTAGTTTCTTTTGTTGTGCAGAAGCTCTTTAGTTTAATTAGATCCCATTTGTCAATTTTGGCTTTTGTTGCCATTGCTTTTGGTGTTTTAGACATGAAGTTCTTGCCTATGCCTATGTCCTGAAAGGTATTGCCTAGATTTTCTTCTAGGGTTTTTATGGTTTTAGGTCTAACAGGTAAGTCTTTATTCCATCTTGAATTAATTTTTGTATAAGGTGTAAGGAAGGGATCTTTTGACAAAATTCAACAAGCCTTCATGCTAAAAAGTCTCAATAAATTAGGCATTGATGGGATGTATCTCAAAATAATAAGAGCTATCTATGACAAACCCACAACCAATGTCATACTGAATGGGCAAAAACTGGAAGTGTTCCCTTTGAAAACTGGCACAAGACAGGGATGCCCTCTCTCACCACTCCTATTCAACATAGTGTTGGAAGTTCTGGCCAGGGCAATCAGGCAGGAGAAGGAAATAAAGGGTGTTCAATTAGGAAAAGAGGAAGTCAAATTGTCTCTGTTTGCAGATGACATGATTGTATATCTGGAAAACCCCATTGTCTCAGCCCAAAATCTTCTTAAGCTGATAAGCAACTTCAGCAAAGTCTCAGGATACCAAATCAGTTTGCAGAAATCACAAGCATTCTTATACACCAATAACAGACAAAGAGAGAGCCAAATCATGAGTGAACTGCCATTCTCAATTGCTTCAAAGAGAATAAAATACCTAGGAATACAACTTACAAGGGATGTGAAGGACCTCTTCAAGGAGAACTACAAACTTCTTCTCAATGAAATAAAAGAGGATGCAAACAAATGGTAGAACATTCCATGCTCATGGATAGGAAGAATCAATATCGTGAAAATGGCCATACTGCCCAAGGTAATTTGTAGATTCAATGCCATCCCCATCAAGCTATCAATGACTTCACGGAATTGGAAAAAACTACTTTAAAGTTCATATAGACCCAAAAAAGAGCCCACATTGCCAAGACAATCCTAAGCCAAAAGAACAAAGCTGGAGGCAACACGCTACCTGACTTCAAACTATACTACAATGCTACAGTAACCCAAACAACATGGTACTGGTACCAAAACAGAGATATAGACCAATGGAACGGAACAGAGCCCTCAGAAATAATGCCACATATCTACAACTATCTGATCTTTGACAAACCTGACAAAAACAAGAAATGGGGAAACGATTCCCTATTTAATAAATGGTTCTGGGAAAACTGGCTAGCCATTTTTTTTGACTTTTTAATAATAGCCATTCTAACTGGTATAAGTTAGTGTCTCATTGTGGTTTTAATTTGTATTTCTCTGATGACTAATCATCTTGAGCATTTTTTTGCATATTTGTTGGCCATTTGTATGTCTTCTTTTGAAAAATGTCTATTCATGTCCCTTGCTCAGTTTTTAATGAGGTTGTTTATTTTTTTCCTGTTGAGCTATTTGAGTTCCTTATATATTCTGGATATTAGCTTTTCTTTGGATGCATAGTTTGCAGATACTTTTTTCCCATTCTGTAGGTTGTCTGTTTACTTTGTTGATTGTTTCCTTTGTTGTGCAGAAGGTTTTTAGTTTAAGTCCCATTTGTCTATTTTTGTTTTTGTTATGTTTCTTTTGAGGAATTGGTCATAAATTCTTTTCCTAGGCCAATGTACAAAAGAGTTTTTCCTGTTTTCTTCTAGGGTTTTTATAGTTTCAGGTCTTACATTTAGGTTTTTAATCCATCTTGAGTTCATTTTTGTATATGGTGAGAAGTGTGGGTTAAGTTTCATTCTTCTGCATATAGTTATCAAATTTTCTCAGCACCATTTAGGAAATAGAGTGTCCTTTTCTCAGTTTATATTTTTGTTGATTTTGTCAAAGACCAGTTGGTGAAAGTTGTGTGGCTTTATTTTGGGGTTCTTTATTCTGCTCCATTGATCTATGTGTGTATTTCTATACGAGTACCATGCTGTTTTGGTTGTTATAGCCTTGTATTTTAATTTGACGTCAGGTACTGCAGTGATTTCAGCTTTGTTCTTTTTCTTAGTATTGCTTTGGCTATTTGGGTTTTTTTTGTTGGGGGGGGTTCCATATGAATTTTAGGATTGTTTTCTCTAATTCTATGAAAAATAATGTTGATAATTTGATAGAGATTTTGATGAATCTGTAGAATGCTTTAGTTGCATTGATCATTTTAACAATGTTGATTTTTCCACTCTATGAGCATGGTATGTTTTCCTATTTGTTTGTGTCATCTACATTTTTTTCACCATTGCTTTGTAGTTTTCCTTATAGCGATCTTTCACCTCCTTGGTTGAATATATTCCTAGGATTTTTTTTTTTTTTTGGTAGCTATTGTAAATAGGATTGCCTTATTGATTTGGTCCTTGACTAGATCATTATTGGTATATAGAAACCCTGCTGAATTCTGTATGTTAATTTTGTATTCTGCTACTTTAATGAGTTTATCGGTTCCAAAGGTTTTTGGTAGTCTTTAGGGTTTTCTAGGTGTAAGATTATATCATCAGTGAACAGAAATGATTTGACTTCCTCTTTTCCAGTTCGTATGACATTTATTTTTTTCTTTTGCCTGATTACTTTGGCAAGGACTTCCAGTACTATGTTGAATAGTGGTAAAAGTGAGCACCCTTGTCTTCTTCCAATTCTTAGAGGGAATGCTTTCAATTTTTACCTGTTAAGTATGATGTTGGCTGTGGATTTGTCATAGATGACTCTTATTATTTTGAGGTATATTCCTTCTATGTCTAGTTTGTTGAGGATTTTTGTCATGAAGGGATGCTGAATTTTATCAAATGCTTTTCTGTTTCTATTAAGAAGATTATATGGTTTTTGTCATTAATTCTGTTTATGTGATGTATCACATTTATTTATGTGCCTATATTGAACCATCCTTGCATCCCTGGGTTAAATCTACCTGACTATAGTGTATTATCTTTTTGATGTTCTGTCGGATTTGATTTGCTAGTATTTTGTTAAGGAATTTTGTGTCTATTTCATTATGGATATTGGTCTGTAATTTTCTTTTTTTGTTGTGTCTTTCTCTGGTTTTGGTATCAAGGTGATCCTGGCCTCATAGAATGAATTAGGGAGAATTCCCCCTGTTTTGATTTTTTGGAATAGTTTCAGGAGCATTGGTATTAGTTCTTTGTATGTTTGGTAGAATTCAGTTGTGAATCTATCTTGTCCTAGGCTTTTTATTGTTGGGAGATATTTTATTACTGATTCAATCTTGCTACTAATTATTGGTCTTTTAAGAAGTTCTGTTTCTTCTTAGTTCAATCTTAGGAGGTTGTATGTTTTCAGGAATTAATTTCCTCTGGGTTCTCCAGTTTGTGAGCATACGCTTGTTCATAATAGTCTCTGATGATCTTTTGTATTTCTGTGGTATTAGTTGTCATGTCACCATTATCCTTTCTGATTATGTTTATTTGGATTTTCTCTCTTCCTTTCTTAGCTAGTCTAGCTAGTGGTTTATCAATTATCTTTAACTTTTTGAACCCCAACTTTTCATTTTATTGATGTTTTGTACTTTTTTTGTCTCTATACTATTCAGTTGTGCTCTGATCTTTATTATTTCTTTCCTTCTGCTGACTTTGGGCATTGTTTGTTCTTGTTTTTCTAGTTCCTTGAGATGTGATGTTAGGTTTTTAATTAGTGATATTTATGCTGGCTTGATGTAGCCATTTAATGCACTAAACTTTGCTTTTAGCATTGCTTTTGCTGTATCCACAGGTTTTGGTATGTCGTGTTTTCATTTTCATTAATTTCAAAAAACTGTTAAGTTTTCATTTTAATTCTTGACCCAGTAATCATTTAGGAGCATTCTGTTTAATTTCGATGTATGTGTATAGTTTCCAAAGTTCCTCTTTGCATTGATTTCTAGCTTTATTTCACTGTGGTCTGAGACTATACTTCCTATGACTTTGATATTTAAAAATTTGTTAAGACTTACTTTGTGGCCTAACAGGTGGTCTATCTTGGAGAATTTTCCATGTGATGGTGGATAGAATGTATATTCTGTAGTTGTTGGGTAGAATGTTCTGTAAAATGTCTATTAAGTCCATTTGGCCTAATGTACAATTTCAGTCCAATGTTTCTTTGTTAATTTTTTCTCTAGATGATCTGTCTAGTGTTGTGAGTGAAGTCCCCCACTACTACTGTATTACTGTCTATCTCTTTCTTTAGGTCTAGTAATACTTGTTTTGCTCGGTTGCTGCTGGTTTTTATTATCTTCTTTATGTGTTGTCAATTTTTTTTCCAACTTTTTTTTTAGGTTCAATGGATACGTATGCAGCTTTGTTACATGAGTAAATTGCATGTCCCTTGGGTTTGGTCACCCAGGTAATCAGCATAGTACCTGAGAGGTAGTTTTTTATTTCTTACCCTCCTTCCACCCTCCATCATTAAATAGGCTCCAGTGCCTATTCTTTCCTTCTTTGTGTCCACGTGTACTCAATGTTTGGCTCCCACTTATAAATGAGAATGTTTTCTGTTCCTGCATTAATGTGCTTAGGATAATGGCCTCCAGCTCCATCCATGTTGCTGCAAAAGACATAATCTCACTTTTTTAATATCTGTGCAGTATTTCATGGTGTACGTGCACCACGTTTTCTTTATCCAATCCACCACAGATGGCCATCTAAGTTGATTCTATGTCTTTGCTATTGTGAATAGTGTTCTGATGAACATACATGGTATGTGTCTTTATGGTAGAAAAATTTATATTCCTTTTGGTATATACCCAGTAATAGGATTTCTGAATCAAATGGTATTTCTATTGTAAGTTCTTTCAGAAGTCTCCAGACTGCTTTTCACAGTGGCTGAACCAATTTATCTTCCCACCAAAAGTGCATAAGTATTCCCCTTTCTCTGCAATCTCTTCAACATCTGTTGATTTTTGGCTTTTTAATAATAGTCTGACTGGTGTGAGATGGTGTCTCATTGTGGTTTTTATTTGCATTTACTTAATGATTTGTTTGTGTCATCCCTGATTTCTCTCAGCAGTGTTTTATAATGCTCATTGTAGCGATTTTTCACCTCCCTGATCAGCTGTATTCCAAGGTATTCTTTTTGTGTCCATTTTGAATGGGATTGTGTTTTTGATTTGGCTCTCAGCTTTGACATTATTTGTGTATAGAAATGTTACTAATTTTCATGCATTGATTTTTTTATCCTGAAACTTTGTTGAAGTTTATCAGATCTAGGAAACTTTGAGAAGAGACTATGGGGTTTTCTATATATAGTATTATATCACCTGTGAATAAAGATAGTTTGACTTTCTCTCTTTCTATTTGGATGCCTTTTATTTCTTTCTCTTGCCTGGTTGCTCTGGCTATGACTTCTAGTACTATGCCGAATTGGAGTGTTGAGATTGGGCATCCTTGTCTTATTCTGTTTATCAAAGGGAATGCTTCCAGCTTTTGCCCATTCAGTATGATGTTGGGCATCAGAATAATAAGATAGCTCTTATTATTTTTGATGTATATACCTTTGATGCCTAGTCTGTTGAGGGTTTTTGACATGAAAGGATGTTGAATTTTGTCGAAAGCTTTTTCTGCATTTATTGAGATGATCATGCGGTTTTTGTTCTGTGTATGTGATGATTAACATTTATTGATTTGTGTGTGTTGAACCAACCTTGCATCCCAGGGATAAAGCCTACTTGATTGTAGTGGATTAGCTTTTTAATATGCTGCTGGATTAGTTTACTAGTATTTTGTTGATGATTTTTGCATCTACGGTCATCAGGGATATTGGTCTGAAGTTTTCTTTTTTTATTGTGTCTCTGCCTGGCTTTGGTATCTGAGTAATGCTGGTCTCATAGGATGAGTTAGAGAGGAGTCTCTCCTTCTCAGTTTTTTGGAATAGTTTCAGTAGGATTGGTACCAGCTCTTCTTTGTATGTCTGGTAAAAATTTGGCTGTAAATCCCAGTGGCCCAGGATTTTTCTGGGTGTTAGGTTTTTTTTTACTTATTCAATTTCAGAACTTGTTACTGGTCTTTTTAGGGTTTCAATTTCTTCCTAGTTCAATCTTGGGAGGTTGTATGTTTCCCGGAATGTATCCATTTCTTCTAGGTTTTCTAGGTTGTGTGCATAGAGGTGTTTATAACAGTCTCTGAGGGTTTTAAAAAATTTATTTCTGTGGGGTCAATGGTAATGTTCCCTTTGTCATTTCTGATTGTGTTTATTTGGATCTTCTATTTCTTTATTAGTCTAGCTAGAGGTCTATCCATCTTATTTATTCTTTCAACGATCCAAGTTTTTGTTTTGTTGATCTTTTTTATGCCTTTTCTCATCTCCATTTTGTTCAATTCAGCTCTGATTTTGGTCATTTCTTTTCTTTTGCTACCTTTGGAGTTGGTTTGCTCTTATTTTTCAAATTCCTCTGTGTGTGATGTTATGTTGTTAGTGTGAGATCTTTTGACTTTTTTTTATTATACTTTAAGTTTTAGGGTACATGTGCACAACGTGCAGGTTTGTTACATATGTATACATGTGCCATGTTGGTGTGCTGCACCCATTAACTCGTCACTCAGTATTAGGTATATCTCCTAATGCTATCCCTCCCCACTCCCCCCACCCAAAAGCAGTCCCCAGTGTGTGATGTTCTGCTTCCTGTGTCCATGTGTTCTCATTGTTCAATTCCCACCTATGAATGAGAACATGCGGTGTTTGGTTTTTTTGTCCTTGTGATAGTTTGCTGAGAATGATGGTTTCCAGTTTCATCCATGTCCCTACAAAGGACATGAACTCATCCTTTTTTATGGCTGTATAGTATTCCATGGTGTATATGTGCCACATTTTCTTAATCCAGTCTATCATTGTTGGACATTTGGGTTGGTTCCAAGTCTTTGCTATTGTGAATAGTGCCGCAATAAACATACGTGTGCATGTGTCTTTATAGCAGCATGATTTATAATCCTTTGGGTATATACCCAGTAATGGGATGGCTGGTCAAATGGTATTTCTAGTTCTAGATCCCTGAGGAATCACCACACCGACTTCCACAATTGTTGAACTAGTTTACAGTCCCACCAACAGTGTAAAAGTGTTCCTATTTCTCCACATCCTCTCCAGCACCTGTTGTTTCCTGACTTTTTAATGATCACCATTCTAACGGGTGTGAGATGGTATCTCATTGTGGTTTTGATTTGCATTTCTCTGATGGCCAGTGATGATGAGCACTTTTTCATGTGTTTTTTGGCTACATAAATGTCTTCTTTTGAGAAGTGTCTGTTCATATCCTTTGCCCACTTGTTGATTGTTTGTTTTTTTCTTGTAAATTTGTTTGAGTTCATTGTAGATTCTGGATATTAGCCCTTTGTCAGATGAGTAGACAGAAAAAATTTTCTCCAGTTCTGTAGGTTGCCTGTTCACCTGATGGTGGTTTCTTTTGCTGTGCAGAAGCTCTTTAGTTTAAATAAATCCCATTTGTCAATTTTGGCTTTTGTTGCCATTGCTTTTGGTGTTTTAGACAGGAAGTCCTTGCCCATACCTATGTCCTAAATGCTATTGCCTATGTTTTCTTCTTTTATGGTTTTAGGTCTAACAAGTAAGTCTTTAATCCATCTTGAATTAATTTTTGTATAAGGTGTAAGGAAGGGATCCAGTTTCAGCTTTCTACATATGGCTAGCCAGTTTTCCCAGCACCATTTATTAAATAGGGAATCCTTTCCCCATTGCTTGTTTTTGTCAGGTTTGTCAAAGATCAGATAGTTGTAGATATGCGGCATTATTTCTGAGGGCTCTGTTCTGTTCCATTGGTCTATAAAGCTGTTTTTGTACCAGTACCATGCTGTTTTGGTTACTGTAGCCTTGTAGTATGGTTTGAAGTCAGGTAGCATGATGCCTCCAGCTTTGTTCTTTTGGCTTAGGATTGTCTTGGCAATGCGGGCTCTTTTTTGGTTCCATATGAACTTTAAAGTAGTTTTTTCCAATTCTGTGAAGAAAGTCATTGGTAGCTTGATGGGGATGGCATTGAATCTATAAATTACCTTTGGCAATATGGCCATTTTCACAATATTGATTCTTCCTATCCATGAGCATGGAAGGTTCTTCAATTTGTTTTTATCCTCTTTTATTTCATTGAGTAGTGGTTTGTAGTTCTCCTTGAAGAGGTCCTGCACATTCCTTGTAAGTTGGATTCCTAGGTATTTTATTCTCTTTGAAGCAATTGTGAATGGGAATTCACTCATGATTTGGTTCTCTGTTTGTCTGTCTGTTTTTGGTGTATAAGAATGCTTGTGATTTTTGCACATTGATTTTGTATCCTGAGACTTTGCTGAAGTTCCTTATCAGCTTAAGGAGATTTTGGGCTGAGACAATGGGGTTTTCTAAATATACAATCATGTCATCTGCAAACAGGGACAATTTGACCTCCTCTTTTCCTAATTGAATGCCCTTTATTTCCTTTTCCTGCCTGATTTCCCTGGCCAGAACTTCCAAAACTATGTTGAATAGGAGTGGTGAGAGAGGGCATCCCTGTCTTGTGCCAGTTTTCAAAGGGAATGCTTCCAGTTTTTGTCCATTCAATATGATATTGGCTGTGGGTTTGTCATAGATAGCTATTATTATTTTGAGATACATCCTGTCAATACCTAATTTATTGAGAGTTTTTAGTATGAAGAGTTTTTTTGTATGAAGGCCTTTTTTGCATCTGTTGAGATAATCATGTGGTTTTTGTCTTTGGTTCTGTTTATATGCTGGATTACGTTTATTGATTTTCATATGTTGAACCAGCCTTACATCCCAGGGATGAAGCCCACTTCACCATGGTGGGTAAGCTTTTTGATGTGTTGCTCTATTCGGTTTGCCAGTATTTTATTGAGGATTTTTGCATCAATGTTCATCAGGGATGTTGGTCTAAAATTCTCTTTCTTTGTTGTGTCTTTGCCAGGCTTTGGTATCAGGATGATGGTGGCCTCATAAAATGAGTTAGGGAGGATTCCCTCTTTTTCTGTTGATTGGAATAGTTTCAGAAGGAATGGTACCAGCTCCTCCTTGTACCTCTGGTAAAATTTGGTTGTGAATCCATCTGGTCCTGGACTTTTTTTGGTTTATAAGTTATTAATTATTGGCTCAATTTCAGAGCCTGCTTTTGGTCTATTCAGAGATTCAACTTCTTCCTGGTTTAGTCTTGGGAGGGTGTATGTGTCGAGGAATTTATCCATTTCTTCTAGATTTTCTAGTTTATTTGCATAGAAGTGTTTATAGTATTTTCTGATGGTAGTTTGTATTTCTGTGGGATCAGTGGTGATATCCCCTTTGTCATGTTTTATTGCATCTATTTGATTCTTCTCTCTTTTCTTCTTTATTAGTCTTGCTAGTGGTCTATCAATTTTGTTGATCTTTTCAAAAAACCAGCTCCTGGATCCATTGATTTTCTGAAGGGTTTTTTCTGTCTCTATTTCCTTCAGTTCTGCTCTGATCTTAGTTATTTCTTGCCTTCTACTAGCTTTTGAATGTGTTTGCTCTTTCTTCTCTAGTTCTTTTAATTGTGATGTTAGGGTGTCAATTTTAGATCTTTCCTGTTTTCTCTTATGGGCATTTAGTGCTATAAATTTCCCTCTACACACTGCTTTGAATGTGTCCCAGAGATTCTGGTATGTTGTGTCTTTGTTCTCATTGGTTTCAAAGAACATCTTTATTTCTGCCTTCATTTCATTATGTACCCAGTAGTCATTCAGGTGCAGGTTGTTCTGTTTCCATGTAGTTGAGCAGTTTTGAGTGAGTTTCTTAATCCTGATTTCTAGTTTGATTGCACTGTGGTCTGAGAGACAGTTTGTTATAATTTCTGTTCTTTTACATTTGCTGAGGAGTGCTTTACTTTCACCTATGTGGTCAATTTTGGAATCGGTGTGGTGTGGTGCTGAAAAGAATGTATATTTTGTTGATTTGGGGTGGAGAGTTCTGTAGATGTCTATTAGGTCCGCTTGGTGCAGAGCTGAGTTCAGTTCCTGGATATCCTTGTTAACTTTCTGTCTCGTTGATCTGTCTAATGTTGACAGTGGTGTGTTAAAGTCTCTCATTATTATTGTGTGGGAGTCTAAGTCTCTTTGTACATCACTAAGGAGTTGCTATATGAATCTGGGTGCTCCTGTATTGGGTGCATATATATTTAGGAGAGTTAGCTCTTCTTCTTGAATTGATCCCTGTACCATTATGTAATGGCCTTCTTTGTGTCTTTTGATCTTTGTTGGTTTAAAGTCTGTTTTATCCAAGACTAGGATTGCAACCCCTGCTTTTTTTTTGTTTTCCATTTGCTTGGTAGATCTTCCTCCATCCCTTTATTTTGAGCCTATGTGGGTCTCTGCACATGAGATGTGTTTCCTGAATACAGCAAACTGATGGGCCTTGACCCTTTATCTAATTTGTCAGTCTGTGCCTTTTAATTGGAGCATTTAGCCCATTTCCATTTAAGATGAGTGTTGTTATGTGTGAATTTGATCCTGTCATTATGATGTTAGCTGGTTATTTTGCTCACTAGTTGATGCAGTTTCTTCCTAGCCTTGATGGTCTTTACAATTTGGCATGTTTTTGCAGTGGCTGGTACTGGTTGTTCCTTTCCATGTTTAGTGTTTCCTTCAGGAGCTCTTTTAGGGCAGGCCTGGTGATGACAAAATCTCTCAGCATTTGCTTGTCTGCGAAGTATTTTATTTCTCCTTCACTTATGAAGCTTAGTTTGGCTGGATATGAAATTCTGGGTTGAAAATTCTTTGCTTTAAGAATGTTGAATATTGGCCCCCACTCTCTTCTGGCTTGTAGAGTTTCTGCCAAGAGATCCACTGTTAGTCTGATGGGCTTCTTTTAGTGGGTAACCCGACCTTTCTCTCTGGCTGCCCTTAACATTTTTTCCTTCATTTCAACTTTGGTGAATCTGACAATTATGTGTCTTGGAGTTGCTCTTCTCGAGGAGTATCTTTGTGGCATTCTCTGTATTTCCTGAATTTGAATGTTGGCCTGCCTTGCTAGATTGGGAAAGTTCTCCTGGATAATATCCTGCAGAGTGTTCTCCAACTTGGTTCCATTCTCCCCATCACTTTCAGGTACACCAATTATACATAGATTTGGTCTTTTCATATTGTCCCATATTTTTTGGAGGCTTTGTTGATTTCTTTTTATTCTTTTTTCTCTAAACTTCTCTTCACACTTCATTTCATTCATTTCGTCTTCCATCGCTGTTACCCTTTCTTCCAGTTGATCTCATTGGTTACTGAGGCTTGTACTTTCGTCATGTAGTTCTCATACCATGGTTTTCAGCTCCATCAGGTCCTTTAAGGACTTCTCTGCATTGGTTATTCTAGTTATCCATTGTAGTTATGCATCTAATTTTTTTTCAAAGTTTTTAACTTCTTTGCCATTGGTTCGAACTTCCTCCTTTAGCTCAGAGTAGTTTGATCTTCTGAAGCCTTCTTCTCTCAACTCATCAAAGTCATTATCTGTCCAGCTTTGTTCCTTTGCTGGTGAGGAGCTGCATTCCTTTGGAGGAGGAGAGGTGCTCTGATTTGTAGTTTCTGGTGTTTCTGCTCTGTTTTTTCCCCATCTTTGTGGTTTTATCTACCTTTGGTCTTTGTTGATGGTGACGTACAGATGGGATTTTGGTGTGGATGTCCTTTCTCTTTGTTAGTTTTCCTTCTAACAGTCAGGACCCTCAGATGCAGGTCTGTTGGAGTTTACTGGAGGTCCACTCCCGACCCTGTTTGCCTGGGTATCAACAGCCGTGGCTGCAGAACAGTGGATATTGGTGAACTGCTAATGCTGCTGCCTGATCGTTCCTCTGGAAGTTTTGTCTCAGAGGAGTACCCGGCCGTGTGAGGTGTCAGTCCACCCCTACTGGGGGGGGTGCCTCCCAGTTAGGCTACTTGGGGGTCAGGGACCCACTTGAGGAGGCAGTCTGCCCGTTCTCAGATCTCAAGCTACGTGCTGGGGGAACCACTACTCTCTTCCAAGCTGTCAGACAGGGACATTTAAGTCTGCAGAGGTTATTGCTGTCTTTTGTTTGTCTGTGCCCTGCCCCCAGAGGTGGAGCCTACAGAGGCAGACAGGCCTCCTTGAGCTGTGGTGGACTCCACCCAGTTCGAGCTTCTGGCGGCTTTGTTTACCTACTCAAGCCTGAGCAATGGCAGGCACCCTTACCCCAGCCTCGCTGCTGCCTTGCAGTTTGATCTCAGACTGCTGTGCTAGCAAAGCGTGAGGCTCCATGGGCGTAGGACCCTCTGAGCCAGGTGCGGGATATAATCTCCTGGTGTGCCGTTTGATAAGTCCATTGGAAAAGCACAGTATTAGCGTGGAAATGACCTGATTTTCCAGGTGCCGTCTGTCACCCCTTTCTTTGACTAGGAAAGGGAATACCCTGACCCCTTGCACTTCCTGTGTGAGGCGATGCCTCTCCCTGCTTTGGCTCACATACAGTGCACTGCACCCACTGTCCTGCACCCACTCTCTGGCACTCCCCAGTGAGATGAACCCAGTACCTCAGTTGGAAATGCAGAAATCACCCATCATCTGTGTCACTCATGCTGGGAGCTGTAGACTGGAGCTGTTCCTATTCAGACATCTTGGCTCCACCCATCTTTTGACTTTTTGATGTGGATGTTGAGCACTATAAACATTCATCTTAAGATTGCTTTAGCTGTGTCCCAGAGACTTGGGTATGTTGTATGTTTGTTTTCATTCATTTTATAATGAAGTTGGTTAGTTGCTCCAAAGTTTACTGGACTCAGCCATGAAACAAAAGGATGAGCTGAGGGATTATGTCTCCTGGCTCCAGAAGCATATAACTTAGCCTCAGTTTCTAGGGGTGCCCTGGATAAGAGTCTTCTTTTCTGTAGATAAAGTGCTGAAATTGCTGAAAATCAGACACAAGCTCTTATCATACAAGTGGCTAATCTGCAACAGAAGGTGCACACTCAGCCTTGCCAGGTGTCTACTGTTAAAGTGACACCAATGAGTCAGATTCAGTCTATTTATGTAATCCTATATTTCTCAAAGGTTTTTTTCATTAAAGAATATTTTTTCTTTACTTTCTTCTGACTTAGTTCAAATAATCAGTCTTTGAGCCCTGAGAGCCTTCCCTCAGCTTGCTCATTTTGCTGTTAGTACTTTTGATTGTGTTATGAAATTATTGTAGTGAGGTTTTCAGTTCTATAAGCTTGGTTTTGTTCTTTCTTAAAATTGCTACTTCATCTTCTATCTCTTGAATAGTTTTACTGGATATTTTGGAATGGGTTTCAATTTTCCCCTGAAACTCAATGATCTTTATTGCTATCCCGATTCTGAGTTTTATGTCTGTCATTTCAGCCATTTCCTTCTGGTTAAGAACCCCTTGATGGGGAACTAGTGTGACCATTTGGAGGTAATGAGACACTCTTGTTTTTAGAGTTGTCAGAATTCTTGCACCGGTTTTTTCTTATCAGTGTGGGCTGATGTTCCATTAACTGTGGTGTAATTTGAGTATAGTCACTGACTGATTCTAGATATTTTCAGAGGGTCAAGACTTTTTCTAAGACCTTTATATGTGGTTGAATTCTTGTTCTTGGTTTCACAGAAGGTATATTAGCAAAGCATTTTTGGTGTTGAAGCTTGGTCTGTGATCTAGTACATGGCACTTGAGCATAATGGCTGGTAAGTAGGTTCTTGTTTAGCCATGTGGCTCCTTTGTATTTCTTTGAATTTGTAGCCATGCCCCCTCTCAGTCTTCTGAGAGTTTGGGCTCCTTTCCCACTTGAGGCCTGGAAGATCTTGGCTTAGGACTTTCTGGCATGAGCTAAGGCTCTTTGTTCCCTCCCCAGCTTGGGGCCAGCAGGGACAAGAACCTTGACAGTCACAAAAGCAGAGGACCTTTCACTTTTCTCTTGGGACTCCACTTCAGAGAAACACTGAGCTGATGTTAATTGGAAAGACAAGCCTGGGATGGGGCAATTGTTGTGGGCCCAAGTCTGGGGGCTCCACCTGGTGATGAGCCAAAAGGATGGGGGCCTCACAGGGAAGACAGACCAGCCTCTTCTTTCTAGGGTGGCTGTGGCATGCTGGAGATGTGAGTATAGCACTTAGGGTCTTTGTTGCTTTCCAGGCTGAGGTCAATACACACTGCAGTGACAATGACAGAGGGCCTTTCAGTTGCTTCTGGGAGCACCAGCCCAGAGAAGTGTAGAGCTGCTGCCAATGTGAATGTTTATCTGGGTGGGGGGCTGCTGCACTGCAGGCCTGAACCAGGGGTTCTGTCTGGTGAAGAGCAGCGACCTAGGGGCTCACAGGGAAGAGTGACTGGGGTTCTTTCTGTATGGCAGCTACAGCATGCTGGAGGTCCCAGTGAAGCAACCAGGTCCTTCCTTCCCCAGTCTGAAGGCAGTAAGGACAGTATTGCTGCAACTCCAATGACAGAAGAGCTGAGGGTTGTCTATGGGATTTCCTTCCCAGAGAAATGTATAGCTGCCAGTGACAAAACAAATCTGGTGGGGGCAGGATAGTTGGTGCTGGAGGCCCAGGTCAATAGGCCCTGTCCAGTGAGTAGTAAGGTCCAGGGACCCATATGGAAAACAGTCTGGCCACTTTTCCATAAGGCAGCTGCAAATATCATTTTCCACCCCTTTACTTTCAGTCTATATGTGTCTTTTCAGGTAAGGTGAATTTGTTGTAGGCAGCATATTGTTGGATTATATATATACGAATATATATTTTGAAATGGAGTCTCGCTCTGTTGCCCAGGCTGATTGCAGTGGCACAATCTCAGCTCACTGCAAGTTATGCCTCCCAGGTTCACACCATTCTCCTGCCTCAGCCTCCGGAGTAGCTGGGACTATAGGCACCTGCCATCACACCTGGCTAATTTTTCATATTTTTAGTAGAGACGGGGTTTCATCGTGTTAGGATGGTCTCAATCTCCTGACCTTGTGATCCGCCCACCTTGGCCTCCCAAAGTGCTGGGATTACAGGCATGAGCCACCGCTCCTGGCCGTATTATATTTTTTTATCCATCCTACCAGTCTGTATCTTTTAAGTGGAGCATTTAATCCATCTACATTCAAGGCTAATATTGATATTGAGGCCTTGTTCCTGCCGTATTGTTGATTGTTTTCAAGTTATTTCATAAATTCTTTGTTCCTTTCTTTTTCTCTTTTTGTCTTTGTGGTTTGATGAGACTTTGTTGTGTTGCCATTTGATTCCTTTCTCTATGTCCTTTGTGTGTTTGTTCTTTATAAGAACTGTGAGTTTATATTTCACTGTGTTTTCATGGTGGCAAATATCAACCTTTCTTTTCATATTGAAGACTACTTTGAGCATTCTTGTAGAGTCAGTCTGGAGGTGACAAAGCCCCTCAGTATTTGCTTGTCTGGGAAAGACTTTATTTCTCCTTCATTGATGAAGCTTATTCTGGCAGCATATAAAATTCTTGGCTGACAGTTTTTTTTTTTTCTTTTAACATTTTGAAAATCGCATCTCATCCTCTTCTGGCCTGTAAGGTTTCTGCTAAAATGTCCACTGTTAGTCTGATCAGGTTTCCTTTATAGGTGACTAGATCCTCTTCTCTTGCTAATTTTCAAATTCTTTTTTCACTTTGACTTTAGGCATTCTAAATATAATATGCTGTGGTGAAGTCTTTTTTGCAGTGTATTTTACTGGGAATTGTTGAGTATCTGTATCTTGATGTCTGACTCTCCTGCTGGTCTTGGGGGAAGTTTTCATGAATTATTTTCTTAAATAGGTTTTCTTAACATTGTGATCTCTCTTCATCCCCAGGAATACTGATTATTCATATGTTCTGTCACCTTATGCAATACCAGATGTAGGAAGACCCCTTGAAACTAGTGCTACTGAATAAAAGATGAAATGCTTTTGATTATTGTAAATACAAAGTTGCATGCAGGATTGTGTAAAGACAATGCCAGGTTGGACTGCCAGAATGAGCCAACAGCATGTGATGTGCTTTCCCCTGCAGAGAGCCTATGAACGGATGTGCAGTCAGGGAGGTTTCACATCACCAAGATTCCTATCCCAGAAAAGCAGATGTTTATAGCTCTGGGAATGGAATGCGACCCTTGTGGAGAGCCTATAAACGGATGCATGGGAGTGGGGGCTCCTGTCCATATGAATAAGATAGGGCTATAAATGCCCTCATCTTGCCACAGCTCTTCTAGGCCTCTTCAGGGTTAAGGCATACTCCCTTCTGAGAATTTCTGGTCTAACCAGTTGTCCAGCTTCATGTCTTGTTTCTATGGATTGTTTGTAATCAGCTTTTGATGCAGCTGTTACTGCTGATTAATATCTTGCTAATCATAGGTTATGGAAAGACTGTGTTTCTGTTTTAAAGCTCTGTTAGAAATTATTGATGCACACACTATATTATAAATTCTTATCCCTGTATACTGTACTTCTGCATTCAGATGTTATGTTAAAGAATTACTTCATCCCCATGTGACCATCTCACCTCATAGTCAAATGACCCTAAATCCCTCACTAACCTACCCCCGCCCTCACTAAACTTAATAATAAATGCTGGTATATTCAGTGCATTGTTGGCACCTTGGGACCAGAAGCTGGTGACCCCCTGGACCCAACTTTTGCCATCTTGTTTGTGTCTATTATTTCTTGGCCTGCTGATCCACCTGGGAACAAAGAGACAGCCCCATTGCATTGCAGGCTGCTGGCCAGATCCCGCAATAACCAGACATCTGAAAGTCTTTTTAATTCCTGTTATCTTATTTTTGTCTGGCTGAATTATATCAAAAGATCTGTTTTCAACTTCTGACATTCTTTTGTCTGCTTGGTCTAGTCTATTATTGAAGCTTTTGAATGTATTTTTTCTCTCAATTAATTTTTTTTAATTCCAGAATTTCTTCTTGTTTTTTAAAAATATCTATCTCCTTGGTAAATTTCTCATTCATTTTCTGAATTGATTTTCTGACTTTGTTGTATTTGTTTTCAGATTTGTCTTTCATCTCATTGGGCTTCTTGAAAATCAATATTTTGAATTATTTATCTGGCATTTCAAGGAATTTTTTTGATTGGGATCTGTTTCTGGACAATTATGGTCCTTTGGTGGTGTCATATTTCCCTGCTTTTTCATGTTTTCTGTTTCTTTCTTTTGATATCTGTGCATTGGTTGTAGCAGTCACTTGTTCCAATTTTTTGAAATTGCTTTTGTAGGGGAGAATTTTTCTTGCAAATACATGTGGGTTGGTTGAGTAGAATACTTTGGCTTTGATTTGGTTGCCTGCAATAGTGTGATCTTTGTATGACTTCTTTGCCAATACACAGGTCAGTGGTATCTTGGTATCTGTAATTTCCTTGGTGGCTTAGAGTTAGTTGAGATTGTGTTGAAGTTTTTCTGGGAACTTGGATGCCAATTGTGCCAGCCTTTGGGCCCAATAGTGGAAGCAATGGGATGAATATGCCTGCTTTTATGCCACAGGGTGGCTTACACTGGCTCCATTGTTAGTGGGTCCTAGGGGGCTTATTCTTGGGTTTCTAGATGGCTTGCTTAGAAGGTAGTATGGGGATTGGTGGGCCAAGTGTGTAGGTAGGTTCTGAGGCTGCTGGACAGCCGTTGTCACAGCAGTAGTGGTGGAGAAACCCATGGGTATCCAAGTGGTCCATGTTGGTGTTCCTCATAGCTGCAATGGGTTGGGCAGGCTAGTCCCCTGTTCCAAAGCTGCTCATAGTAGGGTGGTGAGTATTGTCCTAAGTGTGCTTAGGAGAATTCCATCCCCTCTCTCCTTGAACTGGCTAAGTGATGGCTGCAGCTGCATTAGCTTGAACTTGGTCCATGGGTGTGACAGAGCCCAGCATTAAACTCTCAAAATGGTGCCAACTGTGGGTTTGTGACCAGAAGGGGCAGAGCCCCCCTTACCTAAGCAGCATGGGCAAGAGGCTGTGGGGATTGTGGTTGCTTGAGTCTCACAGCAGCTTGTGGCAGGGCAGTGGGTATTGTCCTAGATATGTAAAGAGGAGCTTGATTTTTCTTTTCCTTCCTTGGCTGGGTGGTAGCTGTAGCCACATCAACTCAAACGACCTGAAGAGGGGGTGAAGCCCAGCCTTAAATTCTCAAATTGGCACCTTGGGCCTGTGGCCAGGGAGGGCAGTGTCCTCCTCAGCCAGGCAGCATAGGCAAAAAGCTGTGAGTAGTATGGTCTCCTCATTTTTCATTCTCACAGCAGCCTGTGGCAGGGCAGTGGATACTGTCCTGGATATGCATATTATAGCCTTGTTCCATGTTCCCCTTTGGCCAGGCAGCAGCTTCAGCCATGTCAGCCCAAATGCAGCCCAAGTGTGGGGTGCAGCCCAGCATTAAACTCTCAAAATGGCAGCTTGGGCCTCAAATCAGGGAGAGTGGGATCCTTGCCAGGCAAGCATGTGAGCAAGAAACTTTGGGGAGTGCAGTCCACTAATGTCTTTGTTTCAATGGGAGCCTATAGCAGGGCAGTGGGGACCCTCTCAGGGGTACATGGGAGCCCCCAGTCTCCCCTCTACTTTCTTGGAGCAGTGCATCAGCTGCAGCCATGTCTGTAGATCTTCATTATCTAGGCTCTAAAAATGGCAGCTTTTGGAGGCTGGTCTAGTCACAGATGCCTGTAAGATTGTGTGTTGATTCCCTTTCTGAATCAACGTCTCTGTGCAATCTTTAGAGAGCTCTGTATAATCTTTAGAAAGCTCTTTATTTCAGGCCCAAGGCCCAGTGGGCCAAGAGTTTCCCCATAGCTATATCATACAAGCCAAGGGGGTTTCTCTCTTACTGTTCCTTTTCATCCAGGAGACTCTCTTGGCTCTCAGTCGGTCCCTGGTTGGGCAACCTGCCTTGAACCCTTTCCTTCCTTACTTCTAGTGCTTCCTGTCTCTTTTCTGGTAAATCTTAGTGTTCTCTCCTAGATAATATGTCCAAAATGTGAGCATCTATTTACTATTCTGGTTCCTTTTTATGGAGGAGGCACATAGTACCTGTGTCTAGTCAGCCATATTGATCCTCCTCTGTCTCAAAAATATTATACACCATGATCAAGTGGGATTTATCCTGGGGGTGGAAGGATGTTTCAACACATGCAAATCAATAAGCCTGATACATCACATCAACAGGAAAAAGAACAAAAACCATATGATTACCTCAATAGATGTAGCAAAGCATTTGATAAAATTCAGCATCCCTTCATAATAAAAACTCTTAATAAATTATTTATAGAAGGAACATACCTCAACACAAAAAGGGCCATACATGACAAACTCACAGCTAACATCATACTGATTTGAGAAAAGCTGTAAGCTTTTCCTCTAAGAACTAGAATAAGACAAGGACATTCACTTTTATCACTATTATTTAACATAGTAATGGAAGGTCTAGCCAGGGCAATTAAGCAAGAGAAAGAAAAGGGCATCTAAATTGGAGAAAAGAAAGTCAAATTGTCCCCTCTTTGCAGACTACATGATCTTATGTATAGAAAAACCTAAAGACTCCATCAAAAAACTCTTAGAACTTGTAAACAAAATCAGTTAGTTGCAGGATATAGAATTGACATACAAAATTTAGTGATGTTTCTCTACATCAATAATGAAATAGCTAAAAAAGAAATTAAGAAAGCAATCCTACTTATAATAGCTATAAAAATAAAAGTATCAAGGAAAAAATTTATCTAAGGAGGCAAAAGATCTCTTCAATGAAAACTACAAAAATACTGATGAAAGAAATTGAAGTGGGCCAGGTGCAGTGGCTCATGCCTGCCCTCATGATTCAATTACCTCCCACTGGGCCCCTCCCATGACACATGGGAATTATGGGAGCTATAATTCAAGATGAGATATGGGGGGAGACAGAGCCAAACCATATCACTCCTCAAAAAACTAAAAACAGAACCACCATATGATCCAGCAATCCCACTATTAGATATTAGCCAAAGGAAAAGATATAGGTATGTCAAAGAGATATCTGCACACTTGTGTTTATTGCTCCTCTGTTCACAGTAGCAGAGATATGGAATCAGCCTAAATGTCCATCAGTGGATGAATGGATAAAGAGAATGTATATATACACAATGGAATACTATTCAGCAATAAAGAGCAATGAATCCCATCATTCCCAACAATGTGAATGAGCCTGGAGGACATTATGTTAAGTGAAATAAATCAGGCACATAAATTAAATACTGCATGTTCCCATTCATATGTGGAACCTAAAAACGCTGAGCTCATTAAAGTGGAGAATAGGATCACAGTCATTAGAACTGTGAACCCCAAAAATCTGAGACAGGTCTCAGTTAATTTAGAAAGTTTATTTTGCCAAAGTTGAGGATGTGCACCCATGACACAGCCTCAGGAAGTTCTGACAAAATGTGCCCAAGGTGGTTAGAGCAGTTTGGTTTTATACATTTTAGGGAGACGACATCAATCAACATATGCAAGATAAACATTGGTTTGGTTTGGAAAGGTGGGACAACTCAAAGCAAAGGCTGGAAGACTCGAAGCTGGGAGGGGGCTTCCAGGTTATAGACAGATAAGAGACAAATGGTTACATTCTTTTGTATTTCTGATTAGCCTCTCCAAAGAAGGCAATCAGATATGCATTTATCTCAATGTGCAGAGGGGTGAATTTGAATAGAATGGGAGGCAGGTTGGCCCTAAGCAGTTCCCAGCTTGACTTTTCCTTTTAGCTTAGTGATTTGGGGCTCCAATATTTATTTTCCTTTCACATTTTCCCCCTTTTCTTTTAAAAAGTCTTTTGAAGAAAACATTTTAGAAGAAAATGAGTCTCTGGTCTCAGGTTTCATCTGATCTCTCATAGCTAGGATGGTTTATTTCTAGATGGGCAGGTCCTGAGTTATTAGGAAAGCTCAGTTTTAGCAGGTTGTGAAGTCTTATGTTCTATGAGAGAAAATAGGAGGTGGAAAGGAGAAAAACAATAATGAAGGAAAGGACAATTCTGGAAAATCAATGTAGGTCACATTATTCTGAAGTCCATACATCAGTAGGTAGGTATGAAAGTGGCTTATGTATGTAAACAGGTTGCTGTTATTTTTTTCTGAAGTTTAAGTTGGTTAGCTTTAGTTTGCAAGACTTTACAAAAGCACAACTTAGTTTTTGGTGACTCCAAATTAGGAAAAATGAAGGAAAAGAGAAAAAAATGGAAAACATTATTTTGCAGACTTGTAGCCAAGAAAAATCAGAATTTGGTCCAAAGTGTAGAAAATAATAAAATTTGAAAAACATTAGGCAAGACAAGAATCTAACATGAGGTGTACTATAGTTTTTGAAACATAATTTTTCTCTCTCCAGCTTCCCAATTTTACTAAAGACAAGTCATTGTAGGACTCATTTGCCTTATTTTACTTGGCCTGATTATTTGTATATAGTGCAGCAAGATTAATTTTTTTAACAGAGGTTTTAAAATTGACTGTGAACCAACTTTTTCCATAGAAGGAATCTCACATAACACTTTGTAAAAGCTGAACCCAGCCATGGACTTGTACCATCAAATACTTACGAAGGGTTAATTCCTCTTCTCTTTAGGTTCCAAGATAAACTTGGGGTCCTGGGCCTGTCAGAAAGTGACATTCTTTACTTAATACAGGTCAGGAACCCTGTACATGCATGGTGTAAAAAAGATATGAGGCCAGTTTTTCCAAGGGGCTTTTATTGGCTCCATAAGTCAAGTTTGATTCCTTAGAAGAAAGCACACCATTCCAGTCAAAGCCTTGGTAAAATAAACAGCTTCTCTAAGTGTGTCCTGTTACAAATGAAAACAGATTCTTACTGCACTTATGCAAATAACTGTATTGCCATAAGTTAAGAATACTCACAAATAGTTTCCAAAATCTGTAGAAATCAGGTAGAAAGAAAAAAAATATGCTCCAAATTTTGTTCATAGGAGTATTCTAAATTGTGGAAAGCTGTCAATAGCTCAAAAGAAAGGTTTTCTTGACTTTGAAAAACAAAGCAAAGGATTAACAACATTTTAAGCAAAAAGTTAAAAAGATTACTTCAGTCATTTATTCAGTTCATGCAGTTAATTCCCATTCACCCTGATATTCATGAACATTTCAGCTCTCCAGTAGTCCTGACAATTTTTTTCTTTGTTCTGATGTCACAATCTCGAAAGTTATCAGAAACCTCAATTCAAGAGCATCTGTTAGTTTTTATAGCTTATTATAAAACCACCTTCTAAAGAGGACATAAACAAGACAATTGTCAGTGGATGACAAAAGTTTTAGGGCAGCAATAGTTAAAGACACAATTGACAAGGAAATTTATTACCTCTGTGGCACACAATAATTTAACATGACAATTATAATAATAATTATTATTATTTTGAGACGGAGTCTCACTGTGTCACCCAGGCTGGAGTGCAGTGGTGCTATCTCAGCTCACTGCAAGCTCCGCCTCCTGGGTTCATGCCATTCTCCTGCCTCAGCCTCCCGAGTAGCTAGGACTACAAGTGCCTGCCACCACACCCAGCTATTTTTTGTATTTTTAGTAGAGATGGGGTTTCACCATGTTAGCCAGGATGGTCTTGATCTCCTGACCTCATGATCCACCTGCCTCGGCCTCCCAAAGTGCTGGGATTACTGGAGTGAGCCACTACGCCCGGCCAACAATTATAATTATTACTAATAATGTAAACAAGGTCATATCAGAATTACAAAAGCTCATGGTTTTGGAACACATACCAATAACATATTTATACAAGTACAGCCCCCCACCAAAACCAAATACCATTTCATATTTGACAATGCTTCCTATATAATTTTTGTACCAAATAAGCCAAATTATGTTATTTTTGGACTTTAGGGAACCTAACATCTTAAAGGATTAATTAGGTCAGTAAAAGGCATAATTTATAATTTGATTTTGAAAAGTCTGTCAAATATCAAAGGTTTAAAACACTTGATATCACAAAATAGAATCACAGATCACTGTAAAACAAGTCATTCATTTAACCAAAGTGATAACTCAAGGATTTCAAAAAAGGTGAACCCTCATTTTTTGAGAGAGGAGACTTAATTTTCCAAATGAGAAGCCCTAATAAAAACAGCATGAAGCCAATTAAATTTGTTCTTTAAAATTTTATAAACAATCTATAAAATTTTAATCTTGACCATAAGATATCACTTCCATAAGCCTTTTATAACCTTTATAACCTTTATTAAGGAGTCAGTTAATGCTTGAAGAAAACCTTGTTAATCTGACATAGGGGCCCGTACGCTGGTCTAACATCAGTATGCCTTTGACATTAATGATTAATTTATAGAGAAACTGAATTTATTTTATCAAAAATTGGCCCTTACAATCTCACATGCCCACCTCTTCTGCAATAGTCCCTGGGCCTTCAAGAGTTGAATAGCTTTAATTTCTGGCCCTGTGTCTCAGGAATCCAGTTTATTTTGATTTACATCTTCTACTGGGCCTGCCTGAAGATGAGGCTTTAATTGCTGTCAGTGTTTAAGATTTAGCAGGACTTGGTGTTCTTTTTAGACCCAGCAGTCAAAGCCCTGTAATTTAATGTCACAAGTACTTTAAAAGCACACACGGAGAGATATGTGGACATAATAACCTTGATTAAATCCTAGCTACTTGGGAGGCTGAGGCAGGAGAATTGCTTGAATCTGGGAGGCAGAGGTTGCAGTGAGCCAAGATTGCGCCACTGCACTGCAGCCTGGGTGACAAAGCGAGACTCCCTCTCAAAAAAAAAAAAAAAATTAATCTCAGTTTTTTCCTAAGCAAACCAAAACTTAATAATAATGTCATAGGAATTGTTTCAATACCCTGTAAAATCTGTTAGGCCACTTACCAAAGGCAAAAGAAAAGACATTCTGCACTGCACAGAATATTATGTTGGAAGAAAACATTTCCTTTAGACCTTTAAGAAAACATTGCTAGCATCAGGCCACAACAAACAGAACTCAAGGAAAAAAACTTATATGAGCTGAAAATGAGTAAGGAGAGTGTTACAATTTTGCACCTTTGAAAGGGGGAGATAAAACTGAAAACACTAAGATACAACAAAAGTTGAACTTTGCTTTTTAAGAAAAACTCTTGAAGCTGGGTGTGGTGGCTCACACCTGTAATCTCAGCACTTTGGGAGGCTGAGGTGGGCAGATCACTTGAGGTCAGGAGTTCAAGACCAGCCTAACCAACACGGGGAAATCCCATCTCTACGGAAAATACAAAAGTAGCCAGGCATGGTGATGCATGCCTGTAATCCCAGCTACTCGAGTGGCTGAGGCAGGAGAATTGCTTGAATCTGGGAGGCAGAGGTTGTGGTGAGCCAAGATCATGCCATTGCACTCCAGCGTGGGCGACAAGAACAAAACTCCGTCTCAAAAAAAAAAAAAAACCAAAAAACTCTTATAATTTATTAAGAGCAAATCAATCCTTAAGAAAATTTCATTGTTCTATCCAATTATTTAGTGTATAAGTTTTTTTTACATCAAACCCAATCTCTAGAAAGATCTATAATCTCCCTTTAGTTATAGACAACTTGTTTCTTGGTTTTTTAAAAAGTATATCTGCTTATTTTGACTTACACAGACCATTCATGACATGCTTGGACCTTCTGGTTCCTCCTGAACATCCCTCTTTCTTAAAAAGCCAGTCATTTTATTCCAGCACTAAATCTGTACAAGATTATTTCTCATATAAAATTATTTCTCCTTCAGCTTTCTTACAAAAAAACTCTTTATTTTTATAAGTTTTTAAACTTCTCTCTTATTTTCTGGTTCCTTTCACCTTGTTTTATACATAACCCTTAAATAAGCTTTGAGGCTGGGTGTGGTGGCACATGCCTGTAATCCCAGCAATTTGGGAGGCCGAGGCAGGCGAATCACATCAGATAAGGAGTTTGAGACCAGCCTGGCCAACATAGTGAAACCCTGTCTATATTAAAATACAAAAATTAGCCAAGTGTGGTGGCACACACCTGTAATCCCAGCTACTCAGGAGGCTGAGGCAAGAGAATCGCTTGAACCTGGGAGGCAGAGGTTGCAATGAGCTGATATCATGCCACTGCACTCCAGCCTAGGGGACAGAGTGAGAATCTGTCTCAGAAAAAAAAAGATCTTCAAATTAGACAAAAATTTTTCAACTTTTTAAAAAAGGACACAACTATTTTTTAGAAAGAATGTTTTTCTACAAATATATTTTATTGGAAAATACCCAAATAATGAAATAGCTATTGTTTAATTTACTATAACTTTAGTTTCTAAATTATGACAAGTTTTTCTACAAGTATTTATCCCGTTACATTTACCTACTTATTTTATTTTAATCATTTACCTAGATTATTTATGAAAACTGCCATAGTCATTATTTAAAGTTATGAAACTGCCATTGCAAAATTATAACTGAGAAGGTGAAAAAGATTTGATGTAACTGACTGCATCTTGCTTCTAACCTCCAATCTGTCCTTGTTGATTTTTGGGCAAATTTGGGAGGAACTTGGTTTATAGTTTCACTTTGAAACAAAGGTGATAACAGTTCCTTCCCAAAACAAACCTTACTGCCTGCAGACTAGACTGCCTAAAGCCACAAGATTAGCAGTTATGGTAATCTTACTAAATTCAAAATGTAGCTATTTTTATTAAACTAATATCAATGTCTTATTTATTAAAGATTACACAGCAAAGATCATTCTGTCTTGAGCTGTGTTTATAGCTTTATAACCCCTATGCCAAATTTTGACACCTTATAGTATTTAGCAGGAATAAGTATGAAATTGCTTAATTAATAAATGCAAACAAAAATGTATGCTGGCAATTCTTAAGACATTTTCTAATATAATTATACTTTACCAATAATCTTAAAGCTAGCTTATTTATTAAAGATTTTAGTTAAGTTGCATAAACTTGAAAAAGCATTTGACTAGTCTTTTTTCCACATAAAGTATTTGATTCAAGTGCTTTTATTTTCTTAAGCCAATTAATTAGAGCTTTCTTCTTTTTTTTTTTTTTTAGCTCTTTTTGACTGATTTTTGTTTCCTCTTTTTAAAATTATTATTATACTTTAAGTTTTAGGATACATGTGCACAACTTGCAGGTTTGTTACATATGTATACATGTGCCATGTTGTTGTGCTGCACCCATTAGCTCATCATTTAGCATTAGGTATATCTCCTAATGCTATCCCTCCCCCCTTACCCCCTCCCCCCACCCACAACAGTGCTCGGTGTGTGATGTTCCCCTTCCTGTGTCCATGTGTTCTCATTGTTCAATTCCCACCTATGAGCGAGAACATGCGGTGTTTGGTTTTTTGTCCTTGCGATAGTTTGCTGAGAATGATGGTTTCCAGCTTCATCCATGTCCCTACAAAGGACATGAACTCATCCTTTTTTATGGCTGCATAGTATTCCATGGTTTATATGTGCCACATTTTCTTAATCCAGTCTATCGTTGGACATTTAGGTTGGTTCCAAGTCTTTGCTATTGTGAATAGTGCCGCAATAAACATACGTGTGCATGTGTCTTTATAGCAGCATGATTTATAATCCTTTGGGTATATACCCAGTAATAGGATGGCTGGGTCGAATGGTATTTCTAGTTCTAGATCCTTGAGGAAACACCACACCGACTTCCGCAATGGTTGAGCTAGTTTACAATCCCACCAACAGTGTAAAAGTGTTCCTATTTCTCCACATCCTCTCCAGCACCTGTTGTTTCCTGACTTTTTAATGATCGCCATTCTAATTGGTGTGAGATGGTATCTCATTGTGGTTTTGATTTGCATTTCTCTGATGGCCAGTGATCATGAGCATTTTTTCATGTGTGTTTTGGCTGCGTAAATGTCTTCTTTTGAGAAGTGTCTGTTCATATCCTTTGCCCACTTTTTAATTAGAGATTTTTAAAGTATATTTTCAGTACTGAAACATTGTGTACACAACACATAAATGCATAGACATGTTAGGCATGCCAATAGAAGTCCATCTTATAGATTCAGCTTTACAAGTAGCAGGATACATTCTTGGCTGAGTGAAGCAAAAGCTGATATGTCAGATCTTCTGACACCTGAGTGAGGGGTTGTGGATCAGTTTATTTAGAAGAAAATGGCCCTTCAAAAACCACTGCTGGGTGTCAACTGAGCTAGGCAAAAATGTGTTAATGCTCTTGCAGCATGAAAGAAAAGTTAAACTGTGCTTTGAATACTTCATTTAAGAAGGCAGAAAGATATCAACATTTTAGAAAGGTTTTACTCACAAACCTGTTAAAAGATAAGTTTCATTTTCTTACAAATATTGCTTGTTTAGAATGTTTTATTTCTGTCTTAAAATTTTTTTCTCACTTTTCATCTCAAGTTAAACTATGCTTTTTATTTGCATGAACATAGAAATATTATGTCCCTAATACTAGGATAGATCTGATAAAATGAGTGCTCACTTTTTGGTTAACT
The DNA here is from genome assembly GCF_000001405.40 of Homo sapiens. Lineage (NCBI taxonomy): Eukaryota > Metazoa > Chordata > Mammalia > Primates > Hominidae > Homo > Homo sapiens. The sequence continues at coordinate 56,372,136 of NC_000008.11, forward strand.
GAATATGTGCTTTAATTTACTTGAAATTTCAATTTTTGGTGTTACCATTACTCAGTAGGTCTGGAGCCCAATGGAGATAAAGCTAGACTATTGTAGAGTGATTACAGCTCAAGAACTATTCCCAGCCCAGAGGTGAGATTGTTAGGAATGTTTGCCACATAGGTGGCATATGTTGTGCCCATTTCTCATGAGGATAAAGGATTTTAAAAGAAAGGTTATGTCATGTATTCAAATACATCAGTTAAAATGGCACTCTGTTGAATTAAGTATGAAAATGTTTCATTTTCAAACCAATAGTGTATATAATTCTAATTTGTACTTTTTTTTAGTGGAGTAAAAGAGCTAAAAGTTTGACATATTCAGATGCAAAAGAAATGATAAGTTACAGATATGTTTTATCAAATATTCAGTTTCAATCCCACTAAGGGTCTTGAAATGAACATCTAATTCTATTAGGAATGAATAGGCAACACAAATATGCCTTTACTTTGTGAGGCAAACATTATTTTTCTTAATTATGAAACTAATATGTACCTTTAAAGCTGATGTTTAAAAATTATCAAAATAAAAAACTGACTTATAAGGTCATTATTTATAATTATCTCTCTTCCAAAGGTATTATATATTATCTATTTTAAAATTAAATTAAGGTCAACTTGCATTAATATGTTTTTATAAACATATTATGTTCAAAGTCCATTGAAAAGACTGTAATGTCCTGATTTATAATGCTAAAAAATGATAAGAAAAACTTGATAGATAACTTGAATGCTTAGAAAAATAATTGGTGCGTAAACTATGTCCAGGAAACACAATTGACACTTTTGAAAGCTTCACTAATCCTTGGTAGACTGCAATCCTTTAAGCATTAGGAGGAATTGTGAATAGTTTATCCTTAGAACACTTTTTGATTCTCATGTTTGAGTCTTGAGCTACTGGTGTTTCCCTTCAGTTTCAGTCTGAAGTTCATTTGCTTTCTTTCTCCCTTTGAAAGAAGCCATGCAAGTGTCCACTCCAAGGTACTCACCAAAGGCAATCAACATTTTTGGAGATATTATTCTAGAAGAAAAGCAGAGAAAAAAATTATGATCCTTTAAGAGGAATCAAATAAACTACTTTGCAAAGAGTAAGTGCAAATTATACAAAGTTCAAAATGTCACTTAATGGGAGGGCTGAAGAGAAAAGTGCTGTGTCATCCCCAAGTGCCATCACCATCCTCAACACCAATGGCTCTCAACCCTGGCTACACCTTGGAATCACCAGAGCTTTGAAAAGCCCCAAAGTTCAAGCCACAATTTATCCCTGTATCACACCCCCTGAGTTCTGTGGAGAGACTATGTATATCCTTATTTACTAGACTAACAAAAGGTAGCAAAACTAGAAAAAAAACTGGACCAGTTAAAGCAGAATTTCTGGAGGGTAGGGGCCAGGAATCTGTAGTTTTAAATGTTCCCTGGGTGATTACAATGTGCATCCGAGATGAAGAACCATTGTTTTAGTTCCTTGAGGATAGAGGCTGTGTCCAGCTCAGTTATGCTCAATTCAGCTCGATGTGGCAAATATTTATGGCATGCTAATTACACGTTAGGTATTGTCCTAGGCTGGGGCAAGGAGCAGGAAACAATTCAGACAATATTTTCTGTTCTTAGGGATCATGCAAGGTAGCAAGTAACCACGGGTGAAATGAGTGCGCCAAAAACCAGGGTCAGGTGTGATGGAATGTACAATGTGGGACTTTGACCTAGCTGAGCAATCAGGGTAGCTAAGGATGAATAGGAAATATGTTAAATAGATATAAATAGTAAAGAAAGTACTTTATTTATCAGTAACATAATTTTGTAATAGTGAATCTCTGCTTGTGCTTTCTACTCTGCTACTACTTACAGCAGAGGAGGAGTATTTCTTGACGGTAAGACCTTAAGCTCTGTAATCAAATTGGAAACTTCAGTTTGAAACTTTGTTGCAGCACATATTATTAGTTGTTTAACCCTGCAAAAATTACTGTCTTTAAACCTCAGATTTCCTAAATTGATAAAATTCACACAAAGCTATTAGCACAGTAGCTGGCATGTAGTAGTCACCCCATAAATGCTAAATCTGGACCTGGGTGGAATCCATGAACAAATACCTGGAATTCATAGCATGGGCCTTGTATGAAGTTGCTGGAGCTATTTCGCAAAATAAAATGAAGAACTTGTAAAATACTCTTAATATTTTTCTGGCAACATACTTGTGTTTTTTTGTCCCTTGTTTTCAAAGTAGAGCTCTACACTAACCAAACTAAATAGTTGACCAAAACCAAAAACATAAAAAACAAACAAAAAACCCCAAATAATTTGTTACTTATTTGTGTTGAAACAAAAAATGTGTGTTTTGCAAGACCTAAATAATTGTTAAATTTAGTCAGTGTCTGAAGCAACCAAGACACAGCAATAGTCCGAAAAGTTGTTTTTGCACTATTAAGGTTCTTCCTCTTACCATTAAGTAAATATATAAAGTTGCTTTCTATGCAAAAGAGGTAGCAGTGATTGGACAATTTGTTCACAATAACCAGAATGATAGTGAGGTCATTATTAACTTACTGTTTAAGAATCAATCCGATATATGCAAATTTGGGTATCATTAAATAAACTTGTTCCTCTAAAATAGCATTTAAAATTTTTTTGGCCACATACTCCTGCTCCAGAATTGGTAACAGAAACGGATACCTGGAATAACAATAACAAATAGTGATATCATCAGACTGGTATCTTTTTGCTGTCATCATAGGGCATTGATTATGAAATTTCAGATATGGAACTATAACATACAGCTTTAAACAGTCAAACAAAGGCCAGCTGCAGTGGCTCACGCCTGTAATCCCAGCACTTTGGGAGGCCGAGGTGGGCAGATCACCTGAGGTCAGGAGTTTGAGACCAGCCTGGCCAACATGGAGACATGCCATCTCTACTAAAAATACAAAAGTTAACCGGGTGTGGTGGTGGGCGCCTGTAATCCTAGCTATTCAGGAGGCTGAGGCAGGAGAATCGCTTGAACCCGGGAGGTGGAGTTTGCAGTGAGCCGAGATCGCACCCCTGCACTCCAGCCTGGGCAACAGGGTGAGACTCCATCTAAAAAAATAATAATAATAATAACAAACAAACAAACAAACAAAAACTAGTCAAACAAAATGCAAATCTTAGGAATTGCCTTGTGTTTTCTCTTATGATCAGTAATAGGACTAGTGCTAATATATTTAATTTCCTGGAGTAAACTTCCTGCTTTTGTTGATTTTCTGCTGTGTGATGGTCTAAACATATGGAAGTAATTGCTTTTAGATTTTTTTGTTTGTTTGTTTTAATACAGAGTCTCGCTCTGTCGCTCACGCTGGAGTGCAGTGGCACAGTCTTGGCTCATTGCGAGCTCCGCCTCCCCGGTTCACACCATTCTCCTGCCTCAGCCTCCTGAGTAGCTGGGACTACAGGTGCCCACCACCACGCTCGGCTAATTTTTTTTGTATTTTTAGTAAAGACGGGGTTTCACCGTGTTAGCTAGGGTGGTCTTGATCTCCTGACCTCGTGATCTGCCCACCTCAGCCTCCCAAAGTGCTGGGATTAGCTTTTAGATTTTTTTCTTCTTTCTTCCCTCTCTGTCCCTCCCAAACATCCCATAGTTGTATACTATTAAGAAGCAAAATTGCAGCCAGGCACAGCCCAATTGCTAATGCCAGCACTTTGGGAGGCTGAGGTGGATGGATCACCTGAGGTCAGGAGTTCAAGACCAGCCTGGCCAACATGGTGAAACCCCATCTCTACTAAAAATACAAAAATTAGCTGGGTGTGGTGGCCCATGCCTGTAATCCCAACTACTTGGGAGGCTGAGGCAGGAGAATCACTTGAACCCAGGAGGTGGAGGTTGCAGTGAGCAGAGATTGCCTCACTGACTCCAGCCTGGGTGACAGAGTGAGACTCCATCTCAAAAAAAAAAAAAAAAAAAAAAAGCAAAATAGCAAAAATTATCTTACCAAAAAAAAAAAATCTCTTGAACATGTGTAATGTGTCAGTTTAGGTAGATCATTGTTACAACATTAAGCAGAAATAGATGTTTGTGAAATCAATAGTTGAAATGGATCAGAATATAAATAAATATCACATAAGATATTTTATACTTTTATATTGTTCTGCTTAATTAGTTGAACCACACTTCCCTCAAAAATTCTGTTTATCTCAGCTGATTTTGGGAATCTGATCAATTTTCCACAACTGAATGTTGACAGTTAGTCTTTATATTTTATTCTCCTAAAGTTTTCCAGAACTATAGCCTAAAGGGCTCTAATGATTATTTAAAAATAGAATCTACAGATCATTGTTTAATTCTCTACCATTTTAGGATTGTGAATCTTTTTCTGGAGACTGTTTTTTTTTACGTTTGTTTATCTAAGGACACCAATTTTATACAAGTTATCATTTAACATCACTGACTTCTCTGGCTACCATGCCCCCTTATCCTGGCTGGTCATATTCTTTCTGTGATCTTAACATTCGAGCTTTTAATAAGACTTAGTCACATATTAACAATTCTTACTAATATTATTTTAATAATAATGTTAGAAACAAAGTAAATAGCTTAAAAATGTATATAAGTATACTTACATTAGATATAACTACATATGTACATATACATAAGTTTATTATAAATGTTACTGAGATAAAACATGTATAGTACATGATTTATTACTACTAATAAAATATACATTACTTTTTGTTATAAACACCATATAATCAATTACTTTTCACAGAATGTTTTGCTAATTTTTGTTGAATTCTTGCATCACATATATTCTGTCACATGGATGTGACACACTTTGGTTAACCATTCATCAGTTGATGGATATTTAGATTGTTTTTACCTTTCAGCTGTTATGAATAATGCTGCATAAACATTTGTGTACAAGTTTTTTGTGGGGACATGTATTTTCATTTCTCTTGGATATATACCTAGGAGTGGAATTGCTAGGCCATGTGGTAATTCTATGTTTAACATTTTGAGGAACTATCAAAGTATTTTCCAAAACAGTTGCACCAATTTACAGTACCACCATCAGTGTTCGAGGGTTCCAATTTATCCATATCCTTACAACACTGTTATTGTCTGTCTTTTATATTATGCCTTCCAAATTAATGTGAAGTTATTCATTGTTTTTAAATAACAGCTTTATTGAGAAATAATTCATATACCGTAAAATTCACTTCCTTAAAACATAAAATGTGGTGATTTTTAGTATATTCAGTAAATTGTTCATTGCTATCTAATTCTAGAATATTTTCATCACTCCCCCAAAAAACTTCGTACACATTAGCAGTCATTTTCTCCTTGGCCTTTCCTTCAGTCCCTGGCAATCGATAGTCTACTTTCTGTTTTTGTAGATTTGCCTATTCTGGCTATTTCATATAAATGGAATCATACAATATGTGGCTTTTTGTGTCTGGCTTCTTTTGCTTAAAATAACGTTTTCAAGGGATATCCATGTGGGAGCATGTTTCAAATTTCATTGCTTTTTATGGTTGAATAATATTTAGTTGTATCAACATACCACATTTTGTTTATTCATTCATTCATCACTTGATGAACATTTGGGTTGTTTTCACAATTTGGATATTGCTGCTATGAACATTTGTATAAAAAATTTCCTTTTCATTTCTCTTAGGTATATGGCTAGGAGTTCAAATATGCTAACTTACTGTTTGGCTTTTTGAAGAATTGTCAAACTGTTTTCCAATGCGGCTGGACCATTTTATAATTCCATCAGCAATGTATGAGGATTCCAGTTTCTCCACATTCTCATCAACACTTGTTATTATCTATCTATCTATTTGAGTTTAGCCATCTTAGGGTGTTTGAAGTACTTTCTCATTGTGCTTTTGATTTGCATTTCCCTGGTGATTGATGATGGTGAATATCATTTTATGTACACATTGACCACTGACCACTTATATCTTTTTTTTTTTTTTTTTAATGGAGTCTCACTCTGTGGCCCAGGCTGGAGTGCAGTGGCACAATCTCGGCTCATTGCAACCTCCTCCTCCTGGGTTCAAGTGATTCTCATGCCCCAGCCTCCTCAATAGCTGGGATTACAGGCGTGCACCACCACACCTGGCTGATTTTTGTATTTTTAGTAGGGATGGGGTTTCACTATGTTGGCCAGGCTAGTCTCAAACTCTTGACCTCAGGTGATCCACCCACCTAAGCTTCCCAAAGTGGGATTAGAGGCATTAGCCACCATGCCTGGCCATCTTTATTTGAAGAAATATCTGTTCAGAGCTTTTGCTATTCTTAAAAGTTGGGCTTTTAAAAATTGTTGAGTCATCAGGAATTATTTATATATTCTGGACACAAGTCCCTTATTAGCTCTAAGATTTGCAAAAATCTTTTCTCATTCTTTGAGTTGTATTTTTACTTTACCGATGTTGTCCTTTGAAGCATAAGAGTACTTAATTTTGATGAAACTACTTTATTTATCTTCTGTTGTTGCTTGTATTTTGACATCATAGCTAACAAACCATTGCTTAATTCAAGGTCATGGAAATTTACATCATTTTTCTTTAAGAGTTTTATGATTTTATCTCTTATAGGTAGCTTTTGGATTTATTTTGAGTTAATTTTTGTATATGATGTAGGGGTTGAGGTTCAACTTCGTTGTTTTGCATATGGCTATCAAGTTGTCCCAGCACTATTGGAATTGTCTTGACACCCTTGTTGAAAAGCAATTGAGCAAAAATGTAAGAGCTTATTTCTGGACTCTCAGTTCTATTCTGTTGATCTATATATGTCTATCCTTAAGAAAGTTTGACACTGTCTTGATTAGTATAGTTTTATAGTAAGTTTTGAAATGGGGAAGTGTGATTCCATCCGATTTTCTTCTTTTTCAAGATGGCTTTGGCTTTCTGAGTACCTTGCATTTCCACATAAATTTTAGAATCCACTTGTCGAGGCATGCAAAAAAAGCAGCTAGAATTTTGATAGGAATTACATTCAATCTGTAGATCAATTTGGGGAGTATTAGTGTCTTAACAATATTAAGTCTTCCAATCCGTGAACGTGGGATTTATTTTTATTTAAGTTTTCTTTAATCTCTTTTGAAGATGTTTTGTAATTTTCATAGGATAAGTTTTGTACTTTTTTTGTTAAATTTGTTCCTAAGTATTTTATTATTTTTGAAGCTATTGTTAAATGGACTTGTTTTACTAATTTCATTTTTGGATTATTCATTTCAGATGTATGGAAATACAAATGAGTTTAGTACATTGATTATGAATATTGATCCTTTGCTGAATTCATTTTGTAGATGTAATTGTGTGTGTCTGTGTGTGTGCACATATGTATTCTTCAGGATTTTCTATATACAAGATCATGTCATCTGAGAATAAAGATAATTTTGCTCCTTTTTTCCAATCTGAATATCTTTTTTTTATATTTTGTCTAAATGTTCTATTGAACAGTAGTTGAATCAGAGTGGTGAATATGGATAGCCTTGTCTTGTTCTTGATCTTGTGGGGAAAGCATCCAATCTTTCAGCATTAAACATGATGTTAGCTCTGGCTTTTTCATAGATGCCACTTATCAGGTCGTGGAAGTTCCCTTTTATTTCTACTTTCTTGGTCTTTTTATCTTGAAAGTGTGCTGGATTTTGTCTAATGCTTTTTCTGTGTGTTTTGACATGATCATGCAGCTTTTGTTGTTCTACTGAATGATGTACTGTATTAAATTCTCTTTAAATATTAACCCAATCTTACATTCCCAGGATAAATCCTCTTTAATCATTATGTCTTAATGTGATAGGTTGCTGGATTCAGTTTGCTGGTATTTTATTGAGGATTTTTGTGTTTATGTTCATAACAGGTATTGATCTTTGGTTTTATTTTCTTGTGATGTCTCTGTGTAGTTTTAGTATCAAGGTCATCCTGCCCTCATAGAGTGAGTTGGGAAGTGGTCAGTCCTTTTCTATCTTTTTGGAAATTTTTGAAATTTTGGTAGCTATTCTTCTTAAAAGGTTTTATAGAATTTCCCATGAAGCCCTCTGGATCTGGGATTTTTCTTGTGGGAATTTTTTTAGATTACTAATTTAATATCTTTAAGTCTATTCAGATGTTTTTTCCTTCATGAGTCAGTTTTGTTAGCTTGTGTCTCTGTAGAAATTATTCCATTTCATCTAAGTTATCTAGTTTCTTGGCACATAATTTTTCGTAGTATTTCCTTATGGTCCTTTTCCTTTCTGCAGCATTACCAGTAGTGAGGTCCTCTTTTTTATTCCTGATTTTAGTAGTTTGAGACTTCTCTGTTTTTTCTTTCTTGGTCAGTCTAACTAAAGTTTTGTTAATTTTGTTGATCATTAATGTTGTTGGTTTCATTGATTTTTCTTAGTTTTCCACTCTTCTTCATTTCTGGTTCTCTTCAGCTCTTCCTGTGGATTTGAGTTACTATCTGGTATCGTTTACTTACTTCAATATAATTTTGTCCCCACTCACGTCCTTTTTGCTGTTATTTTCAAAAATATTACATTTCTATATGTAGTAGGCCAAATAAAACTATTATGTACCTTTTATTTATACAATTGTATTTATAATCAATGAAGAGAAGAAAGGAAAAGAAATAGGCATTTATACTGTCTTTTAAAAATTACCTACTTTGTCACCTTTACTGTCACTTTATTTCATGTGGATTCAGATTACTCTCAGGAGTCACTTGTTTTCATCTTGAAGAATTTCCATTAATATTTCTTGTGAGGTAGTATGCTAAGCAACAAATTCTCTGTTTCAGTTTGCCTTCCTTTTGCTTTCATTTTTGAAAGAAACTTTTGCTGGATATAAGATTCTTGGTGGGTAATTTTTCCCCCAGTACTTTGAATATGTTATACCACTGCCTTTTGACTTTCATTATTTCTGTTGAGGTGTCAGCCATTAATCACATTTGGTTTCCTTTGTACATGATGAGACCTTTTTTTTCCTTTTGCTGGTTTCAAGATATAGCTTTGTTTGTGTCTTTTAACATTTAAATTTTAAATGATTGTCTTTGCTAATTTTGACCAGCTTAATACATGGCTCTTTGGGGAGAGCTTTCCCCTATACATTCTGTCAGCTCTTGACCACTTGTTTTGGAACTTTCTATTTAATTTTAAAGCTTCACTAGACTCTAAATAGTTTCATTGCCTCTAAGCCAGGCTTTCTGTTGGCTGTCTCCATGTCTCACAAATAAAGTTGATTCATGTCATTTGGATTGTGTCAGTCTCTTTTTTAATGATCATAACGACTACACTCGTCCTCATATCCAGTTTACACTTTCCAATATACTCACTGACTGGATCCGTATGTAAAAGCTCTCATATCACATTTGCATCCTAGTTTGGGCTGTTCTAGATAAATTTAACCTTCATACCAAAATGTCACTCTGCATTATTTACCCCCATATATTAATCAATTTTACAAAATATTTTATTTCAGAGGTTATTTATACCTTTATATTCTCTTTAGGAAAAAGTTGTCTTCTCAATACTACAATACCAAATATTTTCAAAGTTCTCAGTATTAATTTATTTTATATTTTAATATACTGATTAGTATTTTAGGTTTAAATTTTTACTATACCATAAGCCTCATAACTATATTATTGTCTTTAAATTGAATAAATTTATAAATGTCATACATATTGAAATTTTCTTTTACTAAATTAGTCATTCACATTGTTTCTTTTGTTTTACTCTCCAATTTCAAAACTTCAAAATGATCAGATGATGACATATAGTGGAAGTTTGTTATAAGAGCAAAGATTACTTTAAGAGTTAACTTGCTTGTACAGCCCTCAAACATTCCAGTGTTGATGAAATGTGGGCACACGATGGTGCTTTTAACTTCAGTTTTCTTTATCATAGTTAATTCAAAAAAGAGAGATTCAGCAAAGCCAAAGGCTGCAAATTTACTTGCAGAATAATCTGAAAAAAAAGTGAGGAACTATTAGTAATAGAGCTTGACAAGTTAATTCTTGGAATTATTTTAAAAATTGAATCTCCTTCCCCTTTTTGTGGCTTGTCCTTGGGGACAAAGCATTCCTGTCAGAGTCAATTTATGTGGCCAAACACTCCACTCCTACATATCCACACTCTACACCCAACAAAAAGATGGAAATCATATCAGTGTTTCCTAACCCAAGAAGACCAAAGCCAATAGGCATATTCTGGCTGTTTTTTTTTTTTAGAAGAGAATATATCTCCTTCTGGAAATAGAAGAGAATGCTGGAATTATAAATAGAGTTCAATATTCCAGAGATTTCCCCTTGATGCAGGAACAGCTTCTATCTATCTTGGAAGAGTCCTAATTTCTGACTTCTGTGACACATGGTGAAACAAAGTACTCATCTGATAGTCCATTAATACCAACTACTCCTGCTATACTTGAAATACAAACCAGGTGACCATGGTTAGCTTTAATCACGGCAGGAAGGAAGGCCTTACAAGTCTGAAAGGTATAAATGCACTTTGTCAATATTTCATTCATTTATTACTATATTTGCTTCATAAGTATTTGATGAGTTTACTAATTTAACAAATATTTATTTAACACCATAATGTGTTAAATTCTGTGGCAGTAGAAAAGTAGGTACCATATAATCATTGTTTTCAGTGAGATTAGAGGTTATTATCTACTAATCTGTATTATTTGATTTCTTTTTCTTTTGAGGTAAACTATACTAATTGACTCAAATGAACATTTTATATTTGTGGTTGGCTAAAAATCTTAAAACCTAGTTTTTCTGGTATGCTGAACTTTTCCATGTAGTTTTTAGCAATTTATATTAAAATTTAATTGCATTTACCTTCCTGGCTTTACCCTAAACAAGATTTGCCCTTGCCCTGATGGTTTGGCAGAATGGGAGGAATTGTTTAAGGAAAAGTGAATTTCAGTGCAAGCTAAACACACCCAGGTAAGTAAAGCACTACCATATCTTAGATCTATTCTTATTTCAGCACTCCTTTTCTCATTCACTATGTAAATCCAAGTTTCTAATATCATTATCTTGTTGGCTGTGTTATTCTACTGGTTCTCTTATAAATGATTTCAACCTAACCTTGACAATGCTCTGATCTGTTTCTATGAGTTTGCAATGTTAACATTGTCAGAATTTGGTATGTATAGTTTTGGAGAGTGCCAAGATGTGCTCACCTACAAGGGGCCAGTAGAATAGAAAGCAGACACTGGATCAAAGAATGACATATTTGTTTTTGAGATATTCTTCATCTCAGTAACCTTGTCCCAGAGCTGCTGAACTAATTGGCAAGTTTCTGCTTAGATGTGAACAATTGGCCTCTTTTGACATTTCCCATCCAAACGCGGTGGCAATTTATACATGTGTCTTATAGTTGTAACATCTTTGTCTTTCAAAAATTAAATTCTTGTTGCATCAGTCATGACTGTAGACTAGTTAGAAATGACAAGAGCTGGTTATTGTCTTTCAACACAAAAGTGTGAAAGATCCGGCCAGATGCCCAGAGGACATCTCAGTGACTGTCTGGTAGACCCAGTTAGGTTTAAGGACAGGAAGCCTAGGTATGGAGGCCCAGCAGTGGCACCACTATTGATATCTAAAAGTTTATGAAACTTTCAAGAAAATGAAGCTGAGAAATGGAGTTGAAGGTGAGTATCAGTGCTACCTTTGTAAGAAATCCCATGGCTGGGGACAGTGAAACTCCCCAGAGTAAGGGAGAGAAAGCAGTGACCTACAATAGTTTATCATACAGCCGAACACTGGTGAAATTATAAAAAACAATGATGACGGTGGGAAGTTACCTGTTCACAGGGATGTAGCCACTTTTAGGAGTTTTGGTTTTTGAGACAGAGTCTTTCTCTGTCACCCAGGCTGGAGTGCAGTGGTGTGATCTCAGTTCACTGCAACCTCTGCCTCCCAGGTTCAAGCCATTCTCGTGACTCAGCCTCCCTAGTAGCTGGGATTACAGGCACGCACCACCACGCCTGGCTTATTTTTGTAATTTTTGCAGAGATGGGGTTTCACCATGTTGGGGAGGCTGGTCTCGAACTCTTGGGCTCAAGTGATCCACCTGCCTTGGCCTCCCAAAGTGCTGGGATTACAAGCATGAGCCACAGTACCCAGCCTAGGAATTCAATTTTGTTTGCTTTTCTCTATCAACATTTTTTTTTTTCCTGCAAAGTTTTCTGTATATGTATTTACTTTTGGCTGTGGCTGAATTTGTGGCTAGCTTCTCGTATGTTCAGTTGAGAAAAAAGTTCTCCCTCCTAGAGGGAAAAGGAATAGGTAATGACAAGGGTCTGTTTGAATTTGCAGGCCTATGTACCAGTAGAGCACTTTTTTAGGACATTCTAGAAGATGAATTGCTCATAGGGACCCATACCTAGTGCTCACTAGATGTATATCTATTACTAAAGGAAAGAAAAAGGAATATAATTAAGTGTTGAGTCAGCAATTAGTTGCCAAAAATGTATTTTACCTTTTGTAAAATATTTTTAGTGCCTGAGAAATTAATAGAAAATTACATATGGATCTAGGTTTGCACATTACTCCTAATCAAAGTAAATCTGTGAACAAATCAGATTTGTTTGCTAAACAGCTATATTCTGTTAATCAGGATTTCCTGATTTTATCACATGTGGGATGTAATGAAAACAAACATCAGATTTGCTTGATTTCATTTTATTGCATTTATGTAAGACTTCTTTTTTTTTTCATGGAAAAGCCAAATTAATAAACTTTCTAATTTTTTCAATACTGGTTTATGGGTCAGACAGATTATCTTTGTTTCCACAAAATATTTCTGGTTACAAAGAATACAAATATGCATACAGTTAAATTGAACTATAATGAATGATGACTTTACTATCAAAAAAAGATTGATGTTTTTGAACTTTAGTTTTGCAAGTTGCTTTCACTTAATTACTGCACTTGCATTGCCTTTTATAATTTTTCAGTGTCATCCCTTTGACCACCTTTTAATATCACCAGTGATTGTATTGCTCTGTAGTGTAACTTAAATGGCTTGAATATTTTAGGATAATATTAAGTTGGGTAAATTTATGAGAAATTTTTGGTTACCAATACAATTAAAAAAATTTAAATTCATAGAGAAAAGGTATTGAGTCACTCAGCACCATTTCGACCTGCTTTTCGTAAAGCTTCATTTGAGATAGTAAATTCAATGTAATATACACCTTAACTTTTAATATGATAAAGTTGTTTATATTTTAAAGTGATCATTGAAAGCCAAAAGTGATATAGTTACATAGTGATACATTTTTTTGTGTGTGTTTAAGCTCGTATACACATATAAGAGCATATTAAAACTAATGAACAAAAGAAACTTCAGTATGATAAAGATGATGGACCTGATAGCTTAAAATCTCTTGGAATATTCCAGTCTGTTGTAAACAAGAGGTATTGGAAGGTTATTTTTGACCTTTGTGTAGTCTGCCCAGAGAGCATGGATTCTTATCTTGTCAAAATATTCTTACTCTGAGCACTTGAGACCTACTTAACTTTTTGTTAAATCAAATAACCAAAACTGGCCACATCTGAAAGATCTAAAATCCCTTAATAATTATACTGTGATGTGCTGTTAGGTGTATTTAAAAATCAAAACAAAACTATTGTCACTCTGGCTCTTAAGGCAGCCAATTACAGCTCTTCCATAGTTTTTGTTTAGAAAAATAAGTCTATAGAGGTGTTTTTGCATTCAAAGTCATCTTTGGTACTTCTTAGGTGACCAAATCACCCATGGTCTGTTCCCTTGGCCTGATTTCATTACACGGCAATTAGCAGCAGCAGGGTGGCTAGAGAAAATGAGGTACACTGGGTATGCTCCACATTTCTTCATTAGCTGAACCCTATTTAGGACCTGCCCTGAGAAAATGTGGGGAAAAATTGTCAACTCCAAAAGAGAAACTCAACATTTTCTTGGATGAATTCATTAACACAAATATATTTAACCAGAAATTGCACACTTGCCAGGACAGTTAGAAAGACCCTGAGGATTTGTCAGTGCTCTTGCTATAATAAGTAACCAAATTCTTATAAAATAATTATGTCTTATACCCCAATACCAGTTTCTATTTTCTTAATTTGGTATCTTTGGTTATTGAAATGAATTAACTAGAGCCATTGAGTTTTGTCATCAGTAGGTAATTTCTAGTCTTCCTGTTCTTGCCTGGAGTCTTCTAGAAGTACAAACTGGAAACTGTGCCTTGTCAAGACAGCCCAGAAGGACACACTCAGAGTCGCAGTGTGGCCTGGACCGTGCCAAGGATCGACTCATTGGAATGGGCTTCCCAGTGTGGGCTGACGTTGCCACAGTGAGGAGGCCCCTGCAAGGTCATGTCTGGGGCTGAGCCAGGTCCACAGAACCTGTTTAGTACAGGAGTAGATGGCTATGTGAAAGCAGGCCCTCACCAGCATCAGGCAGAACAGAATTAATGGTATATGTCTGGGTCACAGCATCAGTGAGGGAAATTTAATGTGGTCGAAGTTCTATTTTCTAATGGGCATGTGAGCAAGCCCTTTTTACTTCTTGATGTGTTTTCAGTTCTCTCTTCAGGAAGCTAATGCAAAGTGGCATGAAACTTTTTGAATGCTATCTTAATTCAAGGAAAAATATCTTATGGGGATCTTGATTTAGATTATAAACTGAGTGAAGATTTGAAGGAATGTAAGGATGATAATAATTTTAGTACTTGAAATTCAGATAAATGTTTTCACAATAGGTTAAGCTTAGAAAAATGTGTGGAATGAAATTTAACTTATTCTAATCATTGTACATTCATATACAATCAAACTAATTTTACAGATAATATGAAAGCTATTAATTGCCATTGTGCACAAACCTACTGATGGCAGTCGGTAGATTCTATTATAATGACTTACTGAGATCCTTTATCTTTCATGGTGATGTGCCTATCTGTACCTGTTCAATAAGTAGAGCGAGGCCTTCTTTTCCCAGGATATAATGAGTAGTTTGATAATGCAACCAGAGCACAGGTGTGCCCAGTTTAAGAATAAGTTTAATTTAATCATGTATGACAAGCCTATTCTTTAGGGATGATGGTTGCTATTCATATATTGAACCAGCTGCCTCCTCAGGAAATTGAACTGATACCTGCTTTATGGGTCACAAGTCCCCTTCCAGCCTTACAGGTATTAAGGGAGGTCACTTCCTGGTAGACCAGGAGCCTTGGCAGGTTTGGGAGACCTCAAGAAAAAAAAGGCAAATCTCTCACTAGAAGAATTGCAGTACAATTTCTCCCCAGAAGTACTGCAGGCAGCACCCGGTGGAGATATATTTATTGGGTTTGGTCTCATAAACCCTTGGAATAGATGAGCTAGTAAGAGCAGTAGAACAAAATTTTAAAAATCTCTCTAATTCTTGAGATGAATCAAGATTCTTTCCATCATCTTCAGATGGAAGTTGATTTCCTGGTTTCAGTGGTTGCTCAGTATCATCTGTCTCTAGGTTTGCTGACACACAACCAGAAGGCTTATGTGTGTTTATTAATAGCTCTTACCACTACCTATGGAGCTGATTCAAGGCAAACAACAGAGCACATACACAACGTAAAGATACAAGTTCAGAGGCTACATGAAGCCTAAAGAATGAGAAGGAGCTACTATGTGAGTGAGGAGAAAGAATATTCCTGTTGGAGAGAGAACAGCTTGTGCAAAAACCCTCAGGTGGGAAAGAGCTTGATGTTCTCTGGAGTTTAATCAGGATCCTTGGCTTGTAGAAAATTAGCAGAAAGTAGCTGGCTGTGGTGGCTCAAGCCTGTAATCCCAGCACTTTGGGAGGCCGAGGCGGGCGGATCACAAGGTCAAGAGATAGAGACCATCCTGGCCAACAAATTGAAACCCCGTCTCTACTGAAAATACAAAAAATTAGCTGGCATGGTGGTACCTGCCTGTAGTCCCAGCTACTCAGGAGGCTGAGGCAGGAGAATGGCGTGAACCTGGGAGGCGGAGCTTGCAGTGAGCTGAGATCGCACCACTGCACTCCAGCCTGGGTGACAGAATGAGACTCCATCTCAAACAAACAAACAAAAAAAGATGTGTTGGAAGTCACCAGTGTTGAGGGTGGAAGGCCCTGAGGAGCTGTTGGTGAGAGATGAGGATGGCTTCATCCAGGGGCTGGCAGCAGAAAGGAGAGACATGCACTTGGGCATGTTGTGCAGGGACAGCCAAGGTTGCTGGTGTTGAGGGAAGGGGAGGAATCAGGATGATTTATAGATTTGTGATGTGATTGTAATGGGTGCACCCTAGCTCCATTTAACAAGATGACATTTCCCCTTTCTGAAGGAAATGTTTGGGGTAGGGTAGTACAGGGAAGGAAATCAATGGTTTTCACAAATGTTTCTGGAAAACATATTATACGGCAAGCACTGTGGTAAGTGCTCAAGGAATATTGGTTAAAACAGGTTAGTGGGGGTTCCCATTATCTTCCCAGTGACCAAGGAAGAAGACCAAGGAAATAGTTCTGAGTTCCATGGAGAGTGGTATAAAAGTGTACAGTGGAAAGAGGGAGGAATCAGGAGACATGTAAAGGAAGCCCATTCCAAGGTCCTATTTTTGGAGACACAGAGAACTAGGGCCATACCTGTCCCCACTTCCCCATGTCTCCCAATGCCCTGGTTTCAGCACCTGTTTCTCCCACAGGCCCCATTTGCCGCTGATCCCTGTTCATTCCTTGGCAGCATCAAGTATGAACCCTCTTAGTGGAAACATCTCTGGTAACTCTTCTCTCCTTTAGCCTCTACCCACTTTCTAGAGTTGCACTGACCAAGGAGGTAGCCTTTAGGCATGTGTGGCTGTTTAAATATGCATTTAAGGTTGGGTGCGGTGGCTCACAGCTGTAATCCCAGCACTTAAGGAGGCCAAGGCAGGTGGATCACCTGAGGTCAGGAGTTCGAGACCAGCCTGGTCAACATGGTGGAACCCCATCTCTCCTAAAAATACAAAAATTAGCCGGCACAGTGGCGGGTGCCTGTAGTCCCAGCTACTCAGGAGGCTGAGGCAGGAGAATCGCTTGAACCCAGGAGATAGAAGTTGCAGTGAGCTGAGATTGTGCCACTGCACTCCAGCCTGGGCAACAGAGTGAGACTCTGTCTCAATAAATAAATAAATAAATATGCATTTCAATAGATTATATGATATAAAGTTAAAAGTTTAGTGCTTAATCCCATTAACCACACTTCAAGTGCTCAGTAGCCACAGATGACTAGAGGCTTTCATATTGGGAAGCACAGATGAAGGCCATTTCCCCCATCAAAGACAGCTCTACTGGGCAGCATTGTGTAAACCACTCCAGGCCTCAGGAAAGACACTCCTGAGCCATGAATTAACTCATCTTTTTCTGTAATTTTTCACTCTGTACTTCTTCCTTCTGTAAGCATGGGCCACCATTTACCAGTTGCCTGACCTTGGGGAATTCATTTAAATACTTTGGGCCTCAGTTTCCTTATTTGTAAAATGAGAGTGAAAATGGCATAATGGCTGCAAGTACTCAACAAATAGTGGTGATTGTGATTCATCCCCCCCTTAATTCCTCTATTAGAATGCCCAGTCCTGCATGCCCATAAACCACCACTCTAAAAATAGCCCCTGTCTCTGCACAAGCTCCTTTTGCACTCATGGCCAAATTAAATCTCTCTTGTATAATTGCTGTCACTTTCAGTTTGTATTTAGGTGGGAAGATTTCTGACAGCCTAATAAGTCTTGGGAACAAACTGCAGAGGGTAGAGGGAAAAAAAATTTCTCTGATAATTTGGAAGAAAACAAGATCAGGAAAAGCACAACAGATAAACCCTGCAAGGATTGAGACCCCACATCTTTCAATGGAAAATCCCCAAATGGTATGTTTATAAAGAAATGCATGAACAAGTGTTTATAGGACTGCATGGAATTTTCGTACTCACCAACAAAATAAAATGATAAAGAAAGAGGTTTACCCAGAAATGAGTGATGGCATTTACAAGAAAGGATTTTTCCACCATGTGATCTGGAATATCGAGGAAGGGCTTTCCCGTGACTAAGTCAGCATTGTTAACGAGGATGGTCACGTCACCAAATTCTTTCCTGACCTGGTCAGAGGGAGGCAAGCATTGGTTCAATTGAGGCACTGCATTTTGACATTTATTTTCTCAAGTTGCGATTTTTTTTTCTCATTTTCTTCATGTAGTTTCTCTGAAGCTAGATTTTTTTTTTTTTTTTTTTGAGACAGAGTCTCATTCTGTCGCCCAGGCTGGAGTGCAGTGGCACAATCTCGGCTCACTGCAAGCTCCGCCTCCTGGGCTCACACCATTCTCCTGCCTCAGCCTCCCGAGTAGCTGGAACTACAGGCGCCCGCCACCACGCCCAGCTAATTTTTTGTATTTTTAGTAGAGACGGAGTTTCACCGTGTTAGCCAGGATGGTCTCTATCTCCTGACCTTGTGATCTGCCCGCCTCAGCCTCCCAAAGTGGTGGGATTACAAGCGTGAGCAACCGCGTCCGGTCGAAGCTAGATATTTTTATCTTGCATGTAGAAATTCTTCAGCTTAAAAAAAAAAAAACAGATTTAGCCAGATTCTGGATTTTTTGTGTGGAGACGACCTGCAGCATATTTTCCTCACCTCCCATTTCTGTTACCTGACTGCCCGTTCCCGGGTCACTAATGGCAGTGGAGTCTGAGTGACACTGCCTGCCTGCATGTCTCAGAACGGCTCCCTTTAGATGGCCTTCAGGTTTTCCCGCAGCACATCAGCAGGTGTCTGATGCCTGCTTCTGTGGGCGTCATCTCCCCTACTTCTCTCTGAGGAGGAAGGCAAGACATATCTCATCCCCTCAAGCCGGGTGAGTTTTGCATGAACACATCCTAAACATGGATGCCTTTGATCCGCTGCCGATGGACTTCCATGTTTCTGTGCTCTTCTATCCAATGGACCCCGTAGAATCGAATTACTCTCTGTGACTGATGTTGCCTTGAGTTCCTCAGCTGTGCCGCTATTGTGCCTCCTAAGTCCTCATCATTTTCCTTCACCCTTCCCTCCTAAATTGCCCACCTCATCTGCCTGCACGAACCCCAATATACCACAAGCGCTGATCAGAGAAGAGTATGCTCCAGGAAACACCTGAGGGACTGGTTTCCTCTCTTCACCGTTTTGACTCACATTATTATGACTTTGTAGGTGACATTGAGAAAGGTGACCCAATGGCAAATCATGAAGTATGTTTAAACAGCAATTAAGACTTTCCTCCCCTGAAATGGATCTCTCAGCTGCTACAACTATCTGTTTCTTTTTTTCTAAACAAGGAGCACTACCTGCCCTGATTTTGTTTTCTAATTCCTGGTCCATGCACTGCTAGTTGAGCCTGCCAGATAACACGATTTGGAGAATAAGGTAAATATTGCTGCTGATGTAGTAGGTTGGAATGAGCTAGGAAAGGAATAGTTAATACTGCTGAGCTGATGCTGGGCTGAGGAATTAGACTCCTCTACTAGGGAGAGAGGCAGGGCAGAGGCAAACATCCACAGGAGACTAACTTTTAAAGAAGGGCATCTCATTGGCTTGGTGAAGCAATCAGTGTGAGCAAGTGCTCAAGACCAATGAGGTGGTAACAGGGACCCAAGAAAGAGGTAGAATCTTCAGCTTAATACGTTCCTGAACACTTAAGAAAAGCCCAGTGGCTGCTGTCATGCAGTTTAAGAAGCCTTGAGCCTTAGGGACAACAGGGACAAGAGAAATTTTATTTAGATCATGGGATTTAATTTTTACTTTATCTCCAAGAGGCAGTCTAGGGAGGCATCATTATCCTAGTATACAGATGAGGAAACAGGCTCTGAGAAATTAACATCTTGCCAAAAGACCCATAGCTTTTGAGAAGAGCAACAGTGATTCACACCCAATTTAAATACACACAAAAAAGCTGTTTCCCTCCAAATTTACTACTCTTTCTAGTAAAAATGATTATTGCTGTAACAAGCCAGTCTCATGTGTGTGCACATGCGCACACACACACTCACACACATACAGATAAATATTAATCATTGATTGGACCTGGACATTTGAAAATAAATTGTGAACCTACTTATTTTAACAAAAGCAATTTATTAATATATTGGTTTTCTATGAATGTTACCTCACTCTAATTTTGGGAAGTTAATTACCATGCACCTTTAGAATGCTGTTATTGCTATTCACTTTTCCACGAATTTCAAGGAATCTGGTAAAGCCTGTGGTTTGTTGAACGTCTTGAAGCACAACCCTAGTATTTAGGTTTCTTGGAAGTTGCTACATAATTGAAATAATACAAAAAACACATATAAAGTAGTTGGCTGAGAAAAATTCTATTTATAGGAGTGCGGAAAAGAACATTTTAATATGAAAAGATAATTTTAGGTTAAAGTTTTAGTCTGGTTTCTACTAAGTAACAAGAAAATGTTGACCAAGAAGGAAAGATTTGTTAGGGGTTGGCAGTGGGGGAAGAAGGCAGGAGATTACAATACTTTTGATCAAAGAAAGAGGATTATGAAGGGGTCTTTCGATTATGCACATATTGTTGATGTCCCTTTGGGAATGCAGCATGGGGTCTGACCTAGGCAATGGGGTCCCTCACTTGTCTGCTCTATGGCCTGGGTAAGTTCCTTAAACTCTCTCTGCCTCTGCTCCATCACTAGTAAAATGGAGAAAATGATAGTACCTACTTCGTTGTGAAGATTATATGGGATAATACTTTGGAAGAAAACACTTTTTCCAGGGTCCTGATCTGGCTAGTTAGTGGTACTGGGACTGGAGCTCTGTTAGACTACTTCCCAAGCTCATCCCGGATATATTCGTCTACTAACTTTTCCAGCCATGTGTCTTTCCTTTTTACAAATGAGGACTAACTTTGATCCCACTTGCTTTGTACTAAAATATGCCTAAGGATCTACAAAACAATACTTGCATTAGCTGGTGATGAATTATAAAGAACAAATCCTATGGGACCAACGAATAAAGAAGAAGGCAATAGAAAATGAAGGTCAAGGGTGAAGAGGGTGCTTCAGAAGGTTAAGTGTCACAAAGTAGGACTCAATCAATATTTTTTGAATGGATCAATAAGTGAATTCCATATATAGAGCTTAGATTGATTGTCAAAGGGGAGGAAAATCCCTTGGAGATTCTGTTATCAAAGTGTTTGCACCCCTTTGGGCCATAGCATAGTGGATAAGAGAACAGACTTTGGCTTCAACCTGCCTGGGTTGGAATCTTGGCTAATCATTAGTTTTATGATCTTGGGCAAATTACATATTCATTCGGTCCTCAGTTTTCTCATTTGTAAGTGGGGATGATGATAATGATGTATACCTAAGAAGGTGATATTGTGTTGATTAAATGAATTGTGATGTGTGTAATGTGCTTAGAATAGTAACTATTTGTAATATAGTGGGCTTTTGGTTTTTTTCTAGTGCTGTCTTGACCAATTTGAGGCCATGGCTAGAGGCTGATCAGTTCCCCTTCCTGAGCAGCCAGTTAAGTCCACATATCCAAACACTTCACTTATTGAGTCCTCACACTCTGGGCTGCTCTATGCCCACCACAGTTACACCAGGGCCAGGTACCAGACAACCAGGGGCAGCCTCCAGGCCCTAGAGCCCCCTGAAGTTATTCAAATTAACCAGTCCTGAACATGCTTACCCTGCCTTGCCCATTCCTTCCTGAGGAAAACACATAAAGGCCCCCACCACTGGCCCGACCTCCCTGCTTCATGAGTGACCCCAGTGCTCCCCTTCATGGTCCTGTAGGCTGTGCTGTGTTTGCCCCTGGGGACTGTGAGCAAAACAAAATGGAAATGCTCGATTCTGTTTCTTTCTCTCCATCTGCGTCTGGCCTCACCACACCGTACTCGAGGTAACATGGTTGAAACGCTACTCAAAAGCTGACCCATTGCTGTTAGGGTACCTGCTAGCTACGTAACAGATGGTAGCTACAATTTAGAGTATTTGTCAATAGTTAATGTGGAGTTAGAACAAATATCAACAGGCTAAGTCTAAGAGGAAATTTGATCTAAAATATGCTAAATGCATATTTATATTTATTTTTATTTTTGTTTTTACTGTATATTTCATATATAGCCTCAGTACATGATGATAATGGATATGATGCATTAGAATCACAAACCACTGGCCCGGTGTGCTGGTGCACGCCTGTAATCCCAGCACTTTGGGAGGCCAAGGTGGGCGGATCACTTGAGCTCAGGAGTTCCAGACCAGCCTGGCCAACATGGTGAAAACCCATCTCTACTAAAAACAATATATAAAAATTAGCTGGGCATGGTGGTGTGGGCCTGTAATCCCAGCTACTGAGGCAGGAGAATTGCATGAACCTGGGAGATGGAGGTTGCAGTGAGCTGAGATGGGCGCCACTGCACTCCAGCCTGGGCAACAGAGCAAGACTATGTCTCAAAAAAAAAAAAAAAAAAAAAAAGAATCACAAAACATAGAAAGTTAAGTTAAAGCTGGATATGATCTTAAAGATCATTTGGTTCAATCCTTTTGTTTTACAGACGAAGAAACAGGGACCTAGAGAGGGCCAGTAACTTGTTAAACATTGCACAACCAATGAGCTGCAAAGCCAGGAGTAGGCCGCTTTTCTACCACCTCCTGCCAGTGAATGAGTCTCCCGGAAACACAGCTGGGCAGCGCTGGGCTCAGGCTTCTCAGATCCCCACTTGCCTTGTTTACACTGTTCTCCCTTTTGAAGGTTACATAGTCTGATTTCTGACATGCAGAATCAAGCAGGAAACACATAGAGAGCTTGAGGGAAATTTATGACAAACTTCTATCTGTAAAAGTGCATACAAGATGCAGTATTTTCTTTGGGAACAGAAGCAGAGAACACCAGTCAGCTTACCTGATCAGCAACTCTGTAGACCTCTTGTCTGTTGCTACAGTCACACGTGTAGGGAAACACTTTCTTACCACCCTTTTCTTTGGCCAGTCGACACGTTTCCATATTGCCTTCTTGATTAACATCCCATAGAACTAAAATGGCTCCAAACCTGGCAAAATATATAGCCAATTGCCTCCCAAGTCCACTTCCAGCTCCCGTTGTAAGTACAATCTCTCCAGCAACATTCTTTTTCTTCTTGGGAATTATCTTGTAAACCAAAGATTCCAAAAAGTAATATGGAAATTTTCCCAAAAGTACTGAGGTGTCTGCAATCACATCCATGTTTATTGACTGCAGAAAGGAATGTTCTAATAAGGAAAAACGTAAGTGATAAATCCATGATACTATGGCAACTATTACAGTACACAGAGAACATTTTGCACAAAGAAATTTACCTTTGAGATTTACCTTTCATTCTCCAAAACATACAAATTAACAACAATTGACACAATTGTCAAACTTAAAATTTATATAAATAATGATTATGGAAATATTTTTTGTCAACAAGTACCTTTCCCTACAGGGCACTTGCTTACACTAATCTAATTTAACCCATAGGTAGGTCACAGATTACTAGGCCAATTTTACAGGTAAAGATATAAAATCTTCGAGCCTTGAGTTGCCCAGTATTATTTGACTAGTAAACTAAGACGTTGGAAGTACATCAAGTGCTCTCAGGGTTGCAGAACAGTTAAGTGGTGCCACTACAATCCCACAAAGGACTTGGACCCAGGGTTGTGTGGCAGGGAGTCTGGTTTTCAGTGGGATAGTGGAGACACTGAGAAAAATGGGCAGGGAGGATTGCATTTGAGTTTTAGCTAGAAGGCTGCCTCTAAGAACAAGGAGAAAGGGTATTACAGCTTCCCCTTGTTAACTTATTGAAAATATTAACTATATTCTAAAAGGTATTCTCCTTGGAAAATTTTAGGGACTTAGAGTGTTCACTTGGAGATTTCAAGCTTACAATCATCAAAAAGATTAAGCCATGAAAAATTCACTCTCTTCTCTAAGCTTATATAGACTTTTCTGATTCAAGCACAACCCTAGAAACATATAGTACATTACAATGATGAAACGAAGCTGTATCTTATCACCTATAAAAAAATACAGGTATTATGGAGAAGGCATTCTGGGCCACAGGATTTTTGTGTGGAGAACAAGAGAGAATTGGGACTTTCCTCATAACTTTTCTGTATAAGAAAGTCTGTTTTCAAGGTAGATGATTTATCTTGAAAGAAATTCAAGTAGCTTTCTATGAAAATCACTAAATTGCAGCAACATATTGTTATGCTTTGGGACCACTTTGAGGACAAGAGTTTTGACATTTCTTCAAACCTGAACTAATAGCTCACACCCTCAGACCACTGAAAGTGTTCAATTTTGGAATAAAAGAAAAAAGTACAAATAAGCCTTGATAGAGAGAGTGCTGGCCAGAAAAGACAATTATTCCTATGCAGGTCCTGGGGCGGCTGTGGCAACCAGGCAGTTAGAAAAAAAAAAATCGTGAAGCATTCCCATGAGCAAACACTTAAGTGCTAAATGGCACCATGTGCTTATTTCATTCTCAGAATAGCCCTGTGGGGTAACTATGAGGCTTAAATGGGGACATAACTTGCTGAGGGTTGCACCATTTGTAGGTAGAAGTGGGATTTGAGCCCAGATTCTATGATTCCAGAACTCCTTTTCTTTTGACTACTACACATGTAACTCCCCAAATGACTTCAGTTAACTGGGCCTTGAATCACAAGGATCGTCTTTCATTTTTCAGGCATGTACTGAGTGCTTCAGGTTGAAGAATAGGCCATGAGAATGGAGGAAGTATTAGTACCATGTTCACCCACATTATGTAGGGTGGAATGAGTAGGATTCACTCTGGAGACGTGGACTCAACTGCTGGCCCTGCCACCGACCAGTTGAGGGCTTTGGGCAAGGTTTGCCTTTGTGAGCCTCTGGGTATTTGTCTGCGAAGTTGGCATGATATTTAACTCCCAGAAATGCTATACATTTTCAAATATCAAATGTAACAAAGCATTTTATAAATTGTAAAATGCCATGCAAATATTAGCTTCTATCACTTGCACAGGAGCCTCTTTGATGATGACACTGAGTTTGCAGCCAGCTGGCCATAAAGATGCCAAACACGCAGGCATGGGAAGCTTTTCTCTACTGTTTAGCGTTGTGCCTCAACTATGAAATTGCTGAGGAGGGCATGGGAGACGAGTTTGTTGACAGGTGTAGGGCTCCACTGAGGGGCCAGGACAGGAATTCAGGCACATGTGTGTGGCACACACAAGCACGTTCCCTCCACTATCTCTTGGCTTTCTCTCATGTCCTTAACCACCTCTTCTCAACTTGCCAAAAGCCACGCTAGCGAACAACAATTAGAAAAGAGGAATAAAGAGATGATCATAGAATGACTTCACACCCCTATTTAGAAATTGCACTAAATCATGCTCAGAGAAACTCATTCTCAGCTGCAGACACTTAGAATGTTCTCCTGAATGGCTAAATAAATGAATCTTACCTGCAGAAATGCTGCACTCTGGTAGCACGGGCGTCCTTACAGGGGCTGAAGCAAACACCACTCATGTCGGTAGCTAAAAGCTCGCTCTTAAATAACTTTGGGTTTACTATTTCTCCCACAACTTCTGAGATCTGTCTGTGTGCAAGATAAAGGAGTGTCAACCATGAGAATTTGCCTGGGCTTCACTTGTGCTTGTATTAGTGCAATATATGGCATACAGCCTGCACTTTCAACTCCCAAAGTGGCCTGGAGGAAAGGTGCGTCCTGTGAAGTAATTTATAGGCATAACACTGGTTTTATGTCAGGCTTCCCGTGGGTATCTTGAAATCTTTATTTCTACACTGAGGACACAAACACCTCCTTAGTTCTGTTAGGAAAATGTGAAACACAGTTGCAGCATCATCTAAACAAGTTGATTGTCAGGATTCAATATTTTCTCCCAATTTGTATTATGAAAACTTATCAATACAGAAAACTTTGGGAAATGGCACATAAATGTTCTAAGAACCCAAACTTGAACCAAACAGTCAAGCCAAACATTTTACCTTTTTTTTTTTTCAACAGATTCATCAATAATCATCTCACTCCCCAGCTCAAAAATATTGAGACTTCCAAATGCACTAAGAATAACATACAGTTGCCTGTCATGGCCTCCCTTATCTCTCCCTCACCTCTCATTCTCTACTTTTCTGCTTTTTTTTTTTTGAGATGGAGTCTCACTCTGTCACCTGGCTGGAGTGCAGTGGTGTGATCTCGGCTCACTGCAGCCTCCACCTCCTAGCTTCAAGCAATTCTCCTGCCTCAGCCTCCCGAGTAGCTGGGACTATAGGCACGTGCCACCACACCCAGCTAATTTTTTGTGTTTTTAGTAGAGACGGGGTTTCACCATGTTGACCAGACCATAGATCTTGATCTCTTGACCTTGTGATTTGCCCACCTTGGCCTCCCAAAGTGCTGGGATTACAGGCATTAGCCACTGTGCCTGACTGCTTTCTTTTTTTTTTTTTTGAGACAGAATCTCACTCTGTTACCCAGGCTGGGGTGTAGTGGCCCAATCTCTGCTCACTGCAACCTCCACCTCCTGGGTTCAAGTGATTCTCCTGCCTCAGTCTCCCAAGTAGCTGGGACTACAGGTGCATGCCACTGCGTCTGGCTAATTTTTGTAGTTTTAGTAGAGATGAGGTTTCACCATGTTGGTCAGGCTGGTCTGGAACTCCTGACCTCAGGGGATCTGCCCGCCTTGGCCTCCCAAAGTGCTGGGATTACAGGCGTGAGCCACCATGTCTGGACACCATATTTGCTTTCTATCTCCTCCTCTCTATCTCTGGCTGAACCGTTTGAAAATAAGCAAATATCATATTATACTGCAAATACTGAGCCCTCATCTCCTAAGAAGGAGTTATTCTATATAACCCCAATAAAATGATGAGACCTGATAAAATTAACAATTTCATACTATCATCTAATCCATATTCAAAGTTCCCCATTTGTCTCAAAGATCCAATTAAGAGTCATGCATTGCATTTGGTTGTGATATCTCTTCAATATCCTTTTGTCTGGAACAGCTCTGCTTCATCTTTCTAAAAAAATTATTGATTTATCTATTCACTGACTTTTTGAAGAGTCCAGGCCAAATGTCATGTAGAGTGCCCCATATTCTTGATTTGTCTTTCTTTTCTCATGGTGTCATTTAACTGGACTTCTGTTCCCTGTATCTTCTTCAAACTTCAAGTTAGAATTAGAGAGTTGATTATACTCAGATTAAATATTTTTATCAAGAAAATGTCATACATGATGTGGAACACTTTATTGCAAAACATTAAAATGTCTAGTGTCAGGCTGTTGTTCCATTATTAATGATGGCAAATTCAGTCACTAGGGAAAGTGGTGACCACAAGATTTCTCCCTTGTTCGGGCACATTTCCCACTTTATAATTGCTAGAAGTCTGCGGAATGGTACTTGGGCACCATGTGACTCTTGCTCCCCATAATCTTTCACCTAATGGTTCTTTAAACTATAGTCTTTATTTTTTAGAGCAGTTTTAGGTTCACAGGAAATTGAAAGCACAGATTTCCCACATAATCCCCACCTGCCCCAGTCCTCCCAACATCAACATCCCCCACCAGAGTGGTCCATTTGTTACAATTGATGAACCTACATTGACACATTATTATCACTCAAAGTCCGTAGTTTACATTAGGGCTCACTCTTGGTGTTGTATGTTCTATGGATTTTGACAAGTGTGTAATGACATGTATCCATGATTACAGTATCATACAGAGTAGTTTTACTGCCCTAAAAAATAGTCTGTTCTCTGCCTATTTATCCCCACTTCCTCCTAACCCTGGGGAACCACAGAACTTTTTACTGTCTCCATAGTTTTGCATTTCCTAGAATGTCATATTGTTGGAATCATACAGTATATAGCCTTTTTAGATTAGTTTCTTTCACTTAGTAATATGCATTTAAGATTCGTCTGTGTCTTTTCATGGCTTGATAGTTTATTTCTTTTTAGCACTAAATAATATTATTTTATCTGGATGTACCACAGTTTATCCATTCACTTAAAGACATCTTTGTTGCTTCTGAATATTAACAATTACAAATAAAACTTCTATAAATATCTATGTGCAGGTTTTTGTGTCAACATAACTTTTCAAGTCCTTTGGATAAATACCAAGGAGCACAACTGCTGGATCATGTGGTAAGAGTATGTTTAGTTTAGTAAGAAGCTTCCAGACTGTCTTCCAAAGTGGCTATAACCATTTTGCTTTCCTTCAGCAATTAATAGGAGTTCCTGTTGCTCCACGTCTCCATCAGCATGTGGTATTGTCAGTGCTTTGAATTTTAGCCATTCTACTAAATGTGCAATGCACCTCAAGATTTTAACATCTGTTAATGACCCTTGCCTAAATCAGTGATTACACTTGGGCATGAAAATGCTGATTTTCTAGTTTAGCATTCTTTCCACATTTATTAACTGGCCTTCCTCTGTAACAGGTATCATTTTGCTGTATTTTTTTAATAGTCTTTCTTGCAATGGAGGATTCTAAAGAAAAGAATGACTCTCACCATGTGGATTTGTTATGCTTTGTGCCTCTCAGGGACTCACAGAAAGCTACATGTAACTGACTGTTACTCCATCATTTTGTATGCCTCATAAAACCTAGCCAATGTCTTGCATATGACAAGTATTCAGTAATTATTTATTGAATTTAATTTAATTTAAGAATGAGTCTCAAATGCTATCATGGATGTGGTCAATGAACTCTCAGTGTACTTACAAGTTCCTGGAAAACAAAAATGATATGAATCAAATATATAATGGCAGAAGAGAAATATTTTGAAATACTTTTAAGATTAACATCCCATAATTACTGCTTTACATATCTCTCTCCTCCACTAGACTATGAATTTCTCAAGGGGAAGGACTGGACAAATTAACTTTGTATTCCTGGTACCCAATGAGGGGTAAAACTCACAATCAATTCTTCATAAATATTTGCTGAATCCACGAAATAAAGTTGTAAGATTGGTTCATTGTTGGACTATTTTTTTTCTTCTGTCATTCTAGTATGTCTTTTTAAGCCTGTGGCTTCCTTTCTTAGGTTCACCATGTGGCTGCTGGTGTTCAACAATCACATTTAAGTTCCAACCAGGAAGAAGGGGAAGGCAAAAAGCAAAAAGAGCATTTTCCCCAAAGCCTGCTTCTGCTACTTCTGCTTTTAGCTTCACGACAACTGTCATCTGCAGAGGAAGTTGAGAAATGTCATCTCTTAGCTGGGCATATTGCTCCTCCAATAACATTAGCATTCTGTTACTAGGTAAGCAGGGGTAGTATTCTGGCAAGATCAGTTTGGGGCAAAATTTCCTATTTTTCTATTTTGAAATCCTTAGTAGAGTTGTCTTCCCTCTAGTTGAATTCATCCTTCCAATTTCTCTTCTGAGAAAATAATACTTTGATACACACATCTATATACACATATGTGTACATATATACACATACACAGACATGTACACAAATGCATATATGTATATATTTGCATTGTGTTATATATGCACATAGAAATATATGTTTCTATACATATGCACATAAAAGCATATATGTATTTATATCCACCATCCCTGTATACACTCACATATACATACACACATATACACACACATACACACACACACACACACACACCTTTTTGTCATAGCTCTCTGGGAGTTCTCTGGGATTGACTGGGATTGATGTTGAGGAAAAGGTGTGAAAGATCAGAACGAATAAGTGCAGGGAATAGAATTAGACAGGACTCTCTTCTACAATGTCCAGGGGCAGTTTTGATTAGTACAGTACTAGATATTCTTACTCAGGTTTTTGCTTGTTTATTCAGTAATCACTGAACTTACACTATAAGCATGTATTCCAAATAATCATTTTGTTTTCTCTTGTAATCACTGATGTCAGGTGCCAAGTGTCTGCCCTGCAATAGTGGGCATGACATTTGGGAAGCCCACTGTCCAGCTGCAAAGGAGGCCTGAGCTTAGCTAGGCCTCTGGACACTGCTGATCAGAAGAGCGAGTGCACAGGTGGATGCGCTATCTATGCGCCTTTGTCTGTCTTCATACCTTGGGCCTTGGGAGGTTTGTTCTCAAAACCCCGTTCCTGCCAAAAACTTTTGTATTTGCTACTGACAGTTTAATCATCAATTCATCATAGCACACCTACATCCCATACAGCCATGAGGAACACAAGACCCAGGTGAAGAAACAGCACTTTATTTCTCTAGAGTTGAATTGTCTTAGCTCTCAAGGCTCCATTTCTACTTACAGCAGATGATTAATCTTACCATTTCCAAGTTATTCCTTATGTCTTCTAGGTTAAAGCCTAGTCTTTTTTGGATAGATAAGTCAAAATTCTACACTCTGCCTCATTCCATTGGGTGGCATTAAGGCATTGCAGGAAGGCACAGGTCTTCTTGGTTGACTTTCTCTGTGGCTTTTGATGTTGATGTCACCCTCCTTTTCACTCTTTGTGGACTTCTACATCACAGTGTCTGCTGCTGGGATTTCCACCCTGTTCTGCTTTCCAGGGGCCAGGTCATGCATGTCACTCTGCCTGCTCTGCCCATCAGCAATTTCTTTGCTATCCTCTCTGAGTTCCTGCTAGGCCTTTCCCTAAAAAATGTGGTGGTTGGCTAATGATGCCCTGTCCATGTAGTGGCCCATTGCACTTGCAGATTCTGTGTTCCTTCCTTTCCTTGGCTGAGTCTTCTAGGGTATACATTAAGAAGCTCATAAAATGTTTGTGTTTCAAATTTGTGTCTTCCAAAGTCTTGCTTTGCAACTCAAATCCCTGTTTTTGACCCTTTGCTCTGGTTAATTTTTTAAATCATATTTTTGCTTGGTCAATACATCTCAGGCACAGGACATCCCACTAGGAGCACTACATTGGGTAATGTTTCATAGGACCTTTCTGTGTAATCCCTTGAGAGTCAGTGGGTCACTGCTGGTCACCTGAGCAGGCATGCACAGACTGACGGCTGACTTGACTATGCCTCTCAGATTTTACTATAATCTTTCAATTGTTAACTGTGAGGTAACATTTCACATGAAGAAAAACTTAGGAGCGACACTATGAAAGCCTCATTATGCTGACCTCTGCCCTAGCCCTGGAGTAGGAATGCAGAAGATTAAACATCAGAGGCAGAAACATTCAATGAAAGGAGGAATCCAAACCCAGATGAGGTTGCCTCCTGTCCAAAGAGGAGCCAGCATCCTCAGCAAAGCTTTTAGTTCCAGAGAATATAGAGCTTTTGACCCAGACCCAGATGCATTTCAGTGGCTGGGTTAGGGGTCTAGCAAACTTAATAAGGGTTTGGGGTTTGCTCTAAGCAGCTAGGGCTGTGCTTTCTGCTTAATAAAACAGCCAGTAGCCATCTGCTATGGTCTGAATATTCCCCAATATTTTTATACTGGTACTTAATCGCCAAAGTGATAGTATTGAGGTGGAGGCATTAAGAGGTGATCAGATCATGAGGGCTCCACCCTCATGAATGGATTAGAGCCCTTATAAAAGGGCTCTAGAAAACTAGCTAACTTGTTTTTCATTTTTGCCCTTTCTGTCTTTTCTGCCATGTGAGGACACAGCATTTATTTCCTCCAGAAGATACAGAACAAGGCACTATCTTGAAAGCTGAGAGTGGCAGCCCTCACTAGACACTGAATCTGCTGGTGCCTTGTTCTTGGGCTTCCCAGCATCCATACCTGTGAGAAAAACATTTCTATTATTTATCAATTACTCAGTCTAGGATTTGTCATAGAAGCATAAGTGGACTAAGAGAGAAATTGGTACCAAGAATTGGGATATTGTTAATAACAAATACTTGAAAATGTGAAAGTGGCTTTGGAACTTGGTAATGGGTAGAGGCTGGAACTGTTTGAAAGTGCATGCTAGGCTGGGCACGGTGGCTCACGCCTGTAATCCCAGCACTTTGGGAGACCGAGACAGGTGGATCACGAGGTCAGGAGTTGAAGAAAAGCCTGGTCAAGATGGTGAAGCCCCGTCTCTACTAAAAATACAAAAATTAGCTGGGCATGGTGGTGGGCAGCTGTAACCCCAGCTACTCAGGAGGCTGAGGCAGAGAATTGCTTGAACCTGGGAGGCGGAGGTTGCAGTGAACTGAGATCGCGCCACTGCACTCCAGCCTGGGGGACAGAGTGAGACTCTGTCTCAAAAAAAAAAAAAAAAATGCATGCTAGAACAAGGCTAAATTGCTGTGAGCAGAGTGTTAAGGGTGATTTTGGTGAGAGCTCAGAAGAAGAGGAAGAGGTCTTCTTAGAGATTGTCTAAGTGATTGTGATCAGAATGTTGGTAGAAATATAGACAGGAAAGGCGATTCTGATAAGGTCTTAGATGAAAATTAGGAATATGTTATTGGAAATTAGACAAAAGGTCATTCTTTTTACAAAATGGCAAGTAACTTGACTGAATTGTGTCTGTGCTTTGGGGAAAGCAGAACTTGCAAGCAATGAACTGTGATATTTGGCAGAGGAAATCTCCAAGTTAAGTGTTCAGGCTGCTGCATGGCTTCTCTTGATGGCTTATGATAAAATGCAAGAAGAGAAGATGAATTAAATATGGAATTTATAATCCTAAAATACACAGATATTAAAGAGTTGGAAATATCTCAGCCTAGCCATGTAGTAAAAAAAAGAAAAAAAAGGCTTGTTTGGGGGAAAATACTAATGGCGGCTGGCAAACTACAATATTATTCATCAAGACAGTGGGAGAATGACCCAAAAGGCATTTCAGAGATATTTGAGGCTGCCACTCCCATCACAGGCCCAGAATACCAAGATTTTGAGGGCACAGTGGTTTCAAGGGAGGGGCCCAGGGCACCAGTGGGACCTTACAGCTCTCTGTCCAGGCCTGCCTCAAGTCTCTGCTTCATATATTCTGGTGCAGCACTCCCAGGCTGCCCCAGCTGTGTCTCAAGCAGGCCCAAATGTTGCTGGGGTTGCCGCTACAGATGGCTCAAGCAGTAAACCTTGGCAGCATCTGTGTAGTGCCAAATCTTTAGGTGGGCAGAGTATATGAGCTGTGGAGGCATGGCTACCTCCACCTTGAAATAAATCTCTGTTGCTTGTAAATTACCCAGTCTCAGATAATTTGTTATAATGGACTAAGACATGAAGATCAAGCAATTTCTTTAGCTGAGTTTTAGAAGAAACGTGACACACAATTGGAAACGTTCAGGCATCAAGGCAGGAAGCAACAGTGCATGATACGAGTTCAAGATGATGAAAACTCTTACTGTGCTGTGCAAATAGCCGCAGGATTTGAAGTGAATGTAAATAGAGCAATAGAAGAAATAGCTGGCTGGGAATGGGAACACTGCTATTATTGGAGAGACTCCAGCTATGTGTTCAGGGGAACTCAGTGAAGGGTACTTACCAACATAAGTGAGAAAGGGGGTTGTGACAAAAAGGATAAATATGTCCCAGAGGAAATGATGCCATCAAAAAACCTCGCATACAGAATTCTCAGAGGTAATTTTATGATGTCAAAAGCACAATGCATAAAATATTAAAAGCTGATCCAAACTTAGAAAGGTGTGGGAAAATTCAAGAAAGCATAGGAAAGATGCTTTTCCCATATGGTAAGTTACATGATGAGAAGACAAGCATGGGTGGAACTTAATACATGCTTTACAAAGAAATAAAACACTTTAATTCTCAATGTTTCAAGTGTTTTAAATTACTTTGTACAAAGTAAATACTAGTTCTACTATTTTTAAGTTTCCTCATACATTTATAACCAATGGTAATAGAGCTTTTAATGTTTTGGCAAAAATTTTTAATGGTTATGGCATAATTGTAATATTTCCCATTTACGGTTGAGATTGTTTTATATGCTTACAACTTGCACTGAAATTTTTTGGGTCATTTTTATGGTCTTGCACTACTTTTGCTATGCTTTCAATGTTTGTTGCCTCCCAAAATCATATTAAAATTCAATTGCCATTGTAATAGTATTGAGAGGTGGGACCTTTAAGAGGCAATTCAGCTGCGAGGGGCTTTGCCCTCATGAGTGCATTAATGCCATTATCACAGGAGTGGAATTCTTATAAAAAGATGAATCTGCCCCCCTCTTGCCTCTCTCTTTCACTCTCTCTTTGCCCTTATGCCATGTCAGGATGAAGTAAGAGGGCCTTTGCCAGATGATGATGGCTCAATCCTGGACTTCCCGCCCTCTAGAACTGTGAGCCAATACATTTCTGTTTATCGTAAATTACCCACTCTATGGTATTCTGTTACAGCAGCACAAAATGAACTAAGGCAAATGGGCAAAATGAGGAATGTCATTATGTAATAATATCTCATTGTATGTTTCTATTTTTTTTTAAGAGATGGAGTCTCACTGTAGTGTCCAGGCTGGGCATGAACTCCTGGATTCAAACAATCCTCCCACCTCAGCCTCCCAAGTAGTTGGGACTACAAGTGCATACCACTGTGCCCAGTGTGTTTTTTAAATTTTGAGATAATTTAAAACTTATAGAAAATTTGTGAAATTGTTACAGAGAACTCCCCTATCTCTTTCTTTCTATGTATATGTACATAATAATAACACATATATATTTTTCATCCATTATTATTTTTCTTTTTCTGCATGATGTCTCATTGCATTATTGCCACCTAATCCTCCACTGTGTGTTTCCACAAAACAAGGACACTCCTGCAAAACCACAATACAACCATTTACATCAGAAGGTGAATATGTAGCTCACAGTCTCCATTCAAATTTCTCCAAACACTCCAATGTTGTCTACTATTGTTTGAAAACATCGACTGGGCACAGTGGCTCACATCTGTAATCCCAGCACTTTGGGAGGCCGAGATGGGCAGATCACCTGAGGTCAGGAGTTTGAGACCAGCCTGGCCAATATGGTGAAACCCTGTCTCTACTAAAAATACAAAAATTAGCCAGGCATGGTGGTGGATGCGTATAATCCCAGCTACTTGAGAGGCTAAGGCAGGAGAATCGCTTGAACCCAGGAGGCAGAGGTTGTGGTGAGCTGAGACCACGCCATTGCACTCCAGCCTGGGCAACAAGGGTGAAACCCTGCTCAAAAAAAAAAAGAAAGAAAGAAAGAAAGAAAATATCAATAATATATATTCATATTGATATTATTTGAAAATATAAACGTCAAGATATTTAAAAAATATATATTACCTGGCTCTGCCACCTAAAAGCCTAGAATTTATTACTGCCCCAGTAGTAACAAATTGGATTGTTTTTTTGCTTGTAGTTGACATTCTTTTTAATCTCCCTTACTCTGAAACCATTCCTCAGTCTTTTCTGGGTTTCCACGGAAACCCAGGAAAATTTTGGCTTTCCAAAATTCCGTGACCTTGGCAATTTTACAAAGTGCAGTCCTTTTACTCTGTAGGAAGACCCTCAGCATGGGTCCATCCAATGTGTCCTCATGTCCAGATATAGGTCATTCAAGCATTTTTGAAAGGAATACCCAGAAATGACAATCCTTCCTCCACCTCAACCCTGACCCTGCCATCAACTTCTCATCTCACCTCACTCCTGGCGCCTCTGAGGGGAGGGAGAGGAAGAAGAAGAAGAAAAAGAAGAAGGAGAAGGAGGAGAGAAAGGAGGAGGAGGAAGAGGAGGAGGAGGCAGAGGGGGAAGGGGTGGAGGGGGAGGAGGAGGAGGAGGAGGAAAGTCTTGTAAGCTTTGGAAATGACCTTGCTTTCTGGCACAATAAGGTACCTCAGGCCCACCTTAAACTTCTATATCAGAACTCAAATTAGCTGTTTCTGTAAGAATTTTCATTCCTGGGTCGGGCGTGGTGGCTCACACCTGTACTTTGGGAGGCCAAGGCAGGCGGATCACCTGAGGCCAGGAGTTCAAAACCAGCCTGGCCAACATGACAAAACGCCATCTCTACTACAAATATATATATATAAAAAATAGCCGGGAGTGGTGGCAGGCACCTGTAATACCAGCTACATGGGAGGCTTAGGAAGGAGAATCGCTTGAACCCGGGAGGTCTCCACCTCCCGGTAGAGGTGAGCCGAGATTGTGCTATTGCACTCCAGCCTGGGCAAGAAGAGTGAAACTCTGTCTCAAAAAAAAAAAAGAATTATTGTTCCTTCCAGCAGAATATCAGACACCAAAATCTAGGATCTTAGGTTGCTCATTACTACTGAAGCAGCAATAAATTCTAAGGTTTTTTTTTTTTTTTTTAAAGTGGCAGAGCCAGATAGTATATATTTTAAAATATCTTGACATTGACATTTTCAAATCAACTTTAGCATTGAATCATTTTAACTTGTTTTTTATTCTATATACATCTTTTTCCTCTTACATTGAAAATCTTTCTTCCCATAGCTCTTCTTCATTTTCTTTCAATATAAGGAGAATAGTTACAAAACACATAAATATTACTACAAACAGCAAAACTGCTGAGGAAGTTCAAAATTCCCCTGAGTTTCTTTTTATTTCTAGAATGCCTTCCACTATAAGCACATGGTTAAAGTACTATGTTCTAAAGGAAATTGAGATACATGTTCCTGTGTTATTAACTTGATATACACACAGGTACATTTGTTTCAGTTTGTTTAAAATTAAAAATATTCTTTTAAGATTTAGTTTTAGTTATTGTTTGGAATAGGTAATTCATATTAATTATTCGAAGAACAAAGTTATATAGCCAGGTACTCATGGTGGATATCCTTCTATTCCAGCCATAACTACCCCATCCCATTTTTTGTGCTTTCTCTCTCTTTCTCTACGAATATATACATATATATATACATATATATACACGTCCATATGAATTTATACACACACACACACACACACACATACACACAAACACATGATTTTGATGTACCTAAGTTTATCTTTTAACCCTACCGAACTCTGACATGGCCTGGAATTCTTGTCAACCCCTCCTAGAGATTAATCACACTTGGCAACTGGGGTGAAATCTAGTTGCCATCTCACAACATCGAGCAAAGCTCTGCTCGATGTTGGCTTTCCCAATTACATGAGCTATTCAAATCCTTATTGATCCAGCTGCATTTGGCACAAGACAGGGCAGAGACTACTCAGTGGTCTATTGCAAGTTCCAGGTGCCAGGAAATGAAGTATCTGCCTTGTTTACAATTGCATTCCTGGCACATATTATGTGCTTAATAAATATTTTCTGAATATGTGAAATAACAGTCACCATGAAGAGAAGTCTGCTGACCTGAAAACTTAGCTTCTAATGTGTTTGGGTTCTGCTCAGCATGCCCCATCAGATGTGGACACCAAGAAGCTCACTACAAAGACTAATGTGGGTCCTTGATGGTCAGTGGTGCTGAGGTGTTCCAAGTTAAAAGTCAACTGACTTCTCTGGCAGTAAGTTCATTGGGCTGCATATTTTCTACTCAGGTGAAGGGAGGGAAAGGATAGTGGCTCTCAAATTGTGGTCTCAGCAGTGTGGTCTCAGCAGCAACAGCATCGCCTTGGAACTTGCTGGAAATACAAATTATTGGGCCTCACCCCAGACCTATGGAATCAGAAACTCTGGGGAGCAGCCCAGCAATTTCAATTTGAACAAGGCCTGCAGGTGATACTGGTGCACACTCACGTTTGAGACCCACTGGGCAATAATCTACAGAGGACTGAGGATCTTTGCCAGGTGCAGAGAGAGAAAGGTGTCTGGCCAGCATCAGAGCATAAGAAAGCAGGTGAGAGGGCTCAGGTCCTCAGACTGAGGTGTCAAGGAGGGATTCCAAGCCTGTAGAAGGCGGGAGAGAACAAAACATGTCTTGAACCTCTGCCTGAGCTTGGCATACTGTGTAGCAACAGGGGTTCAGGTGGAAGGGTAGGAAATAAACAAGATCCTGGATTATGTTACAGAATCTTGTTTACAAATACAAACAACAACAACAACAACAAAAAAGTCGTGACCCAACTTTTGGAAGTGTAACTTCACAATGGATTAGCTAAGAGTTTGACTTATTTTTATCTTACCTCAACCACTTGTCATGGGTTCGTTAGTTTACCCATGAATGTGTGGTAGGCAGAAGTCTAAGAGGGCCGCAAGGTTCCTGCCTGTGGTGTGCACACATCTTTTCCAAGTCATTCAATCAAACAAGAATGGAGGCATTGCTGTGAGGGGATTTTGCAGATGTTCTTAAGGTCCCAAGTTAGTTGACTTAAGAAAAGGGAGATTATCCTCTGTGGATCACATCTAACCAGGTAAGCCCATTAGAGGAGACTGGGCTGACCAGGCTCTTGCTGACAGAAGAGACTAGAAGGGTAAGAGGAATTCAGCATGAGGGAGATTCTCCATGCTGATTTGAAGGTGGAGGGAACCATGTGACAAGGAATGACTGTGAGTGGCTTCTGACAGCCAGCAAAGAAATAGGACTTCAGACCTGCAACCACAGGAATGGATCCCTGCTACTCCACATGAGCTCGAATGAGAAACGTAAGCTTCAGATGTCCTTGTCAGCACCTGGAACAGAGGACCCAGCCATGCTGTGCTCAGGCTTCTTCTGTCCTGTAGACTGTGTGAAATAAATAAAGTTGTTTTAAACAGCTGAGTTTGTGTTACTGTGTAACATCAAACATAGGAGATCAAGAATCCTAAATTAAAGGGAGAAGAGGACTGCCTGGTGGTTATCACACATCCTGCTAGTCTCGTCCTTGCCTCCATCAGCACGGTGAAACCTTCCTGATAGGGACTGGTGACCTGGGAGGTTGCACCCTCAGCAGAACTGAGGACCCGCCTGAGCAGGCCAAACGGGCAGCTTTGAAAATGGAAAGGAAGGGCAGGTATCAGAGGCACTGTAGAAAGAAGTGACTATGTGACCACTGTGACTGAGGGATCCAATGGTGGACGTAGTCTAAATGCCTTTGCCTGTCATTTAATGTCTTTGTAATTTGATTCTAACTAGTTTTTCTGTTAGATTTTTTTCTGGATTTTTTCCCTGTCACTTAAGTTCTGTGCCACCTAGCTTACCCAGAGTCCAAGGAGCAAGCTGTTTATATTCCCAACTCTCTCACTCGCTAACACTTTTCCCAGCCTGGAATGAGCTCTCTTCTCTTCTTCCACAATTGACAATTGACAGTCCCAATTGACAGTTTAGAGACAGAGAGAGGCAGTGGCCCTTCCATGTGTTGTCTCTACTAAATACTGAAAAATGAAGAAATGCCAAATAAGAGTCACCACACCTGTGGCTTTAAAAATTGACTGTTACATTTTTAACCCAGAAAATACACTGTAGTATAATTTTGATAATGACACAACTACAGGATTTATTTTTTAAAAAAGCATTAACTCGTGATGCTTGCTATGTATTCTATAATGAGCATAATCTTCTTCCAGAACTTTGAGTGGACTCTATGACAATGTATGTAAGATTTAGTAATGTGAGGCCCAGGCCTGATTCCCACCTCCCAGAGCCCTCTTGGCTCCATCCTGCCTAAACACCACATTGTTAGACGAGTGGGTCCTCCATCCCATCACAGCTCTGATTCCATTTTCTCCATTGCAGTGCACAGTGACAGCACTTTTCCTGAATTATTGTCTGATCTGTTTATTTTTGCCTTCTATTGATAATCAATTTTAAGTACATATGCCATTTGTGTGCTATCCATTCAGCTGATTTTTAAGCCATTCATTTATTTAACCAACGTTTTTCTTTTTTAAATTTCCAACTTTCATTTTAAGTTCAAGGGTACATGAGCGGGATGTGGAGGTTTACAACATAGGTAAATGTGTGCCATGGTGGTCAGCTGCACAAATCATCCCATCACCTAGGTATTAAGCCCAGCATGCATTAGCCATTCTTCCTCCCACTCCCGACCCTATGGCAGGCCCTAGTGTGTGTTGTTCCTTCTCCTTGTGTCCATCCATGTGCTCTCATTACTCAGCTCCCACTTATAAGTGAGAACATGCAATACTTGGTTTTCTGTTCCTGCATTAGTTTGCTGTGGATGATGGCTTTCAGCTCCATCCATGTCCCTGCAAAGGACATATCTTTCCTTTTTATGGTTGCATAGTATTCTGTGGTGTATATGTACCACACTTTCTTTATCCAGTCTATTATTGATGGGCATTTAGGTTGATTCCATGTCTTTGCCATTGTGGATAGTGCTGCAGTGAACATATACGTGCATGTATCTTTATAATAGAATGATTTATATTCCTCATGGTGTATACCCAGTAATGGGATTGCTGGGTCGAATGGTATTTCTGGTTCTAGGTCTTTAAGGAATAGCCACACTGTCTTCCATGTGGTTGAGCTAATTTATGCTCCTGCCGATAGTGTAAAAGCATTCCTTTTTCTCCACAACCTCACCAGTATCTGTTGTTTTTTGACTTTTTAATAATAGCCATTCTGACTGGTGTGAGATGTGGTTATCTCACTCATTGTGGTTTTGATGTGCATTTCTCTAACGATCAGTGATGTTAAGCTTTTTTTTTTCATGTGTTTAACAAACATTTTTCAAATACCTGTTTTGTTGAAAGTTGTATACTAGGCTCCAGGGATTACAGCTATGACAAAGCACCGAGGATTATTTTTTTCGTAGTAAGTCTAGTGGGAGACAGATAGAAAACAACTAATTGAGTAAAAATATTTAATTCCAGTTATATGTCATGGAGGAAAAATGCATTGCTCTCAGAGAATCCAAAATAGATCTTACCTAGAGAGATTGATGTGCTTTGTTACCCCATAGTGAGTGTTTCACGTTATAAGGATACAGTAGCTATTAATTAATAGCTTAATGAGCAAACCAGGATTTCTGCCATTCATAAAGTACATAAAACCTTACTCTTTACATGAAATAGATGCAAAAAATCACAGTAGATTTAAAGATAAACACTTTGATAGTTTTTTATATTTCAAGTTTATTGTGGATAGATACCTGGTTTCCTTTTACCTTTTGGAACTTACTGAAATATATCCATGGTTCTGAAATAGAGTTGTAGGACAGTAATGGATCTTTTGAAGTTATTTGGCCTATTGCCAGAATTTTGACATCAAAGTAAAGTTCAACAGTGAGCCTAACACTAAGAAACTACATTGGCTAATAAAATGGCCTGGAAGACTTGATAGAACACTTACCATTTGGGGCTGTTGTGAAATTTTCTTAATTGTACAAGCCAGCTTTGAAATTTTTACAACATAATAGGTACAAGGTTAATTGTAACAAATGTAGTTTGCCCAGACTATTTAGACTAGATTAAAAGTGATAGCAAAAAATTAATAAAAGTGATTTTGAAGAAATATTTTTAGTTGAATATAGAAATGCAAATTGGATCCGCTATCATAAAATTTAGAAAGGTGTTTCTCCCTTATTAGATATTAGGTTTTGTTTTTACATAACATCCTATTTTATGCAGAGCACAACGTGCAGCCAGTCTAGGCCTGCAGAGCTCGTGAAACTAAAATAAAGACATCCATTTCAATAATGCCCCAAATGAGATTGATGGCTATCATCGCTCCCTAACTGATCAAAAGGAATCAGGGCTTGGGGAGGTCATGCGTAAGTCACACAAGTGACCCAAAGCTAGACCCTGTCCTGGTACTCTTTCCACAATATCACATCTGAAAAATTTATACAATTAAATGTATATATATAATTAAAAACATACACATAAATAAAACCAACTCTAACAGAACAAAATCCATTTAAGAGAAGTAGGAGTTGCAGAACACAGCTTTCTTTATCGATTCTGTCAAACTCCAAGGACTTAGGGGCGCTAGAGACTTATACTTTATTAAAATAATCCACGAAAATTACTGTATGTGTGTGTGTGTTTTCATTAATAAAATATTGTCTCTTTCCTGGAGTTGAGTCTTCCTTCCTGTAAGCAGATTTGAATGTTGTTATAATATATTTTGAGCCACTCTAAGAAGGGAGGAAAGGACACAAAGTGGAAATGCTCACAATTCTGGTCGTCTGAGGAATGTGAAATCCCTCTGACACTGCAGTGATTTCACCAGTCCCATTTTTCTGCTTGTAGTTCTGCAAATGGCCAACCATACTGAACAGCTTGGTCTGACTGCAGGTGCCAGTCTCCCCATGGAGCTGCTTCTGAGATCTTTTTTTCTTCTGCAATCTCAGGGATTTTTATCTGCTCATTACTACATGCTGGGTCTCAGCAACCACACAGGGTGTTCAAGTCGAGTTTAATCAAGAGACTATTTACGGAGATGTGGACAGGG
Organism: Homo sapiens; assembly: GCF_000001405.40. NCBI lineage: Eukaryota > Metazoa > Chordata > Mammalia > Primates > Hominidae > Homo > Homo sapiens. Next base: position 56,414,343 of record NC_000008.11, read on the forward strand.
CATGAGGAAACTGCATGGGAGAATGAGGTGACCAGTGGCTGGTGACAGAAGGCTGCCCTGGGTCTGAAGGAGCAGAGGCAGGGACATTACCAGAACCGAAGGCAGAGAGGAAAGATGGAGAGGAATCTGAGACCTTTAGTTCGGGGGCCCAGTTAGCCAGTGACAACCCTGCAGGGAAGAAGCTGGAGGTATAAATAATTCATAACTTACTCTTTAATCTGCTGGTATGTCCACTCAGTCAAACTCAACATGAAGCCAGAGAACAATGCAGCCCATCCATGTAATCTATTTAGGTAGCTTCTGGCAGGTGTGGAGCCAAGTAGATGCTGTTTATCAGACAGTTGCTCACAAGCCTGTAACACAACCTGGCCACTTTAAGAAAGCCAAAGCATGGCCATCAGTTCAGGCAAAGCTTGACTTTGCTTCAAGACAATGGGTTTTGAGCTCTTAGTAGAATTTGCTTTATTTCAGTCTCCAACTTCAGCAGTCCCTCAGCCCTCCCTCCCTCAATATCTGCTGAGTGAGCTTGATGTTGGGTTTGTAACCTAGAACTTACACTTTGAATATCTTTTCTGGTGGACACAACCTAGAAGAATGTCTAATAGCTATTTGTTAGAGAAATGAATAGGCATAACTCGCTTGACCTTGTCTCAACTAATCCTCTGTTGAACTTGTCTCTGGTTTGGTCAGCATGTTTGTTTTCTCACAACCCAAGTGCTCTATTTGATTGACAGCCCTCACTGCCTTCCAAGGCTAGAACCTGTTCCTATCCTGTTGGGATGGGACAAGAGGGAACTTCTTGGCAAAGTGCACTTGAGAATACCAAAGTTTGGAAGCGTTGACTTTTCCACCTTCTTTCCTATTCTTTTAAGAATTTTTGGGGGAGGAGCCAAGATGGCCGAATAGGAAAAGCTCCCGTCTACAGCTCCCAGCGTGAGCAACGCAGAAGACGGGTGATTTCTGCATTTCCATCTGAGGTACTGGGTTCATCTCAATAGGGAGTGCCAGACAGTGGGCGCAGGTCAGTGGGTGCGCGCACCGTGCGCAAGCTGAAGCAGGGCGAGGCATTGCCTCACTGGGGAAGCGCAAGGGGTCAGAGAGTCCCCTTTTCTAGTCAAAGAAAGGGGTGACAGACGGCACCTGGATAATCAGGCCACTCCCACCCTAATACTGCGCTTTTCCGACAGGCTTAAAAAACGGCGCACCACGAGATTATATCCCGCACCTGGCTCGGAGGGTCCTACGACCATGGAGTCTCGCTGATTGCTGGCACAGCAGTCTGGGATCAAACAGCAAGGCGGCAGCGAGGCTGGGGGAGGGGCGCCCGCCATTGCCCAGGCTTGCTTAGGTAAACAAAGCAGCCGGGAAGCTTGAACTGGGTGGAGCCCACCACAGCTCAAGGAGGCCTGCCTGCCTCTGTAGGCTCCACCTCTGGGGGCAGGGCACAGACAAACAAAAAGACAGCAGTAACCTCTGCAGACTTAAATGTCCCTGTCTGACAGCTTTGAGGAGAGCAGTGGTTCTTCCAGTACGCAGCTGGAGATCTGAGAAGGGACAGACTGCCTCCTCAAGTGGATGCCTGACCCCTGACCCCTGAGCAGCCTAACTGGGAGGCACCAGCCAACAGGGGCACACTGACACCTCACACGGCAGGGTACTCCAACAGACCTGCAGCTGAGGGTCTTGTCTGTTAGAAGGAAAACTAACAAACAGAAAGGACAACCACACCAAAAACCCATCTGTACATCACCATCATCAAAGACCAAAAGTAGATAAAACCACAAAGATGGGGAAAAAACAGAACAGAAAAACTGGAAACTCTAAAAAGCAGAGCGCCTCTCCTCCTCCAAAGGAATGCAGTTCCTCACCAGCAATGGAACAAAGCTGGACGGAGAATGACTTTGATGAGCTGAGAGAAGAAGGCTTCAGACGATCAAATTACTCTGAGCTATGGGAGGACATTCAAACCAAAGGTAAAGAAGTTGAAAACTTTGAAAAAAGTTTAGAAGAATGTATAACCAGAATAACCAATACAGAGAAGTGCTTAAAGGAGCTGATGGAGCTGAAAACCAAGGCTCGAGAACTACGTGAAGAATGCAGAAGCCTCAGGAGCTGATGCGATCAACTGGAAGAAAGGGTATCAGTGATAGAAGATGAAATGAATGAAATGAAGCGAGAAGGGAAGTTTAGAGAAAAAAAAATAAAAAGAAATGAGCAAAGCCTCCAAGAAATATGGGACTATGTGAAAAGACCAAATCTACGTCTGATTGGTGTACCTGAAAGTGATGGGGAGAATGGAACCAAGTTGGAAAACACTCTGCAGGATATTATCCAGGAGGACTTCCCCAATCTAGCAAGGCAGGCCCACGTTCAGATTCAGGAAATACAGAGAACACCACAAAGATACTCCTTGAGAAGAGCAACTCCAAGACACATAATTGTCAGATTCACCAAAGTTGAAATGAAAGAAAAAATGTTAAGGGCAGCCAGAGAGAAAGGTCGGGTTACCCTCAAAGGGAAGCCCATCAGACTAACAGCAGATCTGTCGGCAGAAACCCTACAAGCCAGAAGAGATAGGGGGCCAATATTCAACATTCTTAAAGAAAAGAATTTTCAACCCAGAATTTCATATCCAGCCAAACTAAGCTTCACAAGTGAAGGAGAAATAAAATACTTTACAGACAAGCAAATGCTGAGAGATTTTGTCACCACCAGGCCTGCCCTAAAAGAGCTCCTGAAGGAAGCGCTAAACATGGAAAGGAACAACCGGTACCAGCCACTGCAAAATCATGCCAAAATGTAAAGACCATCAAGACTAGGAAGAAACTGCATCAACTAACGAGCAAAATAACCAGCTAACATCATAATGACAGGATCAAATTCACACATAACAATATTAACTTTAAATGTAAATGGACTAAATGCTCCAATTAAAAGACACAGACTGGCTAATTGGATAAAGACTCAAGACCCATAAGTGTGCTGTATTCAGGAAACCCATCTCACGTGCAGAGACACACATAAGCTCAAAATAAAAGGATGGAGGAAGATCTACCAAGCAAATGGAAAACAAAAAAAGGCAGGGGTTGCAATCCTAGTCTCTGATAAAACAGACTTTAAACCAACAAAGATCAAAAGAGACAAAGAAGGCCACTACATAATGGTAAAGGGATCAATTCAACAAGAAGAGCTAACTCTCCTAAATATATATGCACCCAACACAGGAGCACCCAGATTCATAAAGCAAGTCCTGAGTGACCTACAAAGAGACTTAGACTCCCACACATTAATAATGGGAGACTTTAACACCCCACTGTCAACATTAGAATCAACGAGACAGAAAGTCAACAAGGATACCCAGGAATTGAACTCAGCTCTGCACCAAGCAGACCTAATAGACATCTACAGAACTCTCCACCCCAAATCAACAGAATATACATTTTTTTCAGCACCACACCACACGTATTCCAAAATTGACCACATACTTGGAAGTAAAGCTCTCCTCAGCAAATGTAAAAGAACAGAAATTATAACAAACTATCTCTCAGACCACAGTGCAATCAAACTAGAACTCAGGATTAAGAATCTCACTCAAAACCACTCAACTACATGGAAACTGAACAACCTGCTCCTGAATGACTACTGGGTACATAACGAAATGAAGGCAGAAATAAAGATGTTCTTTGAAACCAATGAGAACAAAGACACAACATACCAGAATCTCTGGGACGCATTCAAAGCAGTGTGTAGAGGGAAATTTATAGCACTAAATGCCCACAAGAGAAAGCAGGAAAGATCCAAAATTGACACCCTAACATCACAATTAAAAGAACTAGAAAAGCAAGAGCAAACACATTCAAAAGCTAGCAGAAGGCAAGGAATAACTAAAATCAGAGCAGAACTGAAGGAAATAGAGACACAAAAAACCCTTCAAAAAATTAATGAATCCAGAAGCTGGTTTTTTGAAAGGATCAACAAAATTGATAGACCACTAGCAAGACTAATAAAGAAAAAAAGAGAGAAGAATCAAATAGACACAATAAAAAATGATAAAGGGGATATCACCACCAATCCCACAGAAATACAAACTACCATCAGAGAATACTACAAACACCTCTACGCAAATAAACTAGAAAATCTAGAAGAAATGGATAAATTCCTCAACACATACACTCTCTCAAGACTAAACCAGGTAGAAGTTGAATCTCTGAATAGACCAATAACAGGAGCTGAAATTGTGGCAATAATCAATAGCTTACCAACCAAAAAGAGTCCAAGACCAGACAGATTCACAGCTGAATTATACCAGAGTTACAAGGAGGAACTGGTACCATTCCTTCTGAAATGATTCCAATCAATAGAAAAAGAGGGAATCCTCCCTAACTCATTTTATGAGGCCAGCATCATTCTGATACCAAAGCCAGGCAGAGACACAACCAAAAAAGAGAATTTTACACCAATATCCTTGATGAACATTGATGCAAAAATCCTCAATAAAATACTGGCAAACCGAATCCAGCAGCACATCAAAAAGCTTATCCACCATGATCCAGTGGGCTTCTTCCCTGGGATGCAAGGCTGGTTCAATATACACAAATCAATAAATGTAATCCAGCATATAAACAGAGCCAAAGACAAAAACCACATGATTATCTCAATACATGCAGAAAAGGCCTTTGACAAAATTCAACAACCCTTCATGCTAAAAACTCTCAATAAATTAGGTATTGATGGGACATATCTCAAAATAATAAGAGCTATCTATGACAAACCCACAGCCAATATCATACTGAATGGGCAAAAACTGGAAGCATTCCCTTTGAAAACTGGCACAAGACAGGGATGCCCTCTCTCACCACTTCTATTCAACATAGTGTTGGAAGTTCTGGCCAGGGCAATTAGGCAGGAGAAGGAAATAAAGGGTATTCAATTAGGAAAAGAGGAAGTCAAATTGTCCCTGTTTGCAGATGACATGATTGTATATCTAGAAAACCCCATTGTCTCAGCCCAAAATCTCCTTAAGCTGATAAGCAACTTCAGCAAAGTCTCAGGATACAAAATCAATGTACAAAAATCACAAGCATTCTTATACACCAACAACAGACAAACAGAGAGCCAAATCATGAGTGAACTCCCATTCACAATTGCTTCCAAGAGAATAAAATACCTAGGAATCCAACTTACAAGGGATGTGAAGGACCTCTTCAAGGAGAACTACAAACCACTGCTCAATGAAATAAAAGAGGATACAAACAAATGGAAGAACATTCCATGCTCATGGGTAGGAAGAACCAATATCATGAAAATGGCCATACTGCCCAAGGTAATTTACAGATTCAATGCCATCCCAATCAAGCTACCAATGACTTTCTTCACAGAATTGGAAAAAACTACTTTAAAGTTCATATGGAATCAAAAAAGAGCCCGCATTGCCAGTCAATCCTAAGCCAAAAGAACAAAGCTGGAGGCATCACACTACCTAACTTCAAGCTATACTACAAAGCTACAGTAACCAAAACAGCATGGTATTGGTACCAAAACAGAGATATAGATCAATGGAACAGAACAGAGCCCTCAGAAATAACGCCACATATCTACAACTATCTGATCTTTGACAAACCTGACAAAAACAAGCAATGGGGAAAGGATTCCCTATTTAATAAATGGTGCTGGGAAAATTGGCTAGCCATACGTAGAAAGCTGAAACTGGATCCCTTTGTTACACCTTACACAAAAATCAATTCAAGATGGATTAAAGACTTAAATGTTAGACCTAAAACCATAAAAACCCTAGAAGAAAACCTAGGCATTACCTTTCAGGACATAGGCATGGGCAAGGACTTCCTGTCTAAAACGCCAAAAGCAATGGCAACAAAAGCCAAAATTGACAAATGGGATCTAATTAAACTAAAGAGCTTCTGCACAGCAAAAGAAACCACCATCAGAGTGAACAGGCAACCTACAAAATGGGAGAAAATTTTCGCAACCTACTCATCTGACAAAGGGCTAATATCCAGAATCTACAATGAACTCAAACAAATTTACAAGAAAAAAACAAACAACCTCATCAAAAAGTGGGCGAAGGACATGAACAGACACTTCTCAAAAGAAGACATTTATGCAGCCAAAAAAACACATGAAAAAATGCTCATCATCACTGGCCATCAGAGAAATGCAAATCAAAACCACAATGAGATACCATCTCACACCAGTTAGAATGGCGATCATTAAAAAGTCAGGAAACAACAGGTGCTGGAGAGGATGTGGAGAAATAGGAACAACTTTACACTGTTGGTGGGACTGTAAACTAGTTCAACCATTGTGGAAGTCAGTGTGGCGATTCCTCAGGGATCTAGAACTAGAAATACCATTTGACCCAGCCATCCCATTACTGGGTATATACCCAAAGGACTATAAATCATGCTGCTATAAAGACACATGCACACGTATGTTTATTGCGGCACTATTCACAGTAGCAAAGACTTGGAACCAACCCAAATGTCCAACAATGATAGACTGGATTAAGAAAATGTGGCACATATACGCCATGGAATACTATGCAGCCATAAAAAATGATGAGTCCATGTCCTTTGTAGGGACATGGATGAAACTGGAAATCATCATTCTCAGTAAACTATCACAAGAACAAAATACCAAACACCGCATATTCTCACTCATAGGTGGGAATTGAACAATGAGATCACATGGACACAGGAAGGGGAACATCACACTCTGGGGACTGTTGTGGGGTGGAGGGAGGGGGGGAGGGATAGCACTGGGAGATATACCTAATGCTAGATGACAAGTTAGTGGGTGCAGCGCACCAGCATGGCACATGTATACATATGTAACTAACCTGCACATTGTGCACATGTACCCTAAAACTTAAAGTATAATAATAACAGAAAAAAAAGAATTTTTATCTTCTCTCCAAGATTTCTACTTTTGGAAGCATAGTTTCAGTGTAGCCAATTTTCTCTCACAACAAATGTAATTTAGGTAATAGTATCATCCCATTAACACACTAAAGTTTAGGTAACTTGCCTAAGATTACAATGTTGGGATGCCAACATTGTAACCTAGGCAGTCCAGTTCCAGAACCTGTAGTCACTCTTATCTATTGCAAAAGAGAGGAAAGATAGCATCTAAGGAGTGCTCTGGAAACTAGCTACCATTCTTCTCTGCTCACTGCAACCTCCGCCTCCTGGGTTCAAGCAATTCTCCTGCCTCAGCCTTCTGAGTAGCTGGGATTACAGGTGCCTGCCACCACACCTGGCTAATTTTTTGTATTTTTACTAGAGATGGGGTTTCATCATGTTGGCCAGGCTGGTCTCAAACTCCTGACCTCAGGTGATCCACCTGCCTCAGCCTCCCAATATGCTGGCATTACAGGCATGAGCTACTGCGCCCGGCCTGAAAACAGTTTTGACTCTGCCACTATTTTTACCCACTGAATTTTCTGCCTCTTCTCTTCCTCATTATTTTTGTCTGGAAATTTTATTTTGCTTTAAAAATACATAAAATTTGCTTTTTGAAACCGTCAGTACTAAATTAATATTAATGTTTCCAGAACAGAAAAGAGCTAAGTCTAAGAGTCTCTGTGTTGATTATACTTAATTTCTTGTTTACCTGTTTCTGGATTTATCTTATTTCCTTTCCCTCTTCTTTTCTTCTCCGTTTGCTATTCCTTCTGCTGAAGTATATCCTTTAGCATATCTTCTAGAAAGAGTTACAAAAGTTCTTAATGTTTATATTATTCAAAACATCTTCCTTTTTTTACACCGTTAAATGCTGGTTTAAAAGGATGTAAGATTTGGGCTTGAATCTATTCCCCAACTCCATATCCCACTTTTCCTCTACTGCCTTTAAAAGATAATTTCCTACAGCTCCTAGGATGTATTGTTTCTATTATAAAATCTCCAGTCTGCCTGTTATTTCTTTGTATTTAATTTTTCTTTTATCTCTGGTAGTTTTTAAGATTTTTTGCTTTCTTGATGATGTTACAAGTTTTACTATAGTGTACCAGGTATGGATTTGCTTTTATGTAAACTGCTTGGCACCGTCTTCATGCTTGCCATCTTTGGATTAAAGTTTGTCTTCAATCCCATAAAATTTGTAGCCACTATTTAAAAAAAACAACAGCTATATTGAGATATAATTGACATACTATAAAATTCAGTCTTTTAAATTGTGTAATTAAGTGGTTTTCTAGTATATTGACCAAGTTTTGTAACCGTCACAACTATTAATTCTGTAATATTAAAACATTTTTAAAAATTGTTTATTTATTTATTACACATAGCGTCTGTCTCTGTCGCCCACGCTGGAGTACAGGGGGACAATCATAGCTCACTACAGCCTTGACTTCCTGGGCTCAAGCAATCCTCCTGCCTCAGGCTCCTGAGCAGCTAGGACTAGAGGTGCACACCATCACGCCTGGCTAATTTTTAAATTTTTTGTAGAGATGGGGTCTCACTATGTTGCAATGGCTGGTCTTGAACTCCTGGCCTCAAGTGATCCTCTTGTTTTCACCTGCCAAAGTGCTGGGATTCCAGGAATCAGTTACTGTACCTGGCTTCAGAACATTTTGATCACCCCAAAAGAAACATAATAACCATTAGTAGTGACATTCCATTCCCTCTGTCTCTGAGCCACTGACCATCACTAATCTGCTTGCTGTTTCTATGGATTTATCTATTCTGGATATTTGCTATAAATGGAATTATATTATACGATATGTGACTCTTGTGTCTTATTTTACTTAGTATGATGTTTTCAAGTTTCACCCATGCTGTAGCATGTATCAATATTTAATTTCCTTTTATTGTCAAATGATTTTTTATTATATGGATATACTACATTTTATTTATCCATTTATCAGTTGATAGATATTTGGGTTGTTTTCATTTTGTGGATATACCACATTTTATTTATCCATTTATCAGTTGATAGATATTTGGGTTGTTTTCATTTTGTGGCCATTATGAATAATGTTACCATGAAAAGTCATGAAACCGTTTTTGTGTGGACATATCTTTTCTTTTCTTTTCTTTTCTTTTTTTTTTTTTTTTTTGAGACAAAGTCTCCCACTGTCGCCCAGGCTGGAGTGCAGTGGTGCGATCTTGGCTCACCGCAACCTCTGCCTCCCAGGTTCAAGCAATTCTCCTGCCTTAGTCTCCTGAGTAGCTGGGATTACAGGCGTGTGCCACCTTGCCCGGCTACTTTTTTTTTGTATTTTTAGTAGAGACAGGGTTTCACCATATTGGCTAGGCTGATCTTGAACTCCTGACCTTGTGATCTGCCCACCTCAGCCTCCCAAAGTGCTGGGATTACAGGCGTGAGCCACCGTGCCTGGCCTATATCTTTTCTATTCTCTTGGGTATATATTTAAAAATGAAATTTCTGGGTTTTATGGTAACTTTATAATTAACTTTTTGAGGAATTGCCAAACTGTTTTCTAGCAGTGTGTAAGGGTTTCAACTTCTCCACATCATTGTGAATAGTGGTAATTATTCATCTTTTTTATTATAGCCATCCTCATGTTCTTCAAGGGCTACTATTTTTTTTTTCACTATTTCTTCTATGCCATTCTTTGTAGTCTCATCTTAGGGAACAAGCCACTCAATCAATTTTTGTCACTTAAAAATTCTTCATTTTGTTGTGGGTTAATTTCTCATCACTATCTTTTTATTACTGAACGAAGTCTTTAATTCTGTCTAGAGTAGAATAAATCTTGTTTAAACACACTTTTTCCCAATGACTATAGACATAATTTATTGCTAACACATTTTAATTTTATGATTTCTTGCTTCTTCTTAATGAATGGCCTTCTTGTCTTTATCGCTTTGAAAATACTGAAACACTTGTTTTAAACTTTCTGTTCAGATTCCTTTAATATTTGCATTTCATCAGGAGTGAAGTCAATGTTGCATTTTTGGCTCTTGTTTTTAATATTATTTTCCTTATGTAATTTAGAATTTTATAGTGTTGCTCATATCAAATAGATATATTTGTTTTTCTCTCTTTCCTCACTTTTACCTGTTTAGTAGTTTTGCACTTTTGGTTCAGAAATACATTTTACATTGGAGGTTTGGGGTTACTTCCCCATAATGATGTAAATAATATTGCAAATCTAATGGTAAAGCTGGCAAGTGGCTTTGGCCAGATCTTATTCCTCAACTGTGTCTTCTTACTCTTCCTGTTGCTTTCAGTACATGCAAGAGGACTGTCTCTATCTGAGGTCATTGGCAGTGGAGCTGTCTCTTACACCTTGCCACTTGTTCTCAGCTATCATGAAGAAGGAAAGAAGGCTGCCTGCATCAGACAGGCACAAGCCTCAGAGCCCGGGAGCCCACAAGCCCACCATTCAGCTCTAACTTAGTGTGGTGCTTACCTATTCTGTTTCTTTGCTGCGCATGGGTTCATTATCTCTAGGCATAATTATGTCTTTTAAATTAAAACAATTTACATATCTTTGCTATGAGTTTGGATGGGAACAAGGGCTCATAATGATACTTCTTGAATGCCTATGACAAGCAAAATAGACACAGTTCCTACTTTCCTGGGGCTTTCTACTTGTTGAGACATGAATTAAGAAATAGTTATAAAGTGAACCAAGTGCTGTGACAGCCCAAAATCCAACAAACCACCAAACAAAAAAGAGTGTTGTATGAGAGCTATGATGAAGAAAGGGAATCCAAGCAGGGAGGAGTGCGGAGGTGGACCTCTGGAAGTCATTAATAATAGAGTAAACCAGTAAGTAGCTTTTTAGAACAGCTGATTGGTAGTGCTTGGCTGATATAGAGTGAAATGTTTTATTTTAGTGGTTTTAAAATTCTGATCAAAAGTCTATAGAGTTTTTCCCTTGCTAGAATACCTTGATATTAAGACCTTGAACAGCAATAAATCAGTCATATAAAATCCAGTTTTTGTTTCATTTGAAGACTTCCAGGTATAGTAGATGCTCAACTTGACAAATATTCCCGTGATGCTTCAAGAAGGAGGGCAGGATTCAATTTAGAGATCTCTAATCACATAAAACCATTTCTGCTTGGTACTCTTTTAACAGCTCAGTATTCTTCTGTCCAAAGGCTCTACGCCTTCCATTTGCTACAGCAGTCATTACTAGACCATGCTACAATTTGGGGAGGCTGATTGGGCCAATAATTTAATGCATAAGTTAGTGGTTGACACATTTTGAAAATGAGATTCCTTATGCACAAAGGAGTTTCCACATGATGTATTCCAACTCTCAAATGCTTCCCCTTTTTATGCTTTATTGTCCAAAGGATGATTTAATGTTAAAATTGTCAGTTTACTATCAGGAGACAGGCTTGTTTTCTATTTGGAGTAGCTTCCCACATATAACAAAATTATGTGATTCCTGGAGTTTTCAGAAAGTTAAATTCACAAGATTTTTCAAGAGACTTGCAATTTGAGGCATTACATATATAGCTTAAGATACACTGTGATGGAAAACTTTAACTTCTTAGTTACATAGTACAATATACAGAAAAAGGATTATTTGGTACATTCCATTAAAAGTTATCTATATCTCAATAAGAAAAATGCAATCAGATAAAAGGTAAAATACATAAAAATTTATAGAATGTTCAGGAAACAAAAAATGAAGCTCAGACTCACTAGTACAGAGAGACTTAACACAAATTAATGCAAGATACTATTTTACCCATCATTGTGGCAAAATTAAGTAACTGAAATTATTTAACACTGTCAAGAGTATGAGGAAAGGACACACATATATTGTAGCTGGGAATATAAATTGGTACAGTACTTTAGAAGTATGTGGCAATAACTACAAAATATTAAACATACATGTCCTTTGATCCAGCGATTTAAAAAAAATATTTATTTATTTATTTTTAACATTTATTTTAGGTTCAGAAATACATGTGAGGGTTTGTTATGTAGGTAAATTGCATGTCACAAGGGTTTTGTGTACAGATTATTTTGCCACCCTGGTAATAAGCATAGTACTAGATACGTAGTTTTTCAGTCCTCACCCTCCTCTCTCCCTTCACACTCAAGTAGGCCCTGGCGTCTGTTGTTCCCTTTTTGGTGTCCATATGTACTCAATGTTTAGCTCCCACTTATACATGAGAATATGCAGTATTTGGGTTTTTATTACTGTATTAGTTTGCTTAGGACAATGGCCCCAGCTCCATCCATGTTGCAGCAAAGGACATTATCTTGTTCTTTTTTATGGCTGCATAGTATTTCGTGGTGTATATACACCACGTTTTGTTTCTCTAGTCTACAATTGACAGTCATTTAGGTTGATTCCATGTCATTGCTATTGTGAACAGTGCTGTGATAAACATACGCATGCATGCATCTCTATGGTAGAACAATTTATATTTGGGTATATATCGAATAATGGGATTGCTGGGTTGAATGGTAATTCTGCTTTGAGTTCTTTGAAAAATCGCAAAACTGCTTTTCAGGATGGCTGAACTAATTTATGTTCCTTCCAGTAGTGTATAGGCATTCCCTTTTCTCTGCAACCTTGTTGCCATCTGTTATTTTTTGACTTTTTAGTAATAACCATTCTGACTGGTGTGAGATGGTATCTCATTGTGGTTTTGATTTGCATTTCTCTAATGACTAGTGATGTTGAACATGTTTTCATATGCTTGTTGGACTCACGTATGTCTTCTTTTGAGAAGTGTCTGTTCATGCTCTTTGTCCACTTTTTAATGGGCCTGTTTTTTGCTTGCTGATTTGTTTAAGTTCCTTACAGATTCTGGACATTAAGCCTTTGTTGGATGCAAAGTTTGCAAATATTTTCTCCCATTCTGCTTGTTTACTCTCTTGATAGTTACTGTTGTCAGATGCATAGTTTGCAAATATGTTTTCCCATTCTGTAGGTTGTCTGTTTATGGCTGTGCAAAAGCTCTTTAATTAGGTCCCATTTGTCAATTTGTTGTTGTTGGTGCAATTGCTTTTAGTGTCCTCCTCATAAAATCTTTGCCAGATCCTATGTCCACAATGGTGTTTCCTAGATTATTTTCCAAAGTTTTTGTAATTTTAGGTTTTTTATTTAAGGCTTTAATCCATCTGAAGTTGATTTTTGTATATGGTTAATGAAGATGTCCAGTTTCAATCTTCTGCATGTGACTAGCCAGTCATCCCAGCACCACTTATTGAATAGGGAGTCCTTTCCTCACTGCTTGTTTTTGTCGACTTTGTGGAAGATCAGATGGTTGTAGATGGGCAGAATTATTTCTGGATTTCTGTTCTGTTCCATTGGTCTATGTGTCTGTTTTTGCACCAGGATCATACTGTTTTGGTTACTGTGCCTTGTAGTATAAATTGAAGTTCAGTAATGTAATGCCTACAGCTTTGTTCTTTTTGCTTAGTATTGCCTTGGCTAGTAAGGCTCTTTTTTGGTTCCATATGAATTTTAAAAGAGTTTTTTCTAATTTTATTAAGACTGTTGTTGGTAGTTTGATAGGAATAGCACTAAATCTGTAAATTGCTTTGGGCACTGTGGCCATTTTAACAATATTGATTCTTCCTATCCATAAGCATGGAATGTTTTTTTCATTTGTTTATGCCCTCTTTGATATCTTTCAGCAGTGTTTTGTAATTCTCATTGTAGACATCTTTTACCTACCTGGTTAGCTGTATTATTTGGTATTTTATTGTTTTTGTGGATATTGTGCATGGGATTGCATTCTTGATTTGGCTCTCAGTTTGGATGTTGTTGATGTATAGGAATGCCACTGATTTTTTGTTTGTTTGTTTGTTTGAGACAGAGCCTTGCTGTGTCACCCAGTCTGGAGTGCAGTGGCACGATCTCAGCTCACTGCAACCTCTGCTTCCCGGGTTCAAGTGATTCTCCTGCCTCAGCCACCTGAGTAGCTGGGATTATAGGCACGTGCCACCACACCCAGCTAATTTTTATGTTTTTAGTAGAGACAGGGTTTCACCATGTTGGTCAGGGTGGTCTCAAACTCCTGACCTCGTGATATAAACCCCTCAGCCTCCCAAAGTGCTGGGATTACAAGTGTGAGCCACCATGCCCAGCGCCATTGACGTTTGTATGTTGATTTTGCATCCTGAAACTTGCTGAAGTTGTTTATCAGATCAAGGAGCTTTTGGGCAAAGACCAAGGGGTTTTCTAGGTATAGAGTCATATTGCCTGCAAACAGGGATAGTTTGACTTCCTCTTTTTTAATTTCAGTGCCTTTTATTTATTTCTCTTGCCTGATTGCTCTGGCTAGGACTTCCAGTACTATGTTGAACAAGAGTGGTGAGGGAAGACATCCTTGTCTTGTTCTGGTTTTCAGGCGGGGAACATTTCCAACTTTTGCTTATTCAGTATGATGTTGGCTGTGGATTTGTCATAGATGGCTCTTATTATTTTGAAGTACGTTTCTTCAATGCCTACTTTGTTGAGGGTTTTTAACATAAAGGTAATCCAGCAATTCTACTTTTAAAAGTTAATCCTATGGAATATTTGCAATATGTATTACTACTAGTACCATTACTACACACACACACACATACACAGACACGTGCCTTTTACATAGAATGGGATATATAGTGCATATGTATTTAAAAGGATGTTTACTGAAGCACTGTTTGTAACGTGAAAAAATTAATTACTAGTGGAGTTGTTAAAAAAACCCCAAAGCATATATATGACACAATTCCATGCAGTAGTTAAAGAGCATCAGGTAGACTCACATGTTGATGTGGAAATATTGCCAAGATATATGAAGTGGAAAAAAAAAGGTGGCAGGAAGATGGCCAAATAGGAACACCTCCAGTCTACAGCTCCCAGCATGAGCAACGCAGAAGACAGGTGATTTCTGCATTTCCAACTGAGGTACTGGGCTCATCTCACTGGGGCTCGTCGGAGAGTGGGGGCAGGACAGTGGGCACAGCCCACCGAGCATGAGCCAAAGCAGGGTGAGGCATCACCTTGCCCAGGAAGCACAAGGGGTCAGGGAATTCCCTTTCCTAGCCAAGGGAAGGGGTGACAGATGGCACCTGGAAAATCAGGTCACTCCCATCCTAATACTGCGCTTTTCCAATGGTCTTAGCAAACAGCACACCAGGAGATTATATCCCCTGCCTGGATCGGAGGGTCCCACAGCCACGGAGCCTCTCTCATTGCTAGCACAGCAATCTGAGATTGAACTGCAAGGCAGCAACGAAGCTGGGGGAGGGGCGCCCACCATTACTAAGGCTTGAGTAGGTAAACAAAGCGGCCACGAAGCTCGAACTGGGTGGAGCCCACTGCAGCTCAAGGAGGCCTGCCTGCCTCTGTAGACTCCACCTCTGGGGGTGGGGCATAGCCAAACAAAAGGCAGCAGAAACCTCTGCAGACTTAAATGTCCCTGTCTGACAGCTTGGAAGAGAGTAGTGGTTCTCCCAGCACGCAACTTGAGATCTGAGAACAGACAGACTGCCTCCTCAAGTGGGTCCCTGACCCCCGAGTAGCCTAACTGGGAGGCACCCCCCAGCAGGGGCAGACTGACACCTCGCATGGCCGGGTACCCCTCTGAGATGAAGCTTCCAGAGGAAGGATCAGGCAGAAACATTTGCTGTTCACCAATATTTGCTGTCCTGCAGCCTCCGCTGCTGATACCCAGGCAAACAGGGTCTGGAGTGGACCTCCAGCAAACTCCAACAGACCTGCAGCTGAGAGTCTTGACTGTTAGAAGGAAAACTAACAAGCAGAAAGGACATCCACACCAAAACCCCATCTGTATGTCACCATGATCAAAGACCAAAGGTAGATAAAACCACAAAGAGGGGAAAAAACAGAGCAGAAAAGCTGAAAATTCTAAAACTCAGAGCACCTCTCCCCTTCCAAAGGAATGCAGCTCCTTGCCAACAACGGAACAAAGCTGGACGGAGAATGACTTTGACGAGTTGAGAGAAGAAGGCTTTAGACGATCAAACTTCTCCGAGCTAAAGGAAGAAGTTCGAACCCATCACAAAGAAGATAAAAACCTTGAAAAAAGATTAGACGAATGGCGAACTAGAATAACCAGTGTAGAGAAGTCATTAAATGACCTGATGGAGCTGAAAACCATGGC
The DNA here is from genome assembly GCF_000001405.40 of Homo sapiens. Lineage (NCBI taxonomy): Eukaryota > Metazoa > Chordata > Mammalia > Primates > Hominidae > Homo > Homo sapiens. Next base: position 56,430,416 of record NC_000008.11, read on the forward strand.
ATGAGAACTACGTGATGAATGTACAAGCTTCAGTAGCCAATTCAATCAACTGGAAGAAAAGGTATCAGTGATTGAAGATCAAATGAATGAAATGAAGCGAGAAGAGAAGTTCAGAGAAAAAAGAGTAAAAAGAAACAAACAAAACCTCCAAGAAATATGGCAGTATGTGAAAAGACCAAATCTACGTGTAACTGGTGTACCTGAAAGTGACGGGGAGAATGGAGCCAAGTTGGAAAACACTCTGCAGGGTATTATCCAGGAATACTTCCCCAACCTAGGAAGGCAGGCCAACATTCAAAATCAGGAAATACAGAGAACGCCACAAAGATACTCCTCGAGAAGAGCAACTCCAAGACACATAATTATCAGATTCACCAAAGTTGAAATGAAGGAAAAAATGTTAAGGGCAGCCAGAGAGAAAGGTCGAGTTACCCACAAAGGGAAGCCCATCAGACGAATAGCTCTCTCGGCAGAAACTCTACAAGCCAGAAGAGAGTGGGGGCCAATATTCAACATTCTTAAAGAAAAGAATTTTCAACCCAGAATTTCATATCCAGCCAAACTAAGCTTCACAAGTGAAGGAGAAATAAAATACTTTACAGACAAGCAAATGCTGAGAGATTTTTGTCACCACCAGGCCTGCCTTACAAGAGCTCCTGAAGAAAGCACTAAACATGGAAAGGAACAACCAGTACCAGCCACTGCAAAACCATGCCAAATTGTAAAGACCATCAATGCTAGGAAGAAACTGCATCAACTAATGAGCAAAATAACCAGCTAACATCATAATGACAGGATCAAATTCACACATAACAATATTAACCTTAAATGTAAATGGGCTACATGCTCCAATTAAAAGACACAGCCTGGCAAATTGGATAAAGAGTCAAGAACCATCAGTGTGCTGTATTCAGGAGACCCACCTCACGTGCAGAGACACACATAGACTCAAAATAAAGGGATGGAGGAAGATCTACCAAGGAAATGGAAAACAAAAAAAGCAGGGGTTGTAATCCTAGTCTCTGAGGAAACAGACTTTAAACCAACAAGGTCAAAAGAGACAAAGAAGGCATTACCTAATGGTAAAGGGATCAATTCAACAAGAAGAGCTAACTATCCTAAATATATATGCACCCAATACGGAAGCACTCGGATTCATAAAGCAAGTCCTTAGAGATCTACAAAGAGACTTAGACTCCCACACATTAATAATGGGATATTTTAACACCCCACTGTCAACATTAGACAGATCAACGAGACAGAAAATTAACAAGGATATCCAGGAATTGAACTCAGCTCTGCACCAAGCGGACCTAATAGACATCTACAGAACTCTCCACCCCAAATCAACAGAATATACATTCTTCTCAGCACCACATCGCACTTATTCCAAAATTGACCACATAGTTGGAAGTAAAGCACTCCTCAGCAAATGTAAAAGAATAGAAATTATAACAAACTGTCTCTCAGACCACAGTGCAATCAAACTAGAACTCAGGATTAAGAAACTCACTCAAAACCGCTCAACTACATGGAAACTGTACAACCTGCTCCTGAATGACTACTGGTTACATAATGAAATGAAGGCAGAAATAAAGATGTTCTTTGAAACCAATGAGAACAAAGACACAACATACCAGAATCTCTGGGACACATTTAAAGCAGTGTGTAGAGGGACATTTATAGCACTAAATGCCTACAGGAGAAAGCAGGAAAGATCTAAAATTGACGCCCTAACATCACAATTAAAAGAACTAGAGAAGCAAGAGCAAATACATTCAAAAGCTAGCAGAAGGCAAGAAATAACTAAGATCAGAGTGGAACTGAAGGAGATAGAGACACAAAAAAAAAATCCTTCAAAAAATCAATGCATCCAGGAGGTGGTTTTTTGAAAGGATCAACAAAATTGATAGACCACTAGCAAGACTCATAAAGAAGAAAAGAGAGAAGACTTAAATAGATGCAATAAAAAATGATAAAGGAGATATCACCACTGATCACACAGAAATTCAAACTACCATCAGAGAATACTATAAACACCTCTACGCAAATAAACTAGAAAATCTAGAAGAAAGGATGAATTCCTGGACACAGACACCCTCCCAAGACTAAACCAAGAAGAAATTGAATCCCTGAATAGACCAATAACAGGCTCTGAAATTGAGGCAATAATTAATAGCCTACCAATCAAAAAAAGTCCAGGACCAGATGGATTCACAGCCAAATTCTACCAGAGGTACAAGGAGGAGCTGGTACCATTCCTTCTGAAACTATTTCAATCAATAGAAAAAGAGGGAATCCTCCCTAACTCATTTTATGAGGCCAGCATCATCCTGATACCAAAGCCTGGCAGAGACACAACAAAAAAAGAGAATTTTAGACCGATATCCCTGATGAACATTGATGCAAAAATCCTCAATAAAATACTGGCAAACTGAATCCAGCAGCACATGCAAAAGCTTACCCACCATGATCAAGTGGGCTTCATCCCTGGGATGCAAGGCTGGTTCAACATATGCAAATCAATAAATGTAATCCAGAACATGAACAGAACCAAAGACAAAAACCACATGATTATCTCAATAGATGCAGAAAAGGCCTTTGACAAAATTCAACAACACTTCATGCTACAAACTCTCAATAAATTAAGTATTAATGGGACATAACTCAAAATAATAAGAGCTATTTATGAGAAACCCATAGCCAATATCATACTGAAAGGGCAAAAACTGGAAGCATTCCCTTTGAAAACTGGCACAAGACAGGGATGCCCTCTCTCACCACTCCTATTCAACATAGTGTTGGAAGTTCTGGCCAGGGCAATCAGGCAGGAGAAAGATAAAGGGTATTCAATTAGGAAAAGAGGAAGTCAAATTGTCCCTGTTTGCAGATGACATGATTGTATATCTAGAAAACCGCATCGTTTCATTCAAAAATCTCCTTAAGCTGATAAGCAACTTCAGCAAAGTCTCAGGATACAAAAATCAATGTGCAAAAATCACAAGCATTCTTATATGCCAATAACAGACAGAGAGCCAAATCATGAGTGAACTCCCATTCACAACTGCTTCAAAGAGAATAAAATCTCTAGGAATCCAACTTACAAGGGATGTGAAGGACCTCTTCAAGGTGAACTACAGACCACTGCTCAACAAAATAAAAGAGGACACAAACAAATGGAAGAACCTTCCATGCTCATGGATAGGTAGAATCAATATTGTGAAAACAGTTAACACACCTGTTAACTGTTAACAGTTAAACTGTTAACAGTGGTTACTTCTGTGGGAGTTACAGAAGGTGAAAGACGAATTTCACCAATAACATTGTATAAATCTGCCTTTAAGAATTCTTATGAAGAAAAATGATGGCACTTAGAACTACCTAAAATCTCCCTGTCACTTGTTGTTTATTGCCTCACTCTACCCATAGAATGTAAATTTTGAGAAAGCAGGTGGACTTTCATTTTCAGTAGCTTCTGAGCTGAGGGTAGTGCATGGCCTATAGCAGTGGTCCCCAACCTTTTTGGCATCAAGGGCCAGTTTTGTGGAAGACAATTTTTCCATGGACCAGGGTGGGGTGGTTTCCGGGTGATACTGTTCCACCTCAGCTCATCAGGCATTAGTTACATTCTCATAAGGAGCGTGCAACCCAGATCTCTCCCATGCACAGTTCACAGTAGGGTTGGTTCGCGCTCCTGTGAGAATCAGATGCTGCTGCTGACCTGACAGGAGGCGGAGCTCAGGCTATAATGCTCACTAGCCTGTCGTTCACCTCCTGCTGTGCTGCTGGATTCCTACCAGGCCATGGACCAGTACTGGTCCGTGGCCTGGGGATTGGGAACCCCTGGCCTATAGTATATGCTCCATAAGTATTTATTCAGTTAGTAATTTGGGTAATGAAAAGGAAATAATGACTTTCTGGGCAAATTCTCTATTGCCAGTTCCAAATTCACCTAAGTCTCCATCCCGCCAGACAATTCTTTAACAAGAGTAGCCTCTCCTATCACTTCACTGCTGATTTCAAATTGTGTGCCTTCCTCATGGCCCATCCTCTACTCAGTCCTTTCTGGATTCTTTGAAGATCTAGTATTCTACTTGATTGATAAATTGAAAGAGGAATTTTAGAAATTTGGCTCTTTCATTTCGTGTCTATAACTCCCTCTCCCTTCCAATTTCTTTCTAGATCAATATCAAAATGAGAGCAAGCAAGGTGGCCAGCAAAGGGTGTGCCTGAGGTCCTCCAGAGTTCTCCAGGGAAGAGAGCAACAAGAAACCCCAGGGGCGAGGTGACAGACTAAAGCCTAGTGGCTAAGGGAAGGGGGCGCCTCGCTGAGGGCCTGGGATGGAGTGGCTCCTTGAAATGTCTCAGTCATCAAAACCTGTGAATCCCTCAGAAGTGGGGTGTGCTCCTCACCTTGCTGTGGAAGGTCCTAGGAGGACCTGCCCAGTTCTCCTAATCCCAAGGAGCCTGCAAGGAGACCAGCAGAATGGTAAGGCTGACTATGGGAGAGGGCTGTTCTAACCCCAACACTCCATTCAGGACTTCTAAACACAAAAGCTGGAAGGAAAAACAGAAAGCCTATCAGTATTTTGCTAGGCAGCAAAAGATAAATTAGCAATGTCATGGAGTAAGTCTATAGTCAGGGTGATGGATAGGCTTGTGTGGATTGTAACAAGGTGATAAAAAATGATTCTTGAAGGTAATTTATAGCTTAAAGAATTCATGCATTTGATGGGTCTAAGGCAATTCACCGCAGAGCAGAAAATCATTCAGATATGTACCCTGAAAAACACACTTGAAAAGCAAAACAGTAAGGATATCCAAATGATCAATTAACATATGAAATGATGCTTGATCTCATTAGTAATTAGGGAAATGTAAATTAAAACAGAATGGCCTACTTTGAAAAGACTGACAATATGAAGTATTGGTGGGCTATACTGCAAGTAGAAGTCCAAAACAGTACAAACTTTTTTTTTTTGAGACCGAGTTTCACTCTTGTTGCCCAGGCTGGAGTGCAATGGCGCGATCTCAGCTCACTGCAACCTCCACCTCCTGGGTTCAAGTGATTCTCCTGCCTCAGCCTCCTGAGTAGCTGGGATTATAGGTGCACACCACTACGCCCAGCTAATATTTTGTATTTTTAGTAGAGACGGGGTTTCACCATGTTGGCCAGGCTGGTCTCAAACTCCCAACCTCAGGTGATCCACCTGCCTTGGCCTCCCAAAGTGCTGGGATTACAGGTGAGAGCCACCGCGCCCAGCCTAGTACAAACTCTTTAAAGCTGTCAGGCGCTATAAATGACAGTTGAATACACGTATGTGCTATGATCTGGCAAGTCTGCTCTCAGTTAAGTACCCAGGAGAAATGTGTCATGTGTGCTAAGAGACACAGTGGAGGATGTTTACTGAAGCACTGTTTGTAATGTGAAAAAAACTAATTGCTAGTGGAGTTATTAAGAAAAAACCCAAAGCATATATATGACACAATTCCATGCAGTAGTTAAAGTGCATCAGGTAGACTCACATGTTGATGTAGAAATATTGCCAAGATACACAAAGTGAAAGAAACGTGGCAGAATAAAGTGTACACAATCATAGCAGCATTATTTGCAATAGCCAAAACCTGGAAACCATCCAGGCATCCACGAGTAATGAAATGGAACTGTCGTATTTTCATACAATTGAATAGTCTGTGGCAATAAAAAGAATGAACCATGTCGATATGCAACACCATGGATGAATCTCACAAATCAAATATGGAGCCAAATAGATGGGGGGAAAAGTGTGTTTCCATGTCTATAAAATTTAAAAACAGGCGAACTAATCCATGGTTTTTCGAAGTCCTGAGGGTGGTCACCTTGGGCAGAAGGGAAGAATGGTTAACTGGGGGGGCCATGAGTGGGGTTTTTGAGATGCAGGTGATATTCTCTTTCTTTCCCTGGAGGGTGGTTCATGGGAATGTTTCCTTCATAGCAATCCAGTGAGAAGTGCCCTCGTGATATGTGGAACTCTTTGTGTTTATGTTATACCTGATAAAAAAAAAGGTAAGAGAAGAAGGATAAGCATGAAACATGGATGGCTGTGTTTAGGCTATTGCCAAGCTCCTCTGCAGATGTGAATTTTGCACTCCCTGCAGAGACATACATGCCTGGCCAATAATATAATTGTATGTTTTGTTTTGTTTGTAATTTGTCATTCTCAAAGCTATTGGCGAGTGCTGTGAGTTCTGATTTTTGGAATAGGAATTGATAAAGAATGTATTCATTGCATTTTTATTAGAAAACACTGAAAGTTTTATATAATTTCTTTTCAGGTAAACCCAGATGTTTCGATGGATGCAGAAATGATGGTAGATAAGCAGTACATTCTTCTCTCAGGAGCATGAGGAGAGATAAAACTTGTTCTTTGTGGGAGACAGTGAGATTTAAATAAGTCAGTATATCCTGCCACTCTCCTGCTCTCAGCCTTGAATCATTTTCTATCATATTGAGAATAAAACCCCAAGCCCTCGTCCCAGGCTTTCACAAGTCCTGCTGCTTCTCCATTAATACACCATGTCTCCATTTTGAGGCATTGCACTGGCTCTTCCCTCCATCTGGAGCCTCTTCCATCAAATATTCATTTGTTGAATGAATGAATTGATCTATGCGGGGGTGCTTCTGTACATTTCAGGAAAAGAAGAAAAACAAACACATAAATAAAAATGGTCAAAGCTTTACACCCCTCCCCTATCTTCTCCTAAGAATCGTTTTAGCTCAAGGCTCAGAGTCTTCATGCGTTTTATTTTTGGATAATTTCTCTCTCTCTCTCTCTCCTCTCTCTTTTTAAGACCAGTTTTAGGTTCACAGCAGAATTGAGTGTCAGGTACAGAGATTTCCTGTATGCACCTTGTCCAGGCACATGCACAGCCTCCCACATGATCAACAGGCCCCGCCAGAGAGGTCCAGTTGTTAAGGTTGATGAACCTGCACTGACACATCATTATCACCGAGAGGCCATAGTTTACATTAGGGTTCGCTCTTGGTGTTGGACCTTCTGTGGTTTGGACAAATGCAGAATGACATGTGGATAATTCTTTGATTACACAGGTTTTCCAGGTTTGTAATAGAAAACCGAACAAGTGAAGATGAGTATGAGGTGGCTTTGCAAGCAGTTTCTGCCTCGTGGGATATAACTGTCAGGAAAGGAGCCCCCTGCCTGGTGACCAGGACGGAGGCTCATGGATGGTATCTAATCTCTGAAAGAGCCAGGGTGAAGTGGGTGTGTGTGGTGGGGTGGGGGAGCCCAAGATCCACGTGGAAGAGCAATCGTGGCTGCTAATCCTGTAAGTGCTGCTGTGCGCTGGCCCTGGCTTAAAGACTCTACACCCTAACACATTTTACTTATCACAACAACTGAATGAGGCACAGAGGAGAAACCAAGGCAGGGAGAGCTGCAGTTCACACAGCTACCTGGGATTTCGATGCAGGCAGCCTGGCCTCACAAATGAACTCTCAGAGGGAGCCCAGAGCGGGACGCAGGCTTGGTGGTGGCAGTGGAAGGCCCGAGTGGGTAGGAACCAGCCCCAGCACCGGGAGAGCGCGGAATGGAGCAGCAGCGCCCTCTGCAGGTTGTGGATTTTCCTTCTTCTTGTTCCACGTGGTTTTCTCTGAGACCCTCTCAAATCAGCTGTGGCTTTGGGTTCATCTCACCCTAAGTCCTAGTCCTAGGTTAGTCCCCACCTTAGCCTGTCTCGTGTTTTCAGAACTCAGACATATGCGCTGAGTACGCACCGAGTGCCACAACAAAGTCCGGCTAGCGGCCCTTAGAATAGCAACCTAGGGGGCCTGGGCCCCTCAGAATTCAAATAGGAAATTCTTAAAAACATCAAACATCAAAGCCCTTAAGAGTTGGAAAGCAAACTTCTAATGCTGCAATTTCAAATTGAAGGCCAGACAGCTCAGGAGAAATTTGGAGAGTGAGTGAGGCCTACGCAACCCCCTCGAGTCATGTTTTGTGGACGACCGCCCGTACTTACTGCTGAGGACCTCTGGAGGAGGGGGTCCTGCGTCCTGTAATGCCCGGGGCGGGCGCACAGCCTTGGTTGGCATCGCTCCGCGGCCTGGAGAGGAGTCATCCCCGATCGTCCCTTTCCCCTTTCCTCGTGTCCCGACCCCTCTCCTCTGTTCCTTCCTTCCCTAGGCAATTTTGAAGCATCCTCTAGGTTCCCGATTCTACACCAGACATGAGAGAATTGAGGAACTGCAAGTGTGTGACGCTGTCCCACCCCGAGCATCGTGCGGCCCTTGGCGGAGGCGACCGGCGGGGCGTGGGGGGGGTAGTGTTGGGGGGTGGGGGGTGAAATGGAGCCGCAGACAACTCTTAACTACCACGAGTGCCTTAGCCCAGTCTACACTGCTTCCCCAAAAGAGAAGAAAGCCTCCTAGATTAAAAAAACTGTGCTTGGCCAGGCGCGGTGGCTCACGCCTGTAATCTCAGCATTTTGTGAGGCTGAGGCGGGAGGATTGCTTGAGGCCAGGAAGCCGAGGCTGAAGTGAGCTAGCGACTGCACTCCAGCCTGGGCAACCAAGTGAGCCCTCATCTCTAAAAAAAAAAAAAAAGAACTGTGTGTCAGGCCTCTGAGCCCAAGCTAAGCCATCATATCCCCTGTGACCTGCACGTACACATCCAGATGGCCAGTTCCTGCTTTAACTGATGACATTCTACCACAAAAGAAGTGAAAATGGCCTGTTCTTGCCTTAAGTGATGACATTATCTTGTGAAATTCCTTCTCCTGGCTCGTCCTGGCTCAAAAGCTCCCCTACTGAGCACCTTGTGACCCCCACACCTGCCCGCCAGAGAACAACCCCCCTTTGACTGTAATTTTCCTTTACCTACCCAAATCTTATAAAATGGCCTCACCCTTATCTCCCTTTGCTGACTCTCTTTTCGGACTCAGCCCGCCTGCACCCAGATGATTAAAAGCTTTATTGCTCACACAAAGCCTGTTTGGTGGTCTCTTCACACCGACGCGCATGAAACTGCGCTTGCTTTGAAAAATGTATTTGTCTGATGGTGAACTTTGTTATTTTCTCAAACACATTGTATGAGATATGTAAGTATACATATTGGACTATTGTGAGATAATAATGGCATTATCTTATCAATAATTATTGTATTATCTTTTTTCCTCCCGGGCTTTGCCTGGAAGAAAAAATTAGTTTACCAAGGATCAGGAAGATTGATGGAGTTGGGGCTCTGTGAGTGTGGGGCCCTGTGATTCCTTGCACTAATTCCAGGAGATGGGTCTCCTAACAGCATGATCATGTGGATGTCCTGTGAGCCCTGGCGGGGCTGTACAGAGAGAACAAACTGCCGAGCACAGTGCAGCTGCCTTATCAGATGGGGCACACAGGCTTGCACAGTGAGCATCTCGGCAGCAGCCTTGGTAGACTGCAGACCAGAGACTCGTCCCCCACTTTCCAGAGTTGCTAAATTCCAATGTTTTGAGAAACACAAGAGAAAGGGTTGGTGGGGGTCCTGGAAAAATGATTTAGTGAGTAGGGGTTAAGCCGTATGTTGTTTCAGTTAGAAAAATGAAAAGTTAAAGGCGAAAGATTTGCACGATCTGAAGAGAAACCAGAATGACGAGTTAATGGCACATGTTTACATACGTAACAAACCTGCATGCTGTGCACATGTACCCTAAAACTTAAAGTATAATAATAATAATAAGAAAAATGAAAAGTTACATTTCTTATATCTGAGCATTGTCTCATTAATATGAAGTAGTCATAAGCACCTTGTGTTTTGGGGATTTACCTTACAAAACACTCACAATATCTTTCCTCATTATCTGGTCACCAAATTAATTTATTCATCATTCATATATCCATTCATCCGATATTGGAGAATCTGCTACAGTCATAGTGTAGAGGTGTACAATGGTGACTAAGATGTAGTTCCACGTTCTTACAATTCTTACTAGTGACGTGGATAGGAGATAAGGAACCGCAGTGAAAAGGATATTGACTGGGCACAAAAAGTTTGGGGTTTTAATCCTATTTTTGTCCTTCAACTGCTGGGCAACTTTGGGCCAACTACACAACCTTTCTTGGCTTCCCTTTCTTCATTTGTAAAATTGGACTAAATTATCTTTAATTTCTTACTAACTTCTAAAATACTTTACTGAAGAAAAGAGACATACACATCTGATGTAAATGCAAGTATGTGTGTGTGTGTGTGTGTGTGTGTGTTTAATGGGGGCATAGCTGGCTCCTTTATTAGGCTTTGGTTTTTCTTCATGTATCTGATTTCCAGAAATGAGAGTGAAAATACATTTTATTTTGCTCCCACGTGTTTACTAATCTAAGATTTCATGCTGTGAGGAATTAAATAAAAAATGTTTTTGAGCCTTGGCTGAAGGAGAAGAAAGACAATGATTATGATGTCAAAATTATGTCAAAAGCAGATGGTTCTACTGTCCCTGAGTCTAGGATTGATGCGGAAACCCAAAGGTAAATGAGAGCCTTGGAGAAAAAGAGACTTACAAGGATATTATGCACTTGGGGTAATAGGTTTATTATCTCTATATACAAGTAAGCATTTATTGATGTTTGTCAAAAATAAGAGACAAGATAACAAAAACTATTTTAGCATGAAAACGAGATAGCTGCAATAGACTAATACTGAGCTTAAAGACTCCAAAAAGAGCACAGAACCTGAAATGACAGTTTTCAGGTTGTATAGTTATCCAGACAATGAAGTCAACTATACAAGGCAAGCAACACATGACAATAAAACACCATCAACAGTTTCCCACTGGAGGATGGAGGGAGGCTTGCTGGGGCCTGGGGCCACTAGTGGGAAAAGATATTAAAATCTCATAAATCCTCCGTATCTTTTTTCCATTTCAGGAACTTCTTTGGAGTAACTTTCGCCTTCTTCGTCGGAGGGCAGAGCCTCGGCAAAGCGCTTCAGGAAACCTCCATACCGTTTCTGGTAGTCCATCCACCACTCTGGGCGACCTACTCTTCTCATGAAGCCCCCATATCGCTTCTGCAGCTCTTTGGCTTCATCTTCCAGTTGGGGGCTTCTCTTTAAGCCTCTCATGAAGCCCCCATATCTCTTGCTCACTTCTTCCTCATTATCACTGCCATCCTGGTGGTGGCTACGCTCTCGGTTGTCCCCTGTTTCCAGAAGCTCTTTTAGCAGGTCTGAGGAATTGGCCAGCGAGTCGTCCTCCTCTGCATCCTTCTTCATGAAGCCCCCATACCGCTTGGCGAGGATCTCACTTCCATTGGCCTCTTCTTCTGGCTCCATGGGATAAAGCTCATCCATTTTCTTCATGAAGCCTCCATACCTTTTCATGAAGCCCCCATACCTTTTGGCTAGCAAATGGCTTTCTTCCGGTTTGCTATTTTCTCTGAGGGTGCTGGTGCCATCTTGAGGAAGCTCTGGTTTGGACAGCTGCAGGAGCTCCTTGCAGGTTTCCCAAATTTTCAGAGAAGGCAGTTTACCTTCACATTCCATTACGCAAGCCTGGGAAAACAATTTGATGTAATGATAAAAAGAAGCTTCTGTGATTTCATTAAGCAAATGAACTTTTGTGGACCAAAATATGCTTGCTTTGACATCATAACTTCCTTATTATAATAAGGTCATCTCCAATTTCTTATCACGACTTTTCATAAGGCTGAGCATGCAAATGAAACAAATAAAATTTGGAAAGGTGAAAGTGGAGGGGTTCACTGAATCCAGTTAGGAATCTGCCTTTGGATTTTAAACCCATAGAAATTTTAAAGAATTTAAAAAAAAATTTTCCATGCAGTTTTAACTTAGATTGACTGCTTTCACAATCTAATTTCACTGGATAATTTTCCACTTCTGATATAATTTTGTTTGAGATTTTTCTAACCAAAAAGGAGAAATTTTTATTTACCTAATCAGGGATATTTCCTCAAAATTCCTTTTATCTTCTTGTCTTAGAGATAAAATCAATATTAATAACCTAAGGGTCATTTGCTTTCTTGTGTTAATATTTTACCTAAAATGGTATCGAGTATTCCTGCAAATACTTTCAATCTTCAAAGAAAAACAACAATTTAAAAAAAGTTTATAAACACATCCTAAAAACTCAATTTAAATCTGATGAATTATTTGCATTCTTATTAATTTGTTAATTTGTTGTAAGTACAGATCTTTTGTTTTTTTCCTTTTTTCTTTGCTGGATACAACAGACTTTATTATTTTGAACAAAATGTCTATAATGATGAGATCAGATATAAAATTATACAAATGCAAGTGCACAAATTATTCATGTTTATTTTCTTCACATTTAGTCACTGTTGTACAGAAAAAGTATTTTTCAATGGAAATCATGGTGTTTGGTAAAATAGGAATCATCAGCATACATTCTTTCCTTTTTCTTATATAAATATTAAATATAAAATCATTGTAAGTCTATACATTCGAATGATCTTAAGTTTTTTTCTATTTAACACATCACTTGGGTATGATAAAGAGAGTACTAATATGTGAACATTTACAAAACATGCATGATATTTCTTAGCATTTCAGGAGTTTTTTACAGCCCTCTGAAGTCTTTCTTGGTATTATTAAAAATATACTGGTATATTAAGTGATGTTAAATACACATATATTATTTTCACAATGAAAGAAAGCATTTTATTAGTGCAACAAAATCTTGAAGGCACGTATTTAGTAAGCTCTTAATGAGTATTTAAGCTTCGTGTCTGAGAAGATTAAATATATAACTACGTAAGAATCTAAAGATGATCCATTAATAATTAAAATGTCTTATTTTATTCCTGACATATGATGAACAAATAAAAACACCATTAGAAGCTTAAGATATTTAAGGAGCAATAATATTTCCATTCTAAAGTTGTATCTAAGTGATCTTGTTGTTAAAAATTAATGTTGAATGTTTTGCATACTAATACCAAAAGATTTTTAAATGTATGTGATGTGAGATTCCTTCAAAACCAAATAGTAACAAATATCAGAATAATGCACTCGTACTAAGGTAGCGATGTTAACTGATGGCTCCTATAACCATGTATGCATGTTTTGTGGTATTTACCACACTTTGTGTGGTATGGTCAAGATCACATTAGATGGGAAATTCTATCTGGACATCAGCCATAGCACGCCTGCTCATCTCTGCATCCACCACAGTACCAATCATAAGTGTCTTTCTCATGGTAGAAGCTCAGTAAATATTTGTTACATTGATTTCACTACATAATTTTGGCTAGGCAACCTCGTTTCTCACATGTCTTTTGCATCCGAGCCAAAATCCCAGAATGTTGTAATTCTAGCGAGACAGTCACTAAGTAAACCTTTTGTCATTGAGACAATAACAACCCTAAATGTAGGGTCCAATGCAAATCAGTTATTATGCAAAATGCCTTTCTATAAGACTATTTTTATTGATGGTTGCTTATTATCTATTTTTTTCAAGTTGCTAACACTACACGTGCCATTCCATCACCTGGATTAAAGTAATGATAATAGTAATAAGTGATAACAACAAGAGCATAAAAAGCAGTATGGAAAATTCTGGAAAGAGCAGCCTTCCTCTTCTCCTCCCCCACAATCCTGTTACATGATGAGAAGAGGGTGAGAGAGGGAGAGAAGTCAAGATTTGAGGTGATACCCAGGGAAGAGCTAGCTGCTACCCAGTGAGCTCTGCTCAAGTTCCTCAACAATGCAAAAGGAAGATTAGTAGCATTTTGGGAGCTTGGTGAATCAAATAGATTAAGTATGAAAAAAACCCATTTGAATAGGCATGATTAAAAGTCAGTCATATTAATTCGCTAACTCACATAATTTAAGTAAATATGATACTACTTTGGGGTCAGTCTGTGTGATTAGAAAAATTAGACTAGAATCCATATAACCTTTATTCAGATGGCAGAGAAAGCTAGGGGAGGGGGCTGAGCCCCTGACATGTTGAGCAGGCAAAGCTCAAAATATGTGTGACTGGGCACAGGGAATTATGGGGTCAGAAAGTGGAGTCTTCTATGTGGCATGTTTTGGATTTTTCTTCCTCCTTCTGTGTCTAAAATTCTTTATCCACAAGATCTATCCTTATATTTGTAGCACTGGCTCAATTTTTAGGCATAGGTTAAAAGCTCATGACTACAGGAGAAAGAAGAAAGATGGGTGAAGGGGATTGTTTCTCCTATTGAAGATGAAACATTTTTCTCATAGTTTAAATATACAACCTTCCTATGTGTCTTCTCTTTAATGCCAAGTTAGCACAGGTCAAAGAAACAAACATTTAACCTGAAATATATACCACAGATATTTGGAAACTGTTCCTTGGTTTTCTCCCCATTTCAAACATCTACATAAGGTAAAATTTCCTCAATTCCAGGTGGAACCCAAAGCAGCTTGGATGAATACATTATTCTCTATGAGCTTTTTAAGTCACCATAAAATTTCAACAAATTTCAAAAGCAATGCAAAGGAATTGTCAGGGGAGCTGGTAAAAGTGAAGCTACCTGAGTCTCGAGGTTGGAGATTCAGACTCAGTAGAGCACCAGAGGTGATTCGACAGCCCATGGGGAACCATGATCAGAATGAAAGTTATTTTGTCCTCAGCTTTTTCTTTCCCCAACCCCCTGTAGTGCAGTGTATCTTTGGACTGTTGTCACCCATTGGACACTGGCCACTTCTCTTGTTCCTTTCTCATAGCCAAATTAAACTGTTGTTTTAGTTACTATTACAAAGGGCAGTTGAAACAGAAGTTGAATTCCAGCATCACTGGCTAGTGAGACAGTTTGAACTCTTTCCTGTCTACGGTTATTTCGCCTTCCTCTCCCCGTACCCCTTTTCCATCCCTTTGCTCTCTCCTATTTACAGGTGAGGGTAGGGAATGAGGGACCTGAGGTTAAGAGAGCTGGGGAACATAAATCTAAAGAAAGGCACCGAAATGTCACTAACAAAAAATTACATTATTTGTGGGAAAGATGGGAAGATGACTGCGTGTGGAGGGGCCCTTAGCTGGGATATGTTAGGAGTTGTGGTGACAGCCATCTTCCTTCTGACAGCCCAGGAGAGAACCCAGTGCTATCCGAGGTGCTGAACAGAGGACTTCTCGGGGTTCCCGAATTCCCAGGGTTAAAACAAACTTGGTTTGTGCGGCGACACCGCTACCCTTACCGGTCCCCAGATAGTCGCGGATCCCCGAAGCTAAGAGCCAGGGCAGGACTTCAGTCAGTGTTCCAGGAACAGCTGAGACACCCAGGTCACCACGGGCTCGCGCCGCTGCGGCTCCGACCCGGTGCGAACCGCCATACGCGCCGCGCGGTGGGCCGGAGGCAGTCCGCGTACTGTTGCGGAAACTCTGTCTCACAAGGTGCGCAACACTCGCCGCGCGCAACACTCACCAGGAAGTTGATGTCGGCCGGGCGCACTAGGCGGTAGCTGCACGTCGCGCAATCCTGGCTGCATTCGGCCCGCACGGTCGCCAGGAGCCCGGGGCCGAGCAACAGCAGCCAAGTGCAAAGTGTCAGGAACCGCGCCATGGACTGCGAGGAGAGAGGGACGCGTGCTTCGAGCCTGCCTGGGCGCAGAACGGGGTCCCTCGGCAGGACCCTCGCCGCGACAGCCTCAGCAGGGGATCGTCGAGCAAAAGCCCGCAGGAATGCTCCTTTCTGGGGCCCCGCCCTCCCGGCCGACAGCTTTTAGGTAGACGTGGAGGCGACTCAGATCGCCTCGCGGTTCCCGGGATGGCGCGGTCGCCCCCAACGCGAGGCTGCCTGGGGCACCCGGCTCTTTTCCTGGGCGTCCGCGGCCCAGGGCAAGATTCCGGAGAGAACGCCGCAGACCAGGGGCGAGAGAGCGGGAGCCGGGGGAGGCAGGACATTGACTGGGGTCACAAAGAAGAACCAGGGAACGCTGTTGGGGAACCCATGCAATGAAATGTGAAGGGAAAGAGGGCGGGCAGACGTCCCCAAACCCGCTCAGCAAAGACAAGCTTCGGGCAAATTCACTCACGTTGACGCTGTTCGGATGGAGCAGGCCAATTGGAAAAGCCGGGTTCAGACACGACTCTAGAGGGAAGAGAAGAAGGCAAGTGTGAGGAGGGCGGGCGTCGGGGAGAAGCGGGCCCGGGTGTGCTGGCGGACGTAGGGCCTCACCGTCGCGGTCCTCAGCGTCTCTGCGGGGTCACGGGCCAGGCTGCGGGGCTCTGAGCGCCTGCCTCGCCGTCCCGGGGCTTAACGGCTGCTGGAGCCACTTTATAATTAGCCCCAAACCGAAGGAGGCGCGCGCGCCCCAATCGCCGGCGGGCTGCAGCTGACGCAGGCCCTACGCCAGCCCCGCGCCGACGCCTTCGCGGGAGGGGTCGGTCCCCCAGCACCCGCGCGCCGCTCCCCCCGCCGAGCTCGGGTGGGGGCCACAGGGGGCGCTCGGTGGCTCCCCACACGGCCAGGTGACAAACCCAAGGCAGTTAGGAAGTTTGGGGAGAGTGAGATAGGATCAAGTTTCTCCGCATAAAGTCACTGAAATTGCACCGTGGGATGCGGGCTCCAGGGAGGGAAGCGAGGTGGGGGCGTTTGGAAGGATAGATGGACTGGCTTAGACTTCTGGAATGTGCTGGAGACCCAGCGGGCCGGTGAACCTGCCCCTTTCCCGCCTCCTCCCTGGGCCCCCTCGCGGGTCCCCGTGGGCACCAAGCACAGCCGTCCGGAATGTCGTCATTTATTGACCAACCTGTCCCCCACACTTGACTCCGAGTTCCTTACTGCAGCATCTAACAGCGTCAAGGTGCGCAGTTTAGGCGCTCAATTAATGGTTACAGGAACTGAACGATTGAAAGTTTCTGGGAATCTTAAAATCTCAGGACAGAATTTTCACCTTTCCAGTTAGAGACCCTTGGCCAAGCGTAGAAGCAGGTAAACCCTCAGGTTCCGGGACTGCGCGCTTTTCAGCCACTGTGGGAGAGGATCCGTGTTTAACCAGCTCCCCGGGGCTCCCAAGTCGAAGACCTACTGCCTTGAGAGCGCTGTCCAGGGTGTCCGGGGGTGTTGGATCAGTGAGAGGGGGGTGCCGGGGCGGGTGTAATGTCAGCGCGCCAGGAGTGTGGTGGGGAGGGAGGGATGAGGGACACCCTACCCGGGACGCCGGGGCTTGGAACCTCTTCTCCACCGGGAGGGGGCCGAGGGCACACTGTGGAGGCTGGTACTGTCCATTAAGACACGCTTTCCCGCTTCCTGGCTCTGCAAAAGATTGCTAAGCGGCAAGCTGCTTACATTGCCTGAGGCCTCAGTTTCCCTATTTGAAAAATAGGAACAGAGGTAATATGCCATTCATAAGGTTCTGGAGAGAATCAAATGAAATAGTGGACGAAATCTCTTAGCCTTGTGCCTGGCACTATAGCAAGCCCTCAAAACATCTTCTAACCATCCGTCATCCGTCCGTCCACCTTTCCATCTGTGACCATTGTCTGCTTACCTTATAGCTACCATCGATGTATCCAATCCACCTATGCATCTATGTCTCCTAGACCTAGGGGGAAACCATAAACAGTTCCTGGGAAAAGGTCCCAGAGGTTTCCAGGCCCTCTGCGCCCTCTGCAAAGGGCTGATTTCTACAGTCGCTAGGACCTGCAGCGGCGCTGCTCCCGCGGGGCTCCGGCCGCGCTGCATGTCCCATTATAGTCGCTAGAGGGCAGCGCTCTCCTGCGTAGGCTGGGCTTGCGGGGACTGGGGTCTCAGTTCTCCGCAGGCCTCAATGTGCGGGCTTGACACGCAGCCCTCGGATTAGCCCCGAAGCTGCACCCGAGCACCGCCTGCCTCCCGGCCGGGGCATCACGGTAGCAAGGTCGGGAAAGCAGAGCCCTGGAGTGGGGCTGGAGAACCCCGGACATAGCCCTAGGGAGCCAGCATTACCCTCTGAGCAGGAAAACACAATGTTTCCCGCTTTAGGTTCTTTTCATCATGGGGCCCCTTACTAGCTCCTTACTCTCTCCCCAAGGCAAAGGAGAGCTTTTGTCTTTACTTCAGATTTTTCCTTGTTGCCTGGGCTTTGGAAAGGAAGCTGACTCCACTGCAGTACTCAGTGCGAAAGTATTGCATGAACAAATTCTACCTAAAATTAAAGGAAACTTGCTATAGCTGAGCACTTGCGAACCTGGGATCACCTAAGAACTTTAAACGCATAATCAGGAGCGGGAGGCTGAGGTAGGTGTGTGTGTGTGTGTGTGTGTGTTTGTGTGTGTGTGTGTGTGTTTGGAATGACCACATCACGCGATGCTTTTTAAGGGTGCACAGCGCGCAGTAGTGGAAACAGTGCATTTCTGCACCCTGGCGACACAAAGGCTCGTTAGGATCTTGGAAAAGTAGAAGCTTAAGTTTGGGAGAGGTTTTAGGGATAATTTATTCCACCGCCCGTTCTACAGATGGTAAAAACCAAGGCTCAGAACGTCTGAGTGACCAGCCAGGGCAGTGGCAGACCAGGTTTTCCAGCCTCTGAGTTCCTTCCCGAAACCTACCTCAGGCCTAGTTTGTTTCTGTTGGAACTAGTCATGTTTGCTCTGAGTTAGGGTCTCTTGGCGCATTTGCATTTTCCCCTGAGACTCCTGAAATGTCAGGGGAGAGAGAAACAGAAAGGGAAAGAGAGGGCGCCTCCTAGGGGCAGTGCAAGAGTGTGCAGTCCCCCACGAGACCTTCCTAGATGCTTGGGGCACAGTGGTTGCTTGGTAAATGTGTGTCGACCGGCTGACTGACTGAATGAATGAAGTGATAGGAGGTCGACCTTGTTTGCCTACCCCAAATCAGTGACATCTCTTCCCATCATCCTCCCCCATCGACCTGAGAAACTAAAAGTCATTCTGGTGGCAATGAGTTGTAAGAAATTCATTTTTTCATCATCTTTTAAATATTTATCAAGAGTGAACAGACTTTGCAGTTATGATCTGGGAGAAAGCTGCTCTAGAAATCAGACTAAAAAAGGGAAGGGGCTCTGTCTTAAAGCATTCAATCCAGACATTTTTTATTTTCAGGTTAGGATCAATAACTCATCTTCTGATCCTAGGGTCCCAAGCATTTGCCCAAAGGGATTCATCCTAGAGACCAAGAAATCTGACTTTTTAACCCTGATGATGAATGGCATTTTACTCAGTTCTTAGGTGTTCTCAGAGTCTAAAAAGGTGGGATTTTACAATGTTCTTTTAGTGTCCTCTTCCATTATTTTCAGATGGAAGATGGCTAAATTGAATGACGTCTTTCTGGTACTCACTCCTCTGCTCCCCTCCCCTTCCTGTCACCCAAGCACACGTGTTTTATTACAGAAAGCCATTTCTGTCTGCCCCCCTCTCTCTAAAGTAGCAGTAGTGGAAACAAGCCCCTTCAGCACTCAGGCAATTGTGTGATGGTTCAGCATAAAAGCAACATGTTCTAACATTTCAGATGTTTGGAGTCATGCCAGAGTCAGGGGAGACATCCCCGTTTTCAGTTACAATCTAAAGTGCACAGTTTGCAAAATGTGATTCTGTGAGTTGGGCATATAACTGTGAAGTAGCACTGTTAAGGGATTCTTTTTCAGACTGGCTCAGAACACCATAACAGAGCAGCTGGAAGTGGGGTTGGCTTGAACGAGATGTTTTATGGTGTCACAAACCCCATTTTAAGGAAAGTCAGTGTTGGAACATTCTGGAAAATGTACCAGGAAATAGAATAAAACTCTAGGAAGAAAAGGTAATCTGGTACAAAGTTGCCAGATTAAATAATAGAAAGAGTTTAAATAATATAAATTAAATAATAGAATGAGTTTAAATAATAGAAAACATGTCAATGTGTCAGAGGAGGTGGGGAGAAAGGGAAGGTAAATTAAACCAAGAATATCAAACATATTGTTTATGTACTGTAAACTTAGGGAGGATTGAAACACACTTCCTAACTTTGGCCTTTTGCTCTCCAGGAGGGAAAAGATCAATCTTACTATTAAGTATAGGTAATTAGACAATGAATAAAGCAAGTCCTATTATGAAAAATTAGATTAAAATAAGATATAGCTGTGAGTCCAACCAATAGAGTATGTCTTGAGCAGCTCGACTTTTAATAATGACTTTTGAAATTGCCTTGAGAAATTTAATAGCCACGTGAGAGAACCAGTCAATGTTAAAAAATTGTGTTGCCTCAGTGAAACCCCGTCTCTAATAAAAATACAAAAAAAATGAGCTGGGTGTGGTGGCGGGTGCCTGTAGTCCTAGCTACTCAGGAGGCTGAGGCAGGAGAATGGCAGGAAGCTGGGAGGTGGAGCTTGCAGTGAGTCGAGATTGCGTCACTGCACTCCAGCTTGGGCGACAGAGCAAGACTCCATCACAAAAAAAATTGTGTCACCTCATTGGATTCAAACCTTATTCAACAACTTGACTTTGATTTGGTGTTTTGGTTGTTTCTGAAATCAAATATTAGATCCCACTTATGGGACCTGTATAGAAGGCATTCAAAAATATTCATCCACCACAGACAATTTCCACAGTTGAAGGAATGCTAGAAGAGAAGTTCTAAATAGATTTTGATCAATAGTAAGTTATTGGAATGAATGCAATGGCTGCAGGATACCAAGTTCTTAAGGGAATCCCTTTGCGTATGATCCACAGCACAGATGTTTGCACATAGTAGAGACTCAGTGAAGTTGCTTTTAAAACATGTGTTTTTGCTTATAGTTACATCTTCCATAGCTCCCAAGTGATGGTGAATGGTGGGATAGACCCAAGAGGTCAAACTGTTTTAATAAAATTATATAGGGAAAGCACTCAAATCTTTCAAAGCTATCAAATAAAAACTGAGCAAACTGAAAAACCACGACTCTTCTTAGATCTATCATAGAGGTTGGGTCACAGGGGAAACCACTGTCCCCCCAAATTGGAGAGACCAACAGGCAAACACAGGGGGTCCTGGCTTGCTGGTGCAGAAACCTCCCAGAGAATCAGTTGGGAGGTAGAAAAACCTGAACTACAGCTGACAAATTCCGGGAAACTGTGTGAACAAATCTGAGATAAAAATTCCAGGAGAACCCAGTCCACGGAGGCCTCCACACTTTCATGAGTTTTACTTACAGGTGTTCAACCAGGTTCTCACAATGAATAATGGAAAAAATTTCCCTTGTGCTTCAAGCAGTGGGAGGGAAAAAAGAGCCATTTTGAAATACACCGGAACATTGTGTTCCTAACAAGGTTTGCCCACAGGAGAACCTAGTTAACCAGAGTCTAATCTCCTGAAGTTTTATCAGAAAATAGCTGACCTGAGGGACTGGAAATACCCAACTCCAGCCCCCTCCAGCCATTGTGTTCTACTGAAGGGGAGGCTGGGGACTAAGAACATATGTAAAGTTCACAGCCCAGAGGTACAGGCTCACTAAAGACTGAGACCTACTCAGAGGACTGCAGAACACTCCCTTCCTGCTTTATCAACACATTACTAAAGGCATATTTATAACATTTCCGTTTACCCAGTACATCAAGTCTGGCTGTCAAGAAAAAATTACAAGACATACTAAAAACCAAAAAAAAAAAAAAAAAATCCCCACAGTTTGAAGAGACAGAGCAAGCATCAGAACCAGGCTCAGATATGTCAGAGATGTTAGAATTACCAGATGGGGAACTTAAAACAGCTATGATTAAAACACTAAAGGATGAGGTAGACAGCATGCAAGAACAGATGGGCAATGTAAGCAAAGAAACAGAAATTCTAAGAAAGATCCTAGAAGAAATGCTAGAAATCAAAAACACTGTCACAGAAATGAAAAATGCCTTTGATGGGTTTATTGTTAGACTGGATATGGCTGAGGAAAGAATCTCTGGACTTGGGGATATGTCAATAGAAACTGCCAAAACTGAAAGGCAAAGATAAAAAAGACTGAAAAAACAAAAAACAAAAAACAGAATATCCAAGAACTGCAGGACCATTATAAAAGCAGTAACACAAATGTAATGAGAATTCCAAAAGGAGAAGAGAGAAACAGAAGAAATGTTTGAAACAATAGTAACTGAGAATTGCCCCAAATTTTGTCAGACGCTAACCCCTATATATCAGGATATGTTGTCAGGAAGCCCAGACAACACTGAGCAGGATAAATGCCAAAAACCCTATACCTGTGCATACTATTTTCAAACTACAGAAAATCAAACATAAGGAAAGCATCCTGAAGGAAGCCAGAGAGGGGAAGAACACCTTACCCGTAGAGGAGTAAAGATAAGAACTACCACCGGGTGCGGTGGCTCACACCTGTAAGCCCAGCACTTTGGGAGGCAGAGGCGGGTGGATCACGAGGTCAGGAGATCAAGACCATTCTGGCTAACACGCTGAAACCCCGTCTCTACTTAAAAAATACAAAAAAATTAGCCAGGCATGGTGGCAGGCGCCTGTAGTCCCAGCTACTCGGGAGGCTGAGGCAGGAGAATCGCTTCAACCTGGGAGGTGGAGGTTGCAGTGAGCTGAGATCGTGCCACTGCACTCAAGCCTGGTGACAGAGCAAGACTCCATCTCAAAAAAAAAAAAAAAAAAAGATAATAACTACATCTGATTTCTCAGAAATCATGCAAGCAAGAAGAGACAGGAGTAAAATATTGAAAGTATTAAGAGAAAAAAAAACCCCATCAAGCTAGAATTCTTTATTTTGTGAAATTGTCCTTCCAATGTGAAAGAGAAATAATTTCTTAGACAAACAAAAATTGAGAGAATTGATTGCCAGTAAACCTGCCTTGCAAGAAATGTTAAATTCTTTAGAGAGAAGGAAAATAATAAAGGTCAAAAACTTGGATCTACGTTAAAAACGGAAGAGTATCAGAGAAAGAATAAGTGAAGGTAAAATAAAAACTTGTATTTTGTTATTGTTGATTGATCTAATAAATAACACTTTGTTTAAAATAATAAAAGCAACAGTGTATTTGATTATGTATGCTTATGTGCAGATATATGTTTAGGTACGCTTATATGTAAGTGAAATAAATGGGAGCAATGATACAAGAAACAAGAGGAAGGAATTATAATTATTTTGTCATTGTAAGGTACTCACATTACCTGTGAAGTGTTATTACATTATTTGAAATTGGACTTGGATTCCTTGTAAATGTATACTGTAAAATCTAGGGTAAACACTTTAAAAAGTTAAAAAAAGGACAACTGATATGCTACTAAGGGAGAGAAGATAGAATGATATAAAATACTCAATTAAAACCACAAAAGTCAGAAAAAGAGTAGAAGACAAAAATAACAAAGGCAACAAATAGAAAACGATAACACATATGGTAGATAGGAATCCAACTGTATCAATAACTGGTTTGGATTTCAGTGACCTAAATACACTAATTAAAAGATATTGTCAGAGTGGAATAAGAAACAAGTTTCAACCATGTGTTGTCCACAAAAAGTCCATGTAAATATAAAGGTACATATAGATTAAAAGTAAACAACTGGTGAGAGCTGTGCTAAAACTAATAAAAAGAAAGCAAAAGTAGCTATATTAATTGCAACCAGAGAAGACTTCAGACCAGAAAAAGTTATCAGGGGTGAAGAGGACCATTACATAATGATAAAGGGATTACTTCTTCAAGAAGACATAAAAATTCTTAATGTGTGTGCACCTAACAACAGAGCATCAAAATACATAGGCAAAAACGGGTAGGACTGCAGGGAGACATAGATGAATTCACTATTATATTTGGAGGCTTCAACACCCCTCTGTCAGCAATGGACAGATCCAGCAGGCGCAAAATTGGTAAGGACAAAGCTGAACTCAACAACACCATCAGGCAATTGAATATAATAGATATCTACAGACTGTTTCATCCAACAACAGCAGAATATCCATCCTTCTCAAGCTAACACAAAACATTCCCCAAGATAGACCACATTCTGGGCCATAAAACACACCACAGCAAATTTACAAGAATATGAATCATACAATGCCTGCTGTCAAACCACAATGGAATTAAACAAGAAATCCATAATAGAAAGATGAATGGAAAACCCCAAAATACTTGGAGATGAAAAAACACTTCTAAATAACATATGGGTCAAGGAAGAAATCTCAAGAGAAATTTAAAAGTAACTTAGAATTGAGTTAAAATGAAAACACAACTTATCAAAATTTGTGGGATGCAGTAAAAGCAGTGCATAGAGGGAAATTTGTAGTATTGAATGCATATGTTTGAAAAGAAGAAAAATCTAAAACCAATCAACTAAGCTTCCACCTTAGGAAACTGGAAGAAAAAGATCAAATTAAAGTAAGTAGAAGAAAAGAAATGATGGAAATTAGGATAGATTAGATTTGTTAGATTTCTCTGTCTTATTATCCTGTCTTCATGTTTTTATGTCATTTTGGGTAGTCCTCCCTTATCCATGGTTTTCCTTTGTTTGGTTTTAGTTACTTGCAGTCAACTACAGTCAGAAATTATTAAATGGAAAATTCCAGAAATGAATAGTTCATATGCTTTAAGTTGTGCACCATTCTGAGTAGTGTGATGAAATCTCAT
Organism: Homo sapiens; assembly: GCF_000001405.40. NCBI lineage: Eukaryota > Metazoa > Chordata > Mammalia > Primates > Hominidae > Homo > Homo sapiens. The sequence goes on from NC_000008.11 coordinate 56,454,911, forward strand.
GCCACCTTCCTCTGTCCCATTGGGATGCCAATCATCCTTTTGTTCAGCATATTCACATTGTATAGTAAGTCCCCACTTAACAGTTGTTGATAGTTTCTTAGAAACTGTGACTTTAAGCAAAACAATGTGTAATGAAACCAATTTTACCATAGGCTAATTGACATAAACAAGAGTTAAGTTCCTAAGGTATATTCCTGGTCACAAAAACATCACCGAACTTCTAAATGAAACCCTAAACATTTCTAATATTAAAGATTAAAATAAATAAGAACTATATATGCATTTTAGAATGATTAATTAAAACCAGTAAGATAAGTATTTACCCAATTTTTGGTGAATCAGTGAGTGACAACAGTCATAGTAGTGGGTTAAATCAAGGAATGTTTGCAAGGTAAAAATTGTAAGGAACACCTCCTACCATCATTCAGTTCAAAAACAAACAATAACAAATATGGTGGGTTTGATGAGCACATTTGTACTGCATTGTTTCTTGTGCATTTATATAATTGTCCTATATTTTATGAATTGTTATTTTATGATAATTTGTATTCATTCATTCATTCATTTTCCAGTCTTCTTTATTCCAATTCAGGGTTGTACATGGCTGGAGCATATTCCAGCAGCTCAAAACACAAGGCAGGAACCAACCCTGGACAGGATGTCATTTCATCGCAGGGCACACTCACACACACCCCCACCCTCACTCAGACTGGGACAATGTGGTCATGCCAATTCACCTAATGTGCACATCTTTGGGATGTAGGAGGAAGCTGGAGTACCCAGAGAAAACCTATGCAGACATGGGAAGAATGTGCAAACTCCACACATAACAGTGACCCTGGCTAGGAATTGATTTTTTTTCTCATCAACATTACAACAAAATGAAATATTTGAGGGCCTGCTGGAAGTCCTAGCTAATGCAATAAGATAAGAAAATAGATTGAAAGGTTTATAGATTGGGAAGGAGTAAATAAAGCTATCTTTATTTCTATACAGTGACATGATCATCTGTATAGAAAATCTGAAATAATTAAAAAAAACCTCCTAGAACTAATAAGCAATTATAGCAGGGTTGCAGGATGTTAGGTTAGTACACAAAAGTCAGTCACTTTTCTATATACCAACAATGGCAAGTGGAATTTGAAATTTAAAAACACTGTACCATGTACACTGGGACCCCCCAGATTTATCAGCATATGTACAAAATCTATAGGAAAACTACAAAACTCTGACGAAAGAAATTGAAGAAAAGCTAAATAAATGGAGAGATATTCCGTATTGATGGATAGGTAGACTCAATATTTTCAAGATGTTAGTTCTTCCCAGAGTTATCTATAGATTCAATGCAATCTAGTAAAAATCCCAGCAAGGTATTTTATGTTTATTGACAAACTGAGTCTAAAGTTTATGTGGATGGCAAAAAAGCCAGAATAGTCAGCACTTACTGAAGGAGAAGAACAAACTTGGAGGACTGACACCACTTGACTTCAAGTCTTACTACAAAGCTGACTTATAAAAATAGTGATCAAAACAGTATGCTATTGGCAAAAGAATAGACAAATAGGTTAATGGAACAGAATAGACAGCCCAGAAATTTACCCACATAAATATAGCCCACTGATTTTTGACAAAGAAGCAGAAGCACTACAACAGAGAAAGTCTTTTCAACAAATGGTGCTTGAACAATGGGACATTCATATGCAAATAAATGAAACTAGACACAGATCTTACACCTTTAAAAAAATTAACTGAAAATGGATCACAGGCAGACTTGTATATAAAATGTACAACTAGGACACACCAAAAACCCTGTTAGAACTAATGAACAAATTCAGTGAAATTACAAGATACAAAATCAACAAGTAAAATCAGCTGTGTTTCTGTAAACTAATGATGGCTATCTGAAAAAGAAATCAAGCAAACAATAGAGTTAAAAATTACTTAGGAATAAATTTAACCAAGGGGGTAAGAGATCTGTACATTGAAAACTATGAATCATTGATGAAATAAATTAAGGAAGACATAAAGAAAGATATCTCATGTTTATGAATTGGAATAATTAATATTGTTAACATATTCCTACTACCAAAGGGATCTAAAGATTCAGTGCAATCCCTATAAAAATTTCAATGGCATCTGTTTCCACAGAAATAGAAGAAATAATCCTAAAATCTGTATGGAACCACAAAACATCCAAACAGCTAAAGTAATCTTGAGGAAAAAGAAGAAAGCTGAAGAGATTACCTGATAACAAATATACTGCAAACCTATCGTAATCAAAACAGAATGAGATCAGCGTACAAATAAACATATAGGCCAATGGTAAAGCAGAAGAGTATAGAGAACCCAGAAATAAATCCATGGATTTATGATCAATTGATCTCTGACAAAAATGCTAAAAACACACAATGGGGAAGATGCTGTCTTTAATCAATGGTGTTGGGAAAACTGGATATCCACAAGCAAATGGATGAAATTGGACCCCATCTCACACTGTGTAGAATGCTTCAATGATCATGGGAGTGCTAATATCTCTTTGAGATCCTGATTTCAATTATTTGGATAAATACACAGATGTAGGATTGCTGGATCATATGGCAGTTCTATTTTTAATTTCTTGAGTAACCTTCATACCCATCTTCATAGTGGCTGCACCATTTTACCTTTCCACCAGCAGTCACAAGCGTTCTAATTTTTCCATGTCCTTGCTAAAACTTCTTAATTTCTGTTTTTTTTTTTAACATAATGGCTATTTTAGCAGATGTGAGATAATATTTCATTGTCGTTTTGATTGGCATTTCTCTGATGATTAATGATCATGAAAAGATATGAGAATCTTTTCATATACTTGTTGACCATTTATATATATTCTCTGGAGAAATGTCTATTCTAAACTTTTGACCATTTTAAAATAAGTTGTTTTAATCTATTGTTTGGATATATTTTGGATATTAACCTATTATGAAATATATGACTTACAAATATTTTCTCCCATTTCATAGGTTACCTTGTCACTCTGTTGACTGTTTCCTTGGCTATGCAGAAGCTTTTTAGATTGATGTGGTTCCACTTGTTTATTTTTGCATTTCTTGCCTATTTTTTGGTGTCTTATCCAAGAAATTGTCACCAGAGTAATGAAGCATTTCCACAATGCTTTCCTTCTAGTAGTTTTGTGGTTTCGGATCTTATGTATAAATCTTTACCCCATTTTGAGTTGATTTTTGTGTAAGATAATGATCCAATTTTCTTCTTTTTAATGTGTATATCCAGTTTTCCCAACACCATCTGTTGGAGAGACTATTTGTTCCCCATTGTGTTTTCTCTGCACCTTTGTTAAAAATCAACTCACCATAAATGCATGGATTTCTTTGCTGTCTATTCTATTCCATTGACTAATGTATCTGTATTTATGTCAGTATTATACTGTGTTCTTTTTTTGCCATTGTAGCTTTGTAATATATTTTGAAATCAGGAAATGTGGGACCTCAAGCTTTGTTCTTTTTTTCTTAAGATAGTTTTGGCTGTTCAGGGTCCTTTGTGGTTCCATCTGAATTTTAGAATCATTTTTTTCTAATTTTTGTAAAAAGTGCCATTGTGATTTTGATAGAGATTGCATCAGGTCTGTAGATCACTTTGAGTAGTACAGACATTGTAACAATATTAAATCTTCCAATCCATTAACATAGAATGTCTTTCTATTTCTTTCTTTCTTCTTTAATTCCTTTCAGCAATGTTTTGTAGTTTTCAGTGTGTAAGTTTTTTATTTCCTTGGTTAAGCTTATGCTTAAGCTTATTCTTTAATGATGCCATTGTAAATTGGATTATTTTATTAATTTCCTTTTCAGATGATTTATTAGTGTATAAAAACACACCTGATGTTTGTATGTTACTTCTTATCCTTCAGTGTCACTAAATTTATTTATTAGTTCTAATAGTTTATTGGTGGAGCTTTTACAGTTTCCTCTATATAAGATCATGTGATCCACAAACTGCAATAATTTTACTTCTTTCTTTGAGATTTGAATGCCATTTATTTCTTTTTCTTACCAAATTGTTCTGGCTAGGACTTCCATTACTATGGTAAATGGAGTGGCAAGAGCAGGCATCCTTTTCTTCTTCTTGATGTCACAGGAAAAGTTTTAGTTTTTCACCATCGAGTATAATGTTAGCTGTGGACTTTTCATATATAGCCTTTATTATGTTGATATAATTTCCTTCTCTTCGTTGTGTATTGATTTTTTTAATGAAAGTGTGTTGAATTTTGTCAAATGCTTGTTCTGCATCTATTGAGATCATTATTTGTGATTTTTATTCTTTGTTCTGTTAATGTGGTGTATCACATTGATTGATTTTCATATGATAAACCATCTTTATATCCCAGGGGTAACTCCCACTTGAGTCATGGTTAAGATCCTTTTAATGGTCTGTTTGCTCATATATTGTTAAGAATATTTACATGTGTATTTATTAGGGATATTGACCTGTAGCTTTCTTTTCTCATAGTGTCTTTCTCTGGCCTTTGTATCAGGGTAATGCTGGCCTCATATAATGAGTTTGGAAGTGTTCCTCACTTTAAACATGTTTTATGAGTGTTTGAGAAAGATTCGCATTAATTCTTCTTTAAAGGTTTGGTAGAATTCACCAGTGAAATTATGTGGTCTTGGGCTTTTCTTTTTTGGGGGACTTTTGACTACTGATTCAATGTCTTTGTTAATTATGTCTGTTTAGATTTTCTATTTTTTCATGATTCAGTCTTGGTAGGTTGAATGTTTCTAGGAATTTCTTCTAGGTTATCCAATTTGTTGGTGCATCATTGTTGATAGTAGTCTCTTATGATCCTTTGTATTCGTCAGTTGTAATGGCTTCTCTTTTTTTTCCGGTTTTCTTTGAATCTTTTCTCTTTTTTTCTTAGTCTAGCCAAATGTTTGTCAATTTTGTTGATATTCTCAAAAAACAAATCCTTAGTTTTAATGATTTTTTTCTATTCTCTATTTAATTTATTTCTGCTGTAATCTACATTATTTCCTTCCTTCTGCTAAATTTGCACATGGTTGCTTTTTTTCTAATTTCTTTAGGTGTAGAGTTAGGTCTTCTATTTAAGATATTTTTTCTTTTTAAGTGTAGGAGTTTAACACTATAAACTTTCCTCTTAGTACTGCCTTTGCTACATCCCATAAGATTTGGTATGATATACCATATTTTGTTTTTGTTTGTCTCAAGATATTTTTTAATTTTCTTTTTAATTTTTTTCTTTGTCCTATTGGTTATTCAAAAGTGTGTTGTTTCATTTCTACATTTTTGAATTTTCAAGTTTTCCTTCTGCTGTTGATTTCTATTTTTATTCCATTGTGATCAGGAAAGATATTTGTTATAATTTTCAATTTTCTTAAATTCATTCAGACATGTTTTGTGATCTAAAATGTGATCTATTGTGGATAATATTCAGTACATTCTTGAGAGGAATGTGTATTCTGCTGCTGTTGCGTGGAATGTTCTCTATATGCCTGTTAGGTCCATTTGGTGTATAGTGTTGTTCACATTCTGTTTTCTTATCAATTTTCTTTTTAGATGTTCTATCCATTATTGAAAGTGAGCTATTGAAATTTCCTACTATTATTGTGTTGCTATCTACTTATATTTCTTCTTTCTATTTCTTTCTTGAGTTTGATGAATGTTTCTCTTGTATCTTTAGATGCTCTAATATTTGCATATATGTATGTGTATATATCCACATGTGTATATACACATATATATGTATAATTATTATGTCTTCCTGGTGAATTGATTCTTTTATCATTATATAATGTCCTTCTTTTTCGCTAGTGACAATTTTTGACTTAAAGTCAATTTGTCTGACGTAAGTATGGCCATTCTTTCCCTCTTTTGGTAGTTGTCATTTGCATATCTTTTTCCATTCTTTCACTTTCAATCTATGTGTGTCCTTAAATCTAAAGTAAGTCTTTTGTGGAAAGCATATAGTTTTGTCCCAGTAATTCTCTGCCTTTTGACTAGGGAGTTTGGTCCATTTGTATTTAAAGAAATTATTAATAAGGATAGACTTACTATTGCCATTTTGTTAATAGTTTCCTGTCTGTCTTTAGCACTTTTGTCTCTCTTTTCCTCTCTTGCTGTCTTTATTTTGCTTTTTTTGTTGTTGACATTTTGTGGTGACATATTTTTATTTTTTCTCATTTTCTTTTGTGTATCTTCATAGGTATTTTCTTTGTGTTTATTATAGGTCCTACATAAAACATCTTATAGTTATCACATCTATTTTAAGCTGATAATAAATTCAATGACATACAAAAACTTTACCCTTTTACTCTCTCCATCTTTGTTATTGGTGTCACAGATTATATATTTTATATTGTGTGCCAAAATTAAAAAGTCATTTATATTCCACTGTTATAGTATTACAGTATTCCATATTTGTTTATATATTTACCTTTACCAGCAAGCTTTATATTTTCTTATGCTTTCATGTTTAGTATTTTTCTTTTTAACTTAAAGGACTCACTTTAGCATTTCTTGTAAGGTATGTCTAGTGATGAACTCTCTCAGTGATTGTTTATCTGGGAAAACCTTTATCTCTCCTTCATTTTTTTTCTTTATTTTAATAAAGACTGGGCCTCACTATGTTGCCCCAGCTGGTCTTGAACTCCTGAGCTCAAGCAATCCTCTTGCCTCAGCCTCCCAAAGTGCTAGGATTACAGGTGCGAACCACCATGCCTGGCCCTGTCTCCTTCATGTTTGAGGGACAGTTTACCAGATATAATATTCTTGGTTGACAGTTAAAAAATATTTTAGCACTTTGAATATATCATCCCACTTCCTTCTACTTTCACAGTTTCTGCTGAGAAATCCACTGATAGTCTATAGGGGTTCCCTTACTGAGTTGCTTTTCTCTTGGTATTTTCAAAATTCTCTCTCTCTCTCTTTTTTTTTTTTTTTTTTTTACAATTTCCTTATAATGTGTCTTGGTGTGAACTTCTTTATTAATGACCCTTTTTAAAGTGCTGTGTTAAGCTTAAATTTCTGAGGCAAAATGGCCTTTTTAAAAATTCCTGGATTATCATATTCTTGGCCTCTTTTCTTGAGCTATGATTTGGTTGCCTTAGTAGAGTGTTCAAATCATGAAAGAAAGGGAATATTCTTGTAATGATTGAAGGAAACAGGCTGTTTATCTGCATGGATCCAGTGCTCCATATCAAAAATTATAATAATAGAATAATTTATAACTATAGGTAGAAAGCTGCTTCATAAAACTGTAACAAGATATTCCTAGAAAAAATGAGTTCTGGATAGCACACAAAAATCTTGTGAATAGTTATTTCATTTGGTATATATTATGTAGTATTAATCTCCAATGTATCTGTAGGTATAGAGCAAATTAGGAAAAGTAAGATGTGTTTGGACTAGGACTCAGACTGTCCACAGAGGGGAGGATGTGAATAAGTGAGAAAGGCACAAGAGAGGATCCCAGGACAAGGCAGAGTGACAGGAAGGAGCCTGTCAGTGATGGGAGTTGTTGAGATGCAAGGGAGTGTGAATGGGCATTGACTTGATGTAGGAAGCCTTTGGTGGGATGGGGTAGGAGGTAGTGTGAGTGAAATAGGAAGAAAGGAGATTACTCAGCCACTCTTAGTGAGAACCTGCAGTGGGGAGGGATGATGCTCCCTCAGGCCTGCAGGTATACAGATGTCTGGAAAATGTGCCAGAGCGTTCTGAAAATGAAGCCTCCCTGGTATCTTTGGTCTTTGCTGGGAGAGAGTAGCTAATTACTTACTCTTTTCTCTCTTGCATTGCCAGTTTTTTCTCTCTATTGCTTCTTACTCCGTATATATCCTTTTGAACATATAAACTTGCTTATTTTTCTTCTGATTTTTTACAAAAGCACTTTTCAAATCTATAATGATTCTCCTAAAAACTTCTGTCTCAACTTCTATCCTAACTCATTCATCACAATTAAGATTGTTGAAGAATGGTCTAATTTTTTTGGTAGCTCTCCTTTATCTTCTATGATTTCCTTATTCCACTGAAAATGTGCTTTTATTCTTATCACTCCAGTGAAATTGTACTTGTTACAGTAAGCAATAACATTTTAGATGAAAACCCAACAAACCTATTTCAGTTATTATACCACTTATCATATCTTCAGTATTAGACACCATTGTCCCCTCACTCTTTCCAGGTATTCTCCCTGACATTGTTCACTATTACCTTTTTGGTTGTTCTTTTTACTCTTTCCTGGATTTTTCTTCCTATATCTGTCCCTTAAATGATGATGTTCCATCTGGTTTTGTCCTGTGGTTCATCTCATCTCAAATTACACATTCTTCTTGGGAAAATTTATCTTCTCCAGGAGTTTACCTTTGATATAGCTTAGATATTTGTCTCCTCAAATCTCATGTTGAAATGTGATCCCTGATATTGGAGGTGGGGCTTAGTGGGAGATGTTTGGGTCATGAGGATTGATCCTTTATTGAATGACCTCGTGCCTTTCTTGTAATGAGTGAGTTCTTCCTCTATAATTTCATATGAGAACTAATTGTTAAAAAGAGCCTGGCATCACTTCCTTTCTGCCTTTTCTTCTCTCACCATGTGACACCATGATTCCCATTGCCTTTCACCATGAATAAAATCTTCCTGAGGCCTCACCAGAAGCCAAGAAGATGCTAGCAACATGCTTCTTCTACAGCTTGTAGAACCATGTGCCAAATAAATCTTTTCTTTATTAATAACCCAGTCAAGTGTATTCCTTTATAAAAGCACAAAACAGATTAATACAGAATATTAGTACTGGGGAGGTGAGCATTGCTATAAAGATACCTAAAAATGTGAAAACAGCTTTGGAACTGAGTAATAGGGAGACGTTGGGAGAGTTTGGAGGACTTGGAAGACAGGATGATTGGGAAAATTTGGAACTTATTAGAGACTGGTTAAATGGCTGTGAGCAAAATGCTGATAGAAATGTGGACAGTGAAGTCCAGGCTAAGTCTCAGATGGAGGTGAAGAACTTGGGAAACTAGACCAAAGATGACCTAGAAAAGAACTTGGCTGCATTGTGTCTAGGTTGCAGGGCTTTGTTGAAGGCTTTATGAAAGTTCATCATTCTAAGGCTGAATGTAAGAATGATGTCCCAGGTAAGAATGACGACCCAGGGTCTTTGGTGGAAGCAAAGCATTCAAGAAGTGTCAGGACTGCTTCCAACAGTCTATGATCAGATGTGAGAGCAAAGGAAGGACCCATAGTTGGAAATTAAAATTAAAAGGGAAGCAGAGCATAAAAATTTGGAAAATTCACAGCCTGGCCATCTGGTAGAGAAGGAAAGAATGCTTTCACTATAGGAATCCAAAGGAGTGGAATCCAAACGAGAGAAATCCAAGAAAGCTATGGAGCAACCACTTGCTAGAGACAGTAACGTGACTGAAAGGGAGCTAGGTGCTGATATTCAAGATGATGGGAAAAAAAGCTAGAGGTCTAGGAGGACAGAATGGTTTCGGGGGCCAAGCCCAGGGTACTGCTGCCCTGTGATGATTTGGGATGCTGCTCCAGCTATGGCCACAGCTCAAAGGGCCCAGGTGCTGCTTGGGATGCCACTCAGCATAGTGCAAGCTATAAGCCTTGGCAGCCTCTGTGTGGTGCTAAGTCTGCAGGCACACAGAATGCAAGGGTGACATCCCAAGATTTTCTGATTTGCAATTGCTTAAGGAAGAGAAGCTTTGTTTAAAAATGTGGGATCATCAGAAAAGAATGTTATCTCTGGCCCATGAATGTGACTCCTTTCAGGCCCCTCAGGAACAAATTTAGAACAAAGAATGATGGTCAAAGTTCAGTCTTCAGTTCCCTCTTATCTGAAATCTATATGCCAGTACATCTGTTGGTGTGGATATGGATTTTTGAAAAACAACTCAGAGCCATATGTTAGGTGTTATGTTTAGTTTCTATAGGGGAACAAAATCTAGAATCCTGTGATTCTAGATTTCTTGGCTATTATTTTAAGCTATTATTACCTTCTTGCTTATCAAGCTGCTCATTTACTTCTCATGGCTAGCCAGGTGTCTGGAATTTCCCTTGTAGTAATTAAAGATTTCCCTGTACTTCCATGCTTGGGAGGCCCCCAGACTCCTTAGGTTGTGGGGGGGTTCCCTGTTCCATCTCAGTTTTTGATCTCAGAGGCTCATAGGTGGAAGGAACTGCCCTTGAGTTTCAGATGAGACTTTAGACTTCAGACTTTTGAGTTGCTGCTGGAATGAGTTAAAATTTGGGGGTACTCTTGGTAAGGGATGATTATATTTTGCAATGTGAGAAGGACATGAGATTAGGGGGGCCAGGGACAGAATGATATAGTTGGGTATTTCCCCCCTCCAAATTTCATGTTGAAATGTGGTCCCCCAATATTGGAGGTGGGGCCTAGTGGAAGGTGTTTGGGTCATGAGGGGCAGATTCTTCATAAATGGCTTGATGCCTTCCTTATGGTAATGAATGAGTTCTCACTCTTTCATGTGAGAATTGATTGTTAAAAAGAGCCTGCCATCCCCTCCTCTCTGCCTCCCCTCCTCTTTGCCTCCCCCTCTCTCTCCATATGACATGCTGGCTCCTTTTGCCTTCCATCATGAGTAAAAGCTTCCTGAGGCTTCAGCAGAAGTCAAGCTGATGGTGGTGCCATGCTTCTTGTACAGCTTGCAGAACAATGAGCCAAATAAATCTTTTTTCTTTAAATTACCCAGTCAGGGGTATTCCTTTATAGCAGTGCAAAACAGACTAATACAACCTCTCATCTATACGTCACTTGTTCATAAATCTCTACCTCTAGCTCAGGCTTCTGCATCTACATGGACATATCTCAGTGTACATGTGCTCCAGGCAATCCAAACTTATCATATGTTAAACTACTTTAATCTTCTGTTCTTCAAATCTGTCCTCCTGTATATTCACTCTCAGTGAATGGGAGACATCTGGGTTTTTTTTTTAATTTTTAATTTTTGCCAGTCCAATAGGTGTGTAGTGTCATCAAATGATTTTAATTTGCATTTTCCTGGTGGCTAATCATGTTGAGCTTTTTCTCATGTGTTTTTTGGTTATTTATGTATTTTGCGATGCTTCTATTAACATATTTTACTTATTTTAAGCTGGGCTCTGTGGCTCACACCTGTAATCCCAGCACTTTGGGAGGATGAGGTGAGCAGATCACCTGAGGTCAGGAGTTCGAGACCAGCCTGGTCAACATGGTGATACCCCATCTCTACTAAAAATACAAAAATTAGCTGGAGGTGGTGGCAGATGCCTGTAGTCTCAGCTACTCGGGAGGCTGAGGCAGGAGAATTGCTTGAACTCAGGAGGCGGAGGTTGCAGTGAGCTGAGATCATGCCACTGCACTCCAGCCTGGGCAACAGAGCTAGACTCCATCTCAAAAAAACAAAAACAAAAGCATGTTTTACCTTTTATTGGGTTGTTTATCTATGACTGAGTTGTAAGTGCTCTTTATATATTCTGGCTGCAAGTTCTTTGTTATAAATACATATTGTGAATATTTTCTTCCACTGTCAGGCTTTCCTTTTTATTTTCTTAGTTATATCTTTTGAAGAGCAGAATATTTTTATTTTGATGAAGTCCACAATTTATCATTTTTTCTTTTATAGCTCATGCCTTTTGTGTCCCATCTAAGAAATCTTTTCCTTCTTCATTGTTGCAAAAATAATGTCCTTGTTTTGGTCTGTAAGTTTTATAGCTTTAGTTGTCATGTGTAAGTCTTTGGTACATGTCTAGTTAATATTTGTGTCAGCTGTGAGATAAAGGTTAAAGTACATTTTTCCCCCAAAATGAATACCCGGTGTTCTAGCACCACTTACTGAAAATAACATTGTTTTCCCATTTAATTACTTTGGCAACTTGGTAAAAAAATCAACTGACCACATATGTGTGGATCTATGTCTAAATTCTTTGTGATTCTTTATATCACTGATCAGTGTGTCTGTCTTTTTGCCAACAATCCATACTGTCTTCATTACTGTTACATTATATTAAATCTTGAAATTAAATGGTGTAAATCCTCTAACTTTGTTTTTTTTTTTGTAATTGCTTTGTCTATTATAGATTCTTTACATTTCAATTAATAACTAGAATTAGTTTGTCAATTTCTACGAAAAAAAGCCTGCTGGGATTTTAATTGGACCTAATTTAAATTTAATGTAATTTTAATTTGATTTAAATCTGCATATTAATTTCAGGATAATTGACATCTTCATGACTGTATCTTCCAATTCATGAGCATGGTACACGTCTTCATTTGTTCATGTCTTTTAAAAATTCTTTCAGCAATGTTTTGTAGTTTTAAGTATGTAGGCATTGTGCAAATTTTGTAAAGTTCAACCTTAAGCATTTCACACATTTTGTGATTTTTCAAATAGTACTATTTTAAGAGTTTGTTTTTCAATAGTTTGTTGCTAGTTCTGCCTTATTATTACTAAGAAGGGACAAACTCTTGTGAGTAATAACATTGTTCTACCTTGGATTAAAATTAATAGTGAATGTCTTCTGTTCTACCCTATGTGTGATTTCCCATAGTCTCCTTTTTATTCTCCACATGTAGGCACAGGTACTGATATATAATATGCACTCAATAATTTTTTTTTGAATAAAGGTATCACTTTCAAAATCAAACTGATTTTGTTTTAGGTTTCAAAAGACCATTAAAAAGCACTCAGAATGTAAAACTCTGGGGATTCTCATAGCTTGAGCTACATCTGTAAAGCAGAGTGAAGTGATGTGACAATTATTTGACTGATTTTTTAAATGTGGACATTTTTCTACACTTGATTGACATTCAAATTATCCAGTGTTCATCTTAACAAAGTAAGTGTCAAATCACATCCTCATTTATGTTATCTCAGCAGAAAAGCCTAAGAACAGAGAAAAAAGATAGGTAACTACAAATTTCAAAGCAACATTATTGTGCTCAGATGTACAGTGTAGGCAGCTGACGCAGCTCAAGGCCATTAGAGCATTCACAGAGTAATGGAATCTCTGGGTCACAGGCAAATAGAAAAAGAGACAATCCAAGAATCAGAGGGATAGTTGAATCAGATGAAAGCAGATTCCTCTCTGATCTTGAGTTTCCATGGCAGTTGGACCAGATTATAGATTTATCTTATCTTATTTTATTTTTTTAAAACCACATTATCTAGAGAGAGAAGGAATTTATTACCTTTGTGTCTTAGTCTATTTATGCTGTTATAACAAAATGCCTGACACTGGTAATTTATAAATGTGAGAAATGTATTTCTCACATTTCTGGAGGCTGGAAAGTTCAAGATCAAGACACTGACAAGTTTAGTGTCTGGTGAGGAACTGGACTCTCTGATTCCAAGGTGCAGCATCCTCTGGAAGGTATAAATGATGTGTCCTCACGTGGCAGAAGGGCTGGAAAGGGCAAAAGGAGCTAAATTCTGTGTGAAGAATCCCATTCATGAGAGAGGAACCCCCATGACCTAATCACCCCTTAAAGGCCACAACTCTTAATATTATTGCATTAGAGATTACTTTTTTTTTTTTTTTTTTGAGATGGAGTTTCACTTTTGTTGCCCAGGCTGGAGTGCAATGGCATGATCTCAGCTCACTGCAACCTCTGCCTCCCAGGTTCAAGTGATTTTCCTGCCTCAGCCTCCCGAGTAGCTGGGATTACAGGCATGTGCCACCACATTTAAACATGAATTTTGGAGAGGACACAAACTTCAAACCATATCACCTGGCGAGTATCATCATCTATTTTTGAGGCTTGAAACTGGAAGCCCCAAGCTACGTCCAGCCCTTAACATCCCCCACAACGTGTTCTATTTGGTCTATACAGTGTTTTAAATTTTTTTTTTAAAATCTATATTTTATGATAGGAACTTACGAATGCAAAGAAGGAAACAACAGATACTGGGGTCTACTTGAGGGGGGAAGGTGTGAGGAGGGAAAGGAACAGAAAAGATAACTATTGGGTACTGAGCTTAATAAGTGGGTGATGTGATAATATGTGCAGTAAACCCCAGTGACACGTGTTTATCTGTGTAACAAGCCTTCACATGTACCCCCAAACCTAAAATAAAAATTTTAAAAATCTATAAATAAAGATTAATACTTAAACATTAATTATACTGATTTTAAAACCAGGCTTTTTGTAGGAAAACCAGGATTTCTGGGTTGTCTTAGAAACAAGAAGTTGTATAAGCCCTTGGCCTTGGTTCTGAGATGGCAGCAACTGGCTGGGACTGAGGAGTCCCAGGCTTCTCTTTTGCCTGCCTTCTCTAGTTTCTCATAGTCTCCACTGTCCTTACCCAGGCTCTCTTTACTAGTGCATTTTACTCGCTTGGCTCCTGGAGGCATATGACTTTGTAAGATCTGATATTTGGGGATTCAAACCGAGAACTTGCCTGTTATCCATGGCCTCTCCCTTTCCTTGATTCTCTGCCTCCCATCCCTCATTCCCATCATCACAATGATTCTACCTCTTTAATGTCTCTTGAACCTGTCACCTCCTCTCAATCATCATATTCACTGCCTTGGTGCAGGCCTTCAATGCTTCTCAGATGAATTACTGCAACAGGCTCACTATGTTCCATGGTGTGGTAACGTTTATAAGAAGAGAGAAGCAAGGAAGGACAGACATGGGAAGGAAGAAGTTTTTCTGTCCAAAAAGCAATGGCAATATTTCTGGAGTAACACAGGGCAGGAGTGCATTTCACTTAGAACCATCCTTTCATTCCTGGCACTCGGACCTAGGCTTGGAGAGTGGGTCATTACTGGATGGAAAATCAAAGGAAGGTTCTAAATGAGGCTTGCACTTTATTTTTATCCTCTTTCTGGATTTCAGTGTTGGTTCTATTTTACCTGTTTATTCTTATCATGCTGTTTGTCACAGGAAAGTTTATAATTTAGGTAATAAAACCTTTCAAATCATTTAAATGAATATGTGTGAAAAATGAGGGTCAGACCTGTTAGCCCAAGATCTCTAATGACCGCCTGCTGGAGGTGCTGCCTGGTCGAAAGCATCTGCACTTGGAAAGTCCTCATTTGTAACATCAATGATAATTGTCTGTAGAATGTCTGAGCCAAGATGGCCTATGAAGCAAGAGAGAGACCTCAAACGTATTAACTGTTTCACACGCTTGAAAACAGACAATTTGTCTTTGACTTGTGAGAAAACCCCCAGCTATTACCGTGCCCATCAGCTTATGTAGAATGGGAAGGTCTAGCGCTACCTGCTTATAAACCCCAGCCAAAGGATTGAGGCCTCCGTCTGATAAGGCTTCATGTGCTTGTCAAATAAAAACGAATTCAGGCCGGGCGTGGTGGCTCATGCCTGTAGTCCCGGCATTGTGGGAGGCTGAGGCAAGAGGACTGCTTGAGCCCAGGAGTTCGGGCTGCAGTGAACTGTGTTTACACCACTGAGATCCAGGCTATGTGAGACAGCGAGACCCTGTCTCAATTAAAAAAAAAAAAAAAAAAGAATTTAGAAGCTGAGAACATAAATGGGCTTGCCTTTCTGTGCATATGTGTGCAAATGTTTGTGTGCATCTGAGTGTGTGTATGTCTGTGTGTGTGATGGGAATAAGGGATAAGATTATTTCCCCCCTCTTATTTAGTTAATGCCAGAAAAGTAAGAGAAAAATTGACTATGCCCGAATTATTTTTTACCTTTTATCTGGAGTATCTGCAATTGAAATACTTGAATGGGACATTCGTCTATATAACCATAGCTTATAGCAGTGGCTTTCCTACAAGAGTGCATTGACATTGACTGGGACACCTGTTAGATAAATGGGCAGATTCTTCAGCCCATGCCCAGGGGCTCTGATGCTGAGACCTGGAGGGGCCCCAGGGTTATGCACTGTGACAGGTCCCCCATATGATTCTCATGCAGTCGAACCATTAGATAGTACTTAGGAAAGGATTGTCTGCAGGAAGAAAACACACAAATGGATGTGGCCTCGACTAATGGCTTAATCTCAGGACCTTAGATCACGTGGCTAAATTGATTGTCCTGAGTGTAACTTTAAAAGTCACACATACAGGCCACACGTGGTGGCTCACACCTGTAATCCCAGCACTTTGGGAGGCTGAGGTGGGTGGATCACCTGAGGTCAGGAGTTTGAGACCAGCCTGACCAACATAGAGAAACCCCATCTCCACTGAAAATACAGTGTTAGCCGGGCATGGTGGTGCATGCCTGTAATCCCAGCTACTCGGGAGGCTGAGGCAGGACAATAGCTTGAACCTGGGAGGCAGAGGTTGCAGTGAGCTGAGATCGTGCCATTGCACTTCAGCCTGGGCAACAAGAGTGAAACTCTGTCACACACACACAAAAAACTCACACATACAGATACACATGCATCATACATGTACACTCCCCTAAATACATCTCATATCATACCCTCTACACCTCACATACCACACCCCAAATACACACCACACACACACACAGCCCACACATGCACACACCACACATGTACACACACACATGCTAAACCACACACATATCACACCATACACAAAGGGACACACACCATACACACACATCACACATACTCACCACATACACATCACACATACACTTACCCCACACATGCACATGCCACACATGCACACACACCACACTCATACACACATACACATCCTCCCCCCACTACACCACATATGTACCATTCCACACACATGCCATACTATGCATATACACATGGATGTGAGCCTTCCTTTTCATTTAAAATACAGGGAAAACACTGCTCTCTATCAAGCAGTGGTATTTTAGAGAGCAGAGGTCTTTTCCTCCAAGTCCGCTCTTGAAGTTCTTAAAAAGAAAGTGCAAGTCCCAGGAATGAGCTCATCTCTGTGTCCTTCCCAGAAGCCGCTTATTCATTGCTGCAGGACAGACTTTACTGTTATTATAATGAAAAGACAAGACAGACTACTCTAAATATCAGTTTAAAATGTTTCTTTTTAAAAACATTCCCACATGTACACGATCTTTTACTTGTTTCATGTTTACTCTGTTTTGGGTTAAGAAATCTGAATGATGTGATGTGTCGTGAGAATAGAAGTGAACAGGATGAAATCGCGTGAACAGGACAATGGGGGGGTGGTGGTGGAGCCCTCCGCTTTGGGGCTCTGAGGCTTCGGATTGGAACCATCTGGTCCCTGGTCCTAGCTCTGCTACTTGTGGCCTTGGCTAAGGTAGTAACCTCTCCAAGCCTCCTCTACAAAGGGATCATCATCGTAGTACCTCACTCATGGAATTCTAAGGATTAAAATGGAAAGTGCTTACAATAGGGTGAGAAACATACTAAAGACTCTGTAAATGTTTGTTTCTGTTAATAAGCAGAATTATGCCTGGACGTGCTTAAGCTCCCAGACTTTTTCTACACTGCCCTCAGTTATCAATCTCCATTCTGACTACTTCTCAGTGACCAAGAGAAGAGAGGAAAGAGCTGGGAGAATAAGGCTGTGGGGAGGATGAGGCAGAGGGGATATGGGAGGATGAAGAAGCATTCTGGTGCGAGTGCATTGGGATCACTGAGTGTAGCCTGGTCCTCTCTCCTTCCCACCGCAGGACCTGATGATAGATCCCTGATAATTATGGTCTTTCTGGATGGGCCAGGTGGGCAATTTTATTCTTTGTAATCTTCAAAGGTACAAATGAATCAGTTTTATGACTTCTGCTTTACATCAAAATAAATTTCAGATGTCTCAAACATTGAGCAGCTTTGAACGTAACTTGTTTTCTTTTCCTGCATTCAGGAGCCATAAAGTCTAGCCAGGATAAGGCCTCAGACCCAGTTCTTTACAGCAGATATTGTGAAATAGTGACCAGTGCTTGGAACTCGGCCCACACATGGCTCATATAGTATGTTTTAAAGTTTTGAATTGGCTTCCATCATTTAAGAATAAGAGATCTTCCATAAAAATTGAGATTTTCGGCCTGGCGCAGTGGCTCATGCCTGTAATCCCAGCACTTTGGGAGGCCGAGGTGGACAGATCACCTGAGGTCAGGAGTTCAAGACCAGCCTGGCCAACATGGCGAAACCCCATCTCTACTAAAGATACAAAAAATTAGCTGGGCATGGCGACGCATGCCTGTAATCCCAGCTACTTGGGAGGCTGGGGCAGGAGAATTGCTTGAACCTGGGAGGCGGAGGTTGCAGTGAGCCGAGATGGTGCCACTGCACTCCAGCCTGGCTGACAGGGTGAGACTTGATCTCAAAAAAATAAAATAAAATAAAATATTAAAAAAAATTGAGATTTCCAGCTTATTTTGGGAATAAGAACTGGCTTCTGCCCAGGCGTTTGGATGCACAGATGGAGGCCGGATCGCAGGGGCCCTGGGAGGGGCATGGCTCCAGCAGCTCCTGCCCTCTGGTCCACGTGGCTTGCTGGACACATGCTAATCTACTTGGAGCCTTGCATTCTATTGCTGGCTCTAAAAGCTTTATGAAGTGACTGATCTAGAAGGACCATAAAATCTAGAGAAAGGACTTAATCTCTTTGGACTTAATCTCTTTGGACTCAGTTTACTCATTTATAAAATGAGCAAGGACCCTTGCAGTTCTAAAAATCTGCGTTTAGCTATGAACACTGCATTTAGCATGGGGCTGACATGTCAATGTCTAGCTTCACTATTAACCCTCATTTCCCTTCTGCTTCCCTGCCTTCATCTGCATGGACCAGACTACCACTCAGCCCTGAGAGGTCCAGAGCCAGCAAGGATAGGAGAAGCCGCCGTTGAACCCCAATGGTGGTCTCCACTTCACGCTCACTTCATAGTATTTTGGTTGTAGTATTTGATACTAAACTTATTTTTTTGTGCCTGGGAAAGAGTGGGTTCTCAGTAAATATCTATGGAGTCAGTAGATTAATTGGTAGCCAGGTTGGCTTTCCTACTTGCTGGGGCAAATCAGGGAGTGAGGGGCTACTGTTGTCAAGGTTAGATTTTCTCCCATACACCAAAAACCCCCACAATTATTGCACAGCAGATACTTAACAAAGTATAATGAACAAGCACGGATGAGATTGTTTCTCAGTAAGCTGAACTGCCAAACGAGTGAGAAAATGTAGTTTAAGACTGGGGTTCTCTGAAAAAAATACCTCTGCCCTCTCTAAAAGTTAAACTATAGTTTTGGTAGTTTGTGTGGTGCAAATGAAACATTTTATATATGTAAGAAGCAATGGAGCCAGCAAGGATAGGAGAAGCCTCTGTGCAGAGACAGCTGTGGTGGAAGAGTGACTCGAATGTTTAAGTATTATCAAGACTGCTGTGGTAGAAGAATGACATGAATTTTTAATTATTATAGCTTGTTCCTCTGTGAACTAAATGATGGATTCTAAGTGCATGGAAATGAGATACAAACCTGACCCTTAAACAACAGCCAATGGAATAGTGATAAATTTAAATGCCTCTTTTGTCCACTCATATTCATTTTCTTATGCAAATAATACTCGTAGAAAACAGAATAATAAAACAAACACATACCCACTACCTAGATGCATGTCCATAATAAATATTGGCATATTTTCCATGTTCAAGGGAACAAATTGTTCAGATTGTAAAGCCTATTTTGCTCTCTTCCTCCGTGTTACTTCCCTATCTCTGCCTTCAGAGTGAGCCAGCTTTTAGAACAGTGTAGGTCTTCTCATTCATATTTTTACATTTTGTTCCGTCCATTTGAGTTCATAAAATATACAAGATTGTGTTATGTGTTTTTAAAATCACATTTAATGATATCAGATTGTAAGTGTTCTAGGACATTATTATGTTTTTGAGATTTATCCATGTTAATACAATTATTTCTATTTTAATCATTTAAATTGCTTTCTAGAATGATTAAGCCACAATTTGTGATTTATTACCTTACTATGAACATCTAGGTGATTTCTTTTAGAAACAATGCTGTAGTAAATATCCCTGAAGAATTGCTCAGGAAATACACCTACCTTGGGTGACCAGGGTGTTGATGTATGGGCACTTTCTGTCACCCAGGCTGGAAGTGCAGTGGTGTGAACATGGCTAACTGCAGTCTCAAATGCCTGGCCTCAAGTGATCGTCCTGCCCCAGCCTCCGGAGTAGTTGGGACTACAGGTGTGAGCCATCATGCCCAACTACTTTTTAATTGTATTTGTTATTGACAAATTGCTCTATGAAGGAGTTGTACCAGCTTACGCTCTCAGCAGTAGTATTGAAATTTCCATTTTTCACATCTTCTCCAAAACTTGCCAGATATTAAAATTGTCACCCATATGATGGGTATGAAATGACACCTCATTGTTATTTTGCTTTGTACTAACCTTATAGCAAGTGAGATGAACATATTTCTATGTATTTATTGATCATTTGGGATTCTATTTCTCTGAAGTATGCATATTCTCTGGCCATTTTCTATCCTAATCTTTTTCTTTTTTGACACAGACTAATTAAGTTTTATTGTCTGAAAATACTCATAAAATACCTCATCTCCAAAATAATTCAAATACATAATTAATTGAATATTTTTAAAATGACAGTTTTCAAAAAGTAAAATTAAACACATTTTAGTAAATATATATATGTTTTATTTGTCAAGAGTAAATGTCAGTTTTACTTAGAATATTCAAGTACAAAAAATGAAAATTTATATATCTATGACTGTTAAGAAATGTTAGAAATCATTAAAATGTTCTGAGAATACTAGTAAGGCACTGAATGCAAATACCACCTGAAATATGAATTATGTGCATTTTTATATCTTTAATATTCAGATGTTCATAGTTATTTTCTTAAAAAGTATTTTTAATAAAATGATTCAACCTTATTATTTTTCCCCTGGAAGACAGAGTTTAAACAAGTATGTAATGAAAAGTTTTCCTAAGGAAAGCTGTGATACACTCATGCTCAAAGGTACTTTATCCTTAGGAAAAAAGAGTTTCTATGTCTGGATGTTTTAACTTTTAAAGATATTTTGTTTCATCACAGTAATACATCAGCCATAATAAGGCATAATAAAGCATGAAGTCATCATATTAAATAATCTGACACAAAAGCTTAAGATCGTATCACCAATTGGGTAACTATCAAAAATTTTTAAGTTCTATAAAACTATTAAGAGGTTAGAGTTTTAGCTCTATAATACATCCCAAAACATATTCCCTCAAATTTTTATTATATATAAAAAAGGTTCATCTTGGATATAAATGTAATCAGTTAGCCACGATATTAATGGGTTCTTTATTTTCAGTGGCACTGACACTTTGCTCTTTGGTATAATGCACTGCAGTGACAATAGCTTGGTAGCAAGAGAAAAGATTTAGATCCATCACAAAACAGCAACTTAAAAATTTCTAACAACAGTGAATATATACGAATATATAGGTACAAGCTGAGTATCCCTTATCCAAAATGCTAGGGACCAGAAGTGTTTTGGATTTCAGGTTCTGGAATATCTGTGTATACACAATGGGACCCGACTCTAATTGCATAATTCATGTTTCACATCCACCTTATACATATAGCCTGAAAGTAATTTATACAACATTTTTAATAATTTTGTGCGAGAAACAAAATCTGTTTAAACTGAACCATCAGAAAGCAAAGGTGTCAGGTGGGGAATTTTCCACTTGTGGGGTCAAGTCATTGTTCAAAAAGATTCAGATTTTGAAGCTTCTGGATTTCAGATTTTTGAATTAGAGATGCTCAACTTGTAGTATCATTCACTCTGGCTTACGTATTGACCTCATACTTGAAAGTACTTTTCCATAAATATCAGTAACTGTGGCCGTTCACCAAATATAGAAGTGATAAAACAAACAAAAACAGCAAAATCAAAGCACACTTCTAGTTTTGTTTTTGTTTTTGTTTTTAATAAATTTTGCTTGTGATGATGACCTTCTGTGCTCTGGAACTTCTGTTTTACAAAAAATTGGAGTTCTTATGGTCCTTGTCCTTACTCAGGTTGCTGCCTGTTGCCAGAAAGGACTGGCTGTGAAATATCTCGGAGGTAGCTTTCTTTTTAGAGAAAGCAATTATTTCTTCTTCCAAAAGTCTTCTTTGTTCTTCAAGCTTCATTCTCTCTTCTTGGTGAAGTCTCTTAAGGTGCTCAAATTTGGCCTGTAGCTTTCTCTCAGCTTCTTTCAATATGGCTTCTTTCTCCTTCACTGGCTGCACAAACATCTGTTTCATTTCTTCTTCCTTCCTCTGACGTTCACCATGGAACTCATGTCTTTTGGCTTCATAGGTCTCTTGAAGACTGACCGGCTTGTTTTCTGGGCCCACATCTGTAAAGCCCATTTCCTCCAGTTTGCAGCGCCTGTAAAGCTCATAGTGCCTGGTATGGGTCTGCTATCGCAGGTCCTCCATATTTGTACAAATGAACATTTCCCGCAGCTTTACAAAGTCACAGTGGTTTTCATTTTCCACCTGTACAACACCCCAAGGGTACTGGCGAGCTTTAACCATCTTGTTTCCGACTTTTATCTCATCCATACTTCCCACAACAGCAAACGGCAACTGTCCATTCATTGCAGCGTTGACCTTAGCAATAGTGTCATCATCCGTTGGAAACTGGTATATCTGGACGCCATTGCTGACCAGTTCACTCATGAACTTGATCTTAAACTTATGTAATTCAGTTTTAGAAACCGTATCTGCTTTGGCAATCACTGGTATAATGTTTACCTTGCTGTCAAGGTTCTTCATGGTTAAGAGATCAAGTGTCTTCAGAGAGTGGCCTGTCAGTGAAATGAAGTAGAGGCACACACGGATGCGAGAATCAGGGTAGGTAAAGAGAGAACGTTTAATCTTCAGTTATTCTTGGAGACAGGCCTCAAACTGAGCATCTATGTAGTCAACTATCGGTTGGTAGCTCTCTTCTTTATTTATTTGGTCACCAAATCCCACTGTATTCACAATGATCAATTTCAATCGAACATTACTTTCCTGGAGTTCATATGTCTGAACTTTAAGTTTAACATTTGGGCAAAAATGTGAGGATTCATAGTCTTCCAAATTAGTATTAAACAATGTGTCAATCAGTGTTGATTTTCCAATTCCAGTTTCCCCCACACAGAATATTAAAGCAGAAACCTTGCTGAATGGATCTGTTCACCAGCTGATCAGGCAAATTCTCAAAACCAACATGGCCAGACACAGTCAAGGAACGAATGTTTTCTCTTTTTCTCTGTTCATCATCAGATCCTTGTGAAGACATACAAGTTGTTTTCGTTGCCATGTGAGACTGAAAGAGCAGGTGCCGCGCCACCTCGGAGCCATGGTCGCGGGCGGGGGCACGGTGAAGCGGCTGTATCAGCCCGGCCCGGAGCTGCTGGTCCCGGCTACGGCGGCGGGAAGGCCGGAGGGCTGCAGTCCCTAATCCTTTTTAAATTCAATATGTTGCAAATAACTGCTCTTAGTCTAAGATTTTTATTAAATTAATTTTCAAATCATGAAATAAGTAAAATTTATTAATCCTTTTCTTATGTTTTTTGATTTTTGTGTCTGAAGAAATCCTGCCCACACCTTATATTGGTTAGGATGGCTACTATCAAAAAAACCTTAAAATAATGAGTGTTAGCAAGGATGTGGTGAAATTGGAATCCTGGTGCACTATTGATGAAAATGTAGAATGGTGCAGCTGCTGTGGAAAATAGTACGGAGCCTCCTCAAAAATTAAACATAGGATTACCATATAATCCAGCAACTCACTTCCAAGTGTATATCCAAAAGAATTGAAAACAAGATCGCAAGGATAAATTTGCACATTCATGTTCATAACAGACATATCACGATAGTCAAGAGGTAGAAACAACCCAGATATCCTTCAGTGAATGACTAGATAAACAAAATGTGGCAGAAATATAAAATGAAATAATTTTCAACCTTAAAAAGGAGGGAAAGCCTTTCACATGTTACAAGATGGATGAACTTTGAGAACATTACACTAAGTGAAATAAGACAATGACGAAAAGACAAATTCTGTATGATTCCACTTACATGAAGCATGTAAAGTAGTCAGATTTAGACAGAAATAGAATGGTGGTTGTCAGCAACTGAGGGGAGACAGAAATGGGGAGTTGTTATTTAATGGGTATAAGATTTCAGTTTTGAAGATAAAAAGTTCTGGAGAGCTGTTGCACAACAATCTCAATATACTATATACAATTGGACTCTACACTTAAAAATGGTTAAGATGGGCTGGGTGCTGAGGCTCATGCCTATAATCCCAATGCTTTGGGAGGCTGAAATGGGAGGATCACTTGAGGCCAGGAGTTTGAGACCAGCTTGGGCTAAATAGGGAGACCTGGTCTCTACAAAAATAAAAATAAAAATAATTAGCTTGGCATAGTGGCCCATGCCTTTAGTCCCAGTTACTCAGAAGGCTGAGGTAAGAGGATTGCTTGAGCACAGGTGATAAGGTTTGGCTCTGTGTCCCCACCCAAATCTCATGTCAAATTGTAATTCCCAGTGTTGGTAGGTGATTGAATCATGGGAGTGGACTTCCCCTTGCTGTTCTTGTGATAGAGTTCTCACTAGATCTGGTTGTTTGAAAGTATGTAGCACCTCCCACTGCTCTCTCTCTCCTGCTGGCCATGTGAAGACTGTGTGCTTCCCCTTTGCCTCCCACCACGATTGTAAGTTTCCTGAGGCCTCCCCAGAAGCAGAAGCCTGTACAGCCTGCAGAACTGTGAAGTGATTAAACTTCTTTTCTTTATAAATTACCCAGTCTCAGGTATGTCTTTATAGCAGTGAGAACAGACTAATACCAGGAATTTGAGGTGGCAGTGAGCTATGATCACACCACCGCACTCCAGCCTGGGCAACAGAGACCCCGTCTCTAAGCAAAGTAAATGAATAAATAAAAACAAACAAAAAATAAAATAAATTGGTTAGGATGATGAATTATATATATATATTTTTGCCACAACTACAAATTTTAAAAAAGAAATCGTGTTCAAATTGGAGATCATAAAGATGTTTATCTCTATTTTCTTATGGTAGTTTTAATTTTTGACTTGTGTACTTAGGGCTTTAATCTACCTAGATTTCACTTTTGAATATGGTATGTTTGTTACAGTCCTATTTATTGCATAGTCCATCCTCCTTCAGTTACTTGTGGATCTGGTTTTCATCTCTTTACTTCCTCATTAGTCTGTTATATAGCTCTGTGCTGGAGTCATACCTCCTTAATTACTATAGCCTTATAACAAAGTCTTGATTTTTGATAGGGCAAGTCCGTCCTTATTGTTCTTCTCTTTCAAAAAAATTATCTTGACTATGTCTTCTATGAGAGTTTTAATAAGGGCTTATGAAGTTTAACATAAAAATCTTATTTGGGTTTTGATTGTCATTCCATTTAACTGGGGTGCAGTGCAAAATTTATGGTATTGAGTTTCTTATTCAAGGGCATAATATATCTCTCAATTTATTTAAAATTTCTTTAATGTCTTTCCATAAAGTTTTGTAAATTTTTAAATACAGACCTTGGACATCTTTTTATATTGATTTCTATCTTTAATTGTTTTGTTGCTATTGTGAATAAAAGCCTTCTTTATTATAGTAGTTTTACTGGTTGGTTCAAATTTTTAAGAAAGCTATTGATTTTGGTATGCTGATTTTGTATAGAACAATCTTTTTGGACTCTTCTATTAGTGGTCATATTTGATGTATAAATTCTATTAAAACTTCCATATATTACATGAGAACAATGAGAATTTGTTTTTCTTTTCTAATCCTTATAACTTTATTTTCTTGTCTTGTACAATGTCACTATATCCAATATATAGAAGTGGTGCATGTAAGTAGTGATAATAGCCCGATAAGTCTTATTCTTGACTTTTAAGGGAGACTTTTAACACTCCATGGCTTATTATTATGTTTGCTGTAAGTTTTGGTGCTCTTTTTCAGGTTAAAGGAGTTCCCTTCCATTTCCTCATTAACCCACTTATGCCCAGTGTTCCATTATTGGAACCCTAAGCATGTGGGAGTTATTTATATCCTACTACTCAAGGTTATCACCAAGGTCTGATTTTTTCACTTGTGCAAAAATTCAAAAAATTGCAACCTCCAGCATAAATGGGTTAATATTATTTTTCTAGTCATGACAGGAGTTTAACATATTCATAGGCCTTTTCTGAATTCCAAGTTTGATTGTATTGTTTTTATTTTTTAGTCTATTAATGAGGGGAATTTTATTACTAGGTCTTTTTAATAGAAAGGCCTTTCAATTTCACACACATATACACATACGTACACACATATGTATCACACACAGTGCTAGGTTCAGTTTATTAATATTTTTCATAATTTTCATATCTATGTTTATAAATAATATTAGTCCATTTTTCACTTCTATTTTTAATAAATAAATTGGTAGATTTCTTTGAAACAATTTTTGCAAGGTAGTGATTATTTGTTCTTCGTACATTTGGTAAAATTTTCATGTAAAACCTACTGGGCTTGGAATTTTGGGGGATACATTTGGCTACTGTTTAATTTTATTTAATAATTTAAAGGGTAACACAGAGTCAGCAATTCACTTTTGTTTGTGAAAGGAAGAGCTTTTAGCCTTTTATCAGTGACAAAGGAAAAAACCAGGATGTATAAGAGAAAAAAAGAAGAAAAAGGAAGGAAAGGAGCGAAAGAAAAGAAGAGGAAGAAAGAAGAGAAAAAACTAGGCAGTTTGGGAACAGTGAGTCTTGTTTTTTATTTTTGGGATAAACACACTGAATAACTTGTAGCTAACACCACAAAACAAGGCCAAAACTTTGGGAGTTTAGTTGTTGAATATACTTGACAGGCTATCTCTGAATAAAGTCTGCATAATATCCTTCTGTTGGCACCTTCGCTTTAGTTAGACAGGATCTGCACTGTTTTACTCAAAAAAAATTTTCTTAGTTTCTCCTTTTTCAGTCAAAAGAATTTCCCAAAGGAGCAAATTTCACTTTAAGAATGTTTAGTCTCTGTGATGCAGAATCATCAGTTAGAAGTTTACTGGATATTAGACATGAGAAGAAGGAAAACCCACAGAATAAAAATCATAAAAGTTATGAAAAATATTTTGAAGATATTTTGTATTCATTGTTTTTTTTTTGAGACAGGGTCTGCTCTGTCACCCAGGCTGAAGGGGCAGTGGCGCCATCACAGCTCATTGCCGCCTTGACCTCCTGGGTTCCAACAATCCTCCTACCTCTGCCTCCCAAGTAGTTGGGACTATAGGAGCATGGCACCACACCCAGCTAATTTATAAATTTTTTGTAGAGATGTGGTCTTGCTATGTTACCCAGGCTGGTCTCAAACTCCTGGGCTCAAGCAACCCTCCCACATTGGCCACCCAGAGTACTGGAATTATAGGCAAGAGCCACTGCACCTGGCCTACATTCATTTTAAAAACTACTTTCTGCCTAATAAGCAGAGTAAGTCTCAATAATTAGTCTGATCAACTTCAGTTAACAAAGTGACCTTTTCACCTCTAATTGATTGATTATTTTTGTTTACCCATCTATTCATCTATTAAAAATTAATTATTACACACATTTCATAGTGGCTGCTTAACAATCAAGGATAATTGTATTACCTAGGGCTATTTTAGTTAACAATTTCATGATAATCTTTAAAATTTTGGTTTTTTAAATAATTAAATTTTGTTATTTAAGCCATAAGCAAGTTAGAAATTACACACTCTACTTTAGTAACTAGTTTAACTAGAGTAGAAATCCTTTTACAAACCAGTGAAATCCAATGTCAATGTCTTAGATCCCTCCCTAAAATTGTCATGTCTGATTTCTCATAAGATCTAATTAGGAGGTTTCTTTAGAATATTTGGAAAGGTCAAATGAATGTATCCAAAATAGATGTCTAAATTTAGTTTGTCTGATTTTGGAGGGAGACAATCATAGCTAGAATTAAAATATTATATAGTGATTATTGCATTGCTTTAGGAGAAAATAATTAAACTGAAGTTTCTGTCAGTATGCCTATGTCCCTTTCTTTTGTGGTATTCCTTGGATTCCTGTAAAGCTTTGAAAGTATCAGTGGCAGCAGGTAATTGTTGGGCATGTTGCCATGTGCCTGTAGTCCCAACTACTTGGGAGTTGGAGGTGGGTGGATTGTTTGAACCCAGGAGGTCAAGCCTGCAGTGAGTTGTGACAGTGCCATTGCACCTCCAGCCTGGGTGACAGAGCCGGACCCTGTCTCATACATGTATGAGGGTTAATATTTTATAGGGTACTTTGAGGCCAGTTATCAAATTTAACATTTTATAGGTGTGGTGGTGAGAAAAGATTTAAAGAGGACTATTATGAAAGAAAAGAAGAGAATGAGGAGATGCATAATATGGTAAAAATGCAAAGGTAAGTCTGATGGTCCATCAAGGATTTCAGTCTGAAGGTTTTGGGAGGAAGCTCTCTACTCAGGAAGACACCTTCTTAATCCATAGAATTTTGAAAGGAATCTGTCTACTTTAACATATGACCTGCTTCTAGGGATCTTTTCATGAGCCTCAGGGTCAGATCTTCATTTGTACTTGATGCCCAGGCTATGGAATTCAAAGAATATTTGCATTAGGGCACATGTATCTGTAGATGTGTGTCCTGAAGCTTAAGGACAACATTTGTAATTAGGAGAACCTGAAGCAGTTCTTTCCAATGGGGCGTCAAGTCTCACTTTCGATACTCTTTTAACGTACTCAATCTTCCAGATGTACATCTTTCATGAGATGTAGATCTGGTGGCTGTTATCATTAGCGCAGGAAGTGAACTTGAGGACCTTAATATTTTTATTTTAATATATCATGATCTTAGTTTGTTTTCCCAGAGCTTTAAGGAAGTTTCTGTTTATGGCTGAGTAGTATTCCATGGTGTATATTTTTAATCATTGGAGAGTATTGAATATATTCTCCACTTGGAAGGACAATATTGACATATTCATATTGTCATTAATGTATGTTAATATTTTCTTTCCAAGTGGGGAAAGTATTAACATATTTTGTGTGTGTAAATGAGCTTTAGTGTTTTGGTAAGGAAAGAGTTTGAGTTAAACCAGGACATTTACACATTATTATTAATGCATATTTAAACTTTGAAGCAACTGAATGAAATTCACTTGTAAATGCACAAATGATCAATGGAGTAGGGTCCTAAGTCTTGCCCTACCTTTGCAGTTTTTCCTTAATTATGGAAGTATTGGGTTACTCATTGTGTTTCTTGGGGAACATTTTTCATCCCAATGTTTTTGAAAAGTTTCATCCAATTTTCTCTGTCACATAGATTAGTTTTTGTTAGATAACAATGAGAGGTCGGAGATTGGCTTTGGGTGACTTCATGTGGCACAATTTTTGAGATAGCATTTTTTTTTTTGAGACGGAATTTTGCTCTTATCATCCAGGCTGGAGTGCAATGGTGCAATCTCAGCTCTCTGCAACCTCCACCTCCCGGGTTCAAGCGATTCTCCTGCCTCAGCCTCCCGAGTAGCTGGAATTACAGGTGTGCGCCACTACGCCTGGCTAATTTTTGTATTATTAGTAGAGACAGGGTCTCACCATGTTGTCCACACTGGTCTCAAACTCCTGACCTCAGGTGATCCACCTGCCTCAGCCTCTCAAAAGTGCTGGGTTTGAAGGTGTGAGCCACCATGCCCGGCCATATCTTTTCTTTTTTATATAAACAGCCAGCTATGTTTAAATATCGTTTTATTATTCAGAAATCAGAGCAAACAACGAATGGTTTTATAGTATTAATTATGATTAAAACAGTAAAGACAGTTTAGCAAATAGGTGGAAAATTTTCTTTAGTTTTAAGAGTATATTTTAAAGGCTGGGTGCGGTGGCTCACGCCTGTAATCCCAGCACTTTGGGAGGCCAAGGCAGGCGGATCACGAGGTCAGGAGATCAAGACCATCCTGGCTAACACGGTGAAACTCCGTCTCTACTAAAAATACAAAAATTAGCCGGGCACGGTGGCAGCCTGTAGTCCCATCTACTCGGGAGGCTGAGGCAGGAGAATGGCATGAACCCGGGAGGCAGAGCTTGCAGTGAGCCGACATCCTGCCACTGCACTCCAGCCTGGGTGACAGAGCAGGACTCCGTCTCAAAAAAAAAAAAAAAAAAAAAGTATATTTTTAGACATCCACTTCCCAGAAGATAAAGTAGATGTACTTTTTCCTATTCCTTCTGCTAAATACACCTAAAGACTCTGGACTATAAATAAAACAATATAAAAGAAGGATTCTTAGAGGTGGAGAGAAGAACGCAGGTTAGTTAGGGACCTTCAGATCTGAGAATAATGTGATGATGAGTTCTCTGGATTTTCTTTTTATTTCATATATCTCAGACTTGGAGCCAAATAACTCAGCAACGCAGAAACACCAAATCACTCAGACCTCCCCACCACCCAACTCCCCAAGAAAAACTCCAAGAAAAAAAAGCTTGTTCTTTGTAGCCAAAAGACCAAGAAAGGGGTAGCTTAGGAAGAAGACTTTTTGACAATTGCTATTCTACTCTAGTCAAAAAACCACAGAAAACCTAGTCCCCACCCCACCCGAACACAAGCAAAGGCTGAGTGGAGAGCTTAGACTTCCACCTTCCTGAAGTTGCAATAAGGTATCCTTAAACCTCTGCCAGGTGGTTTCTGAGAAAGTTAAGTGGGGAGCAAAGACTTTCTTCTTGTTGGCAGGTATCAAGAGTTCCCCACACCAAAGTGTCAGTAGAGATATTCTGTAGAAAGCCTAGACTTTCACCTCCATCCAGCAGTAAAGAGGCGTTCCACTTTCTCACCGCTGTGGTAGTATCAGAGGAAGCTGAGTAGAAAGTCAGTACTTTCAACATTGCCTAACAGTATTGGGGTCACCTCAATATGTGTCAGTGAAGACCCTGTGGGGACCATGAACTCCCATGCCTGCCCAGCACTTATGAGGAGCTCCTCCCCTTAGGTGTCAGCTGAGACCAAATGGAGAGTCTGGACTTTTCTTACTCCATCTAGCAGTAGCAAGGCAGTTCCTCCCCTTGCCCTGTTGGAGTGGTGTCAGAGATGGTGAGCTAAAGCAGAGTTTAAATAAGATCTGGCATCTCAAAACATAATACAAAAATGTCAGGTTTCAACAGAAAGTTACTCGTTTTACCAAGAACCAGGAACATCTGAAACTAAATGAAAAAAAAAAATCAACAGATGCCAACTTCAAGATGACAGAGATTTTAAAATAATCTGAAAAAGATTTTAAATAGCAATGATAAAAATAGCTTAATGAGAATTTACAGAAACAATGGAAACAAATGAGAAAAATAGAAAGCCTTAGCAAGTATGCTAGTTTGCTAGGGCTACCATAGCAAAGTACCACAAATCAAGTGGCAATAGGTTTTAGAGTTTAGAAGCTAGAGATCCAAGATCAAGGTATCATCATGGTTGATTTCTTCTGAGGGCTTTGAGGGAGGGTCTGTTCCAGGCCTCTCTCTCTCCTAGCTTGGGGTGGTTTGCTGGCAGTCTTTGGTGTTCCTTGATTTGTAGGCAAATCACCGTGATATTTGCTTTCATGTTCACATAGCTTTCTCCCAATGTTCATGTCTGTGTCCAAATTTTATCTTTTTATAAGAACACTGGCTATATTGGATTAGGGACCCAACCTACTCTGGTATGACCTTATCTTAATTAATTACATTTGCAAGAACTCTATTTCTAACTAAGGCATGTTCTGAGAGACTGGTGGTTAGGACTTTAGCCTATGAATTTCTGAGAGACACAATTTTAACCCATAACAGCAAGAAAACAGAAAGCTTCTTCAAAGAAATAGAATATATAAAGAATAACCAAATATAAATATTAGAACTGAAAAATATAATCATTAAAATAAAAGCTAAGTGGATAGACTCAACAGCCAGTTGGGGGAACAGAGAAAATAATCACTGAACTGGAAGATAAAATAATATAAATCACTCAACTTAAATAACACAGAAAAATAGACTAAAAAGAAATGAACAGAGCCTCAGGGGGCTCTGTTTTGGGACTATAACAAACTACCCAACTGTCATGGCATTGGAGTCCCAGAAGGAGACGTAAAAGAGGGTGGGGGCTGAACATTTTCTAAATTTGGCGTCAGATGTAATCCTAGATTCAAGAAGCTGACTGAATCCAAACCAGATAAACCTAAATAAATCACCAAAACACATCATAGTTAAACTTATAAAAACTAAAGACAAAGGTCTTAAAAGCAGAAACAGAGAAATGATACCTAACCGTATAAGAAAACAACAATACAATTACAGAGGATTTCTCATCAGAAACCATGAAGGCCAGAGGTAGTGTCACAATATTTTTCAAAAGTTAAAAAAGATACCTGTCAGCCTAGAGTCCTATAGCTGGTGAATATATCATGAAATAAACAGGAAATTAGGACATTCTCAGATAAAGGAAAAGACAATTTGTTGCCAGAAGATCTATCCTGAAGAATGCTGAAGGAATTTCTTTAAATAAAAAGGAAATGATAAAAGAAGGAACTTTGGAACATCAGCAAGGAAGAAAGAAAAATACAGTCAAAAATATAAATGAAAACAATAATAGGCTTTCTTTCTCTACTAGACTTCTAAATTATGTCTGACAGTTGAAGCAAAAGTTATAACATTGCCTGATGTGGTTCTAAATATGTGTAGAGAAAATATTTAAGAAATATATTATAAATGAGGGATGATAAAGGAACACAAAAGGAGATAAGATTTTGATATTTCATTTGATGAAACCACATTATATCACATTTTTGTACACACACATATGTATGAATATACTTACACACATATATAAATATATATGTAAATACTTAAAACAACTATTGAAAAAAGTTATTCAGAGATAGACTCCAAAACACTGTAGATAAATCAAAATGGAATTCTAAAATATGTCTAAGTAGCCCACAGAAAGGCATTAAAAAATAAGAAAATAGAGAAAAATAGAAAAAAAAAAGCACACATAAGCCCTAAAATATTTTAATAGCCCTATAACTGTTAAGGAAATTACACTCATAATTTAAAAACTTCCCCGCAAAAGAAAGCTCCAGACCCAGAAAGGCCTACTGGGAAATTTTCTAAGATGTTTAAAGAAGAATTAACCCCAGCTCAGTATAATCTCTTAACTACACTAAATGTAAATGATCTAAATATACCAACTAAAGGATAGAGATGGATAAAATGAGTTTAAATCACAATCCTTCTATATGCTATCTGCAAGAAGCTCAATTAAGATTCAATGATATAATCAAGTTGAAACTAAAAGGAAGGAAACGGTTATATCATGCAAAAATTTTTAAAGGAAATCAAGACTAGCTCTGTTGATATCAGATGAAGTAGACTTCAGGGCAAAGAATATTATCAAAGACATAGAGAGATGTTATATAATGAAAAAGAATCAACTTACCCAGCAGGTATAGCAATACTAAATGTATATACACCAAAAAACAGAGTTGCAAAATGTGTGAAGCAAAAACTGAAGGATCTAAAAGGATAATTAGACAAATCCACAAGTATAGTTGGAGACTATTGTTACAGTTGGAAATATCACTACAGACATTAAAATATCCAAAAAAATGAGATATTACTAAAGACTCTACACATAAATGTAACAACTTAGATGAAATGGACCTTTGAAAAACACAACTTACTAGAACTCATCCAATGTAAAACATAATTTGAATAGCCCTATAAGTATTAAGGAAATTACATCTATAATTGAAAAACTCCCCCAAAAAGAACTTTCCAGACCCAGATAAGTTCACTAGAAAATTCTCCAAAATGTTTAAGGAAGAATTAACACCAGGTTTATACAATCTCTCCCAGAAAATAAAAGAGAGAATACTGCTTAACTCATTTTATGAAGTTAGTGTTACCTTGACACAAAAAACAGAAATAGACAGTAGACACACACACAGACACCCAGCCACCCCAGAACATACAGATTCACAAATAAAAAGACAAAAATCTTAAACTAACATTAACAAATAGAAGTCAACAATATTTAAAAAGATTGTACCCTGATACGGTTTAGATATTTGTTCCCTCCAAACCTCATGTTGAACTGTGATCTCCAATGCTGGAGATAGGGCCTAGTGGGAATTGTTTAGGTCATAGTGGGGGATTCCTCATAATGACTTGATGCCATGCCCTTGGTGATGAGTGAGTTCTCACTCTATTAGTTCATGCAATAGTTGGTTATTTATAAAAGTATGGCACCTCTTCCCTCTCTCTCTCTTGCTCTTCTTGCCATGTGACACCTCGCCCTTCACCTTCTGCCATGAGTAAAACTTCCTGGGGCCTTACCAGAAATCAAGCAGATACTGGCACTATGCTTGTAGAGCCCGCAAAACTGTGAGCCAAATAAACCTCTTTTCCTTATAAGTTACGCAGTTTCAGGATTTATTTATTTATTTATGTTGTTGTTGGTGGTGGTGTTTTTGAGACAGGGTCTCATTCTCTCACCAAGACTGGAGTGCAGGGGCACGATCATGGCTCACTGCAGCCTTGACTGCTGGGCTCAAGTAATCCTCTCACCTGAGTAGCTGGGACCACAGGGTGTGAGCCACAACACCTGGCCAGTTTTTTAATTTTTTGTAGAGATGGGGTCTCCTTATGTTGCCCAGGCTGGTCTTGAATTCCTGGGCCCAAGTGATCTGCCCATCTCAATCTCCCAAAGTGCTGGGACTAAAGGCATGCGCCATTGCCCCTGGCCTCAGGTATCACTTTATAGCAATGCAAAACAGACACCATCACCAAGTGGTGTTTATTCCAGAGATGCAAATCTGGTTAATTATTCAAAAATCAATTAA
Source organism: Homo sapiens (assembly GCF_000001405.40). Taxonomy (NCBI): domain Eukaryota; kingdom Metazoa; phylum Chordata; class Mammalia; order Primates; family Hominidae; genus Homo; species Homo sapiens. The sequence goes on from NC_000008.11 coordinate 56,489,709, forward strand.
TATCACTGGACATGGTGGCACATGTCTGTATTTCCAGCTACTTGGGAGGCTGAGGCAAGAGGGTCACTTGAGCCTGGCAGTTTGAGGCCAGCCTTGGCAACATAGTGAGACCCTGTCTCTAAGAATAAAATTTAAAAAGTCAATCAATGTAATTCACCATATTAACAGACTAAAGATGAAAAATCTCATCATCATATCAATTGACTCAGAAAAGTATCTGACGATATTCAACATCCATTAATGATAAAAATTTTCTGAAAATTAAGAGTAGGAGGGACTTCCTCAATTTCATAGAGAGCATCTACAGAAAACCTACACCTAACATTATACTTTCCCTTTAAGATTGGGCAAAGGCAAAGATGTCTACTTTTTTTTGAATGTAGGTTTTTATTAAATGGTATGCATCTGTGACAAGATCCCTGAGCAAATAGGCCAATGTATGTTCAAAATACTTTCTTTTTAAGATTTTCCAGGCTCTGAAATGCAGCATTTTTTAAAGTGCAGGTCACTGGTAGTCCACCTGAAGATACCCACTCTTAGCACTCTTATTCAACATAATGTTGGAAGTTCTAGCAAATGCAATAAGGCAATACAAAGCAAACATGCGCACAGATTAGAAAGAAAGAAAATGATCCCTATTTGCAGATGACATGGAAAATCCCAAAGAATATACAACAAACCCCTATGGTTATGGAAATATTTTGTATCTTGACTGCATGCTAATATCCTGATTGTGACATTGTACTATAGATTTGCAAAATGTTACCATTGGAAGAAACTGGATAAAGGTTATATTGACTCTTTCTTATTATTTCTTAGAAATGCATGTGAATCTATAATTGTCTGAAAATAAAAATAATTAGTTAATTGAAAAGTATATCTTTAAAGTAGGTGTTAAGGCTGGGTGCGGTAGCTCACACCTATAACCCCAGCACTTTGAGAGGCCGAGGAGGGCAGATTGCTTGAGCTCAGGAGTTTGAGACCAGCCTGGGCAATATGGTGAAACCCCATCTCTACAGAAAATACAAAAATTAGTTGGGCATGGTGGTGCACGCCTGTAATTCCAGCTACCTGGGAGGCTGAGGCAGGAGAATCACTTCAGCCTGGGAGGTAAAGGTTGCAGTGAGCAGAGATCACGCCACTGCACTCCAGCCTGGGTGACAGAGGGAGATCCTGCCTCAAAAAAAAAAAAAAAAAAAAAGTTTTTAATCTAAATAACTGAGTTTGGTTTTCTTTGGATGTTAGATTATCTCCAATAGGTAGCTCTTAATTTATTTTAGAATTTTCAGTGGAGAGGCACATGAATAAGTTAGAAAACTCCTTTGTTTCCATAGCATGCTGAAATCATGGATAATTCCAAAAGCAAAATATATTAGTGGTATATTTACTCTTAAATATCTGGGGAGGTGCTATGTTCATATTGAGTTATCTCAGTAGAATTAGAGCAGAATATTTTATATTAAAATACTTATAAATTATAACATATAAGTACAAAGAATATCTTTTTCTTAAGCTCTGAATCATCTCTAAATATTATATTAGGATTTTCATCAGAGTTGAACATCAGTCAAAAGAGAAAGAGAAATACTTAGAGTGTGAACAACTCTTAGATTTCGGCAGAGATTTTCTCTTATTAGCAAGAGAGAAAAAAGGAGCCTGACTTATGTTAGCACAGTTTTTAACAGGTATATAGGAAGAAGACAATAAAACAGGAGACTCAGGCTGGGTGCGGTGGCTCATGCCTGTAATCCCAGCACTTTGGGAGGCTAAGGCAGGTGGATCACAAGGTCAAGAGATCGAGACCATCCTGGCCAACATGGTGAAACCCAGTCTCTACTAAAAATACAAAAATTAGCTGGGCATGGTGGCACATGCCTATAGTCCCAGCTACTTGGGAGGGTGAGGCAGGAAAATTGCTTGAACCAGGGAGTTGGAGGAGGTTGCAGTGAGCTGAGATCGTGCCACTGCACTCCAGCCTGGCGACAGAGCGAGACTCCATCTTAAACAAAACAAAACAAAACAAAGCAAGAAACAGGAGACTCAGATATCCTGTATCCATTGAGAAAATTATCATTACTGTGAATCTTTTTTCTCTAGTGGCGATTGGACTTTTCTGTAACTTGGTATTCTGCAGTTTGTTTTATTTGCTTGCTCAGGACTTAAGGTGCTTCTTTAATATGAAGAAATATATTTCTTTAATTTTGTAAAAATTTCAGTTATTATACATTTGAATACTGCCACTTCCCACCCACCTTGTTCTTTACTTCTGGAACTTCGATTTATGTGTGTTGAGCCTCTAATTCCATAGAGTATTTGCGAAGTCAGAAATGTAACATATACTCATTTAACATGATCTCGGGTTCATCGAGGAATAATTTATACACAGTAAAGTGTTCTCTTTAGGTGCTCTGTTCGATGAGTTTTGACAAATGTATGCGCTCATGTGAGTGCTAAAAAGATGTAGAATATTCCTATACTCAGATAATTTCGCTAATGCACCTTTGTATTTAATCCCCTTCCCCCACATCCAGTCCCTGGAAATCACTGATCTGATTTCTGTCCCTATAGTTTTACCTGTTCTAGAAGGTCATATAAATGAAATCATAGAGGATATAGCTGTTATTTGGCTTCTTTCACTCAGTGTAATGCTTTTGAGATTCACGTAGATTGTGGCATGCATCTGTAGTTCATTCTTTTTATTGCCGAGTAGTGTTCCATAGCATGAGTGTATCACGGTTTGTTGATCCATACTAGTGGTGGACATTTTAGTTGTTTCTGTTGTTGGCAATTTTGAATAAAGTTGCCACAAACATTTACCTATGGGTGTTTTTATATCTCTTGGGTAAACACCTGGGAGTAGAGTTGCAGGGCTGTTATGGTAACATCTTAGGTGTGGGATTGCTTATGGGTACGATAAGAAACAAACAGCTTTCCAGTCATTGTACCATTCCATTCTTATCAGCAGTGTATGAGAGTTCTAGCTGCTGTGCATTCTTGCTAGCACGTCGTACTGTTAGTTTTAAATTTTAAAAAAGTTCTTTGGTAAAGTGTCTGTTTAAATCTCTTGTCAATTTAAAAATTGAGTTTTGTGCCTTTTTATTATTAAATTGAGTTCTTTATAATTTAAATGCATGTCCTTTACTAGGTGTATGTTTTGCAAATATTTTCTCCCCGTCTGTGACTTCTCTTTTCATTTTCTTTACAGTATTTTTCAAGAGCATACTTTTTTATTTTTAAGAAGTCTAATTTAGCAGTTTTTTTCTTCTATGTTTTGTGCTTTTTGTTTCCTAAGTCATCTTTGCCTAACCCAAACTGATAAACAGGCCGTAGGGGAGGTGTCAGTGTTCCCGGAACAACGATTATATTCATTTATTGGCTTGAGGCTTTCAGGTAAGGAAGATAGTGTAATTTCAAAACTGCACTTGGTGCAGATCTACAGATGCGTTTGTCTCAACATTAAGGCCTGGATACATAACAACATTTCTTGCTGCTTCCCAAGGCTAGTGGTGGGCAGCCTCTGTGTGTGTGTGTGTGTGTGTGTGTGTGTGTGTGTGTGTGTGTGTCTGCGAAGGCATAGAGCTCCTTCTCCTTAGTGCAGGCTTGTAGCAATATTCCCTCTCTCTGCGTGAGTGTCAGAATCCTCATATCTGACCCTAAAGTCCCCGCCCCCACTGCCCTGGTAGGATTAGCTTCCCTCTATTGTACAGACTTTTCTTTTCTTTCATTCTTAATACTTGACAACTGGACATTTCTGTGTATTTTAAGCTTCAAGATATATTTGGAAATACTTTTTATACTTATGTCATCCAGTATTTTATGTTTGTAGCAGGTAGAGGCCCTCCTTACAATAGGTGATCCACCATATTGCCAAAAATTCTCTCTTTTTTTTTTTTCATGATCAAGTAGGGTTTATTTTTTTAAATGCAGGGATAGTTCAACATTATAAAATTTACTAATGAAATTCTTTAAATTAAATCACTTGAAAGAATGTGTGTATATTAATATGTGTTATATAAATGTATTAATAATTCTGTTTATACATTTTAATAACATAATCATTTCTCCTCTGCATAACCTAGAAATAAAATCTACTTAAGCTGAAAAAGATTTATCCCTGAAACTTATAACGATTAAACCTTTTTAATGATGAAATGTCAAAGCATTTATTTATTTATTTATTTATTTATTTATTATTATTATTATACTTTAAGTTTTAGGGTACATGTGCACAATGTGCAGGTTAGTTATATAGGTATACATGTGCCATGCTGGTGTGCTGCACCCATTAACTCGTCATTTAGCATTAGGTATATCTCCTAATGCTATCCCTCCCCCCTCCCCCCACCCCACAACAGTCCCCAGAGTGTGATGTTCCACTTCCTGTGTCCATGTGTTCTCATTGTTCAGTTCCCACCTATGAGTGAGAATATGTGGTGTTTGGTTTTTTGTTCTTGAGATAGTTTACTGAGAATGATGATTTCCAATTTCATCCATGTCCCTACAAAGGACATGAACTCATCTAGAACTAGAAATACCATTTGACCCAGCCATCCCATTACTGGGTATATACCCAAAGGACTATAAATCATGCTGCTATAAAGACACATGCACACATATGTTTATTGCAGCACTATTCACAATAGCAAGGACTTGGAACCAACCCAAATGTCCAACAATGATAGACTGGATTAAGAAAATGTGGCACATATACACCATGGAATACTATGCAGCCATAAGAAATTCTCTTCTTGAAGACTGTGTTTTCTGATTAAACCCGCCCTTACAATTTAGAATTTAGTCTCTTTTTTTTTACATTTATTTAGTTATCCTTCAAATGTTTTAAATCAAGTGCTGAATTGTTTTAAAAAAAATGGGAGATGGATCCTCTTTCTTGAAGCTTATAACTTTTATAAAATCCAAAGAAGTTGCTTTAAAAATTCCCCTCCCAGACAATTGCATCCCCCACCATCTAAGTCTCTGTTATTCAATTTTCAATTTCTCTTCCTGGTTACATAGTTTGTGCACTTTGGTTTTACTCATTAATTATACCTTTTTCTCCTTGACTTACCAGAATCATTAAATGACCACAGGATTTTCCCTATTACTGCATATTTAAAAATCTTCTTTTTCATCAAATAATAGTGTAGAATATCAGAATAACCTGCATATTTGCTGCATTATGCACTTGGAGATTTGTAGAGAACAGAACAATAATTTTTATTTGAGAACAGAAAAATAATTTTTTATTTCATGTATTTCCGGTTCTGTTTTAAGTCTGGAGTGATTATGTGGGAAGTATGAAACATGCCTCAACCCACAATGGTCTTACTACCCGATTGAAGAAGATAGGCTTTTAAAAGAAAAAATCTTATAATGCTGTAATATGAACAGCATGTAATGAAGTGCGGCAACATTGACTCATAAGTGCACAGAGGTGGGGACAGCCATGGAAGGATGAGAGGTTGGGTGAGGCTCTCCAGGGCCCTCAGAGCTCTAAAGACACTGAAAGATTTGGAATGACAAACAAAGAGAGACGCTGTTCTGACTGGGAAACAGCCTCAATAAAATACAGAGTACACATGGAATATGAGGGCTCCGTAAAGGGACCCTCATGTTCCCCACTTCAGTCACAGAAAGTAAACAACTCCCAATAAAACGTTTTCTGCAAATAAAATAACCAGTACTTCTCTTGAGGGGGTCCACAAGGAGCACTTTTACAGATGGATGAATTGGCAGCTATGTTTTGTTTGGTAAAACAGAAACCAGCAGGCAAACATCCTGATATTAACTCAGGAACATCTCCAGCCACAACATTTTCATTTGTTCTTACGTATTCTTAGACCAGATGAAGTGGATTTTTCCCTTACAAAGGAATTCGGAATGTATACTAAGGAAACCATTCCCTTCTGGGATCCAATCTAGTCCTTGTTTGGGAAACAAAATGTGAAACATATCCAGGTGGCTGAAAGAGAAGAGACATCCTGACAATACTCTTCAGAAGGCTCCCTGGATCCTCCCTTCCTCCACGTCATTTTACCAGCCCTTGAAAATGTACTTTTCTCCCAAATAAGGATACTTATATTCGCATTCTGTAAGCAGTCCTAGTCTTAGTGAGAGAAGGCATGCGCATACCATCCCAAGCATGCGCTGCAGAACAAGAGATCAGCGTGCTTCCCCTCAAAGGCCTATTCCCACGGGCCTTTCCCGTGTCCCCTCTTGTCACCACTACTCATATCTCTATATTTCACACCAAAGCCAGTGGAAGCCAATGGAAGTTCCACAGTCTGCCTAGATTCCGTAAGGGTCTGATCATCCAAGGGCAAGAACAAATTGCTGGCAAACAGTCACACACATGTTTGTAATCACTGACATTTGCACTGCTACAAATAAAGAATGCATTTCTCCTACACATGTACATTGAAGATGGTTAGGAAAATCTGTTTTGAGTTAAGCTTCTTTTCTTTGATATGCATTTCCAATTACTAAACCAATGCTGCTTTAATTTTGTTTGTAGGAAGCTGAACTGACACGAAACAAAAGAAGTCCGTTGTTTTGGATTGAGTTCCATACTTGGCTGGCCCAGAGGTTGATCTCACCACCATTCAGATATCCAAGAAGAAGCCACCTGTTGGATTTAAGAAAACCCAGTAAGATGTTGCTACTACGGTTTTTTTTGTATGTGTGTCTCTGCAGGTAGAAACCTAATTAGCCAATAAAATGTACTTTTGCATGAGAATTGAAGTAAACTTTGTCTCAAATATGAGGAACTATGTCAGTCATACAGCAATTGTATGGCAAGCCTAAAGGATGGTCAGCTTTAAACAAATTTCCACAGGTAGGCCCAGGTTTCCTGTCTCTTTTTTAGTGTATCTTTCTTGCTCACAAGTACCTTACTCTTTCATTAACTCCTTCATTCAAGTCTCCGGCTCTTAATCAGCTCCTTCTCTCACCTTCTTTGCCTGAGCATCTCTCCTATCATATTTTCCCATCTAGACCACACATCTGCCACTGGCCCCCTCATAACCACCATCTCACTAGCCGGGGTTGACTCAGCTCTATGCACAAGATATCTCTGACTAACTCCTTCCTATAAGCTGAGACTACCATCCATCAGCATATCTTGGACTTGGTTTCCTAATTTTGTTCTTCCACTTGCCTTTATTGCTCTTTTAATTCTATTCCAATGGTTTGTCTGGTGGATTGTTCTTTATTGCTACCCATACAGGATGAAGACATTAACACAGGAATAAATTTATTCAGCATTTTGCTCCCTGTTTATCCCCAGATAATTCTTCAGTATAGAGACAGGTTGGTATTTTTGGGGTACTGCCATCTGGGCCTCTGCCATCCATAAACAAGGGATGGGGGGTGTGGATGGAAAAAAGAAAAATGACTATGCTGATTTCTGAAAATTACTGAGATTGAGAAAACCAAGGTCTCACATGGAATAGTTGTGTTAGATCCCAAGCTGGATAGTAAGTCTTCAATATCGTTTCTCTGAAGTCATTTGGGTTTTAATAAGGTCAAAATAACCAGGACACTGAAATTGGTACTATTGCCATCAATAAAGAATAGACAGCATTTTTGGCTGTCATCATTAGCAGGAGGACAGATTGATGGTATTTTGTCCTAAAAGCTAAGGACCTTCCTACTTCTCACTCAAAATCTTTTCCTTAATTATATTTACCTGAATTGTTTTGTAGCTATTGGTCCTTATATTCTGTATTAGAAACTAAATAAATCTATTTCAATCTCTTAACTAAGATTTATAATAATACAAATTTATTTCTTAGTAGTCTATGTTTTGGTTCAGAGTGTACTGTTAGGAAGAAGACCTATTTGGAGGGTTGTTCTCTACCCATCTTTTTGGGAAAGCAGTATGGAAGAACACTGAACCATTAATCAGAAAGGAGACACAATTTCTTTTTCTTCAACTTGACAACCCAATTCTCAACTGCAAGGCAAGAGAAAAAAGTGAGGCACATCTGTTCCATCCCCTGCTGTCTATCTCTACCCTCTATTCTATAGGTTGAAATAAGAGAGGCTAGAAATAAGATGTTGATCTTCAATTATATTTTTCATTCATTCATTCATTCATTTCCCATGGGAAAGATTGAGGCCAAGCAGGTGAAACAAGGTGAAGAGGATGAATGGAAAAGAAAACATATACAATATTTAGCCTCCCAAAGTGGGGTGTGAGGCACTGGTGGAGACGAAACAGTGGGTTCTCAGCTTTGGACAGATAAATGCCTGAAGCTAGTGTCTGCCTTGAGATAGTTTTGCTCTTTACCTCTCTAAGTACAAATAGCAGATGACTCAAGTTTGAGCAGAGAAGTGGGCAGAAGTGTTTGTTCTCTGCCTCCAGATGTCTCCAGTGATTGTCTGGCAAGCCGCCACACAGGAAGACAATTGACTGAGTGGTACATATTCCTCATATTCTCGCATTTCTAAAAGTCCCAGTTTATTTATTTCTAGTAATTGGTTCTGTCGTTGACTGAAAAATATATATTATTAAAAAAAACTTTGTAGAAGACAGGCTTTGCACTTCTTTGCTTTTGTGCTTTAGAAAGCAAAGTGGTATTTTCTAAAACATTACTGGTTCCACCCAAACACTTTTTCTGGAGATACAATTAATTCAGGTTAACATAACTGAACAAATATCCATTGACTATTTGTCTGTAATATAGAAGAGGACTTCAAAAGGTTCTTGGAAAATGGAATTAAAAGATAGAGGCCAGGCATGGTGACTCATGCCTGTAATCCCAGCAGTTTGGGAGGCCGAGGCAGGAGGATCACCTGAGGTCAGGAGTTCAATACCAGCCTAACCAACATGGAGAAACTCTGTCTCTACTAAAAAATACAAAATTAGCTGGGCGTGGTGGCGCATGCCTGTAATCCCAGCTACTTAGGAGGCTGAGGCAGGAGAATCACTTGAACCCAGGAGGTGGAGGTTGCAGTGAGCCAAGATCGTGCCATTGTACTCCAGCCTTGGCAACAAGAGTGAAACTCCATCTCAAAAAAAAAAAAAAAAAGAAAGAAAGAAATAAACAATATAAACTTGATTTCTCAACATAAGCTCTATGTAGTTTAAGACACTTATGTAAGTGATGGTATCAGCCATTTTAGTCCATTCCTAAAAAACTGATGGGCCTGGGAATTTAACCATGTCAATGTAGTCTTTTTGACATTATTAACTGAAGAAAAATAAGTGCTCTTTAAAGATATTTTTAAGATTAGGAAACAAAAAGAAGTCAGAAAGTGCCAATCAGGACTGTAAGGCTGATGCCTAATCATTTCCCATTGAAATCCTCATAAAATTGCCCTTGTTTGATGAGAGGAATGGGCAGGAGTATGTCGAGGTAGAGAAGGATTCTCTGTTGAAGCTTTTCTGGGAATATGTCTGCTAAAGCATTGGCTAACTTTCTCAAAACACTTTCATAATTAGCAGATGTTATCATTCTTTGGTCTTCCAGAAAGTCAACAAGGAAAATGCCTTGAGCATCCCCCAAAAAACTGTTGTTATGACGTTTGCTCTTGACCGATCCACTTTTGCTTTGACTGGACCACTGCTAATTCTTGGTAGCCATTGCTTGGATTGTGTTTTGTCTTCAGGATCATACTTCAAACATAGTATAGCCATGTTTCATCTCCTGTGACGGTTGTTCAAAGAAATGTTTCAGGATCTTGATCCCACTTGTTTAAAATTTCCATTGAAAGCTCTGCTCTTGTCTGCAGCTGATCTGTCATGCAATGTTTTTGCACCCATAGAGTGGAACGTTTGTTCAACTTTAATTTTCAGTCAGAATTGTGTAAGATGAATCACTTGAGATATCTATGGTGTTGGCTATTGTTTCATTTTCTAATCATCTGTCCTCTTCAGTTTGGATATAAACAAGATGAATTTTTTCTGTCAAATCGATATGAATGGTCTGCTGTTGTGGGCTTCATTTTCAACATCATCTTGTCCCTTCTTAAAACGAGTTATCTATTTGTATACTGCTGATTTATTTGTGGCATTGTCCCCATAAACTTTTTGTAAAGCATCAGTGACTTCACCATTCTTCCACCCAAGCTTCACGATAAATTTGATGTTTGTTCTTCCATCAAGTTCAGCAGAATTCATGTTGCTCTGATAGGGATGCTTTTCAAACTGAGATCTTATTCTTCTTAATAACGCAAACTAGATCCTATTCATATATGTATAACAAGTTAGCACAAGTTTATTTCAGTGTAAACAAGTTTTGAAATCTTTGCATAGTTTTTTCATAATATGAATTTCCATGAACTTTTTGAAGAACCTAAATGATATGTGTGCTGTTATAAGCAGTTAGCAAGAATTTTAACCTGCAAATAAATATATTGAGGATTATATTTTCTGTGACAGAATAATTCTACTTCCTGTGTTTAGGAAATAACACAGTAAAAAATGTACTTTGATATATTTTCTATCTTTTTTGAACAAACAAAGAATTGTGATTTCAGTTTCATGTGTTTTTTTCTGAGGAGCTGTAACATGTCCTGGCAAGTGACAGTCTATAAAACATCTACTTAGATTTTACCTTCGTCTTTGAAATAATAGCCTGACCATGTTTCCAATCAACATGTCTGCAGTCAGTGCCAATTTTCCTTTGTACTATGTATCTTTTAATAAAAAGATATAGCACTAACACTTTTTTTAAATCACAAAACACCTCTACAAGGAAATGTACTAAAATATCTATACAAAAGAATATATGTAATATCTATGACTAAGAGCTATGAGCAGATCACTAAAAATCAAACTGGAGATAAAGCCAGAAAAATGCCCAAAGCCATTTGGAATTTTCTTTCATCTTAAGCTGCTTGTTGCATTCCTAGATGTGGTGGAATTTCCACCCAGTTTGTAACTTTCTATTCCCTGTTTCAACAACAAAATCTACATGCAGGCACATCTTTACAGAATTGTTAAACTGTATGCATTTGCACTCTCTTCCTCTTCAAACCCAAGTAGTACAATCTCAAATTCTGCATAGCATCATTAAAGTATTCTATAATTAAACCTATAATGATAGGTACATAAGAACAGGGAGTAAAAATCATAGATACAGCCAGGCATTGTGGCTCACACTTGTAAACTCAGCACTCTGGGAGGCTGAGGCAGGAGGATTACTTGAGGCCAAGAGTTCAAGACCGGCATACACAACATAGTGAGACCCTACTTCCATGAATTTTTTTTTTTAATTTTCCAGGCATGGTGACATGTGCCTATGGTCCCAGCTACTCAGGTGGCTGAAGCAGGAGGGTGGCTTGATCCCAGGAGGTTGAGGCTGCAGTGAGCCAAAATTGTGCCACTGCATTCCAACCTGGGCAACAGATTGATACTCTGTCTCTTAAAAAAAAATCATAGGTACTTCCAAAAAAATGTTAAATCAACTAAAAAAGCATCATGCAACTTTTACGAAAACTAACCTAGCTCCTTGCAGGCAAGATGATTGCAAAGATTTTCAGAAGTCTGATTATGGGTCACAAAAGAAGCGTGTCTCACACATAATCCTGTTCTGGGTGGTTAAGGAGGAAGGAAGTGTACTTCATCAGTGGAAGTAATAGAGAATGGAAAAATTATACGGTGGATGGTGCTGTGTGGCTTTGTGAACTACTTTGCTGCATTTTCCCTTGAGTGTGACAACATTTTTAATGTAACTGTGTCTTGCATCTTGCAGCACAAAACCCCTGAAAATGAATTTCTGATGGTTAAGAATGAGTCTCATGAGGAAATCAGGAAAATTTTTAAAAATATGATATGAATAGCTCTTACAATGGATCTTTAAAAAAATAAAATGTGTTTTGAAAGAAAGGTTTGTTTGGGCTTATCTCGCCACAGGACTGTCTGGGTTTCTACCCCCAGTGGAAAAGCGACGCCGCTCTGGCTTCCCGCCTCCTTTTGTTCTGTGGCAATCATCCATCCACGTCTGCAATGTGCCTACAGTTTCCAATCACACATTTCTTTCTTGCTGCCACTGTGGAGTTAAGGCATATGATAGCATTTGGAAGAAAATAAACATCCCTTGTAATAGGCCAATATGGCAAACCCTGGTGAGTGGGATCTATCAAAAGCAAACTTGGGTAATGATCAAGGGAGAAAATAAAACCTTTATTCTTGGCTGCTGAGAGTGGTGACTTCCAGCTAGGCTGTTCTTTCATTTTATTGTTAGGGTGAGTTCAAGTACACCTAACACCCCAAGGGGATCACTTCGTTGAAAGACTCTATACTTAAAAGAAGAAGAAATTCTAAAGTTATAAACATATCTAACTTGGAACCATCAGGGTATTCCATATTTTAGGGCATTTTCTTTTCAAGTTCTCCTTCAGTTCACATAAAAGCCCTACTTCTTTGTTTTTCTTGGCCAAAGGATGGGGCCCTGGACAAGAGTTCTGGAAAATCCTATGGAGGCCTTGGGAGCTTCCCCTCCTGGTGCTGGCAGCCGGCAGATGCCTGTGATGCTATCTATGCCTGTCAGTTTAATCTCACAGCACTGCCTAACAGGCACGACATCGTCCTAGAGTGTTTTTACTGGAACTGTTTTAATGACTGTGAATAATATTTTGAAAGACCCAACACCTGATCTTCTATTAGCAAACCTGGCTATTTTGCTTTTAAATGTCCAAAAGAGCCAATTATCCTGCAAATCTGATTCAAGTGTACCAGATTGAATTAGAGAAGTGCATATTTCAGGAAACTTCCCTTGCATTCCAAATCTGTCCAGTTGAGATAGGGTTTTTTGATAGAAAACATTTCCTTTTTTTTTTTTCAAACTGTGTCTCATTTCAGAATACTTACAATATCTCTCACCCTTGGTAACAGAGGGGAGGGGTTCATATGTTGACATCCAACTTCCTGAGAGGTGGTGAGAGACAAAATCTCCCCAACCTCCTTACCCAACTGTAATGATGAAAGATGTACAACAAAATGATGTCTTGTTTAATGTGGGATTTTATGTGCCACTGGAACATAGGCAACATCTAATGTGAAACGGCTTCTGCTTCAAACAGAGGGCCACTATTTTGCCCTCTGTTTACTATGTTGCCCAGGGTTGCCACAGTCTTGCTAGAGTTCCAAGCACGGTGGTTATCAGCAGAGATGGATGCCATTGTAAGGAGCCTGGAAATCCCAGGTGTAGGTACTGAATAAACAAGAAAGATATTGTAATAATCTCAGTTTTGAGGACAAGGGAAAGAAACAACCACTGAAGAATTTTGATAAGAGGTTTTTCTAGTCTTCACACCATTTTCAGGAATATTTCAGCAGGGTAGGACTTAGGGCCACTTATTCAGCCTCATGATTGGCCAGTTTCTGTCCATTCCTGCACCTTTTCTCCTCCTTCTCTTGTGGGTAGTTCTCTCCAGTTGCCTCTTCTCTTTGCATATCCAGGACATGCTGATAACATTAGTGTTTCTGCAAAGATATTGATTTTAACAGGGAAAGGAGATGGGGTCTGGCATATGGTAGATAATCAATGTTGGTTGACTAAATAAAAGCCAAACTTCATCTCCACTGACTTTATTACTACTTAAACTGAACATTTAAAAAAAGAATTAGTCTTGGACATGATGCAACATTATTGCTGAGCCAAACTTTTTTACTATCTTGGGTTTTACAGCCTTCTTGTCCTTCTGGTTAAGTGAGAGCAGGCAACTCCATCTGGCATGTAAAGAACTGGAAAAAATTTCTATGGATTTTTGTACCTGTTTATTTCTCCTTGTACATGTTGTAGCTACTGGTAGAATATTTGGATTTTTGCCAGTTTGTTAGAAGAGTAAATTTTACTTTACATTTACTTTTTATGAGCAAGATTGAGCATCTTGTTATATGTTTAAGTGTCATTTGTGTTTCTTTTTAAAATAATTTTTTATTGTTACCTCTCGCCCATTTTTTTCTATCAGGTTGTTGGTCTTTTCTCCACTTTTAGAAGCCTTTGTAAATTAAGGATATTAGTTAGCTCTTTGTGTTTGTTACATGTGGCAAATATACTTCTCTAGATTGTCATTTGTTTTATACTTTGCTACTGTAAATGTGTTTTAATTTCACAGAGCTAAATTTATCACTATTTCTCCTTGTTGCCTCTGTGTTTTGAATCATGATTAGGAATACTTATGCGTTTTCAGGTAATTAAGAAATTCATCTCTGTTTTCTTTTCATATTTGTGTGGTTTCATTTTTTACATTTCAATCTCTAAACTATTTTGAATTTCCCTGGTGTCTATTATAAGAAATATATCCTATATTATCACTTTTCACATTGCTATTGAGTTATCCCAATATTATTTGTCAAGAAGGCCATCCTTTCCCCATTGATTTGAAATTCTGCTTTTTTACATGCATTAAATTTCCACATACAACCATGCCTATTTCTGGATTTTCTATTTTATCACATTAGTTTGTCTGTGAACCAATATTATGCTATTTTTAATTATATAGACTTTATCATTCATACAGTAACAATAATTTGTAATGTCATTTTATACACAGTAGGAAAAGTTTCCCCCCACAACCAACCCACTGTGCTCCTTTCCTGGGGCTTTTGTAGTTATTATTGCTTGTTTGTTCTTCCAAATGAACTTTGTTACCACTTTCTCTAGCTTTAGAGATAAAAGACTGTTGATATTGTACTGAGATGGCATTAAGCTTGTTAATCAACTTAGGGATGATTTACATCTTTACGATAATGAGTTTTTCTGCCAAGGTATACTGCATGTCTTCCCATTTTCCACTAAGTAGGCTCTGTAGTTTTTAGGAGTGTTTTATGATTTTCCTCATATAGGCTTTATATACTTCTTAATCTTAGTGTTAAAGTTATGCCCAATGTTTTCTTTTCTAAATGTAAATAGAATCTTTCCCATTATAATTTCCCATTAATTTTCAATTGATTTTTGTTTTACATGTGAGAGCTATTTTTGAAAGTATCCATTTAAACTACTATAATAAATTATCTTATTGTTAATACTGGTTTTCCACTGATTTATTTTTTAGGGGGACGCTACGGATGTATAATTTTATCACATGCAAATACCTCTTTTTAATTCTTAGACTACTAATTGCTTCTCTTGTCTTATTACATTGGCCAAAATCATCAACATGATATTGAATAGTAGCTCTAGTGCATTTTAGAAAGCTATTCACAAAGAATAAAGTTGATTGCTTTGGGAACTTTTCCTCTTTTTTCTCACTTTTCCCTCTTCCTTCCTAGAAAGAAAGAATATGAGAATGAGATGCAGAGTAGAGTTCCCAACATTAAGCATGAGAGAGACAAAGGGAGTCTAGGAATCTGGATAATTACAATTAGAATTCGGACCTTGGGATATCTATGGTTCACAAGAAATGTGTTGTTTAGCTGCCAACATTTCGATGCTTCATTAATGTAGATGCTTCCAAGATAATTGCTCAATTAATTATCAAGACTCTACATGTTCACAGAGATATTTGACCTGAGTTATTTCCTTTGCCAGGATAACTTGAAGGATGAGTAAAAGACTTAACTTGGATAAGAAAACCTTCTCATACATTCTGCTTAAGTCAGAAAGCCATTTCCTTGAAGTTTCTTAGCATTCTAGGGCTTATATGGTGCTGGGTTGAATGCTAAGTGTTTACCTCATTGGTTCCACACAACACACCAAATTGAGTACTGGAGGTGTTATGTAACTGGCTCAAAGTTATAAAACTCGTAAGAAGCAGAGGAAATTGAAACTGAGGATTATTGAACTCTAGACTGCCTCCCATGTGGCCCAAGTGCTCCAAACTAGGCCCCCGGTTTGGATATGAACGTGCACTGCCAGTGAGGATCTTCGAATGAGGTGTTCTGGGGTATGTAGGTTTCATGGCTGCTCCTGAAGCAATTACTGATTATCTCTAAGTGATCACTGGCATTAGCATTATTAAATGTCCAGTCACATTTAAGAAGCCATGTGGCTATGTGGCTTTGTCACATCTGTTGACCACAGAAAATGACTCAGTCTATTATCCTGACAAATTGAATTTCAATCCCTTGAGAAAGATACTCAAATTGGAAAATCATCTGCACTTTTGCTTCCTTGCTACATCTCTGGCTTTACTACAATCATTTCTTAAAACTTCCAACAGAACAGCAACAGCTCTCACAATTGGCATGTTAAGGATCCTCTATCTGAATTATTTAGGAAAGCTGTAGAAAACGAAAAAACTAAGACTCAAGAGCAAGCTACTGTCTCTTTTAGAGGATGAGCTTCATACGGCTATTTTATTCTTTTCCATGTTAGAAGCAAAGTTTTAAAAAATACTCTTTATGCTTTTATGCAAATGTTATGTGATTTTTAAAAGTATTATGCATAAAGACAATAAAAAATTAAAAGTAAATACTTCTTTTTTCATTAGCAGGTGTTCAGTAATGTGTCAAATCTTGATATACCTAATTTGTCTTCTTTCAACTTTACTTTTGGATTTCCTGATTCCAATTTTTCAAAAGTTGACAGACATCATGTTATTGTCACTAATTCCTCCCACTCAGCTCTCAGAGGTTCATTGTTCTGAGGGAGAAATTGTCATCTCCCCTTTTCCCTCCACTGGCTCAGTTTAAGAAAGTGAGTCAGATTACGGGTCTTTTTTTTTTTTTTTTTTGCTTCAGCACAGGCTGGCATTTGATTCTGGAGTATCCCAAGACCTTTTCTAGAAAATTCCAACTCTTCTTCCTCTTCTCCTGCTCTTCAGTCTTCAGAGCCTCTTTGTGGTTCAAGGGGTGTGGGTAAAAGGGAGAGTTTGCTCGGCACCACTGGGAGGAAGCTCCTGAGCTGACCCTTAGGTACTGGGGAATACCTGTCCTAAGACAGTTAAGTGAGACTTTTCAAAACTGATGGATAGTATCTGGCTTCATCCACAGAGAAGACCAGCAGAATCGCTTGGATATTGGGACATTAGGCATACTCATCTAGAGCTCCTCCAACCCTCTCTTTTGAGTTCAGGGCATAACTTCTTCCATGGACCACTCAGTCAGTGACATTTCCATGGCTAGTTTGGTGCAGCGTGTGTGAGTTCTCTAACGCTGACTGCTCAGCCCACTTCTGATAATTGTGGCCTGAGAAAAATTTAAGAATTTAAAGGAGTAATGTTGGTATTTCTGAAAACCTTTTGTTTCTAGTGGTCTAAGACTGGCATTGAAGTCTAGGAGCCCAGTGGCATCCACGTAGAAGAATCAGCTTTGCAAGCCGAATGCATACAGCTGTTGTGGAGCCTTATGCTCCTACAACTTAGTGGAGCATCTTTAAGTAAAAGAATACAGACATTTCTTACTCTTTCTTTCTTTTTTATTGTTTTTTTTGAAACAGAGTCTCAGTCTGTCACCCAGGCTGGAGTGCAGTGGTACAATCATAGCTCTTGGCCTTGAACTCCTGGGCTCAAGCAATCCTCCCATCTCCACTTCCCAAAGTGCTGAGATTACAGGCATGAACCACCATGCCCGACCACTTTTCCTTACTTTATGAGATATAGAATCATGTGAACAAATTGCTAAAATCTTGGAAGGTGTCTTGAAGGTTAAGCATTTTAGCTTCCAGTCAATTCTTCCTCTGTCTCTGAGCAGCTCAATTGACTCTCTTCACCTGTGGACTTCTGTGACCTTGTGACTGTACTAGCATTTCATCTTAACTTTCTTGTCACACCATTGTTTCCTCATTCATAACTGTTTCTCAGTTATACACACTTATTTTGATGTGTATTTCTCTGTAGCCCACCCTCTCTCTACCTAACAAGAGTGATCTTACAAATTATTTTCTGGAACAGCTCAGTTTATGTTGTCCTGATAGTTATTAATAGAACTCTTTTTCACTATCAAAACTTCTATAGTTTAGATGATAAGGTTTGTCACTTATTTATTGCTTTTAGTGACTTTTTTGAATACACTGACATTGCTCATACAAGATTGCCTAGTTTCTGGACATATTTATATTTCTTCCTAACTTAGTTTTGGCTCTCCACTGTCCTTCCCAGATTTAGTTAATATCTGAGCTGGAATCAGTCAGGATCCTGGGATTGGATGGATGTTTTATGATTGATTGATCTTTGCAGCAATTTTAGCAAAGTATTCAGCCTTATTTGTGAAGCCATCAGTACAGAACAAACATTCATGACATCACAATTATCCCATCTCAAGTAACCAAACAGTACCCTGAACCCCCAAATTGCTCCTCCTCGTAATCCATCCTATGTAATGTCACATAAACTTGTCCAAGCCAGACACTTCCACTTACTGTAACAGAAGATGCAGTTCAAAAAGAAATATCTTGCCAGGCGCTATGGTTCATGCCTGTAATCCCAGCACTGTGGGAGGCCGAGGCTGGTGGATTGCTGGAGCTCTGGAGTGCAAGACCAGACTGGGCAACATGGCAAAACCCATGTCTCTACTAGTCTCTACTAAAAATACAAAAAAAATTATCTGGGCATGGTGAAGCTCACCTGTAGTCCCAGCTACTTACAGGGCTGAGGTGGGAGGATCACTTGAGCCTGGGAGGTCGAGGCTGCAGTGAGCCCAGATAGTGCCACTGCACTCCAGCCTGGGCAACAGAGTGAGACCCTGTCTCAAAAAACAAAAACAAAAAACGGAAAGAAAATTCTCAATGACGTATTTTTTTTGGAGATGAGTGTTCATGGTCTATTTATGTGACATGTACCTTGACAAAATAGTTCGTATAAATATGATTTTAGGTCTGTTAGGTGTGTGAAGGAACAAGCAATAAAGAGATCAGAAAAATTTCATGAAACTGCTTGTGCTCACCAAGCTTGTTTCATGTGTGACTCTTGTATAGACCAAATAGGAAGTGGCTGAGATCCTCAGGCTCCCTAGACAAGGGGAAATAGATGTTGTTGGTTGAAGTCAGGTCTTGGAGTCAGATCTGGTTTGAATCTGTTCTCTGCTACTTATAAACTGGCTGGGCTTGAGTTACTTAATGTCTCTGAGCCTTGGTTTTCTCATCTGTGAAACTGGCATAATGATGCCACCTGTCTCACAGGTTTATTGTAAAAATTAAATCAGACACTATTTGTGTCCAGTAAGCATGCTGCTAAGGCATAACTGTCAGCATCATCCTCATCATCTGTGTGACTCTCTTGTAGTCTATTGACATTTTTGGCATCATTTTGAAAGAGTAGAATCGTGGTTGTGGGAAAGCATTGAGGGTAAACCTTAGAAATAGCACATTTTAGCAGGAAAATGTGGAGCCCAGAAGCAGGAATCCAGGTTCTCTTACTATTGGCTTTGCAACCACAGGCAGGTTGCTTCTCTGTGTTTTAGGTTTCTCAGTTACCAGTGGTAGGTAGGGGTGTGAGAAACACCAGTGCCCTCACAGGTCACATGTACCAAATGAAATCATACATATTAGATTATTTTTTTAAAATACAAAGTACTACATTCACATATGATAGGTTTGTGGTTATAAAGATTAAGGACCAGGCCAGGCATGATGGCTCATGCCTGTAATCCCAGCACTTTGGGAGGCCAATGTGGGTGGATCACCTGAGGTCAAGAATTTGAGACAGCCTAACCAATATGGTGAAACCCCATCTCGACTAAAAATACAAAAATTAGCTTGGCGTGGTGGCTGGCATCTGTAATCCTAGCTACTTGGGAGGCTGAGACAGGAGAATTGCTTGAACCCGGGAGGCAGAGGTTGTGGTGAGCCAAGATCACACCACTGCACTCCAGCCTGGGCAACAAAAAGATTAAAAACCAGATAAGCTTTGGTGAGGATACGTGCCTGCTGGGGCTTTATCGGCGAGGTGACTTGAACACCATTACTCGCATTTTGTTGTGTTCCACTTGTGTCTAATTCTGGCTGACTTGGCCATATCATTATAAAAGACCAATGCATCAAAGAAGAACATTTCATTAATTAATTATTTTATAGAGCCAGGGTCTTGCTATGTTGCCCAGGCTAGTCTCAAATTCCTGGCCTCAAGCAATCCTCCCATCTCAGCTTGCTGAGTAGGTGGGATTACAGGTGCAAGCCACAGTGCCTGGCCATGAACATTTATTTTAATGTTACTTGACTTTTCATTGCTTCCAGTGCTGGGGTCATGGGACTGGGTTCCAGCCCATGTACCCCCATCTAGATGTTGGACTTTGGGGAGGCCAGCTGACTTCTGTAGACACCTGTCCTCATTTCTGCATTGAGAAGTTGAGAATAGATCTTTCAAAGCAATCTACGGACCACCTGCCTCCCGTGACCACTATAGTCTGAGTGGCCACTCTCTCTTGCCTGAAATGTTGCAAGTTGCAAGTCCTAATTGATTTATGTAATTTGCTGCTTTGACAACCACTTCTTCCACATCTGTTCTCACATCACAGGTCAAACTTTTCCAATGGACACCTTCAGTGTCTTCCTCTGCTCTTGGAATAAAAGACAAGCCCCTTCCCCTTCCTTAGGCTCCAAACCTGTCCTAGTCTGGGTATCCTGCCTCTTCAGACCCTCTTCCCACCTCACCTCACCTGGGCACCCCCCAACTTCTAGCTCCACTAACTTCTTTCTGCCACAGTGCTATTACTGCCCCTTTGTCTGGTCAGCCCCTACTCAGCCTCCTGCCCCCAGCTCAAGTGCAATTTCCTCACAAAAGCCTCCTCAGGCCTCCCTGGACTGAGCAGGCCCCCACTCCTGACTCTCCCAGGGCAGGACCTTTCCTTCCTAGCTCATGTCAGCATTGCAGTTTTATATTAGCTCATATGCTCATTCGATTCCTCCTTGCCTCCCGCTCTGAACGTCACTCCTTGAGGACAGAAACCAGGTTTATCTTCATTCACTATGGATCCTCATGTACCTGGCATGTTGGAGGTGCTGGATAAATATTTTTTGAGTGCATACCAAAATGAATGAAATATACATGAACTATAAGGTAATTTTAAACATTTCACGTATTATGATTCTATGCTTTTTTATCCACCAACTCAGGGCTATTTAATGTGATTCTTATGTGGGACATCCCAATAAAGCTCTATTATTTCTAGACGTCTAACTTCTCAGAGTCCAATACTAGGGATTTAGTAAATTAAGTGGACACAGGTATTCTGGAATTCTTTCAAGGATGTGAATTATGAGCCAATAAGGCAAGAATCAGGATTCCAGAAGAACCCAGTGGAACTGATGATGACCAAGCCTTCTCCATGGACTTTCTTTGGGTTGAAGCTGCCCAAAATCCCTGCCAGAATGATGCTGAAGTTAGGACCACACAGAGAGCCTGGCTGTTAGTCAGCACTTGGGTTGTAGGTGACTGCAATGCCCAGTCATCTTTATCCAGTCTAGGCCATGTTAACCCTCTCTTGCTCCTTCGCTCTTCCGGACGGGTGCTGTGATTCGCCTCTGAAAAGTCATGCAACCCTCTGGTGTGCACAAGCCCTAGTCTGCTTATTAAATCGGAATTCCAGGGGCAGCGGCTTGCCTGGTGGATGCCCCTCTCCCCATCTCTCCTGGGCTTTGGCACTCATTCTGTCCCAGGAGACCTGCCTTTCAAGTCCCCAGAGTGACTCAGGGTGACTTCATACTGGGTTTCATTTTCATGTATTCAGTTCAAGTACATTCTTTTAAAAGCTCTGCTTTTCATTGACAGTAAGAAAACTGCCCTGGTTTGTAGGTCTGACACAGGGCTTGGAAACTTCACTTTTTAAAAGGATCACAGGTGACTTTGATACAGATGCTCATGGACAAAGCTTTACACTGTTCTAGAAGCAGCAGTACCCACAGCTCAGGCATTCATGTTTCCTTTGAGCCAGCCTCAGGGATGAGTGAGTGTGGTGGAGGGAGCTAATTGGTGATAAATTGGTGGAATAGGTCCCTAGCCAAGGGCAAACCCAATTTTTTTTCGTCTAATATCCAGAGACAGTTCAGCTTCACTTGTTTGTCATATAACACTGTCTCTACCCTGCCTGCTGGTTGGAGCACAGTTGAGCATGTGAGGGTGTGCGGAGCTCCAATTATGTGCACTGGATTGATGGGGACACATCAGCCTTCACAGACAGCCAGGGAGGGTGAGAGCAGGCCAGAAATGGCGCCCACGGTCACAGAAGTGTAGCAAGAGGAACAGTCAGTTTGTTAGGGAAGCAGTGAGTGAAGTGTTATGAGATATTTATGTCTAGGAAGAGTGTGCTGGTTACCAAATTAATCCAAGCGTTCTTAAATGTTTTTCTAACTATACAATTATATGTGCTTATTATAGAGAATTAAGAAATATTTCAAAATAGGAAGAATAATATAAAATTCCTCTGCAAAGCAACTTCTCAGAAATAACTAGCAAAATTTTACGTATCCAATATGAAATATACATTAAACACATATTATTACAAATATCTGTTATACTATTTATATATAAATATAGATTACATAATATTTATATGCTAAAATATGTTATGTATTTAATATTGGCAATACACAAAATATCACTATTTACATATACATGTGCACATATATATACACAGAAACACCCATAAATTTTGTTTTAAACTTGAAATAATAAAGTTTATATTTTGCTTTTTTTCACCTGACATTACATTGTGACATTTTCCCCATGAGATTTGATAGTCTTCAAATACATGTTTTTTTTTTGGTGGGGGAGGATGGAGTCTCACTCTGTCACCCAGGCTGGAGTGCAGTGGCGTGATCTGGCTTACTGCAAGCTCTGTCTCCCAGGTTCACGCCATTCTCCTGCCTCAGCCTCCTGAGTAGCTGGGACTACAGGAGCCCACCACCACGCCCGGCTAATTTTTTTTTTTTTTTTGTATTTTTAGTAGAGACGGGGTTTCACCGTGTTAGCCAGGATGGTCTCGACCTCATGATCTGCCCGCCTTGGCCTCCCAAAGTGCTGGGATTATAGGTGTGAGCCACCGCACGCGGCCAAATACATGCTTTTTAATAGCTATATGATATATGATGTCATGATAAAAATAAATTATTACTTGATTTTAGCCATTTATATTGTTTCTAAATATTCATTATTATAAAAAATGCTTCAATGAGTGATCTTGAACTTAGATTTTAGTCTGTTTCTTTGATAATATTAAATTGTCATTCCTTTAATAAGTCAAAAGCAGGGATGATTGTGTTCTAATTTAGTGTCTTGCTGAAACTGAGTCAAGAAACATTTCCAAAGTGGAATTGTGGAATAGTGGAATTGCTTTCTAAATATCTGATGTCAGAGGAAAGAAAGGAAGCTGGGAGAGCCCCCTTCCCACTGCACTGTCCCCGCCCATCACAGACAAAGGACTCTCCTCTCTCTGTCTACTGTGCATCTGCACAGCCAGTTGAGCCCTGGTTAGTTCTGGCATTTGTGGGCAGGGAAAGCACTGTAACTACTTTAGCAGCTATTTCACTAAAGCTTTTCTGTGTGGCGTTCATGCATCTCAGAGGGTGTAGCCTGGCTCACAGAGTATCTGATTCCATGTAGCACAGCTTTGCTATGCTGGAGCCAGGGTGGAGAATTGTACCACAGTGTTAAGAAGACAGCCCACAGAACCTTGGCAGGCAGAACATCATGCTTTGAAAAAGTTAAAGATTGATGATAATTAGTTAATGAGATGTCAGGCTCACTAAAGAGAGGAAATCATTAATTAGTACTTAATCTGTTTTTAGATATACTAGACTAGAGTCTTACAATTTCCAGCAGCATCAGCTTTAAACCATGACATGAATGCAAAGTGTAATTTCTACCAGCAGACTTTTTGTAATTATCTTATTAAAATATGCTTTGGTACACTGAAACAAACATTAGTTTTAGTTCAATTTTAATTGTGGGGAATGAGAATTTGGAGCACTGACTTAGAGTTTCTAAGGAAAGGGAAATTTCATAGCGATGTGTTTAGATTCACTCTCCTTCATCCACTGTAGAGGAGCTGGTTGCCCAAGCATTGCCTTTTGGCAGCTTCTCATGGGGAGGTGATGTCACATCTGCCTCTGAAGGCCCATTTGGAGGAGATCCTTGAGATGGCCTGGGATCCACCCCATGCTCACCCCAGCTCTGTACTTTTCTTCTGCCTTCATCCCTGTGGCCTCCTGCCTCCTCTCGGTCGGGTCTGTCCTTCTCCTGTGTCTCTGGGGTATCCCTTGATCCACACACACAGCCCTGGCGTGGACCCGCCCTCACTTGCACTGTGCTCTTGGGTTGTGGGGGTCACCATCAGGTGCTTCTGTCTGCTTGGGGCTGGCTCCCAGCTCTGCTCACTTCCTGTGCAAACTTGAATGATAGACTAAGATTCTCTAAGCCTCCATTTCTTCATCTACAAAATGAGGCTAATAACAGGAACAATGCCATCAGGTTTTCAGGATGAAATGAGGTGACAGACATTTGGCACACAGCCAGGATTCGTTGAGTGTTTGCTCTTAGGAATATGATCATAGTTTGAAGTCAGTCAGTCGAAAGCTCTTTAAAGTCAGAGAATTGGCTTTGAGCTTTCTATTTCATCTCTGCAGGACTCAGCATGGGGTAGAACATCTGTAGATGCTGAATACTTGTCATTTGACTCTATTTCCTAGAGTTTAATGATTTTCTATTAGCACACCCTGGCTTTTTTGACTGTGACCTGGGTGTTTCTGCCCAGGTAACAATGAGGCTGCAGCTGCTTTCTCATTTTACACATGATCAGTGGTGCATTCATAAACGTTTTCCAACCAGTTCAAAAAAAAAAAAAACAACCCACTGATTTGTGGTTTTCTTTGGTGTAAATAGTTTCATCATGGCCAACTTTGAGCTACCGTCGTGACAGGAACTGGCTCACAAAAGCCCTCAAAGTTTTTGCAGTTGACATTCTTGAGCTGCTTGACCTACATACTGCAACTGGACTCCTCTAAAAGTAGAAACCAGGGGGCTTCAGTGGCGCCTAACACTGACGTCAGAATTCACAAGGGTGAGCTGGTGTTCTGAGTGGCATTTAGCTTTCATGAGACCTTGAATCAAATCCGAATTCACATCTGACATTTATCCTGCACATCACAGGGCAGCATTGTGGACAGTGTTGTTGGTCTTCCTCACCATCCTGGGTGTCTCAATGAGAAATGTCAAAATTCATCTGCTTTACAGGTTATTTCATCGAAGGGAGAAAGAACACTTGTTTGCCATATGATGCGTAAAATGGGTCTAATTAGCCACGGATCTAATAGCAAAGCATTCTTTGAATTGAGGTTTGATCCTGCAGAATACTTTTTCTTTCTAAGCCATCGTTCATCGTTAAATGCATAAGGACGGTACAGGCCATGTCCCTTGCAGTATTCCCAAAGGCCTGCTGCATACAGCCACATGGGTCATACAGAGCACAGCTCCGGAGATGCCCCTCACGTCAGCTCCGATAAGAATGATGCCTGTGGAGCTGTGCAATGCTGCTGCTCTTTCTATTTTTACTTATATGTATTCCCTACTCAAAGAAGTTGACAACTAAATAGCTAGAAAATGAGAAATGTCAGAAGTGTCTAGCACACATTTCTAGAGCAGTTTCTCAGAAAAAGGGTCACCCCTGTTTAGCCTATGGCAGATGAATTGCCTTATCCAATACAGAAAAGACTTGAGTAGTTACCACATACAAGAACTCTGCTAGGTGCAACTATAATATTAAGATGCCTTAAGTAGGCCGGGTGTGCAGTGGCTCACACCTGTAATCCCAGCACTTTGGGAGGCCAATGCCAGTGGATCACTTGAGGTCAGGAGTTCAAGACCAGCCTAGCCAACATGGTGATACCCCGTATCTACAAAAAATACAAAAATTAGCCAGGTGTGGTGGCATGCGCTTATAATCCCAGCTACTCGGGAGGCTGAGGCAGGAGAATTGCTGGAATCCGGGAGGCAGAAGTTGCAGTGAGCAATATTTCGCCACTGAACTCCAGCCTGGGTGACAGAGAGAGGCTCTGTCTAAAAGAACAAAACAAAACAAAAGACAAACAAAAAAATATAAAATAAGATGCCCTAAGTGCCCAGCAAAAATCTGTGGCTGCCTATCACCCTGTCCATTTGTGAGTTAAATTGTACACCTCAGTGTATTCTATCGTGAACCCTTCTGGGTACAATAGAGGTAACAAAAAGGCACAGAGCACAGGCCACCCTCAAAGAGCTTCCTACCTTTTCAAGAAACCCACATGTGTGCATATGCATCCTGTGGGAATAATATAGTAAACACGCCACTCTGCAGTGACATGCCGACTTGGTTTAAAGCCCAAACATTTAAGAAGACATCTGTTTAGATGAATGTGGTCCATTTTAATATAGTTGCTCTTGGAATCTGAATAATTATTTCAATGTTGCTGCTATTGTACAAATTATATTTGCATTTTCTTTTTTGGAATTGCCTGCAGAGTCCATGACATGTCCTTGTGAATATCCACAGTTAATGCAGTTTTTTCAAGGGTAGATTTAGGGCGAATTCTTTGATAAATGTATAGGTTTATAAGCTGACTATGAAGGTACAGCAAATACTATAGGTTGGCTTATTCAACATGCATCTCAATCTCCCAGCCCCTTGTGTTCCCTTGTCTTAGACACTGGGAAGCTGAATATTCAATCTCCCAGCTTTTGTGTGTAGCTTAAGGTAGGTAGCAGGGCAGGCAGTCTTTGCCAATAATATGTACATAGAACTTCCTGGGAAAGGTTCTCTTCTCTAATTAAAAGGCAAAGCCTTGGAGAAGGAAGTTTTCGGCCATTGGCTCGTCCTCCGTGCCTGTGTATGGGATATAGGAGGAGTATCAGGTGGATTACAACCATGAGGACACTGTGAGGACAAAAGCCACTTCCTCAGGGTGCTTGGTCAGAACAATCGGAGGACCTGGGCTCTGGCAACGTCATGGAACTGCCATCCTAGTCCCAGACTGCACATCACTGGATGTCCTGCCCAATATGGTGAAACCCCATCTCTACTAAAAATACAAAAATTAGCCAGGTGTAGCCTGCAATCCCAGCTACTCGGGAGGCTGAGGCAGGAGAATCCCTTGAACCCAGGAGGCGGAGGTTGCAGTGAGCTGAGATCATGCCACTGCACTCTAGCCTGGGCAACACAGCAAGACCCTGTCTCAAAAGAGAAAAAAAAAAGAGAACAAGAGTAAGTAGGAAAAACAGTTAGAAAATTGTCCTGGTTAGAACTTAGGATTCATTTTGAGAAGTACAGGAAGATAAATATGAGCAGAAGAAAGCAGAGACAGATTATGGAGGACCATAAATGTTCATTTAGAAACGAGATCCACGGGTAGGAAACAATTGCATGTTCTGTAGAAGGCAAGAGATACGGTATGCTTTCATACGAGTTGTCCGGCACCTCTTCTACTATAAATAAAAAAGGAAATAGACTTAATCAAAACAAGCCAAGATGACTTTTTAGGGGAGTACTTTTGCTAACATGCTGTTTCTTGGATTGTAAATCCTGAACACCAGGGGCAATTCCTGTGCCTGCTTGATATACAGTTCCCTTGCTGGAAACCTCAGGTCGGTGAGGACAGTGTTTGTGGAATAAAGGGAAGAGGAATTTGTTTCTTGCCTTGATGCACTTTCAGCAACTTTGCATCCTTAGGGCTACTATTTCTTAAGATTTGACAAGGAATAGAAAGGTATATTACATCTGGGATAGGAATAGAGCATTAGAAAAGTATTTGATCAATTTAAATTATGCATGACTCTAAACAGCAGAAAATTAAGTCAGTGGTCTTGGAGGCTGGCTAGTAATGGAAACCTGCTACAGTATACTTAGTGTATAGACACAGTCTATTTCTAGTATAGTGATGACAATGTAGTCCAAAGTTTGCTGCTTGAGATGGCTTTAATGAAATAGATAGCTTGATTCTCCCTCCTCTTTCCCCTCCTCCTCCTCCTCTTCTCCTCCTCCTTCTTATTTCTTCTTTTCCTTTTCCTTATTTTGTTTGAGACCTATTTAACTTAAGCATTCATTGAAGCATCTTTTTCAGATTTTGTCAACGTCAATACAGCATTGATCGTAATTGAACTATAGATAGAGCCTACTGGGACCAGACAATCAAACTTGAAATTAGAATTGATGCTATGTGAATCTATAATTTTTATCTACAGATTCTCATTTCTATTTGTTCCATCATTTGACTTTCCTGATGATAATAACTAGTCTCCAGTTTCTTTTCTTTTCTTTCTTTTTTTTTTTCAGACGGAGTCTTGCTCTGTCTCCCAGGCTGGAGTGCAGTGGCGCGATCTCCACTCACTGCAACCTCTGCCTCCTGTGTTCAAGCGATTCTCCTGTCTCAGCCTCCTGAGTAGCTGGGATTACAGGCGCACACCACCACGCCCAGCTAATTTTTGTATTTTTAGTAGAGACAGAGTTTCACCATATTGGCCAGGCTGGTCTCAAACTCCTGACCTCAGGTGATCCACCCACCTCAGCCTCCCGAAGTGCTGGGATTACAGGCATTAGCCACTGCACCCGGCCTCCATTTTCTTTTTCTGCAAACATGTTCTCTGCTAAGTCCAGACAGTGAACCCTGAGTTTAGCCATCTATGTATAAGTTGACATTTTGCATAACTTATATTTTCGGGGTCTCTTCTTATCACTTTCTGTCTTTGCAGCTAAAACCAGGTTGCCATTTAGGAATGGCTCTTTGCAATTTTTATTTGAATGAAAAATTTCCTATGATTTCATGTAGTTCTCCACATCTTTAATGTATCAGAATTTAAAATAAACTACAGATTGCTCAGTTCAATAGATACAATGTTTATATATACGATGATACATGTCAATATATATATAAGGTTTTAGACTTAAGTAAAATATTGATTAGATGAAATAGAAATAAATTAATACAAATCTCTGCCCATGTTATGTCAGAGTAATTAATATACTATACTTACACATTATTACATATAAGGCCCACATATGATGTTTTATATGTAATCCTAGTATGAGTCACCATTTTGGAAATAAATCATCATTATGAACCAAGATGTACATATTTTTAAACATACAAAGCCAAATTCTTGCCTGTCTGCAAGTTGAAACACATGGGCAATTAACGGTACTTCAGAAAACTGAAAAAGATCTCTTAAGGATTTATAAAAGTTTGTTAAATTTTTAGCATTTTTAGCAACACACTTCCAGACCTAAAGCCATCTGAGGCTTCTCTATTTTGCTAGTATCTGAGACATGTTAAAGCTCTATTTAGCGCTAGAAGTTTTGACCATTTGCTCTCTAGAGCCACCCCATCTGCTCTGGAGCCTGTGGAGGGTGGGCAAGGCTGCACCCTGGGGGCTGGTCCTTGCTCAGAGCCTCTCTGTAGCTTAGGGGGAGGCTGCACCTTGTTCCAAAGCAACACAGACCTCTCTCTGCTTAACCTAAAGAGACATGAGGTGCCAGGAGCCACAGGGCAGGGCAGTTTTATTGTGGTGATTCTGTGTTAGTGACAATGCTGAGTCAGTGTGTCACTTTCAACAGGCATTTTAAATTTCCTTTGGATATTGTGATCACTCTTCCAGCAGGTCCCTCATTCCTATCCCGTCAACTTCCATTTCTCTTTACTCTCATTGATCATGTAATAAAGCAATGGGAAATTTCCTGAAACAACTTTTATTTTTATAACCTTACTCTGTGGTGTATCTATGCACAACGACTAAAGGAGTGGAAGCTCATTACCAGTAACGTTTTCGAGGACTTTAAAACCAACTTTTCTGTGCTGAGCTGTCTGGAAGTTCCTCATGATACCGGTGACCACATTTTTCTTATCATTTTCTTATGAAGTTATTTTGAAAATTTTCCCATCCAAATGGACCAGTGGGTGGACAGGGGACACAATTACTAATAAACTATGTAATCATTTACAATATAAAGTGGGAGAACTTCAACCAGGTTTTGGCAGCTAGCTGGTAACACTCCTGGTAACATAAAAAGGTATCTTGCAGTTAAAAAAATAAGTTTTGAAATAGTAAACTCATGACGGAAATCTTAAGTTATTTAAACATTTTCCAAAGGACATAGTCATCCCAAGAGCAATAGAATTGAAATAGGAACATTGTTAATTTATGTTGGGTTAAAAATACTTTGCATATTTAATGTTAATTTTAGCTTTAGCTTTTGCTCAGAAGTTCTGCAAATACCTGAAGGGATTTCAGCTTGCTCACCACCTCTCCTACACACCCCTGTCAAATGGCATGGACTGCTATTGTTATCAGTTTTAGTAGTCGCGTTATTTTCCATGTGAAGTCAGAGTTTAGAAGCGCTGCTCTTTTACCACTTTGGATGATTCCTACACTTCCTGGGAGGGAAGGATGACAATAGTCATATTGAATTTGTGTTCCATTTTGTCTCCTTTTCTTTAAAATTTTGCCACTGAAAGTGCAGAATATCTGAAACAGAATGAAACCTCACTGGAAAATACAGTCTGTTAGTGAGTGCTGGTGATACAACTTACCCCAAAGGAACAAGTTCAAATTCTGAAGTTCATACCTTGGTGAGGGTGAGATAAGTTGCCTTGCTGTAGCATGCATTGATGTCTAAGTATGCCTTAGGAGGAAATAATAATGCACATGTTGATTGTTAAAAGTACTATCTGCTCCATAGAAACCTGGAATCTTTTGCAAAGTCCGTGATACTTTGAAACACGAAAGGCTGGAAGTGTCATTAGCTGGGAAGGATGAATGCAGCAGCTATTGGAAGGATAAACAGAAGGTCCAGGTGGGAGCCGATTCTCCAAGGAGCTCGCTTCTTTGGTTCTCAATGGGATGGTGGAAATAAGCTTCAGACATGAAGAAGTCTGAAGTGGGTTAAGGTTCCAGTTCTCTTCTTGAGGAGTCTTCTGTCTTCCTGGTCCCAAACGCAGACCATTTTATGAAAGGCCTTTACCAGGCAGCTTTTCAGCTTCTGGAGAAACATTTCCTGTCAACTGGGCTCCACCTGCAGAGATGAGACACAGCTTGGGCAGAAGCATGGACCTCCAGGGCCTGAAACTGAGCACAGAAGACCTATCTTCTTTGTAAAATACATGAAATATTATTTTACAGTGATGACAACAACTTTAGTAGAGCCCAGAAGTTTATTG
Source organism: Homo sapiens (assembly GCF_000001405.40). Lineage (NCBI taxonomy): Eukaryota > Metazoa > Chordata > Mammalia > Primates > Hominidae > Homo > Homo sapiens. The sequence goes on from NC_000008.11 coordinate 56,520,713, forward strand.
AGTGCCTGCCTACTCTGTGCCAGGCCCTGCTCCAGGCCCTGAGGGTCTTAACAGTAAGATTGAGCCAGCTCATGTCCTGGATGAGCTGATATTTTATGGAGGGAGACAAACAATATGCTAGGAAACAAGAGAAAAATAAGATAAAGACAGAGATGATGGCAGATTCAGATTAGTGCAATAGAAGACGCTAACGGGATTCCAGGAGACAAGAACTTGTTTCAGATGCAATGTAGGTAAGGTGATTCAGGAAGGCCTTTCTGTAGGCGTACATCTCATTGCAAAGGATGAGAAGAATCTAGAAATGGGAAGAACCAAAGGACAAGCATTCCTGGCAGAGAAAACAGCAGCTGCAAATATGCTGAAGCCCTTTGCATTCTGAGAATAACATGATTTGGGTCACCATTGAAGAGACTGTAAATCTTTTAGCTACCTTACTTTTCTTTTAAAGGCTTGTTTTTGTGAGAAATAATTGGTCCCATCCCCACTTGATTTTGACATTAAGTGTGGCTAAGTAGAAGGACTGATTTTCCAATATTATGTCCTGCACTGCATAAAGAGAATGCTAAGTTTTCTGTTGTGTTGTTGTTTATTTTTGTTTTTTGTTCTCTTGGAGCTGCTTTTAATTAGAAATAAAACATGGCTTTAATGTTAACATCTGATTAATGTAAAGAAATATGTGTGCATGGTTTTTCTTGTTTTTCCTCTGTTCTATCCAAGATCATGAATATAGGTTTATGTTAAAAGTAGTTGTGAAAACAAATGTGTGTGTCACTAGAAATCACACACTTTTGAAGGGTTATAATCCTTCTCTCCTAAAAGTCTATCAGTAGAATCTGTTTTATTATAGAGAAGCCATCTACTTGGTTGTTTTCAATAAGTCCTGAATAATTTTCAAAATAAGGTGGCATTTTACTCTTTCTGATAAAGATAGCAAAGACACTGCTTTGAATTTCAAAGTATGACAGCATTATTACTCAGACAGCCTTCATTCTTTTCTGAAGTAACGGTTCTTTTCCTTTTTCCTAAACTGTTGTAAATGAAATATGAAGTTCCTTTCATAATAACATGGTTAAAAATATTAAAACTTTCAAAAATATTACCTAATATGTTAAAGGAAAATTTATGCTCATATTTAAATTAGAACAATGAGTCTGTGCTAAACTTATTATAGAGTCATTACTTATAGTAGATGGATATATATAATTTTAGAAATAAGGCAGAATTTACTTTTCAGAGCATTGCCATTTTTGGCTGTGCTTACTAAATAGCAAAGAGGTGGAAGTACACGAGTAAATGGTTGTGAAATACGGGTGGTGGGCCAAGTAATTTATCTTCAAAATGTTACTCTGTCACAAGTGGCTTATCTTTTTTGCAGCCAAAGGATCTAAACTACTCTGCATGAGCAAAAGAAAATGTGCAGAAAGAAACATTCCTCAAAATGAGTTTCTTTCATGTTGTTTCAGCTCAGGGTGACAAATACTGGAGCATCGAAATGGAACTAGCCAGGTATAGGAAGAGCTGCTGCAAAGAGCAAAGAGTGGATGCATTTTCCCCTCTTATCCCTAGATCTGGGAGATGTGGCTTTCCTTTGAAGCTTTTCTGTACTGTGGAATTGCAGCAATTTCCTTGTGATTCTGCTTCCAAGCCTGGGCTTGTAGAAGATGGAGGCAGAAGGCAGGAAAGTTAGATGCAGAAAGGCAAAGCAGAGCCTTCGGGATTGTGGAAAGTCAGGACCATCTTCCTGCAGCAACACATCATGCAGAGATTGGTTTACTGTAACTTTCTTCATGAGAGTCTGCAGTTCCTCATACACTTGGCAACTCATTACACAATTATTCCCAAACGCCTTCTGCTGAGCTTCACAATGGCCTGATGGCTTTCAGAGCTCCCTCCCTGTGCCCACTGGATCACCCTTTTTCTCCTCCTGTCCACCCTCCTTGGCCTAACACTTAATGTGGCTCCCTGGTCATGTCCTTAGTCCTCTTTCCTAGTTCTATCACGACTTCTATCAAATCTGCATGGCTTCCATTTTCTATCACGTCCCTGACCCAGATTTTCAGTTGCCTCCTGATTGCTTCCTCTAAGAACTATAGACATCAAAGCTAATTTAGGTTAATCCAAAATTTAGGTTAATCCCCTCAAGCATAAAATTTATCTGCCTTCTCTGTTCCCAGTCATGGTGTATGCCTGCAGCCACCCATTTTTCATAGAGTTAGTTTTGACTACAACTTCTTAGTAGTGCATTGGTCACCAGAAACTATTGCTTCTGTGGCATATATATCCTAAACCTGTGAAATCATCACAGTTCCATTGCTGTCCTTCCTGCCTCTGATCCCTCACTACTGTAGTTGTTTCCTGTAGTCCCCAATACACACACACAGAGCCAGCAGATTTTCCCTCTAAAAGCCATATGTGCTTCCTTCACCCTAACAAAGTCTTCAGCAGAGCCTCCAACCTCTCCCTAAGAGTGTATGAGATGAAGTCCAAACTCCACATGTCACAGAGCCCTTCACATCCAACCCCATTTACTTCTTGCCTAAGTTCAGGTCAATAAGTACTATTGCATACCTAATGTATGCAAGGCACAGGGAAAATAAAGATGGGTAAGACACTGCGAGGAAACTTGCAATCTGAAGGGATAGAGAGAAGAACCGGTGATTTAAAATTAATGATTGAAGTGCTTGGAAGAAGACACGCATCCAACCACTTTTTATACTCCGCGTACACTGGACATCTCCCTGTTTCCAAAGCAGGCTGAGCCTCGCATTGCATTTTGTGATTTTCCTCTCTGAAATTTCCATTCGCCCTTTCCTGCATGACATTCCTGCTCCACCTTTCAGATCCTAGGGGACTTTGTCTCCTCTGCGAAGTTTTTCCTTACTTCTGCAGACAGCTGCTTGCTTCTTGCTCTAAAATTGCTAATGCATGGGCTCATGCTGCTGTCACCTTGCTCACTGGAAGGCTGGACTGCCTTTTTTATGTCTGTATTCTTTGCCCTCCTCTCATTCTTTGGTACTTCGTAGATGCCCAATTTCCGTTCATTGAATAAATGAATCCCTCACTTGGCTCAAGTTAAAATCAATCATCTTACCTGGACTGATAAACATTTCAGCTCCCTGGAGCTCCTCAGTCATAAGTATATTGAGGTAGCAGGTTACCTAGATGAAGACTTACAAAGCAAGACCAATTATCTCCCACTCCTTCCCTGCTTTCCTTCCTTTTATCATTCTTCTCGTAGAGAGAAGAGGACCTGGAAAAGACTAGCATTTTGGAGACTGGGAATGGTGACTGGGAGGCCACAAGAGGGCTGCCTGAAGAATGTGCTGGAATGAGGGAAAGAGATTGTGTGAGAGGGTTTGGGCTACCCCATCCTCCAGGGCTCATTCGAAAGCACTGTTCAGTCACTAGCGTTTTTCTACTTAATCAATGGTGAATAGCTTTCCACAGGATTTCACTTTTGCAACATGATTGGTAATGGCTACATAGTGTTCTTTAGATGACGTCTTATAATTTAACTTTAGATGATGTCTTATAATTTAATTAACTTCCCCTATTTTTGGGAAGTCAGACTGTTGTTTCTTTTGCACATCTAAAAAAGGAACACCTCTCAGGTCTGACTCCCTCCTGAGGACAGAGATCTGGCTGTGCCCTTGTCTCTTGCAAGGAAATCTACATGTTGCTAGGCTGTTTTGCACCCCCAGCCTGTCCTCTGGGAATAGGAACGAGCCTGCTCACTGGCCTGGATATTCTGTCGTAAGAGTCATTTTTTTTGGCTTTGTAACACATAAGTATTTCAAAAGCCACTCTTGTGGCCTTCTATTACACTATGAAAAACTGAGGGTCCACATTTGCCTTGAATGCAGACCTCCCTGCCCTGCTGGGGATGTCTCTCTCATTTATCTTTGCTGCAGATCCCTGACTTACACCCTGACTTGTAATCTGGAACCACGCAGAGATTTTCAATGACAATGTGGGGAAACAGAATTTGTCTGAACTTTGGTGATTTTGAATGAAGTTTATATAATAATTAAAGCCAGGTATGATTGTTCTAGCTCCTTTTCCACCCGAACTGGGGGTGGTGCAATTAAATTCTGACACTAATGATCCAGAGCTAGTGTCAGACCCTACAATGAAGGGTTAAGTCTTCCATAAGATAGCCCTCACCTCAGAGGCCAGCAGCAAGTTCCAGGCCCCCCCGGATCCCCCACAATTCTGACTGATGAGTGCTTCAGTTTGGATAATTCACAGGAATGCCTCACAGAACCCAGAAAAGCATTATACTTACTCTTACAATTTTTGTTTGTTTGTTTGAGACGGAGTCTCGCTCTGTCACCAGGCTGGAGTGCAATGGGACAATCTCAGCTCACTGCAATTCCGCCTCCCGGGTTCAAGTGATTTTCCTGCCTCAGCCTCCCAAGTAGCTGGGACTACAGGCACATGACACTACACCGAGCTAATTTTTGTATTTTTAGTAGAGATAAGTTTTCACCATGTTGGCCAGGATGGTCTCCATCTCTTGACTTTGTGATTCGCCCTCCTTGGCCTCCCAAAGTCCTGGGATTACAGGCGTGAGCCACTGTGCCTGGCCTCTTACAGTTTTATTATAAGGGTGTAAACCAAAAAGTGTCCAAGACAGATATCAATCAGTATAGAGGTTTATTTTGCCAAGGCCGAAGGTGCACCCAGGAAAAAGAAACACAAATCACAATAGGATCTGTGGCCTGTGCCTTTTCCAAAGAGGGTTTTGAGGACTTCAATATTTAAATGGGAAAGATTGGGTAGGAGGGAAATGATGAAAGAAACTAGAAAGAGGAAGATGGGCAATGAGGCCAGTGGCTACATTCTTGTGAGGTTTTGATTAATGCTCATTGAATCCACATTTTACCTGTCCAAAGACAGAAGTTGGGGAAAGTCAGTTGTGCATGCATCTTGCTCTTGGTAGATCTACATTTAAATCAGGTAAAGTAAGCATGTGGAATCACAGCTCTCTGAGGACAAAAGGAGGAAGATTTGTTTGTTTCATTTGAGTTCTCAAGCTTAACTTTTTTCTTTGGCATATCAAGTGTGGAGTCCAAAGATTTTATTTTCTTTTTACAAGGGATAAGCACAGAGCCAGAGGCAGAACTTTCATGCCCTGTCCTCAAAGAATTGCCCTCCTTGCACATCATCAGTTCACCAACCAAGAGGCTCCTCTGAGCCTTGATGCAAGGGTTTTTATTGGGGTTTTATTAAACCATTGGCCACTTGATTGAACTCGATCTCCAGCTCTTCTTCCCAAAGGTTAGGTGGCTGAAAGTCCAGCTCTCTAATACACACATGGTCTCTCTGGGACCAACTCCCCCTCCTGAAGCTATCCAGACACCCACCACTAATCACCTCCTTAGCGTAACAAAGTTACTTCCATCACTCAGGAAATGCCAAGGAGTTTTAAAGCTCTGTGTTAAGAACTGGGGGAAAAGACCAGATAAACATATATATATATATATATTTGAGACAGGATCTTGCCCTGTCGCCCAGGCCAGAGTGCAGTGGCACATTCATAGCTCACTGCGGCTTCAATCTCATGGGCTCAAGTGATCCTCCTGCCTCAGCCTCCTCAGTAGTTGAGACTATAGGTGCACAACACTATGCCCAGCTAATTTTTGTATAGTTTGTAGATACAGGCTCTTACTATGTTGCCCAGGCGGGTCTTGAACTCCTAACCTCAAGCAATTCTCCTGCCTCAGCCTCCAGTCCTCTGTATTAGTTTGTTCTGACACTGCTATAAAGATACTACCTGAGATTGGGTAATTTATAGAGAGGAGGCTTAATTGACTCACAGTTCTGCATGGTTGGAGAGATCTGAGGAAACTTCCAGTCATGGTGGAAGGTGAAGGGGAAGCAAGGTATATCTTCTCATGGTGGCAGGAGAGAAACAGAGTGAGAGCGAGAGAGCACAGGGGAAACAGTCACTTTTAAAACCATCAAATCTTATGAGAACCCTCTCACTGTCACAAGAACAGCATGGGGGAACCCGCCCCCATGATCCAATCACCTCCCACCAGGTCCCTTCCTTGATTTGGGTGGGGACACAGAGCCAAACCATATCAGGGTATGTTTCTGAGCAGGGGTTGTGATTCCAAATAATGAGATGGCTTTCCGAAGCTTGTTCTCTTTCCACTGTACCTACCACATTTTCTCTAGTTTTTCACTACTTTGAATACCTAGTTGAAGCATATTTTTGCAGTTAAGTTTTTTCTAAATTATGTTTGTTTTTGTCTTTTCTAAGGGCAGATTTGGCAGTCTTCTTGAAAGGAAGTAATGCTTATTGTGGTCAGAAGAAAGAGTGAGGCAACTCAGGGTCTGAAAAAAGAGACATGAAGAAAGCTGAGGACCAATCCATTCCAAGGTTCACTGTGGAAATGGGGCCCAACCCTTAAAAGGTGTGTCCAGATATTGGTCTTTTCTTTCTTTAGGTCAGTTAACTACTGCTGCTGCTGCTACTACTACTATTGCTGGTATGCATTCTCCCTCAAATATCTTCAGATTATTATTATTATTATTATTATTATTATTATTTTTGAGTTGGAGTTTCACTCATGTCACCCAGGCTGGAGTGCAGTGGCACGATCTCGGCTCACTGCAATCTCCACCTCCCAAGTTCAAATGATTCTCCCGCCTTAGCCTCCCAAGTAGCTGGGATTACAGGTGCCCACTACCATGCCCAGCTAATTTTTGCATTTTTAGTAGAAACGGTTTTTCACCATGTTGGCCGGGCTGATCTCAAACTCCTGACCTCGTGATCCCCCCGTCTCGGCCTCCCAAAGTGCTCGGATTACAGGTGTGAGCCACCGCACCCGGCCATATTTTCAGATCTTAATGTTGATGCCCCAACAAGATTTTCTACTAGAAAGTGTGATTGCCTATTTGGGTTTTCATCCAAATCAGTCTGATGTGAGTTGGACCCTGTACATCAGCTACAACTCAGTCTCTGACACATTACTGGGCAAATCAAGCTAGGAAACCACACACTGGGGTGCCGAGGGACAACAACCACGACGTCAGCCATTAACAGCATGGCTGTGGGCTTCCTGCTGTACTAAAACTGAGGTGAAGGCAAGGGAGTACGGACTGATGTCTGGAAAAGTACAGAATTGGTAACTGTCACATTATATGCATGTGATTGTGTCAGACGTCAAAGGCAGCTGATCTTTGCCTAAAGAAGAAAGGATAGAAAGGAACAACCTTATACCATTCTCAAAAAATTTCTTAATTAGAGAAAATGATTATTACTTTTTTTCCAGAGTTGTGCTGTATTTCCCAAGCTATATGTTTTTCATTTTACCATTGCACAAGTAAAACTTAGGAAGCTGTGAATTTATTGTTGAGTTAGGAATTCAAACAATCCATGTCAAAAAAGAAGCAAGCCTGAACAAAGGAGCTGCAGGTAGAAAAGAAAAATCTCAGCTTAAAAATTCAAGGAATGAACATTGAACTCTCTGTGTATAATTAAAAATTACACCACTTAGAATACAATTACAAAAACAAATTGCACCTAAATCTTTTCTGTCCAATTATGTGATTTAATGCAGCGGCTTACAAAAAAAAAATCTCTGCTCATTTTTATCTGTGTGTCAAACATTAAGCCCCTAGTGGTATTTTTCAGGGTCCATTTTTACTGTTGCAGAGAAACAATTAAGGTTATTATAATTAACTTTCCCATGACTGAAAAACTCTGAGTAATGTGAGCACCTGCTGATATATGAGACACATAATTATATAGTGTCTTTAAAAATACTGCCAATTTAAAGTAATTTGATAATTAATGGTAAATAAAAAGTGCCTAGGAAAAATATTTCTGGGACCATTGTGGTCAAAAGTAAGTGCAACTTAGAAATTGCTAACGTTTTGCTCATAGCTTTGTTTTAAGGATATTCATGATTCAAAGAGGCTAATTCATGCTAGTGCTGGTAGGCATGTAAATTTCAATGCTTATATAATATTTAAAGCAACAGTACCTAGCTCCAAATGCTGGAATCTTGGAGAACCAAATGCAGCTTATATTTCCATGATTGCCATTCAGCTAAAAATGTACTATTGAAATCAGACATTCTAAGAATTGGCAGGTGTCATTCCTACACAATGCCTGTGATTCTCTTTGGTGAAAGAAACATCTGGTGATGTACTAAATTTTAAACCAGGCTGAGTCTATTGCTTGTTTTACGAAAATAACCGTTAAGTTTTAAAATCTGATTTGTCTTAGAGACAAGATGCTAAAGTCTAGGCTTTATTTGGAGTCAAAATTTCCAGCCACATCAATGAGGAAAAGACCACACTAGTTGTAACTGGTCTCATCATTTGATGTGTATATTGTCTTATGAGGGAGTTGGAGGCCTATTGATTGAAAATGAGATGTTATTGAACAGAGTTACTAGGAAATAGCAGATTTGAGTTCTGGTTTCAGCTTTGTGATTCAGATGTTGAGGGATAGTTCGGCATCAGTTGGCATTGTTTAAACCTCATTTCCTCATCCTTAGAGAACATTTCTTGCATAATGACTAAATTTGGGTTGTATTTTATTAGTTTGAATAATGATACAGGTTGGAATAAAATTTCTATGTTTTTCATTTAAAATAGTAATTTTGGTACCGAAGTGCTGGGAAGGAAAGAGTATGGTCCCTTTAAATGATACTGAAGCTGGGAAGGGAAATGCTGGGTAGAGGAGGGCGTGGCCCCTGGCCAAGCCTCCACCCCCACGGACCTTGGTGAGGATAGGCATTTCCTGCCCAAATGTTGCATTGCCCAAGATCACCCTGGCCTGCCATGCCCATCCTGTGCCTATAAACACTGCCCCCCGCCCCCACCCCAGTAGGCAGAAGCACAGGCAGCTGGACTTCCAGAGGAACACATCAGTGGGGGAACACACAGGCAGCTGAACATCCAGAGGAATGCACCAATAGGCACCAGCACGCCAGTAGGCCACCGATCGGCAGAAGCAGAAGGACATGGAGTTTGGCTGGGGCAGTTGGAGGAGAGCCTGGGCCACCAAGAGCCCGACTCTAGGGGAAAACCATCTCCCTTCTGGCTCCCCCATCTGCTGAGAGCTACTTCCACTTAATGAAACCTTGCACTCATTCTCCAAGGCCACGTGTGATCCGATTTTTCTGGTACGTCAAAACAAGAACCCAGGGATACAGAAAGCCCTTTGTCCTTGTGATAAGGTAGAGGGTCTAATTGAGCTGACTAACACAAGCTGCCTATGGACAGCTAAACTAAAAGAGCATCCTGTAACACATGCTCACTGGGACTTCAGGAGCTGTAAGCATTCACCCCCAGACACTGCTGTGGACTTGGAGCCCCAGAGCCTGCCCATCTGTATGCTCCCCTAGAGGTCTGAGCACTGAAGAAGTGAGCCACACCCCCATCCCATGCTATCTGAGGGGGGAAAGGGAACTTTTCCCATTTCAATATCAGTCTTATAAACATCTTACAGGAATACAATGTACAATTACTTGTTGTAGGAGTAAAATATTTACAGATGACTTTGAGGTACAGAGCCATAAATGTGCAATGAGCTGTGTTAGAAGGAAACAGACTCCCCATTGTGGGAGGTGTGGGATTGCCAGAGGCTCCAGGAGTGAGCATCGGGATGCTGGATGCATTGAAGAGGCTCAAGTACCAGACTGGGAGTCAAACAGCCTGACTTGTAAGATTTCTAAAAGGCTTAAGGGTTTACGATGGTATCTTTGAAAATTGTACAGTGTTGTACAAACTAAGATATCACTGTGAAGAAAGATGAAGACTAAAATGAAATATTCTATTAAAAGAGCTCACCCACTACAAGTTTGAATAAAGAAATTTACCGTTCTTGTAATCCTGGAGTAAAATATTTTAACTGGGCCAGGCGCAGTGGCTCATGCCTGTAATCCCAGCTCTTTGGGAGGCTGAGGTGGGTGGATCACAAGGTCAGGAGATTGAGACCATCCTGGCCAAGATGGTGAAACCCCATCTCTACTAAAAATACAAAAATTAGCTGGGCGTGGTGGCGTGCGCCTGTAGTCCCAGGTACTCAGGAGGCTGAGGCAGGAAAATAGCTTGAACCCGGGAGGTGGAGATCGTGCCTTTGCACTCCAGCCTGGGTAACAAGAGCAAAACTCAGTCTCAAAAAAAAAATGTATATATATAAGTGTCAATGCAACTTTCACTATTTATTACTTAATAGAGTTGATTTAAGATTGTAAACACAGTCATTTAAATGCTTCCCCCCTTTTTTTTTTTTTTTTTTTTTTGAGACGGAGTCTTGCTCTATTGCCCCGGTTGGAGTGCAGTGGTGCTATCTTGGCTCACTGCAAGCTCCGCCTCCTGGGTTCACGCCATTCTCCTGCCTCAGCCTCCCAAGTAGCTGGGACTACAGGCACCCGCCACTATGCCCGCCAAATTTTTTTTTTTTTTGATATTTTTAGTAGAGACGGGGTTTCACCGTGTTAGCCAAGATGGTCTCAATCTCCTGATCTTGTGATCCGCCTGCCTCGGCCTCCCAAAGTGCTGGGATTACAGGCGTGAGCCACCGCGCCCGGCTAAATGCTTCCTTATACTTCAGATTCCTTCTCATATGCTCTTCATTCTTATTCTTTGGCATCTTTTGGATATTTTGGTCATTTAGAGACACCTGAACAGTTATATATCTGCCTTCTAAAAAGCCAAGGCAAATCTCCACATGACAGTCTTTAAAGATATGATATTAGTCAAGCTGTTCTCTTTGGACTATTTAACAAGCAAAAACTTTAATTCCCTGCTGTAATTCAAATTAAGGTATTATTTCTTGAAAATCTAGGGAAATAAATGAAAATTTTTATATTTTTTCAAAATAAAGATATGACAAAGGGTATACATTTTACAAGGCAAAAGTAGAACTTCGTTTATTTACAGTTTATGCCTGAGGGGGTGGATGAGGCTATGTTCACGTGTATAGTTTATGCCAGAATATGAGGAAGAATTGCTTACCAATCCGTGTCATAAGGGGACACTAATTAGGTTTGGATAACAGCTAGAGAAGAGAAAAAACCAAAGGCGGAAACCTAGATCCCTTAAAATATTTGTTGCAAACCCAGTGCCTCTCAAATGCCCTCTCTGTGCCAGATACTGTGCCAGTATTATGGAGCCTTGAAATGATTCCACTTTTGTGGTTTTCTATGTGAGTGACATGTTTTGCTGTGAGGAGAACTTGGAGGGTTTTCCTGCTGTCTTGAGAATGTGACATCACACATTATGAGACCGCACATGTCAGCTGCTGAACTTCAAATACATAGAAACTCCAGAGTTTCACAGATACTCTGAGAGCTTAGGCTGCACTCCACTAGCCACTTCTCTGACAAAACAAAGTAAGCCAGCTTCCAGGTGCCTTCTAGTAGTCACAGATCTCTGCTGCGTTGGATGCCATCTCTTCTGAGAACTGCTTGTGTAAAGGTACACCTCAGTCTTTGATTAGACTCTCCTTTCCACAGAGGCCTGATTCCATCCCACTTGAGCAATTTGACTTTACTAAGTTTGAAGCTCACCCACTATGTGGTAAATGGACTTCATCTAATCGAGGGTATTCCCTGTAAGATGTGTTCACGTTTAATGCATTGTGACCCAAAAGAAAAAATATCTCTTTGTATGGCAATAAACTGAGTGATTTGTGAAATCATACCATGATCATTTATTTAACCATACAGAACAGCCAGGCATTTTACATGTGTTATATTATTTGGTACTTATGATAATAATTATCATTCCTGTACTGGAAGGACATCTCATGGAAAACTGACATTTTTTACAACCTCTAAAAGTAGTAAGATGGTTGGGAGAAAAGTCTTGGGAGTTATCACTTGGTTCACTATAACAGAAGGACAAGGTGGCCTGGATGTACCATTTTGGCCCTACAGGGCTGGCTGGGCTGGTGTGGCTGCCTGGACCACTGCTTTGCCTTCCATCAGTGACAATGAGCCCTGGACAGTGGAAGACTGGTGGGTCAAGAACATTCAGGGCATTTGTCCCTTGCTCAATGCTCCAATTTAACCCACCATAAGTAGAAAGGTTGAAAACGTATACTTCCGGCCAAACGCGGTGGTGCACTCCTGTAATCCCAGCACTTTGGGAGGCTGAGGTGGGTGGATCACCTGAGGTCAGGAGTTTGAGACCAGCTTGACCAACATGGTGAAACTCTGTCTCTACTAAAAATATAAAAAATTAGCTGGGCGTGGTGGCGGGTACCTGTAATCTCAGCTACTTGGGAGGCTAAAGCAGGAGAATCTCTTGAACCTGGGAGGTGGAGGTTGGGGTTGCAGTGAGCCGAGATTGTGTCATTGCACTCCAGCCTGGGAAACAGAGAGAAACTCAGTCACACACACACACACACACACACACACACACACACACACACACAAAAGTACACTTCCAAAAAAGGAACTTCCTTGTGACGTAAATAATCTCTGTCAACATCAGCCTCCCTATAGGCTGAATTATGACATAGGATGGAAAGTGGGGTGAGGTGATCTTTCCCTCCCCTGCTTCTATCTCAACATTTCATGACTGTATGAGCTGCAGAACGAGCAGGTGTTAACTACCTAAGAAGAACAAAGAGAACAAAGTGCCCCACTGGCTTGTTGAGAAATGCACAGTTACTTTCTGAGACAGCCTCAGCTTGGCTCAAACCTAATCATTTGCTAAGCCAAAGAGGCTCAGGAATAGTTGAAAGTCAAAGTCAGGGAATATCATCATGCGACCTCACCGAGACAAAATAGAAAGGAACAGAGCTTCTGCTGTACAATACACAGTTGGAAAAACACAGTAACTAGACTAATAGATTAATTGCCTCCTCTTGAGGATTTTTTAATTTAATTTTTTATTGTTAGTTTTCAATAAAAGACCCACATACTGTGGATCTAGAAACAAATGACTGTTGCATGGCAGGGCAGCAATGGAGGGATGGAGGGCTGCAGGCCTGCTGGGGAACCATCTAGTGTTGACTCAGGAATAGGGCTCGGTGGGGCCAAGTCCAGGAGCAGAAAGTGATCATGAGGAACTGGAGAGGATAGTGGAATTCAGCTCTGTGATGTCAGGAAGATAAGTCTAATGCCCAGGTCCTGAGGCATAGGTATGAGGTATGAGGGATGAGGCACAGGCCAGGAATTCAGAGCCAAGAAGAGGAGACCAAGCAAAAAGCTGACCAAAAGCACAGGGTAAGGTATTCCTGAGTCAGCCCCAACTTACAGAAGCCCTTGCACATATTAGGCACGAAGGAAATATTTGTCGGATGAATGAAGGGATGCTTGAAGAATGAGGGTCTGTAAGGTTTGCCTTTCAAGGCTCATGGGACCTGATGATAGGATGCATTGGTCAGGATCCAAGGGTGAGTGGGAGCAGAGCGCGCAGCAAAGTGACAGATACAATTCCACATACAGATGGGTAAATAAGGCAGGAATCCAAGTAACTGAAAGAAACAATTATCTGAAAATTGAACACCAGGAAAGTGTGTCTGGAGAGAGGGGGAGGATGAGGGAGATTTCATGGCATGATTTGGGGAAGAATATCCCCAGATGGAGAGAAAGTAAGGAGTGACAATAGGACAGTAGGAGCATAAGGCATCAGAGTAGCCAGGGCATGCAGTGTATGGGGCCTGTGGGCCAAGAAGTCAGGAAAGCTGTCTGAACCCGAATGAGGAGAGCTCAATTTGGGCTAAGAACTTCAGGCAGGGTGCATGCCCATCACTGCATCATCTCATCACAATAGATGTGAGACCGGGGAAAGAAAGAGTGAGGTCTCTGAAGGGTTAGGCATGCGTTGTGGTGTAGCAGGACATTCACATAGTCCACAATTCTCTCTGAATTATGGAAATATCATGGCATCACCAAAAAGGGAAAAAAGTTAAATTATGGCACAAAAATTTTACAACATGTGTCTACTTTCCATCTTATGGACAATAAAATATGAAACAGGATAGCATTGTAAGTGCAGTTGACCCTTGAACAATTTGGGAGTCAGGGGCGCTGAACTCCTGCACAATCAAAAATCCACATATAACTTTTGACTTTCCCCAAACTTAACTACTAATAGCTTACTGTTGACCATAAGCCTTACCAATAACATAAACAGTTGACTAACACATATTTTGTGTATCATATGTGTTAAATACTGTATTCTTACAATAAAGTACGCTACAGAAAAAGATGTTATTATTAAGAAAATTGTAAGGAAGAGAAAATATATTTACTATTCATTAAGTAGAAGTGGATCACCATAAAGGTCTTCATCCTCATCATCTTATGTTGAGTAGGCTGAGGAGGAAGAGAAAGAGGAGGGTTGGTCTTGCTGTTTCAGGGGCAGCAAAGTAGGAGGAAATCCACCTGTAAGTGGATCCTCAAAGTTTAAAACTGTGTTGTTTAAGGGCCAACCATCAATGCAATGTGAACAACAGATCTAGTGCTATGCTAAACTCTGAGAGTGTGACATGGAAGGAAACTACCACGTACAACTAGTAATAGGATTTTCCCCCACCTTAAACGTTTTTGGAACGAGGAAGATGTAAATTTTTTAAAAGGAATAGTTTAAAAGCCTTCTAGATGTCGCATTTACAATGCAATTCATTGTTATAAAATACTTACTGATAACAATTGTATATCTAACATACTTTACCAACAGAAATATTTTACAGGGGTTTACATGACACATTTATCTCCTCCACTCTATAAAGCACAATCTTGTTTAAGTGAAGAATTTTGTGTCTCCATTTGGAGGATTTCTTGTGATTAGAAAATCCTTTTTGCTGGAATCATGGTGGTTGAAAAATTGTTCTTACTGTTCTGATTTTCCAAGTTTCCTTTGCACAGGCAAAAAATGTAGAGAGGAGGGGAAGGGAAAACAGAGAGGAAATTTGTGTCCAAATAGTGACAATGGAAAGGTGAACATTTAGCTAACTGAAACCAACCCAATAATCCCATAGATAGTTTCTTGCATAAACACAGAACTTGACCCTTCTGGTCTTAAAGCTTACACCTTACATTTGTTTAATCTGAGTTCCTTCCTCAGGAAATGACCTTCAGGTCTCTCAAAGAAAGTGTCAAAGAATTGAAACTCACCAGATCACCACATCCAGACAATGAGATTGGAGGACCCCTCATTTATCCTGCTTGTACACATTGTTACGTTTCTTCCCTACTTAGAAACCCCTAGTTTTAGTAGGTCAGGGAGATGGGTTTGAGACTGGGCTCCCATCACCTTGGCTGCAGCACCTGATTAAAGCCTTCTTCCTTGGCAATAAAAGTCTCAGTGCTCGGCTTTTTGCTGTATGGCAAGCAGGAGGACCTAGGCCAAACCCCTGGTGTTCTGGTAACATAACCAGAAGCCTTTGCTTTGGTAGGTACACCTGGTTATTTTCCAGCAGAAAAGTAGCCAAGCTAGAAACAGGTGTTGTCCCAGAGAGGTCTATGAGGTGGGGAGCAGGAAGGGTCTGGTGGGATGGGGCTGGTATGCAGGGCACATTCCTGAGGATTCTTTATTGGGAGAGACTTCTGCCTTAGCAAGAAGCAGCCTAGAAGTTTCTTGCCTGGGGCAGATGGTTGATTCTGTGTGCAATCTTCTAAATGGTGTGGGGTTTGCCAAACATGGTGCTTAGAATCTGGACTATCCCTTGTATTTCTGTCTTTCTTTATCCCAACCTCTTGCTCAGTGGCCTCTTTCATTTGCTTCTTGAAATGTGTGGTCTCCAGTTCCCAGATTGCTGTTTTACTCTTCCTTACGGCTCTGCCCTGATGTACCATGGTGCCTGGCACATAGCACACTGTTATTAAGAACTTGTTGAGTAAATGGCCCAATATGGCATTGACGTTTTCTTTGAAGTGCCTGTCTTAGTTTGTTCAGACTGCTATAAAAGATTACCATAGAGTGGGTGGCTCACACAACAGAAATTTATTTAACACAGTCTGGAGTCTGGGAAGTCTGAGATCAGGGTGCCAGCATGGTCAGATTCTGCTGGGGGCCCTCTTCCTGGTTTGTAGACAATTTCAGACCTCACATGGGGAGAGAGAGAGGAAGCAAGCTGTCTCCTGCTTCTTCTTGTAAGGCACTAATGTCATTCATGAGGGCTCCACTTTAATGACCTTATCACCTCCCGAAGGCCCCATCTCCAAATACCATCACACTGGGGGCTCGGGCTTCAACATATGTATTTAGAGGGGATACAAACATGAAATCCACAGCAGTGCCGAATTGTCTAGAGACCCCAGGCTCTTCAAAATCTCTCTGGTTTGCATCTGTTCTTGCCCAGTGAACCCTCCTGTGTATTTACCTTGTTTTGGTTGGATATTCCTTGTTTTTTTTTTTTCTTTTATATATAGTGAACCACAGGAGATTTGGGGGCTGATTATATCTGACTGCTGGTAGTCTAGTACATGTGATTTCTGGTGCTCACTCTTCACTAGACCTGGGATCTAGGACGAGTCATTTCAACTTGCAGTATTTCAGCTTTCTCATCTACAAAATAGAAAGGTCCTAAATGTTTTATATGATTCTGGAACTTCTAGTTCTAACATTTTGTCACTATAAGAATTTCCCCTAAATCATCCCTTTCTTATTATAGTCATTGATTACTTAAATTCAGTGATGTTGAGATGGATTGCTGTGTTTCCTTTTTCTTTAACAATGACCACAACTGTATGTCATTATTATTATTTAGTAGAAGGCTTGAGGGGAGAAAGTATCATTAGAATAATATTTTGGATTTTCTCTTACCTGCAAGCTGGCTTTCTCATTTTGCTCCAATAGTCCTTATGATTCGGGAAAAGAGGACAAGGCAGAAGCCCCTTTGGGAAGGAGGAGCATGACCCTGTGGAAGTGGCTCTGTCTGGCTTGTGGATTGTGGGCAAGCCTTTCTAAAAGGCAGCAACCGAACCCTGTTTGCTGCATTAATCTCACTCTGAGCGCAGACTTTTGAAAGAGAGGGTGGCATTGAATGGGATGGCAGCAAAGCTAAAAGTCAACAGGCCCTTTTTTCTTCACCCGGTGGGCCTAGACTGACACCATCTTGCATGGGGTCCTGCCAGAAGCATCCTACAGCCACATCAGAATAAATAGTATGGTAGGTGGGTGTATGTAGACAGACGAGGCTCAGAATTTATTGACCATGAGTCTATTTTGACCTTGAGTATCTTGGAAGGTATTTTGGAGTTCCCGTGTACCAGAGGAGAGACGGACGGGCTGAGATCAGAATCACTAGGTGAGGGTAAACACCCAGGGGCCTTGTCAAAGGGGGCATGGTAATCCTATCTAAGGGCTGCAGAATAGATGAGAGATCCAAAGCAAGGCCACGTCAGCAGCTGAGAAAGATGCTACGCATGACAGAGACAACATGGACCTTGAGATGCCGGGTGCAGGGTTCAGGAGCAGAGGTGAGCAGGGCCTGGCAGAGAGGACTGCATTGCTGCAGAGGCCAGCAGGAGCCCAAACAGCAGGGCCTACACTGGCTGCACACAGACCTGAGACCTGTGTCTCCCTTGCCCACCTGGGGACATGGTAACTCCATGTGTATCCCACCCACTGGGTGCTCTTGTGGCAGGAGAGGCTGGAGAAGGAGCATACGCTTGAAATGACAGTTGCAGTGAGGAAGGAGGCAGTCAGAAGCCTTAGGACACTGCTTTCCTGTGAATAGACACGTTTAAAAGTCCTTTTCCCCTCCCTTGCTGTACAGTGGCGCTGATGGGGTGGGAGACTAAGGAAGGAAAGATCAATAGTAGAAAATAAGCAACACAGATGTGCTTTGCTCACTTGAGTGGAAGTGAGCACAATTTCAGTCCAGCCACGGCAGCATCGTCAGAGGAGGCTGCCTGCCTTGCGTTTCCCACCTGGAAGGGAGCTCCTACCTGCTCTCTCTGCATCATTTCTCCAGCTGGTGGTCTGGGCCCCAAGATGACCAGGAAGGGAGAAAATTACCTTGTCTCCCCTGGGGCCAACAGTGCACAGAATGGATGGGCTTGGTGGGGGAAAGGCTATGAGCACTTGAGTGCTAATACTGTGGTCCCTGTCCTGTGTCTGATAAGGCCCTCCGTGTGCAGCAGTTGTTTTCTGTTAAGGAGTTACACATGAAATAAGAGAAAGAAGTAGTCTGATGAATGCCATTTTCCATTTTGGACGTACAGACGGTCACTCAAATTCGCACTTCAATTTTCCTGTGTGGAAATGGCAAAGAGTGACAGGTCCATTATCAATCTACTAAAAAACTGACCTGGTGATCATGGGAGTCTTTCATGATGAATTTGATTCTATAGTCTCTTAGAATTAAGATGAATTTGTTTTTGTAAAATCCCAGAATATAATTAATAAAAATGGTAAGTGTCTTCTCATTCCCCTTCATAAGTATGATGCCAGGAAACGACATTTGCAATCTCATGCTGGGGAAAGACACTGTCATGGGAGAGGGAGAACACTGGGCAGGAACAGAATGGGGAGGAGGAGGGAGGGCAATGGTGCTAGTAAAATTCCCCTGCATGGGAATAATGTACTTGGCACAGCCTGGCGTTCTCATAATAAAAAGAATAACTATCATTCTCCTTTCCCCATGAGGCAAAACAGATGCTGTCTCTATGACGAAGTGCTCACTCTTCAGTGGAACAGCCATTTCCACAGCCAAATGTCTCAACAGCAAACTGGAATTCCTAAGCCAGGTTCCCCATTCTGTGCGGCACACCCCTGAAGCAGGTGGAGACTGTGTTCACCTCACAGTGGCAGCTGGAATATGAGCGTGCTCGGGGGTGGCAGTTGCAGAGGGAGGGAGGAAGGGAGAGAAAGGAGGAGACTGAGGGAGAGAAAGAGAGAAAGACACAGAGAGAAGGAGAGAGAGAGAGGGAGAGACAGCAGGAGAGAGAGGGCGGCCAGAGAAGCAAGCACTGTCACATGCACACACACACACACACACACACACACACACATGCAGAGAGAGAAAGGGAGGGAGAGACAGAGGGGCAGGGAGAGAGGGAGAGACAGTGGAGGGGTGGGACAGAGAAGCACACACACACACAGAGGCAGAGAGAGGGAGAGAGATAGAAAGAGAGAGGCAGACACAGAGGCAGAGAGAGAGGGAGAGACAGTGCAGCGGGGAGCAGAGAAGCACAAACAGACACACAGAGGCAGAGATAGAAAGGCAGACAGAAGGAGAGGAAAAGACAAGGGAGGAGAGAGAGAGGGAGAGGCAGAGGGAGAGAGAGGCAGAGATGGGAGAAAGAGACAGAGAGGCAGAGGAGGAGAGAGAGAGAGAGAGGGAGAAAGCGGGGAGAGGCAGGGAGAGAGGGAGAGAGAGAGGGAAGAGAGGAGACAAAGGCAGACAGAGAGAGGCAGAGAGAGAGGGAGAGACAGTGGCGGGGCAGAGAAGCACCAACATACACAGAGGCAGAGAGAGATGGGGGTAGGGTGGGGGAGAGTGGTGGAGAGTCAGGGAGAGAGAGAGATTGGTCTCCCCATCTTGCCCTCACTGACCTCCTGCCAGGGTGCATGGGACAGGCAAGGGAGCCACCACAGTGAGAGTAGAGAGCTCTCCTAATGTTCTCAATTGAGAACAAAAAAGAGGTCCTGTGATTGTGGAAGGATGACTTGGATACAAGGAAGGACGTGTCATTCCTCGCAGCCACCTCTGAGGTCCCAGGGCTGTGTGCGATCTGGGCACTTACCTGCCTGCCAGACACATTGAAGCCTGCGATGGACATGCAGGGGAGAGGGAAAGGGGCTCCAACCTGGGGAGCCCACATGCTAGTCAGGGAGGGGGTGACATCGAATTGTGCTCTCGAGCTCACAAAGCCCTTTGTTGAGCTCCATTGCATTTGTTCTTCACCTGCACCCTGCATTATGTTGCCAGGGTTTTAGCGTCAACTAGCTTACCCAGTTACCCGACTTGGAAGTGGCAGAGATGGACTCAACTGAAGCCTGCTAACTCTCATTTTAGCCCCTTTCTACCACATGCTGCCTTTTATAACATAGACCCCAGCATGCCTGGGTGGAGATCTGCTGGAGTTTATGAGCCTGGGTACCCTGGGAAAAGATGTGGATGGGATTGAGTGAATGGAGGTGCAAGTAGTTTCTCTCTCTGGGCAGCAGCCACTGCTTGGACACCACAAACACTTCCCTGCAGCTGAGCACCAGGTTGATTAGAGCATAACATTTCCGGGGAAAATGGGAAAACTTGCAAAATGCAGTTTGTTTTTTCCAGAGGTCCATGAGAATGTTTGTCCAGTTCATTCTTTTTGGGCCTTTATGGACAAGCAGAGGCAAATCTGAAGTGATGCTTGCAGCAAGGCCTTCTCTACAATGGAGAGGAGGCGCATCAACTCCCTTTCCCCTCCCCTTGCTTTCTGAGGCCCCTGTTTCATTTGTCATGAAGGTGGAATCGAGGCACTCAGACGTAGGTAGGGCACAAAAAAGCTGCTAAAAAAGCTAACATCCACGTGATGATGACCCCTTCGTTCTCCATGGCAATGTAAGTGCTTCCAGTGATTCTATGTGTTATGAGCATTTTTCATCTTAAAGGAGATTTCCATCTACCTTTCCTGGTCCATTTCTTTTTCCAAGGAGAACACATATCAGAAAAATAAAAGGAAATCAAACAGCACAAGTATTTAACCCGAGTCTGGCTGCTCCTGGCCAGTCCAATCCACATTTTAAAGGACAGAGGCGAGGGGCCAAATCTCCCCTGGATAAGCGCCTCTGCTAGAGTCACAGACTGGCTCGGTGATCTTAGCACTTAAACTTTCAGTAACCCAGTTTCCACATCTGTACAATGTGGACAGAAATATATCTATCCTGTGGGATGGTAGGGAGGATTAAACCAAACAGTGCACATCCCAGGTGGAATGCAGTGCCAGGCACACAGTGCACACTCAGGTATGGTTTGCTGGATCCTCAGCCGCAGCACATGTGTTCCAGACCCGTTTGCTACCACAGGTGTACTTGTGTCAACGGAAAATGGAAAGGCAGAAGCCACACGCTTGAGGCACATGAGCTCCACGAAGCTCAGAAACTTTCTCTGGGGACAGAGGGAGGTGAATCTGCTAGGTGCCCCGCCTCACGCCTCCTATCCTCACAGTAACAAATGCTTCAAATAGCATCACCTGTCAGAGTGTGTTCAGTTTCTAGATTGTCAGGCAAAACCTCACTTAAAAAGAGAAAAAGAAAAGAAAACCACCAGGAAACTTAGTTTAGATCATGTCACATGGCCAAGAATATGTCAATTCTGGAGGAAACTTGTTTGTCAGAAGGTAAGATATTCATGGCACGCCACAGAGCCGAATTTCCAGGGTGGCAATATCTTGTCCAGGGGTTTGTTCCTCTCCTAATGAAGGCTGTCACACTGCAATACTTTGGGGGATGTGCAGACTGGAGGAGCCCAGCCCTGTGCATGGCACCCTCCAACAACAAGGAGATTGCATCTTACAACTGTCAGGAAAATAGATTTGCTGCCGAGCACTTGTCTTAGTGCAGTTTATTAGACTGCATCAGTCATCTTATGCTGCTTAGTCCTCAACACAAGAGTTCAGATGAGGAAGAGCATGCGAGATGAAAACACAAAGGGAGAATACACAAAAGGTAGAGGCTTATCTTCACTGAGAAATGCTAGGTGGGGTGCCTAGGTGATGATGGAGAGCACAGAAAAGGTGCCCATCCAGTCCCTGGTGTCCTGGGGACACAACAGTGCAGGCTCTCCTTTAGAAAGTGGTTTTGCGGTGACTACCGTGTGCTGCCATTTCCATTCTTGTCCTGTAAGAGAGGCAGGAGTGCCTCAATGGGGTTGTCTCTGTGCCCGGTGGGACTCAGTGACAGCAGCCAGCTGAGGTAGCAAATGCAACAGCTTGGCGGATCCAACTGCAAAGTCTGCCAGGCTCAGGCTTGCTTGGGCCATTGAAGGATTCTGTGTGTTTTCTCCTCTGGCCTCAGATGTGTTAAGTATTCCTCCAGCGTGCCCACCCTCTGAGGCCAGAGATAGGAGGTCATCAGGCCGTCAGCTGGCAGAGAGGAAGTCCCTTCTGACCTTGAACAGCCGGTGAACTGCTATCCACAGTCTGAGAAGTAGCCACACTCTCATGTTGCCCATGCCTTGATGAAATACCTAGCCAACTTTGAGGCCTTCCCCCATGTGCCTTTAACCCTCCTGTACCAGGTATTTTCAAGTAGCTGTTTCTTTTCTTTGGAAATTTTTCTCTTTCTCTGTCTAGACACATTTTTCAAAGTCTAGACAGAGACCCAACTCCTCCAGGAAGCCTGTGTGGATGATGACAGTCTCTGATAGTTTTTCCTTCCTCTGATTGCTTGCATTTTCTGTACAAATTTACCACAAACTTGCCTGTCTCATGGTTACCTTAGAAATAATGTTGATCTTGTTTTACATTTTTTTTTTCCTTTCTAAAAGGCAAGCATTGTACTTCATACTTCTTTGAATGTCTGCAGACCAGCACATAAAAGGAGCTCAATGCCGCTTTGTAAAATGGCCTTTCTGTGATTCTGGGAGAACCTGGTTTACACTGTGGACTATCAGTAGTGTGTGTGTGTGTGTGTGTGTGTGTGTGTGTGTGTGTGTGTGTGTGGTGATGGACGGCCATCCTGCTCCAGGCCTCAGGAAGTGGGAGTAGGCAACTGTGAGATTAGACAAACCTGGAATATTCACAGCATTGTCGCCTTTAATACATTCCAAATGCGAACTGCAGTGGCTGAGAGTGACTTGTTTCATAGGCTCCTTTCTTTCCCCTGCCAGCCCATGAGTGTTAGGAAAGGAGAGTTGCCTAATTGATCTCTGCAGCTGCAGGACCCAGCACAAAGCCCTGCCCTCAATAAGTACTCATACATTTGTAGGAAACATTGTTCTCTCCTCTCCCCATCATCCCAGGTTGGCCCATACTAATAAAGAAGAAGTCCCTCCCTTTCTGAGGTTTTAGAGAAAATTGGCTTCCCTCCTTTCCTTGCCCCGCACTCATCATCCCCAATGGAGGGGAGCACAGGATAGGATGTGAAACTGGGGGAAGGAGCTGGAACCGGATGGCTCCTATCACTGGGGTGGTCTCTTTTCCAGAACAGCCTATCCAGGGGTCATACACTTCCTTCTTCCCTATGGAGAGGTCTGCAGTGGTCTGTCTGTCAGCTGACGGGAAAGTACAATTGGAGGGAGCATGTAAATGCTCTATTATGTCCCCAGATGCAAAATGTTTCCAGTTCTGCTTCACTCACAACAAACCTGATGTTTTCATCTCTTTCTGTATTCTTTCTGAACTCTGAGCAGGGAGAGGAGCCATCATTAACTATCACTACCACATCTCAATAAAGGGAAATATCTTGAAATAATATATCTTGAAAAATGAATGCTGGGCCTGCCTTACCTCCGCTTCTCTGTATGTGTCACTCTTGCAGGCCAGTCTCTCACTTCACCTCCATGAGCACGGGCTGCACTGCTGGTGTGAACCATGGCAGGACTGATGCCTCAGGATTTCAGAAAGAAGAAGAAAGCAAAAGACTTTTCTGAGCGCTTCTTTTTGTCCTGAGCTGGCCTCTACTATCTGGCAGGCCGTATATTTGCAAGAGGTCCTACATAATGGCTTTGAGGATTCGGGTGAAGGTGGTTGAGGAGAAGCCTAGTGTGAACTCAGATAGGCAGGTCTCCTGAGGTATGGAAGGAGAGTTTATGTATTCACCATGCCTTTTCTTTTCTTCATACTTTGACGGTATGAAGTGTGAAGTGGGTAGCTAATTCCCAGAGATCACAGACAACTCCTCTGGGAGCTTGCCTTTCATATGCAAAGCAACCAATCCACAGCCTACTCCCACCACCTCCTCTATGGGGATTTCACACTCTGGGCCAGCCTTCCCTTCCCTAATCACCCCAGGGCAGGGACCAGACAGCTAAGGACAGCCCCTAAGTCCTCAGAGCCTTGAAATGATTCAAACCAGCCAATCCTAAGCATGCGTATCCTGCCTTGCCTGTGTTCCCCATGGAAACCACAGTAAAGGCTCTTGCTGGTGCTTTGCTCCTCCACCCACCTCCAGACTGACCCTGACGCTTCCCTGTATGCACTGCCCCCCATGTAGTGCACCCCATCCTCTTGGGATCTGTGAGTAATGAACTGTCTTTTCAGTGGCACTTGTCTGCTGATCTGTTGGCCTTGCCAAACCTAAATGATAAAAAAGCTTATATTTTAAAACAGTTTAGAATTACTGAACTCGAAAGAGAGTCATGAATAGAAGAATAATAATATCGCCATCTCTCATTGGAAACTCACTTTGTGCCAGTCGTTTCTGTAAGTTTATTCACTGCATTAGTTAATTCAATCTTCACATGTTCTCCTGTCCACTGATGCATTTTTCAAATCAGGAAAATGACTGGGATCAGAGGAGATAAATAACCCTTCCAAGGTGACACATCCGGGGAGCGGACGAGCAGACACAGAAAACAGCACACATTTGCA
Organism: Homo sapiens; assembly: GCF_000001405.40. Classification (NCBI taxonomy): domain Eukaryota; kingdom Metazoa; phylum Chordata; class Mammalia; order Primates; family Hominidae; genus Homo; species Homo sapiens. Next base: position 56,545,162 of record NC_000008.11, read on the forward strand.
GAAAGGAAAGGAAATGGTGGAAATGGCTGTGGGCTGGCTTCAAAGTGAAGGATTTTGTTGTTTGCGAGAATTGGAAATCACTGCTGCCTTCATGAAGTTGCAGCAGATAAGCCATCTGGCCTTTGCACATGAAAGATCCCTGTCCCTGGTTATTTATTTATTTTTTAATTTAATTTTTTTTTTTGAGACAGAGTCTCACTACGTTGCCAGGCTAGAGTGCAGTGGGATGATCTCGGCTCACTGCAACCTCTGCTTTCCCGGTTCAAGCGATTTTCCTGCCTCAGCTTCCAGAGTAGCTGGGACTATAGGGGTGCACCACCATGCCCAGCTAATTTTTTTTTGTATTTTTAGTAGAGACGGGGTTTCACCATGTTGGCCAGGCTGGTATTGATCTCCTGACCTCGTGATTTGCCTGCCTCAGCCTCCCAAAGTGCTGGGATTACAGGCATGAGCCACCGCCCCCAGCCTTGTCACTGGTTTTTTAATAACTGGTGATGAAAACTGATGGGTTGGCTGGACACCCATGAAGAGTCTTCCGCTTATCAGCTGAAGACAGCGCCAGGCCTCACAAATCCCTGCCGCTCACAGGCTCCTGTTCTCATGCCCCAGGTAGCTCAGAGACCACTGGAAGTCTGAATCACATCAAACCATTGCCTGAGCCACAGTTCCTCTTGGCCTCACAGGGCTTCTGTTGCTTAAAGGCCCCAGGGAGTGATTTGTGGAAACCATAAATCCATTTTACAGTTGAATGTCAACTGTAATGCCTTCTACTCAAAGGAAGCCAAGAACTAAATTTCAAAAAAAGTGAATGCCACAAACTCTGGCTGTTTACATTACGTCAAAACAAGTTGAAAATTCAAGTTCAGTTGCTGCCCATCTTCCTGTGTTTTTCAATTTTGCTATAAGAGATTCACAAAGGTGGTGGTGTTTCTTTTTTTCTTTTTTTCTGCTAGATTCCTTGTAACTTAAAACTGATTGACATTGGTCTGATGAATGTGTGTGGTGTAGACAGTCCAGGGCTTCCAAGTCCATGTGGGCAAGGCACCGTATTTCAAAAGACAACCTAGAAGGGGAAGTATTAGTGCCTCCAAATTCAGTGTGAGTTGAGCATCAAAATCACCTGGCAGGCTCTATGAACGTGACCCCAACTGATGGCCCTTTGACACTACCTGCTGGAGCCGGCTGAGTTTGCCCATCTCACTTATTAAACACTTGCTCCTTCAGAAAATCCTACTTTAGCTTTTGTTTAGCTGGGAATTTCAAAGACAGATCTTTCCTTCCAAAAAAACATATTTGAGGCCTGCAGGGTCTGGACAAGAGGATGCTTTAAATAGCTCTTACAATTTTCCCCCATTAACTGGGCCACCCCACCAAGAATGTACATCTTCAAATTCTTCCAGAGAATTCAGATGTCAGCACCAGCAGTGCACAAAGAATGAATGGTTACTGCTGGTGTGTTATGGAGGAGGAATCAGCACTCTGGGAGTCAGTGCACGGATTTTCTATTTTTGTTTGTTTTTTTGTTTGTTTGTTTCCAGACGGAGTTTTGCTCTGTTGCCCAGGCTGGAGTGCAGTGGCTCAATCTCGACTCACTGCAACGTCCTCCTCCCAGGTTCAAGCAGTTCTCCCAAGTAGCTGGGATTATAGGTGCGTGCCACCACGCCCAACTAATTTTTGTATTTTTAGTAGAGACAGAGTTTCACCATGTTGGCCAGGCTGGTCTCGAACTCCTGACCTCGTGATCCACCCTCCTTGGCCTCCCGAAGTGCTGGGATTACAGGCATGAGCCACTGCACCCAGCTGGATCCACAATTTTTGGAGTTGGCAATCATTTGGTTAAGGCATACAATTTTGCCATTTTGGTAGATTAAAAATGGTCAAATTTTAGCAGTTTCATACAGTTCGACCCATTCTACACATTTCTCCCATGTTACTGTTATCTGGAGAGAGGGTGACCCACCAACCTGGTTTGTTTAGGGCTGGTCCTCTTATGGCACTGAAATCCCACATCCAGGGAGGCCCCTCTGTCTTAGGCAGACTGGAGTGGTTGGTCACAGCTGGGAGACCAGGTTCCAGCTCCTCGGCTTGGTGTATGGGGCACCCCATTTTGCCTGCGTCCTCTGCTCCATTAAGGTGTTATTGATAAGGGCAAACATAATTATAGTCACTAAGTGCCAAACATTGTACATGACCTTATTACTCCTCAAAACAGTCCTCTGAGGCTTAGAGAAGTTAGGTGGCCTCCGCAAGATCTCACCTATATTGGGGCTGAAGCTGTCCATGACTCCCGAACCTCAGCATTCTGTTATGTGCCAGACACTCTGCTAGGCCCTGGGATTAAAATGAAGAAGACAGGCCAGGCTTTTGACACTGAAAATGGAAAAATGTTAAACAACTAGTCGTTGGATAACATTCCTTTGAAAATGCGGTGCCCCTTCCTGGATTTGAGGACACAGAAGTAGTTTGGTGATGCTGTGCTCCCTGTGAAGCCTCAGAGGCAGGGCATGGCTCCCAGACTGTGCAGTGTGTGGGGAGCGGTCAGGTAAGGTCAGTGCCTGACAGAACAGTCAGGAACTCCACACCTGACTGTTCTGGTTGGACACGTGGATTAATTTTCAGGGTTTCTCCCTGTGGATTGTTGCTCTTATGAACAGCTTTTAAAAATGGGGATTATTGGTACCTAATATTTTACTGAAAAATAAAACTTATCAGAGCACTAGACAGTTCTTTCAAAGACAGCTGTTGGCCTCCCAACTTGATCAGCTGTATTCCTCAAATGGGGGTGCTGTGGTTTCCCCAAGGAGATGAGAAACCACAGCACAAACAAAGAACATCTTGGTGGATAGCTGATTGTATTTGAAGATCTGGGGAGTTTTTCTCCATTAAAAAACAAAACAAAACAAAACAGACTCACATAAGAGGAAGGTGGGAAAAATCTTATGAATTCCTAATGTAAAACATGCAGAATTAATGATTGTGAAGTTACTTCAGCTCTACTCCTAAGCTCTCAGGTCACAGAGTTAAATTTTGAAGTGCACAGAACTGGACTTCAGTAATAAACCATGGAGTGCTAAGCTTACACGTCGTTCAATTATCCTCTGAACTGGATTTTTTTTTCTTTTGTCATGTAGGTCACCAATAATGTGGAATCCATTTCGTGGAGACAAGCTACTTTTAGTCAAAAATTGTAAGGCACGGTGAGTACTCAAGCATATGACTATAATTTTCTGAATGGACTTTAGATACCAGGGTTTAAAAGCATTTCAAAATGTCTACATCATAGTAGAAGCTTGGATTAAGCTATTTTATACTTCATAGTCACTGTGGTTCGGTCTCTAAAATTATGTACATTGTCATTGAATAAAATTCTTCTTAAACAACTAGAACAGTTGGTTGATTTTAAATGACTAATTATTGTTATATTATGTGAGAGCACATAAGATATGTTCTGCTTTACAAGTAAAGTCTGGCAACGTTTCCCATGGTTTGCAATTCAAATTGGATGTCTCTGAGTCATTAAAAAGCAGGTGAGCAGCAGATATAAAACAGTTTTTTGAAAGGGGCTATTTGTTTTCCTATATTGGCTTTGCTTAAGAGAATTATTTAAGGCTGAGAGAGGAGTGAGGATGAAGCAGGAGTTGGGCTCAATTTTGTTCACTAATTCAGTTAGCCTAGTCATTAGCTTAGCATTTTGAAGCTTGAGTGTTAGAATCTACAGCGTTCTCCTAAGAAAAAAGTAAAATGTGATCTCCAAGTCCAAATTAATGAAAAAGTTTCAATGATATTGAACAGGCTACGTGGAGGAGAGCAGAGGAAATTAGCAGGCTCCTGCCTCCTCATGGCTGTCTTGGGGAGAAGGTTGAGTGAATTGATTTTTTTTAAATTATACTTTAAATTCTAGGGTACATGTGCACAACATGCAGGTTTGTTACATATGTATACATGTGCCATGTTGGTGGGCTGCACTCATTAACTCATCATTTACATTAGGTATATCTCCTAATGCTCTCCCTCTCCCCTCCCCACTACCCCATGACAGGCCCCAGTGTGTGATGTTCCCCTTCCTGTGTCCAAGTGTTCTCATTGTTGAATTCCCACCTATGAGTGAGAACATGAGGATGAGGTGTTTGTTTTTGTCCTTGCGATAGTTTGCTGAGAATGATGGTTTCCAGCTTCATCCATGTCCCTACAAAGGACATGAACTCATCATTTTTTATGGCTGCATAGTATTCCATGGTGTATATGTGCCACATTTTCTTAATCCAGTCTATCATTGATGGACATTTGGGTTGGTTCCAAGTCTTTGCTATTGTGAATAGTGACACAATAAACATACATGTGCATGTGTCTTTATAGCAGCATGATTTATAATCCTTTGGGTATATACCCAGTAATGGGATGGCTGAGTCAAATGGTATTTCTAGTTCTAGATCCCTGCGGAATCGCCACACCAACTTCCACAATGGTTGAACTAGTTTACAGTCCCACCAACAGTGTAAAAGTGTTCCTATTTCTCCACATCCTCTCCAGCACCTGTTGTTTCCTGACTTTTTAATGATCACCATTCTAACTGGTGTGAGATGGTATCTCATTGTGATTTTGATTTGCATTTCTCTGATGGCCAGTGATGATGAACATTTTTTCATGTGTTTTTTGGCTGCATAAATGTCTTCTATTGAGAAGTGTCTGTTCATATCCTTCACCCACTTTTTGATGGGGTTGTTTTTTCTGGTAAATTTGTTTGAGTTCATTGTAGATTCTGGATATTAGCCCTTTGTCAGATGAGTAGTTTGCAAAAATTTTCTCCCATTCTATAGATTGCCTGTTCACTCTGATGGTGGTTTCTTTTGCTGTGCAGAAGCTCTTTAGTTTAATTAGATCCCATTTGTCAATTTTGGCTTTTGTTGCCATTGCTTTTGGTGTTTTAGACATGAAGTCCTTGCTCATGCCTATGTCCTGCATGGTATTGCCTAAGTTTTCTTCCAGGATTTTTATGGTTTTAGGTCTCACATTGAAGTCTGTGATCCATCTTCAATTAATTTTTGCATAAGGCATAAGGAAGGGATCCAGTTTCAGCTTTCTACATATGGCTAGCCAGTTTTCCCAGCACCATTTATTAAATAGGGAATCCTTTCCCCATTTCTTGTTTTTGTCAGGTTTGTCAAGATGGCCGATACACAACAGCTCCAGTCTACGCATCCCAGCATGAGCGATGCAGAAGACGGGTGATTTCTGCATTTCCAACTGAGGTACCGGGTTCATCTCACTGAAGCTTGTCGGACAGTGGGCTCAGGACAGTGGGTGAAGCCCACTGAGCATGAGCCGAAGCAGGGCGAGGCATCGCCTCACCCAGGAAGTGCAAGGGATCAGAGAATTCCCTTTCCTAGCCAAGGAAAGCTGTGACAGATGGCACCTGGAAAATTAGGTCACTCCCACCTTAATATTGCGCTTTTCCAGTGGTCTTAGCAAACAACACACCAGGAGTTTATATCCCGCGCCTGGCCCAGAGGGTCCCACACCCACAGAGTCTAGCTCATTGCTAGCAGAGCAGCCTGAGATCGAACTGCAAGGCAGCAGCAAGGCTGGGAGAGGAGCACCCACCATTGCTGAGGCTTGAGTAGGTAAACAAAGCGGCTAGGAAACTTGAACTGGGTGGAGCCCACTGCAGCTCAAGGAGGCCTGCCTGCCTCTGTAGACTCCACCTCTGCAGCCAGGGCACAGCTGAACAAAAGGCAGCAGAAACCTCTGCAGACTTAAATGTCCCTGTCTGACAGTTTGGAAGAGAGTAGTGGTTCTCCCAGCACGCAGCTGGAGATCTGAGAATGGACAAACTGCCTCCTCAAGTGGGTCCCTGACCCCCAAGTAGCCTAGCTGGGAGGCATTCCCCAGTAGGGGCAGAATGACACCTCACATGGCCGGGTACCCCTCTGAGACGAAGCTTCCAGGGGAAAGATCAGGCAGCAACATTTGCTGTTCAGCAATATTCGCTGTTCTGCAGCTTCTGCTGCTGATACCTAGGCAAACAGCGTCTGGAGTGGACCTCCAGCAAACTCCAACAGACCTGCAGATGAGGATCCTGACTGTTAGAAGGAAAACTAACAAACAGCAAGGACATCCACACCAAAACCCCATCTGTACGTCACCATCATCAAAGAACAAAATGATAAAACCACAAAAATGGGGAAAAAACAGAGCAGAGAAGCTGAAAATTCTAAAAATCAGAGTGCCTCTCCCCCTCCAAAGGAATGCAGCTCCTCGTCAACAATGGAACAAAGCTGGATGGAGAGTGACTTTGATGAGTTGAGAGAAGAAGGCTTCAGACGATCAAACTTCTCCGAGCTAAAGAAGGAAGATCGAACCCATCCCAAAGAAGCTAAAAAACTTTAAAAAAGATTAGACAAATGGCTAACTAGAATATCCAGTGTAGAGAAGTCCTTAAATGATCTGTTGGAGCTGAAAACCATGGCATGAGAACTACGCGATGCATGCACAAACTTCAGTAGCCCTGCAAGAGCTCCTGAGGGAAGCACTAAACATGGAAAGGAACAACTGGTATCAGCCACTGCAAAAACATGCCAAATTGTAAAGACCATCAAGGCTAGGAAGAAACTGCATCAACTAATGAGCAAAATAACCAGCTAACATCATAATGACACAATCGAATTCACACATAACAATATTAACCTTAAATGTAAATGGGCTAAATTCTCCAATTAAAAGACACAGATTGGCAAATTGGATAAACAGTCAAGACCCATCAGTGTGCTGTATTCAGGAGACCCATCTCACGTGCAGAGACACACATAGGCTCAAAATAAAGGGAAGGAGGAAGATCTACCAAGCAAATGGAAAACAAAAAAAGGCAGGGGTTGCAATCCTAGCCTCTGACAAAACAGACTTTAAACCAACAAAGATCAAAGGAGACAAAGAAGGCCATTATATAATGGTAAAGGGATCAATTCAAGAAGAAGAGCTAACTATCCTAAATATATATGCACCCAATACAGAAGCACCCAGATTCATAAAGCAAGTCCTTAGAGACCTACAAAGAGACTTAGACTTCCAAACAATAATAATGGGAGATTTTAACACCCCACTGTCAAC